>NC_000016.10:82630682-83255682 GCF_000001405.40 Homo sapiens
ACATCCTTATTTCCTTCCAAAAATACAATTGCTTGGGGAGTCTAGTTAATTTATATTTAGTGGAATGTAGGAAAAGGACAAACTATGGATTTAATTTACACCTGAATGACAGTCATATCATCTACGTAGCCAACAGTGTTTCTGTGTGCGCGTCTGAGTGAGTGTGTACATCTCTGCATTTTGATCTTGTAATACCTGTTGAAAAATTTCTCCAGAAGAGGGCTCCATCCACAGCATTACAAAATTCTGAATCTACAGCTCATTTTAAAGAACTTCAATGCAGCAACTCCATCAAAACAAAACTATTCTCCTTATTCCACATTAATTGCCACAATCACCCCCAAATGAGAAATCCTGCCATTTTTCACTGTATTTATTTCTGTGTCTCTCTCTTTCTTGCTTTCCTTCTTTTGCTCTCTTGCTTTCTCGCTAGCTTTCTTCTTGCTTTCTTTCTTTTCCCCTATTGTAGTTGGTTCTGTTCTAATTCATTCTTTGACTCTGTATCCCCTCTGAGTATTGGAGCAGGGAAAATTTCAAAGATGTTTGTAGACGGTGCAATACGCAATGTGAGGAAGTTCTGAAATTTCCTGGCATTTGACTTTGGTTGGACTTGATTTCATTCTTTAGGTAGCCAAAAGGCAGGAACAGTTCTGCCTGTGGAAGGAGATAACCTTCCCCCTTACATAACCACCCAGAAGGGTGACTCCTGAGCTAGGTCCACTCACTTTCCATCACTCATTGAAAAGGAGAAGGAAATATCCCCCTGTCATCCAATTACAATAATCAGCTGGACAGAATCAAACCAAGTGACCAGTGGTTTTGGCATTGTTTCTATTTAGCTGTCAGCCAGGTACCCATGCACCTGTGAGAATCTGACCCTCCTGAAGGATGCTGCCAATATAATTCCCCACAGCCCGCTTCTTCTGCAGCCACCTGGGATCCCAGGCCTGGCTCCTCAGGTATGAACAGGCTGCACAGACAATGAATGGCTGGGCTGTAGGATCTCTTGCTCCTGCAGTAGGCACTCAGCAGTGGCCTTATTCTAGAGTTAGGGTGGAAAGTCATCTTTCTCTGCTGAGAGAGGCAGCTTGGGGGAAGGCAGGAGAGGAGAAGAAAGGACATTTCTAACTTGAAGTGCTGACTGAGCCAGGGTCTGTGGAGGTGAATGTGTCACCCTCTGGCTTAGCAAGTTGAACCTCGAGACATCTGCTTGGTGGTAATGGAACTCATCTATCCCAAACCTGCAACTCTGGCTTCTGGGCAGAGGTTGCCAAGTAGCAGCCACAGGCTAAATTTAGCCATGGATGCAGTTTGTTTGGCTCAAATGTTTTGCAAATTGTACATTAATAAAAAAGAAATCCAGGTTTCTAGCATTTCTGAAAAAGTCAGGTCAGGCAACCCTAGATCCACACTTCAACATGGCCGTACTTGACAGGGCTGAGTCACTACTGCCCTCTTTAGGCAGGACGTGCCTCCGTAGCTTGCCATAATCGTCACCACTCTCTACTACCCAGCCTTCTGTGCTCACTAATTTTGCCTGCTTGCCCCTAGGGCTTTTTGAGTTTGGGACCTCTGCTTTCACAAATGTTGAGGTTTGATCAAATTGATGCAGTTTATTTCTCAGTGATGGACTATTTGGAAAGGGAGGGACTGGCCTTTTCTCCTTCCCTGTGATTGAATTCCATTGATGTGTGCTTTGGAACAGCATGACCAAGGGGACTGCAGCCCCTCCCTGAGCACATTACTGGCAGTACTTTTGGACAGGCACCCAGAGAGACATAGCACCCAGATCATTGCTTCAGGTGTAAGAGTCATGCAGAGAAGTGACACGCTGCAGCTCTGAGTCAGTACGAGCCCTGGCACACCAGTGTGTTGGTACAAAATGTCATCACGCACCAGCAGCCAAGGGACTCTGAAACCCTGGGATCATATAGAGGCCTGCATACCCTCTCTGTCAGCAGTCCTCAACCATTTTGGTACCAGGGACCGGTTTCGTGGAAGACAATTTTTCCACGGACTAGAATTGGGGGGATGGTTTTGGGATGATTCAAGCACATTACATTTATTATGCATTTAATTTCTGTATTGTTACATTGTAATATATAATGAAATAATTCTACAACTCACTATAATTTAGAATTACTGGGAGCCCTGAGCTTGTTTTTCTGCCACTAGATGGTCCCATCTGGGGGTGATGGGAGACACTGACAGATCATCAGGCATTAGACTCTCATAAGGAGAAGGCGACCTAGATCCCATGCACGCACACAGTTCACACAGGATTCCAACTCCTATGAAAATCCAGTGCCACGGCTGATCTGACAGGAGGCAGAGCCCAGGCGGTAATGCGAGTGCTGGGGGGCCATTATAAATACAGATGAAGCTTTTGCTTGCTCACGGGCCACTCACCTCCTGCTGTGTGGCCTGATTTCTAACAGGCCATGGACTGGTACTGGCCTGTGGCCTGGAGGTTGGGAACCCCTGCTCTACGTAGTGTTCTACCAAGAGCATGGCTGTCCTTGGAGAACAGTGACAGCTGAGCATCATCATTCCATGAGTGTTGCTCCCTCACGGTATAGACATAACCAGAACGTCACAATAACTTACTCTACTTAGACTTGCCAAGGCCTCCGGGAACACTGCTCTAATATTCAGCACCTTTGTAACTTCAGGATAAAGCTGAATCTGCAGCTCTGTCACCTACTTTTTTTCTTTGAGACGGAGTCTTGCTTTGTCACCCAAGCCGGAGTGCGGTGGCGCGATGTCGGCTCACTGCAACCTCCACCTCCAGGGTTTAAGCAATTCTGTGCCTCAGCCTCCCAAGTAGCTGGGATTACAGGTGCCCGCCACCAGGCCTGGCTAACTTTTTTATTTTTAGTAGAGACGGGGTTTCACTGTCTTGGCCAGGCTGGTCTTGAACTCCTGACCTCGTGATCCACCTGCCTCGGCCTCCCCAAGTGCTGGGATAAACAGACGTGAGCCACTGCGCCTGGCCAAGTACCCTTATCCATAGGACACTGTCACATCCTAGCACCGTCCTGGAGCTTGTGTGATGTTTTTATATCTGTTTTAACAGTTAACACCCACGGCCGTTCTACATACAGTGTTAATGCTACAATTAATGCTCTCTGGCTCTGTAAATACTAGACTAATCTGTCTGCCTCATCCCATACCAGCAGGTGAGCCTCAGATGATTCTTGTTTTCCATAGCTACAGACCCCAAAGATCAGAGTAAATATAACTCCATATACACATATGAAAAAAAGTGATTGTTTTTCCTCTGCCAGTTGCCAACAGAAGTCAAATTCTAGAAAACTAACATTAACAACAGGCACGTTTTGACTTGTCATGTCTCATTTCAAAGACACCAATGAGCATCACCCGATCTGCTGCAGAGGCACAAAGACCCTGTGTCTCCTAGCTGAACGCAGCCCGGGCTGGGGCGGAGGGCAGCAGCTGCTCAGCCATCAACAGCCCTGCCACATGCCTGGGCAGGGCCCGGAAATGAGCTCAGCCTCTGGAGGAGCCTGGGGAATGGAAGGAAGGAATGTGGCAGCTTCCATCCTTGCCTTACGGGGCCTTCAGGCCAATGTCTCTTTCCCTCAAGGTGTCAGGGAACCGCTTTCTTGTGTTGTGTGCTGCAGGAAGAAGGTGGTGGCTGCAGACACCTGAAGCTTGAGCTTCTGTGATTGTCTCCCTGTGGACTGATTGCTGTAGGGCCTGCGGAAAGTTGCTGGACACTGCCAGCGGAACCGAGGCTGACTCAGACTGCCCGGAGTATCCCTCCTCAACTGCCATCAGCCGTCGGGCATCTGGGATCATCTCACTCAGGGGTTGCAAATTATGGCCCGTGAGCCAATTTCTCCCTGCAGTCTGGTTTTATAAATAGTTTTATTGGATTATAGCCACACCTATTCATTTATGTAATTGTTTATGGCTGCTTTTGTGCTATAACAACAGAGTTGAGACTGTCTGGCCCCTGAAGCTGAAAGTATTTACTATTTAGTCCCTAAAAGAAAAAGTTTCCTGACTCTTTATCTAACTTAAAGTTACAGCCAAAGAGGCTTCTGGGCGTCTTCTCAAATAAGAGGGGCCTGAGAAGTTCAGCCGTTGGGGACTTTTCCTCCTAGGCCCCAAGCACTTGAGCAACTTGACTTCAGGGAGATTCACCTGAGACCAAATGGTTCCAATAAATATCTATGATCTCTATGGAGGATCTACTATGTTCCAAGCACCACTTGTGTGTGCAGGATACAGTTGCTCATAAGGCAGACTGAGTCTCTGCTCTCCTGGGGCTCACAGCTTGGCAGGAAGGATCAATAGCAATTAATGAATAATTTAAGATGGAGACAACTGTGATGAGGGAAGAAAGCCCAGCTGTGTGAGGTCATGCCGTTCTAAATATTTTGCCTAGGTGTTCTTTGTCTTTCTCCTCCACTAGACTATAAGCTCTGTTGTGGTCCACATTGTGGCTTGATTTGTTCATTTCTATACTCCCAGGGCTTAGAACAGTGCCTGGCACATAGTACTCAGCAAACATGAATGAACAAATGAATGAATGAATATAAGAAAGACATCAGAGGCAGATGAAGGATCTGGGCGGCTTCCCTGACAACCTGATGCTTCAGCCCAAATCTGGAGGAGCAGTAGGGCTTACAGACAAAGACACAGTAGAGGGTGTGGGTGGGGAAAGGCATTCCAGGAAGAAGGCACAGTCTGGGTGAAGCCTCTATTCAGGGGAAACACCACACAGCCAAGGCAGTGATGTGAAGTGTGGCTGGGAGGTGCCAGAGCCAATGGGGCCATGTCAGCCACTGCAAGAATATTGGTGTTTTTCTCAGAGCAAGTGGCAGCCATTGAGGGTACTGAGGGAAAGGTACAGAGTGATGTGATCAGATTTGCATTCTGGCTACAAGTAGCAAATGGGTTGGAGCTGGGTAAGAATGGAAAGGAAAGGCCAGTCTAGGGCTGAGATCATGGGAAGCTGGATTCAGGAACGACGGTGCAGAGATGGGGCAGGTGATTGAAGTAGACTGATATGGTTTGGGTCTCTGTCCCCACCCAAATCTCATGTCATATTGTAATCCCTAATGTTGGAGGTGAAGCCCAGTGGGAGGTGATTAGATCAGAGGGCGGATTTCTCCTTGCTTTAATCGTGATAGTGAGTTCTCACAAGACATGGTTATGTGAAAGTGTATAGCACTTCCCCCTTTGCGCCCCCTCTCTCTCCTGCTTGCTGTGTGAAGACGTGCCTCCTTCGCCTTCCCCTTCTGCCACGATTGTAAGTTTCCTGAGGCCTTTGCAGCCATACTTCCTCTACAGCATGCAGAAGCAAGCCAATTAGACCTCCTGTCTTTATAAATTACCCAGTCCCAGGCAGTTCTTTATAGCAATGCAAGAATGGACTAAATCCTATTCAGATAATCCAAGAGACATTTAGGTGGATAACTTGACAGGCTTTGATGGTGGCTGGGTATGGAGATGGCAGGGCCAGAGAGAGGTGAAGGAGGCCTGCTTGAGTTCTGACTCTTCCAATTGGCAGGAAGAGTCAAACAAGGAGACCAGGTGTTTGACATTGTAAACAGGGTCGGTCTGAGGGCTTCTCTATGTGGGAGTGTAATTCAGGCTGCAGAACGTTCCTGGGAGAGGCACCTAAGGCCTGCATTACAGTATTGCCAGCAGATCCAGTCCATGCCTGCATCTAGGATGGGCACCGTGGGGGCCTGGAAATGCCCTTGAATAAAGTGACCGACGTGCAGCCTGTACAATTAACCAATCTCTGAGACTTTTCATGCACAAGATATTTGAGAGAAACATTGCCAAGCCCTTTAATCGTTTCTTGAACATTCAATCAGCAGCACTGGAAATATGTCTTACATGAAGCAAATAATGATCTTCTACCCTCAGCAATCGCTTTGCCAATGCTAACAAGCCTCTGCTTCAGCATGTTGGGTGTAGCCTTGGTGACTTCTGTTTGTGGTGTAGTAGGAGAATATTCAACTGGGTGCCAGGCAGTGGTATATTGGTAAATGTTTAACAACTGGGCCACTCTAAAGAAACACCCAAACCAGAAAGCAAAACCCAAACCAAGACACAACCAAGTAATTTGTAGCTCTTGCCAATTTCTGTGATGTAAATACTCCCGTCATGGGCAATTTGAATCTGCCAACCTGAGAGTTTCCTAAAAACTTAACAAGGGGCTCTTGCTACCTGATACTAACTGGCTCCAGCACACCATGGACCTGGATCCTGTTTCTAGCTCACCCCCTCACTCGTGGTATGACCTTCAGCAAGCAGCTTGAATGTTTTCATCTGTAAAATGGACCAGGTTACTTGGAGGTTCAAGTGAGTAAAAAGATGTTAGAATGCAGGGAAGTCCAATTTGCTGCAAAGATGCATGCAGATTATCTAAATCATTATCACTTACAAGGAAACAGGACCTTTGGCCAGGATCCTACAGCTGTCTAATTGGGCCCTGTAAAAATACTTTGATTCAGCCACTGAATGAAGTTTGATGTGTGAGAAACAGAGGGTGTACCTCTGCTTCCTGCAGTTCTGCATGTTTTTGCAGTAAGAAAGATTATTGCGTTCTGTGGCAGTATTGATTCCGAACGTGTCTATCTTGTTTTTCTGCTTTCCCTTCTTTTCTTCCTTTTCTCAACAAAGATATTTAGTGAGTGCTGTATGCCAGGCACTCACCTAGGTACTTTATCCTCAGAAGCTGAGGTCTGTACAGTTACTGTGCCTTTTTTTTTTTTTTTTTTTTGAGACGGAGTCTGGCTCTGTCACCCAGGCTGGAGGGCAGTGGCGCGATCTCGGCTCACTGCAAGCTCCGCCTCCCGGGTTCACGCCGTTCTCCTGCCTCAGCCTCCTGAGTAGCTGGGGCTACAGGCGCCCGCCACAGCGCCCGGCTAATTTTTTTTTTTTTGTATTTTTAGTAGAGACGGGTTTTCACCGTGTTAGCCAGGATGGTCTCGATCTCCTGACCTCGTGATCCGCCAGCCTCAGCCTCCCAAAGTGCTGGGATTATAGGCGTGAGCCACAGCGCCCGGCCTATCGTGCCCTTTCAACAGATGAAGAAACTGGTGAGTTTAAGGAACTGACCCAAGATCACAGAATAATAAGTGGTGAGCTGGGATTTGCACCTGGGTCTGTGCGTGGGCGAGTCCACCTGGGGCCCGTGTCTTCACTCAGCGAGTATTTATTGAGCATTTAGGGAATTCAGAGGTAAACGAGATGAACTGAATCCCTGTCTCATGGAGCTTACAGTTTTGTGGGAACAGCAGATAAAAACAAGTAAGTACTTGAAATAATTACAAATGTGGTAATTGTTACAATAGGAAGCAGTAGAGGCTGAAATCCATTGAAGGGAGAAGAGGCTGCTGTGCCTTCCTTTGCTCCTTTGCTTCCTTTCATCTGCCTTGCCTCCCTCTTTCTGCTGTCTTTCTTTCTTTCTTCCCTTAAATGTTACCTACCAACTATGAAGAACGCTGCAAACCTGGGAACCCAGAGGTGAACACGACAGTCCAGGCCTTCACTAGGAAATGTGCTGGAGCAGAATTAGAGCCTGGGGCTGGCCTGGACCCAGAGCTGCTGGTGCCTTGGACTGCTTAGGGACTGCTGAGCAGACCTCCTAGCCCTTTAGAAGTGAGCTTGAATCCCTGCCCAGCCATTTACACACTGTGTTGCCTCAGATAATTGACTTCATTTCCCTCCTTTTCTGTTTTCCCCTGTATTAAAACAACTGAAAAGGAATATCTATGCTTGCCCTGCAGGATTTTTGTGAGAATTAAATAAGTGTATGTTAATGATGTCATCCTATGCTTAAGAAATGTTGGTTGTATTACTTTTCACCCTATGCTCCAAGGAATTTTATGGTCTGAAGGTGTCATGGGGTCTTGGCTTTCAGGATGTGACTCACTTAAGGGGGGAAATGACTGTGCATGTCATAATGCGTGGACATTAAAAAAAATAAAGTTTGCTCCCCAGGGAGGATTTGCCAATTCCCATATTAGTAGGTCCCCCAAGATTGTTCCCCTCGGGATTCATGCCTCATAAAATCATTTGATCTGGTGGGATCTCATCTTCTTAATGTGTCTGCCCATCATCTGTTCCTGGGAGGCTTTATTAGGGCAGTGTGTGCGTGTGTGCGTTTGTGTGCATGCACGCACCAGTGCCATGAGTACTTGTTTAAAGTACCTCCATGTAACCACAATTCACTGTAGTTGCTATGCACTAGTTACCCATGTTATCTGGAATCCTTCCTGCAACCCTTAGAGGCGACTCTTATTCCCAATTTTATATACGATGAGAAGAAGTTTTGAGTGGTGGAGTCATTTGCTCAAGGCCACACAGTCACTGAGAACTGGGACCAGGGTTTGGACCCATGCGTCTTTATTCCTGTGCATATTTATTTTCCTCTATGTTGCACTAGTATATAAAAGTTGCCTTTCCCACTCCCCTCATTATATAAAAATTCTTTCCTTTGTCTATTTTGTTCTCTACCTCCCTTAAAGTCAAGATAGCTGCCTGGGATGACTACTTTTTTGAGTTCCTAGTCTCTCAAAGTGGGTCTGGGCCCTGGACTTCCTGTCTGGGCTACTGATTGCAACCTTCAGAACAGGGTCAGCCCGGGGTCATTTGTGTTCTTTGTCTCCATGTCCTTGCTTTTGACCAGGGCCAAACAACCCACCTGCACTGCATGGTTCCCCCAGCAAGAACATCCCAGTGAGAATGGCCCACAGATGCCTGGGCGTGACCCACCTGCAGCTTCAACCATGCAGGTAAATTTGCCTGCTGCTGTGTCGTGTGGCTGGATGGAATTCTTCCCTAGGGATGCTAAGAAACCCTGTTGCCTAAGTCAGTGCTTCCTGCAAGCTACTCTTTGTAATTCTTTCCCCAAACAAAAAGAAAACAAGAAATATACAGTCTGTAGCTATATAGAGACACCTGGATCTATATTGTGTGGCAATTGGATTGAATGTAACTTGAAGTTTATTTTTGTCTTACCAGACTAGTGTTTTTTCCTGTTAATTTAAGTGCTTTAGTGAGGGTTGCCATTGATTGAGCAAACATGTGTTGAGTGCTTATTATGTACCCAGCTCCATTTTCCGTACTAGCCACAGAGCAGCGAGAGCATGGCCTTTGCCCTCCAATCCTGTTCTGGTGGACAGACACTCTCTCCCTTGACAGGGTCCTCACCACTGTGTGCACCGTCCCGCCACCTGGTGGCCGTGCCTATCTGTGCATTCCCTATTTGGTTAACTCATTCACTTAACAAATATTTACTGGGGGAAGACAATATCTCAAGCACAATTCTCAGCATTGAGGGAGGCAGCAGTGATTAAGAAAGACAAGATTGCCTGCCCCCGTGGAGTTTGTGTTCTGATAGCAGAGAAAGACAGGAAACAAGAAAAATAAATAAATATGGTAGTTTTGCGTAGTGATAGTGCTATAGAAAAACGTTCAAATGGGGTAGAGTGATAGACAGTGTTGTTCTGAGCTTGTCCACCACACCCTCTTGGGACAGAGGATTCTTTGTTCTGATGGAATGGCCTTTCTATAGCATAGAGATGAAATGTGCTACCGTTTGTGAAAGGAAGTTAGTAATACATACATGGCATTTTTGTCTTCACTGATAAAGTGTTGTTGGTCAACTTTTGTCAACTCTCTACTTTTTGTTTGTGTTGAAATTTTACTGTTGGGAATTTACGAATATGGCAACTAATGATTTAAACCAGGGGTAGGTATCCTTTTTCTGTAATGAGCCATCTAGTAAATAGCTGGTTTCTCTTGAAACTGTTCAATTCTATCCGTGTAGCATTAAAGCAGCCACAGCCGATATGTAAATGAATGGGCAGGGTAATAAAATGTTATTTACAAACACAAGCAGAGCTAGATTGGTCCTTCAGGCTGCCATTTGCCAACCACTAATCTAAACCAGTAGCTGCCTTACCAGTTGGTCAAACTTGTTTAAGACAGGGATAGGGCAGAGGCCAGCGAGGGGAACCAGGCATTCTCTTTGGCCTCAGTTGCCATGAAAATCATGGTACTTCTTTAGGGTCACATATCACTAGATTATTTGCATTAACTTTTATCAAGGTAAAGATGCTAATAGTCAACTATGGAACATAATTCTCAGAGTAGATCTAACATAGGAATAATTTAGCTTTGTAATATTTATCTGGACTACAATTTTTAAGGCACTTTTGCTACCCAAAAGTATCTTGGGGTTAAACACGCTCTTGGATTGAATTCCTCTAAATAAATAGAGACACAGAATTGGGTTCAGGGGGTTAAGTTGGTAAATGATCTCAAGGTCCATAAGTGAGCGAGTGGGGAGAGTGAGACCAAGAAGAAGGAAAGCCAGCAAGCCAACAGTGAATGTGTCATTGAGGTGGTCACAGTCATGGGAAACTGGCTTCTTGCTGCTGGGTCTCTACAAAAGCACTGTGTAAAGCTCATTTCCGAATGGTCCCTCCACAGAATAGGTGGCTGAGGGTGTATTCACTCGCCCTTATCTTCTGCTGGTCAGGGGTGACCCCTGCCGTCATTAACTTCTCTGTGCTTCCCTGCTGAGCCTTTGCTGTCATGGGGAGCAGTCATGACTTTGGAAGCATCATAGCAGAAAAAATGGAAAGGTATGGCAAGTTGTTGGACTGTCAGGATATGCCCTGGGTAGGGTATGAATATATGTGATTTCTCTTGCCACCATTACATGTTACTGGAAACTTCCTCAGTAGAGCTAATGGTAACAGAAAGAATTATGGTAGTGGTAATTTTTAAAACCTTCTGAATTTGGTTAAGCACCCTCCTGCAGATATTCTCTTTCCCACTAGATGGTACCAGTATGCCAAAGCCCTAGAATGCTACCTTAGGGCCTCGTCTTTGACATGTGATATATTCTCATTACTTTTCAACAATGAATGAATAAGCCAGTTGAGGTCAAAGGAATCAACTATGGATGTTTTAGGGACAGGAGATGGGAGAAAAGTGGAGGCTGTCTAAACAGTTACCCTCATTCACGCATTCAGTCATTTATCAACAAATATTACTCAGCACTGACTGAGTGCTCAACACTTTTCTAGGCACTGGGAATACAGAAATGAGTAAGACAGGCCAAGTCCCTGCTCTGGTGAGCTTATGTACTGGCTGGGAGAGAGACAATAAAAAAATGAACAGGTAGGTATGTGATGTCTGCAGGAGGGTGATGAGTGCCATGAAGAATGAGAAAGCAGGCGAGGGGGTAGATAGCGACAGGCAGAGGTCATGGCGCTTGCCTTCGCTGTTGGCTGTAGGGTGAGAGATTATTTTCATCTGCTTCCCAAACCCAGTTCTTCCATTCACCAACTCCTTATGACACCCCTATGCGGTTTATTTTTGAAATGAAACTAACAGCTCATGGAGGGCAAAAAAAAAAAAAAAAAAAAAGTGGTGCTTGGCAAATGTGTGTTCACTAGTCGGGGCCCACTGCAGCCTAACACCTAACTCATTGGACTGCTTGTTGGCTGATTTAATTTGTCTGGAATATTTCTGAATTACTATTGTTGTTGACACACAATAGAGTTGCATTTAACTCAGAGGTTAGACTATAAGGTCAGGGTTTTAGGCAAACACAGTTGTCATTAGCCTTGAACTCTTTTAAGTTGCCCATTAAAGTACAGTAGGCGTGGTTTAGTCTATGCATCCCCGTATTGTAATCAATAGGGAACAATGTATAATGCACGCAGTAATGTACAGGGCATAATAAAGAATATATGCAAGATATAATTTTATAGCATTTAATTGCAGTATTTACATTGTTCTTTTTCTCTCTCTCTTTGGTGGGAGAGCTGGCTTTCCATTAGTTAAATGTGCATATGATGAGACTTGACTATATTCATTTAAGCCACATTCCTAATCATACAATCTCCACCAGACTGTGCATTACGTAAGGCAAGACCTGTTTTCTCTGTTGTGTTCTGTTTATCTTTGGATTCCCACTACCAGTCAGATGCTTTGGGGTGGGGGAATTGAGGAATAATAATAGTAGAAGTGGCAGTAATAGTAGCTGATATCAGTGTGGTGCTGATTTTGAACCAGGCCTGGTGTGAGTGCTTCAGATGCATTAATCAGCACATGTAATCCTCATAGTGACTCTATAAAATATCTTCTATGGTTTTAATCCCATTTCATAGGTGGGGAAACTTCAGGAGAACTTAGTAAAAGAACCTAATAAAGCTTTAGGACTCTAGGGCTGAGATTCAAACTCAAGACAATTCCAGACACACAAGACCACATGTTGTATGATTCTATGAAATGGAACAAACTGTCCAGAAAAGTCAAATCCAGAGACAGAAAGCAGATTAGAAGATGTCTAGGGCTGGGGGCAGGAGGAAATGGGGAGTTACTGCTAATGGGTATAGAATTGCTTTGGGGAAGATGTAAATGCTCTGGAGCTAGATAGTGGTGGTGATTACATTAGCTCTCTGTAAATAAACCCCAAACCTGGGAATCATATATCTTAACCGGCTAAGCTTTATAGTATGTTACACATGTCTAAATAAAACTGGTATTGAATAGGAAAACAAGCAAACCTTGGGCAGGTCAGCCTCAGGGCTCCTGTTTGTTCATGAGCACACACCACCTGTCTTACAGTTGTTCACCACCTGCTGGTGATACTCTACTTGCTTTACTTATATTAACACTGCGACTCCTCAAAAGATCCCCATTGTCCACCCTACTGAGATCAGAAAGCGGAAGCAGAACGATGTTGAGAAACTTGGGGCTGGCAAGTGGTAGTTTCAGGATTAAGACCCAGGCTGTTTGGGTCTAATTCCTTCTGGCTACACTGGTTCTTACATGTGTTTCATTCATTAAAAGCAACCTGTGTTATTTGGAACTGCAGGTCACCTTGGCCTATTGGAAATAAAGCAAGGGTTCTTCACGTTTGTTTTGCTGATTTGTAAAGTGAATTAAGAACCATCTTTTGCCTCACTGGTTATTATTCTCATAGTAGCCTACCCTGGTGTAGAGTTCTGGCTGCAAAGCTCTCAGAGACTGAAGAAAAGGAGATGGTTTAGTGTTACTGACTTTTTTTAAGACAGGGTCTTTCTCTGTTGCCCAGGCTGGATTGCAGTGGTGCAATCATAGCTAACTGCAGCCTTGACCACCTGAGCTCAAGCAACCCTCTTGCCTCAGTTCTGGAAATAGCTAAGTGGGACTACAGGTGTGGACCACCAGGCCCAGTTAATTAAAAAAAAAAAAAACTTTAAGACAAGGTCTTGTTATGTTGCCCATGCTGGTCTCGAACTCCTGGCTTCAAGTGATCCTCCAGGAGTAGCTGGCATTACAGGCTTGGCTGACTTTTAAAAGTAGTAAGTGGTTTAGGATGGGGGGTGGTATGGAGGTCGGGTGGGGAGAAAGAGGAGAGAAATCTAATTGATATGCTAATTGTCATTGTACTCAAGTTGATAGCAGATTGCTGAAGGATTTAGGATTTACCCAAATTAACATGAATGTTTGGCACCCTTTGGCTGGTGCGGCTGAAGAATTCAATAGCCTAGTAATGAGAAGTCAATCTAAGGTCTAAGGCTGGGAAAGGAGCTCCCACTTCTTACATTCAGTGCTCATCACTCTGCAAATCAAGGCCCCCCGAACTCCTCCCACCCCTGCCTTCTGCGTCTCCCTCTGTGCTCTCCATCACCCCCCTACGGAGTTCCTTTGATTCTCAGGTCCCTTAACCATGGAACGTACTCCTGTCTGCCCTCACTCGTGGGTTGATGATTTCTATCCTTTGTCATGTTGAAAATGCTGAGTGACAAAGCCATTAGCCATGCACAGTGAAACAAGGAAAGCAGCCTAGAGCTGGTCCCCAGACCAGGCCCAGTGCACGAGTTTGGGTGCTGGAAGGGGAGGCTTTATGGAGGCAAAGCTGAGGGGCTGTACGTGTCTTCATAGGTCTCCAGTCTGTAAAAGCAACCACGCTTTGGGCTGGGGCAGAAGTCAGGACTTGAACTGGCTCTGGCTGGGACCCAGGCTCCCAGGTAGCCAGCTCCCAGGTGACAGGAGTCCGCTGGGCTCCCTCTGATTCTTAAAGCCTTTCCAGGTAGCAACAGGAGATCACGCAAAGCCACGTAAGTGTCTGATTCAGTCCTCCCTGGTCAGTTTTCCAGCATAGCGTTTTGCAAAATGTGTTCTGAAGAGATACTGGTTCCATGGGAGGTTAATATGGGTTCTGGGGAAAAAAAATTAGGGGAATCAAAAAATTACTTGTATAAACTAATATTTTGGAAAACTCTGGAGTTAGAGAAGTGGACCAGATTGGGTTTTGTTTTTTCACAAATGAAAGTCTCTGAGATTGTAGTGTGTTTCAGTTTCAGAGGGCTCTTCCCAAACCCCTGAGGTTAAGGAAACTCTTGTACACAGTGGGTCTCGGGCACTAACTCACAGATCACACTTCTGAAAACAAGCTCCTAGGATGCCATATCTCAGAGTACGGGCTTCGACGGGGCCCTTCACCCAGCTCCAGGACCAACTGGGAGCCTGTTAGGACTGCAAATCCTGTCCTCTGGACCTAGAGAATGAAAGCCTCTGGGGGCAGGCTCAGAAATCTGTGTTTCCAGATTCCACTGGGTTTTCAACTCCATCCAGAATAATTCTTCTGGTGTCACTGTGAATATTTGCTGATCCTTCTGACGTCTATCCGTGGTGCTTGTTTCTGAAGTGTAGTCTAAACCGTTGGCTCTCAACTGTTGGGGTGAGGGGGGTTGTGACCCTCGGGACAGTTTGCAATATCTACAGACATGCTTGTTTTTCACAACCTGGGGAGGGGAGTGGGCATCTAGTGGGCAGAGCTCAGGGATGCTGTTCAACATCCTACAATGAACAGCACAGCTCCCACCACAAAAGGTTATCCTGACCCAAATACAGTAGTGCTGAGGTGGAAAACTCTGATCCAAATGCATAGCTTCATACTCACCCAGCACACACAGGGATTTTTATCCTTATCTTATCCTGTTATTACTAGGAGGCTGGAATCTGAAGCTGGGGCTGTGAAAAGATACCTCACAGCAAGCCGCTATTCATGTATAATTTTTCAAAAGGTAAAACCAAGACTCTTGGGTAAATACGCACTTCAACTCATTAATTTATGAAGAAACCAGTAAGATGCCATGGTTATTCCAAAGGGCATTTAAGAAGCTAAGGTATTCGTAAGGAATTTAGCAAAGAAATGTGAAGACGAGATTGCTGAGTTAGATAAAAAGTGGTTAATGTTCATCATGCCTAAACTTTTGGGGGTTATCTGTTCTATTAGATAAAAAGTATTTGCATCTCTACTGGACAAAAGTTGACCACTTAAGTGGTGACTTCACAAAGTCTGGGATCTTCAAGAGCAAACAATGAGATGAACTAAGAGCATGCTCCTAAACAACTTCAGGTTGTCCCTGACTGATAACCAAAGGATGTGCCATCAACCATTTGGGCCTTGTTTGCAAGCTTTGAATAATTTTTCTGGTGCTTTAAACACATTATTGTTAGTATTTTGAGACGGAGTCTCGCTCTTTCACCCAGGCTGAAGTGCAGTGGCGTGATCTCGGCTCACTGCAACCTCCATCTCCAGAGTTCAAGCGATTCTCGTGCCTCAGCCTCCCAAGTAGCCAGGATTGCAGGTGCCTGCCATCAGGCCCAGCTAATTTTTTTTTGTATTTTTCATTGAGATGGGGTTTGACCATGTTGGCCAGGCTGATTTCAAACTCCTGACCTCAAGTGATCTGCTCGCCTCGACCTCCCAAAGTGCTAGGATTACAGACATGAGTCACCGCGCCTGGCCTAAGCACATGACTTTTAATTTACTGGTGCTGCATGGTCTGTGAAAAGTGGGTCAAAGAAATGGGAAGTGATGGGAGGAGAGGTCACAGGAGGCCAAGGTTGTAATATGGTTAGAAGCCATTTCTTACCTGTCTTCTATGAAGTGTGGGTTGTGAGCGATGCTTTCATTCAAACCTATGAGGTGCATCTTGTCATCATCCCCATCTACAGATGAGAAAACTGAGTCAGAGGAAGAGTTAGGTATGTCAGTAGCAGGCATGGGCAAAGGAAGGAGAAAGTAATGATCAAGATGATAGAGGGAGAATTGCAATTAAGCCAGAGAGAGGAAGGATGATGTTATAAGCTCGAGGGAAGCCTGAGTCCAGATCTGAAGCAGATATACTCACAGCACGTTCAGGGGGTAATGAAGAGGCTGTTATGGGTGACTATGAATGTGAAGGCAACGTGAGATTGGATCAGAGTTAGAAAGATGACAGTTGTTAATAGCATCAGTGTTATTTTAGCCAAAGGACTTTACTATTGCTGTAGTGCAGTGCCTCGCAGTACACCATGACAGTTAAGAGCCCAGGCCTCGAGGGAAGGTTACAGTTTGAAGCCCAGCTCTGCCACTGTAGGGCTGTGTGACCATGGGCAAGTTGCTTAACCTCTGTGCCTCAGTTACCAGATCTATGAAATGTCGGCAGTGAAACCTAGCTGATATGACTGGGATGGGGATTCCAGAGAACCTTGTAAACACTTGGTCCAGCAAATAATATGGCCTCAGAAAATAGAAGCTGGATGTGTTTACGTACATGAGGAAATGGACAGATAGGACTTAACAGACCATGGTTGTGAGTGACTTGGCTGTAAGTGTCACAGTCTCAGTTTGAGTTTCCTCAAAAGCGGATGCTGTGAGGAGGATTTGAGTGCAATAAATTCTCTTGGGAGGTGGTCCAAGGGGAAGTGTAGAGGAGTGGGAAAGTGAGGCAAGGAAGGAAAAGGAAACAGACGAGGGGTCTGTTACTCAGGCAGGTACTGCTCTGGGTGTCTGGAGCTTAACTCCCCTGGGAACCTTTGAGAATCAGTGTGGAATACCTGCTTCCAAGCCATCCCACCTGAGGGGCATGGGAGCTCCAGATTTTATGCCACAAATCTGGTTGGCATTGATTCAAAGCTGCCCCAGGGGGCACTGATTTTGAGACTACTGGACTACTCCAGCCTCAGAGAAAGCAGTCAGTGAAGAGGTGTAGATATTTGCAGTTGGAAGTTGAGCCAGCCCTGTAATGGAAAAGCCAGAAGAGACAGGAGCTTGGGGTTGGGTGGTGAGCTGTCTGTCAGTGTCTAATGTGGTAAGTATCTGATATGGTTTGGCTGTGTCCCTGCCCAAATCTCATCTTGAATTATAGCTCCCATAGTCCCCATGTGTCATGGGAGGGACCCTGTCGGGGGTAACTGAAGCTTAGGGGCAGGTTTTCCCTGTGCCGTTTTCATGGTAGTGAATAAGTCTCACGAGATCTGAGGGTTTCATAAGGGGCAGTTCCCCTGCACATGCTCTCTTGCCTGCTGCCATGTGAGACATGCCTTTACTCCTCCTTCGTCTTCCACTGTGATTGTGAGGCCTCCTCAGCCATGTGGAACTGTGTGTCCATTAAAACTCTTTTTCTTTATAAATTACCCAGTCTTGGGTATTTCATCATAGCAGTTTGAAAATGGACTAATACAGTATCCAAAGGCATAAAAATAGTCATGCACTTTGGGGAAGTAATACACATCTGAGAAGTTAAACAGAGGTAAATACAGGAAAATATGTACAAAATACATTATATTAAATGATATATGAATATTGTATATGTTTTATGCATTGTATGTGAAATAGTAATAATAGCCAACGCTTAGGAAGTAGTTGCCACATGCCTGACTCTCCTAAATGCTCTGCAAATAGGTTAGATTTCCAGCAAATGAAAACAGGTTAGGCAGCTCAATAGAATATTACATAACCATTAAAGAGGATGGTTATAAAGATGATGATAATGGCATGGAAAAATCATATGAATGAGAATTGAATACTAAACAGGAGATTGTGTGTGCAGTAGGATTCCTACAAAGCAAAACAAGCCTCTAAATAAAGAAAAAGAAGGGTGGAATCTGAAAGGAATTTATCAAAATCCTAACTGCAATTTTGTTCATGCGTTGGGATTCAGAGTTGTTTTTTCCCCTCTGGTTTACAAGTCTCCATTGATACACTTGCGTTACATCTATAATGAAAAATACAAGAAACTTGAAAAAGTACAAGAAGAAAAAACCTTCTAAAAAATAGGTGGTAAGACCCAGTGAAAGTTTTAAAGAAGGGAATAACATAATGGAAAATGTATTTCAGAAAAATTAATCTGGGGGCAGTGTGGAAGATGGATTGAATCAGGAAACACCCAAGGTGAGAAGTCCAGCTTGAAAGCTTGTATGAGTTACTGGGAGTATGGAAAAGAAAGAGCCAATTTTAGATGGTTGATCATGAATGAGATGATGGGGAAGAAAGAGAAAAGTGCCAGAAATGATTCCAACATTTTAAAGCATTTTGAATGGAAGAAAATAAGCAATGGAACTAATATAAATATAGTTAGAGAGTGAGCGCGCACCGGCTTTCTTTACATTTGTTGCTTGTTTAAACCTAACAGCAATCCTATATGCTATGCTTTTAATATTCCTATTTTACAAATGACATAATAGAAGATTAGAGAAATAAAGCCACTTATCCAAGGTCACACAGGGTCCAAACTCAGATTATTGTGAAATGAACTGGCTAGATAGAAGGATAGATGATGGATGGAAGGATGAATGCATAGATGGAGGATGGATGGATGGATGATGGATGGATACATTGATAACTATATGAAGGGGAAGGAATCTGGTGAATTGTAATGTTATAGTGGAAAATAGGGCATTTCAAGAAGGAAGTGGCAGATAGTCTTAGGCAGTGAAGAAGGAAGGGAACAGAGAAAGCACTAGATTCAACAAAAAGAACCAGTCACTGGTCCTCTTTGAGAAGGTCCTTCCAGTTAAATAATGGAAAGTGGGCTTAAGCAGCATGGGGGACTGAAGGGCCAGGACATGTTGGGGAACCTGTGAAATGGCTAGTCAGAGCATGGCATGTATGAGCTTAAAACCAGATCTGAACCTAAGGAAGAGATCCAACAATAGGAAGGAGAGGGGATGTAAGAGAGAAAAATGATGGGGAAGGGAGAGGAGGGTAAGAAGACATGGAAAAATGGAAAGGAAAGAAATTACTGGTTAAGAACAAGGACACCAGACTGCCTGGGTTTGAGTCTCAACTCCGCTGCCCTGTAACCTTGAGCAAACCCCATAACTGTCTCTGCTTCCGACCCCTCATCTGTTGAATGGGAAAAGAGTAATAAGCTCTATATCCTGGGGTTCCTGAGAGGAGGAATTGAAGCATGTAACATGCTTAAGACAGTGCCCGGTGTGCTGTAAGTTGAAACTGTGTAGGGATCCTGTTGCCTTAGTCATCACAACAAGGACCATTTCCTGGGCAACAACCCAAAGCTATAGATTAAGAAACTGAGGCTCAGTCACTTAAAGAATGTTCTCTGAGAAAGTACACTTGGAGCCTCAACATTGCTCTACCTGCAAGTAGTTACCTCTCCTGTCTTCCAGGGAGAAATAGATTTTGTGTAAAATAGGATGCATGGCTTTGTTAGTGGAAACTAACCTTCAGCAATTGTAATAAATGAGGTACGTGAGGTTGCATTTTTTTCTCCTTTTTGAAAAAAGAGTTAATAAACAGAGGCTGTTCAATAAAGCAGAGTTAGAAGGAGTTTAGGAAGCACTGGAGAGTGGCTGAGGAGCAAGGTAGTGAGGACTTGGAGGACCTGGAGAAGGCAGATGAGATCCATCAGATCCCAGAAAGCTCCATCAACTCAGTGCCCTTTCTCTATTCCAGAAAGTCTTATGCTCATATCATTGATGCTTGGAGAAGCCTGCACACCACAGACTTGGCATGAGAAGTCCTAAAAGCCTCATTAACCCAACCACTTAGGCTTTCTGAGTGCAACCCCTACCCTATTCTATTTGGGCTCAGGGTTTGCTGGGCCCCAAAATGTCCCGCTGTTGGGATGAGGAGATTCAGTTAATACCTTTCTTTGGTTGGCTCTCCTCCCACATCCCCCTACCTCTCTAGCCTTGGTTTCCAGAAAACTGTATCTGTGCTCAGCCTGCTCCCTCCTGCCCTTGGTGATCATGAAACCTGCCAAAGAAGCATTCTCTCTGAGGCTGAGCCACTGGAGAAGTTGCACATCCAGGATTGATTTTGCATAGTGTAGAAATCAATCCGGTGAACCTGGCAGCATAGGTATCCTCTAAGTTTGGTTGTAAGCCCAGTGGGGCAGGGCAGTAAACAGTTTAAATTGGAAAGTTAAAACAATAAACAGGAGAGACAGGTGAAGTTGGGGTTTGAAATTTGCTGGGCTAGAATGGGTTTTCTCTTTCTGTGTTAATCTTATCTGGCAGCTAATCTTTACCTGTCATGTGGTTTTTGGGGGAGAAAACGGTACCCTCTTTAGACTGCTTCCTTTTCTGGGAGGAGAACCCTGAGAAAGACTATCAGTTTGAAGTTGTCCCTCCTGGGATAGAAATTTATCTAATTTTAGTGGGTGGCAAGACTATGAACAACCATCATTATCTGTGCTCCAATAATTATTAATTTAATGACATTTTAACAAATAAGAAATAACTTTTATTGAGCACTGTCTACATATCAGGCACCCAGCTAAGTACTTTCACATGTGATGTCTAATTAAAGCTTCTGAATATGATTAACTTCATTTTATAGCTGAGGAGTCTACAGCCTATAGGGCACACACACATATACCATCTTCATTGATCTTCACCCAACCATCAGAAGCCTGGGAAAGACATTTTGCAGTTAAGAAAAGTGAATCTCAGGGACTTGTCTTCTTCAGCAAACAATTGGCAGAACCACGGTTTGAATCCAGGTCTTCTGACTCCATATTACTTTGATTTTATTGGGAGAGTATATGGGTGGCGTATCTTCTTAAATTCCTCTGGCCAGGTCCTGAGAAAAGCATTTACTGTGCATTGTCTCAACACTTGTAATAACCCTATTAGGGAGGTGGTGTTTTTCCACTTTACAGTGAGGAGACTGAGGCTTAGAGAGGGTAGGTACGCCATTGGAACAAAGCCACTCAGGCAGTTGTAGGAAGTACAGCTGGGGCTTATACCTTCCCATTCTACCCTCCAGGTTTTCCCTGCTATAAGCATTTCTTACAGCAGTGCCTTCAATAGGAGAAACAATGACAAGTGATTTTTCCAGTGGGACAGCAAGAAGGTGATTGTGGTCTTGGACCTTGGGATTTAGGACGGGCTATTGACATTAACAGTTGGATAGGCTGCTAGGTCAGTCCAGGGAAAAGCAGGAGGGAAGATAAGACATGACTGAGAATTCAGGAAGGGCCAGCGCCATCCAATCAGAACAAGTTGGAGCTTTTCGTCTTCTTTAAGCCTACTAGTTTCACTTCTCATTTTGAAAGAAACAACTTGCTCGGCCAACCTATTGTTGCTGCCTTTCTCTGCCTACCACAGCTATGAAAGCAAAGTTATTGGAACATGTGAACGTCACTAGCATCCGAGGCAAGATTTAGGTTCTGAAAAGAGGTCATCAGATTGTAGAGTTGGATCTCCATTTCCCTGGAGAGTCTTGTGCTTCAGAAAATCATTATTGGTTTGTCATCCTAGCCTGTCATGGTGGAACCCCTGGGCTCTGAAAGATTACAGGAAAATAGCTGGTCCTTGGCAGTTCTCAGAAGGTTCTGTTTCTCACCTGGGCCAGGATTGTGCCTGTGGTTTTTGTTCATGACAAGATGAGAAGAGCTTGGTTAAATAAGGAACGACCTCTCGTTATATATCTTCTATCCTGATTGATTGCATCAGAAAAGCCATTCATCTGGTTTGAAGATAGACAGGTGGTTGCTGTCACTGCACCAGCAGCTTTTGAAGTTTGCTCAGTGATATGATTACAGCCCATACTTAAGCTTCTGCTCCAGGAAGTGAGATTGACCTTTGATCCTACTCCTCATTTAAAAATTACAGATCTTGGAAAATGAACCAATCTAGAAAGATATTGGAAGCTGCTGCTGCTGCTGCTGCTGCTGCTGCTGAGGTTGGCTGTCAAACCAACTTAACTGGCCTGCATTACCTAGAATTGTTTTTTTTTTTTTTTTTCTGGTTAAAACCAATGACCTTTAAAGCCTTTTTATTTTTCCTCTGACAATCTCTAGTGGACCTATGGTCTTTTGTGAGTTCTGATGGGAATCCCAGAATCTTTCTGTAACTGTGGGTTCCAATGAGAGAGGCACATTTAACAAAGACCAGAAGAAAATCAAAACTGTTGCTCAAACTGACAGTGTATGTTCTTCATCCCACTCCTTCATTAGCTCATTCATTCATTGATTCGTTCATTCATGTGCTGGCTCTTTGTAGAAGTTGGGGGTAAACAGGCGACCAAAAGGTAGTCCGTGACCCCAGGATGTTGTAATTCAGAAGGGTAAACAGACAAGGCAGTCAACATTGTCCATTCAGTGTGAATGAGCTTGGGAGTACAACCACTTTGGAAACCCATTTTGTTAATTTACCTTTGATAGATACTTATTGAACGGTTTTTCCAAGTGTCTGTGAAGAAGACATGGTGGTGGTAGGGGGTGGGTGGATGGTTTCTGAGGACCTGATAATGTTTCTCCTTGATTTTAGTGCCAGTTACGTGGCAACTCATGGAAAACATTGAGCTGAATACTTGGGCTTTTGCACCTTTTTGTAGTGCCTTAGTGTATTTTACACAAAAAAATAAATAAAAGTATGCTCAGCCTCAGGTGTGTTGGAAATACAGAGGAGAGACCAGCCCAACTTTGGAGGAGAACAGAGAGAGGGACCCAGGAAGGCCTTCTGGGGAATATATTTGACTTGGGCCCTGAAGGAGCAACAGAAATTAGGCACTGAGTAAAATGGGACTGGATGTACCTGCACAAAGCCAGCAGCAGAAGAAAAGACATGGAGTGGAGGGAGCTGGCAGTTCATGCTTGGGGGAAGCTGAGAGTTGCTTGTGGGGCTGGAGGCCAAGGTGCAGGGCTGCAGGGGTAGGAGGGAGCAGCCAGGGAGGGGGTGGATTGGTTAAGAAACACGATGTGCATGTCATGTTGAGAAACTTGGATTTCACCCTGGAGGCGCAGGAACTAGGGGGGATTTTTCAGCAGCAGTGACAGACGCTCTTAAATCTGGGTTTTCCAATGATCAGCATGCTTGTGCCTGCACCGGGGCGCAGGATGGGAGACAGATGCCTTTTGCAGTAGTTCCGGAGAAGAAGACTGAAGACCACATTCAAGGCCCTGAGAGAGAAGAGAAGGGGACAGATACCACAGAGATCATGAGATATAGCACAACAGATAAGACTTGCTAATTAACTGTACGGGGTTACAGGGAGGGACAGGGAGAAATCAGGTTTCTTCCAGCCCAGCTTCTGGTTGGAATCACTCAGGCAGAGACACATGGGCCTGAGAGAGGATTCCCCTTATGACATAAAGCCGCAAAAATTCTCATTAGTCATTGCAAAAACATCTATTTCCGGCCTACACTGCACCAGCCAGTGGGGGAGGTCCTGAGAGATAGAGAAAGGATGAATTCTTGCCCTTAGAGAGTCACCTAGAGATTCTGGGGAGACAGCAGGTCCGAGTCTCTCTGCCTGAAACCTCTGGACAGTGTCTTTGGCTGACACTTACATGGTGGTCTTGGTTTCTTATTCAAGGTCGGTTTCCCAACTCTCATAGCATCAGCTTTAGGGCATCCCCAAATCTCTTGCAGAAGAGATGGTTCTTTCCCCTTGAGTTGTTTTGAGCCAAGCATATAACATTGTGTGAATGTTTGAAAACTTCTCTTGGTTCTCAGAATGCAATTCTGACAGTGCTGAAGGCTGCCAATTAAATGAAGATTTAGATAAAGGCTGTGTGGGAGGTGGAATGCAATATTCTTAAACCTAATAATGGCTTCCTTCTGTCTTTTTGAAGCTCTCAAATAATCCTGATTGACTGACTCTCTGCTTTGGGCATTCCCATTTTCTGGACAATTTAATACCATTTAAAATGTTTGACAACTTTTATTTGGGGGCAGACATCCTTAGGGGATGGGGCCGTGGGCAAAGATACAAATGCTGTACCATCAAAGGAACCATGGATTTAAATAAGGATTTTTTTTTTTTTCATATTCAGAAGAGGTGGGTACAGAAAGGATGAGGGCAGCTTCTCAGGTTATAGTATTAACCACGTGAAGCAGCTAACAAAGGTATGTGCCTGGCCTTGTGCTAAAGGCTTTCCTCGTATCAGTTCTTTCATCCCTCCCAACACTACTGAGGTAGATGGAGTGACTAGATCCATTATACAGGCAAAGTAGCTGAGGCCCACAGCCATAGCAAATAAACTGTGGAGCTGGTGGTCCCAGATTTCATGCTTTTAGTCATTCTCTTGGCTCTGGGGTACAGGTAAGCTTCCAGAACTGGAGGATGGAGTCCAAAAGAAACTCAAGATAATTTCCCTGCCTTTCCCATTGTATCAGGGGATTCATCTGTTCATACATTCATTCATTTTCCCAACACATTTACTGAATGCCCGCAAGCACCAGGAAAATAGCAATGGGCACAACCAGGTTCCTATCTTCATGGAGCTATTGCTTTATTGGCAGAGGCAAACAGTAAAGAAAATTCATTAGTAATCAGTGTTGCAATCAATGAGCCGGTCAATCAAGCACCATAAAAGGGTAAAGTGTGACGAAGGTGCTCCTTGTGATAGGGGTTGGGGGTGAGGGGAGGTGTCCTGGAGAGGAGACATTTCAACTGAGATCTCTCTGAAGTAGATGAGATGGCCATGTGGATCTCAAAAGGAAAGTGTATGCCAGGAAGAGCAAAAAGCAAGTGCAAAGTCCTAAAGCAGGAAATAGTGAGGCTACCGCAGTGTCGGGTCCAAGAGTAGGAGATGAGATCAGGGAGGCAGATTAGGCTGCAGGGAGGGTGTGCGTGTGATGCTGAGAGTGATGGGAAACCACTGGTGGGGTTGGGGGAGGGCAAGGCAGTGACATCATTTGTTTTTATGTGCAGCAGAGGAAGCCAAAGCAATTCAGAAGAAGCCTACAGAAGCTTACCTCCTCCACAGGCTATTTTTTTCTTGTTTACATTTGTTAATTTTACATATATATTAACTCAGTCCTCACAACCACCAAATGAAATAGGCATTGCCCTTATTATCATTCTTTCCCATTTTAACAATGGGGAAACTGAAGCTTAGAGTAGGCAAGGTCGCCCAGATAGGAAGCAATGCCTTCGGGTCATGGCTCACTACTCAAGTGCCTGAAATTTCAGCTAGCCTTTAGTGGGCACCTGCTATGTGCCAGGATCTGTATGAGGTTTGGCACCACCTAGACAGCCCCTTGAACCAGTGGCATGTCTCAGGACAGTGTGAGAGACAGAAACTTCAGCTGAGAGTTACCGTGCAAGGCAGAAAATGCTGGTCTAGCAAAAGGAACTCTGATTTCGATTTGGAAGTACAGAGAAAGAGCATCTGCCTTGGACAGAGTTATCAGTGAAAAGATGACATATGAGCTGAGACTGAAAATCATGTTGAAGATAGTCAAACAAAAGCTGGCAGTGTGGGAGTGGGGGCTTCAAGCAGAGAATCAGTGGTTCAAAGGCACAGGGTAGAAGGAGAATGGCAGCTGGCTCAGTGTGGCTGGAGAAAGAGGCTGGAGTGCACCTGGTTGCATTTGAATGGTGTGCGTGTGTGTGTGTGTGTGTGTGTGTTAATGATGGTGATGAGATGAGGGGCTAGAGAGGAAGACAGGTTGGCACCTGGTAGCATTTTTTAAAAAGCAAGTAAACCTTATTTTTTAGAGCAGGTTTAAGTTCACAGCAAAATTTGGTGGAAGGTACAGAAGTTTCCCAAGTACCTCCTATCCCCACAAATGCACAGCCTTGTCCCACTATCAACATCCCACATCAGAATGGTACATTTGTTACAGTCAATGACTCTACATTGACACATCATTATCACTCAAAGTTCACAGTTTACATGAGGGTTCACTCTTGGTGCTGTACGGTGTATGGTGGATACATGACAAATGTGTAAATTCATGTATCCACCATTATGATATCACACAGAATAGTTGTACAGCCCTAAAATACTTGCTCTGCCTATTTGCCTACCCACTCCCTTCTCCCTAACCCCTGGCAATCCACCGATCTTTCTTCTATTTCCATAGCTTTGCCTTTCCCAGAATGTCATATGGTTGGAATAATATAGTATGTAGCCTTTTCAAATTAGCTTCCTTCACTTGGTAACATGCATTGAAGTTTCCTCCATGTTTTCTTATGGTTTGGTAGCTCTTTTTTTTTTTTTTTTTTAGCATTGAATAATATTTCATTGTCTGGATGTATCACAGTTTATCCATTGACCTACTTAAGGATATCTTGGTTGCTTCTAAGTTTTGGTGATTACAAATAAAGCTGCTATAAACATTTGTGTTTCCTCATATAGATCTTGTATATATACAGTAGTTCCCCAGTTTTCATGGGGAATAAGTTCCCAGACACCCAATGGATGCCTGAAACTATGGATTGTACCAAGCCCTACATACATTATGTTTTTTTCCTGTACATACCTGTGATAAAGTTTAATTTATAAATGAGGCACAGTAAGAGATGAACAACAATTGCTCCATAAAATGGAACAATTATGACAATATGTTGTAATAAAAGTTACATGCATGTGGGCTGTCTCTCTCAAAATCTGTTGTAGCGCACTCACCCTTCTCTTTTAATCTGTCAGTCTGATAACCAAGATGGTTACTGAGTGACTAATGGATGATGGGTAAGATAGACAGGATGGATACACTGAAGAAAATGATAATTCACATTCCCGGCAGGATGGAGTGGGATGACAGAAGATTTCATCATGCAACTCAGAACAGCATGTAATTTAAAACTTATGAATTATTTTTGGAATTTTTCTATTTAATATTTTCAGACTGTGATTGACCACAGTTGAGTAAAACTGTAGAAAGCAAACCTTGGAGAAAGAGAGACTACTGTATTTTGTACATTTCATGTACACAGTTTGCTAGATTTATATGTAAATATTCCAATTTGGGGAGGGTAATGTAAATTGTATTGTGTTTTAAATTCCTGATTTCATTCATTCATTGCTGGTACATAGGAAAGTGATTGGCTTTTTTACATTAACCTCGTATCTTGTAATCTTGGCATAATTACTTATTCTTGGAGTTTGTCAATTTTTTTGGATTTCTTACATAGATAATCATTTTATCTGCAAACTAAGTTTTGTTTCTTACTTTCCAATCACTATACCTTTGTTTTCTTTTCTTATCTTACTGCATTAGCTAGGACTTCCAGGACGATGTTGAAAAACAATGGTAAGAGGGCACATCCTTGCCTTGCTACTGATCTTATCAGGAAAGCTAGTTTCCTACCATGAAGTGTGATGTTAGTTGTAGGCTTTTTGTAGTTGTTCTTTATTAAGTTGAAGAAGTTTCTGTCTGTTACTAGTTTGTTGAGAGTTATTATGAGTATTGATTTTGCCAAGTGCTTTTTCTGCATCTATTGATATGTGCATGTGATATCTATTGATATGTGCATATGAGCCTCCTGGTCATCATCCCAGGCTTAGCTCACAAAAGTTGTGAGCAGGGAGGCCACCAGGAATGTGGGGCAGGTATTATGCTTCCCATTTTACAGAAAGTAATGCCAGAAGAAAACAGTGCACAGTTACTGCTGGTTCCCAATAGTTGATTTGACTCCTTTAAAGATTTAGCTGTCCCATTTATGTGCTGGATAACATCAATTGATTCTTAAATGTTCAACAAGCCTTGCATACCTGTGATAAATCCCATCATGGTTACATTTTAATATACTTACTTTTCTTCATACCTGTCTCAAGAGAGAAAGTAGCTCAGTGGTTAAGACTGGAGTCAGGCTGCCTGGGTATAAATTGCACCTCCGTTGCTTATTAGCTGTATGAACTTGGGCAAGATATTTAATCTCTCTGTGCCTCAGTTTTCACATCTGTAAAATTATGTCAAATAGTACTGATCTCCAAGGGTGGTTGCGTGGGTTAAATTATACCTAAAGAACTTAGCACCCCACTCAGCACATGGTGGCTGCCATGATGGTTTGCCGTGACCTCTCTTCATTTGAATGTGTGCCCAGTGTCTTGTTTCTCTCTGTATTCTCAGTGCCTGGTACAAAGTCGATAGATTTTAAAAGCCCATAGAAGAAAACATACATTTTTCCCTGTTTGTGGGTATGTATGGAAGATTCTGTAACTTTGACTAGACACTTGATATTCAGATAAAATAGCCCTAAAGAAGGTTCTCAAGGGGGTGGATTTTCTCAGACTATTGTGAGCATAGTTCCTAAAGCTGACTCTATGTCTTGTGCTGACTCTAATCCCCTCCTGGCCATCATCCCAGGCTTAGCTCACAAAAGCTGTGAGCAGGGAGGCCACCAGGGATGTGGGGCAGGTAATATGCTTCCCATTATACAGAAAGTAATGCCAGAAGAAAACAGTGCACAGTTGCTGCTGGTTCCCAATAGTTGATTTGACTCCTTTAAAGATTTAGCACCTGAGTTAGAATCCGGATGGCAGAACTTCTCTATTGGAACCTAGTCCCACTATTCCTCTCTCCCTTCATTCAACACTGGGTTTAGAATGCTTGCCAGCAGCATTGTGGAAATTACCTCAAAGGTAGAAACACGTAACTCATAAGCACACATGAATAGGTATAGGTCATAATCCTGGAAAGACGGCCTTGCCATTGAGAGGGGAATAGCAGGAGCAAGGCTACGGAAGCACGGGACTCTGGTTGAGTCTAGGCACTGTCTGCATGTACTTGGCACATTCCTTAAAAATGGCAGCAAGCAGTCCATTCTCAAATGGAAATTGGAACAAAAAATAACGTAAAACCATAAATAACAGAAAAGAATATATACTCAAACATGTATAATCCATATGCATGAACATAACTCCCCTATTGGGAATTTCTCATAAAGAATCCCCCCAAAATATAATACCACGTCCACAAGAACCCACCCACAGGCCAGGTACTGTGCGAGGCACTGGAATACAATGGGGGTAACATGGACTAGGAGACTCATGAAAACGTCATGACAAACACCTGGGAAATTCTGAACGTTAAATAGTAGGGAAGGGTTTCTCCACCATGGCATGGTGGCCACTTTGGGCAGGAAGATTGTGGTGAGGCTATCCTGTGCATGGCAGGATGTCCAGAAGCATCCCTGGCCTCTACCCACTAGAGGCCATTGGAAGCCCCATCCTCACTGTGAAATCCAAAAATGTCTCCAGACATTGTCAAGTGTCTCCTGGAGGGAAAGGGGGGAAAGTGACTCCCCATTGAGAACCACTGCTTTAGGGGAATACTTAAGAAGTTGAGGCATATCTGCTCACTGGAAAATGGAAATGAGCTAATTTGGAGGCTTAAAACAGCAGCACTGGGAAAATGACATAAATTTTAAAAAGCAGAAAGTAATACTGCATTTATTCTGTGGTTTGGCTGAGGTTTTGGGTTTCAGAGGAAGCTGCTGAGAAAAGAGAGGGAGGGAAAATGTGACCCAGAAATCACGGGAACCAGGGAATCTCAACAAATTGAGTATCTTGGTTTGTGTAAGATTAGGAACCTGGAGATAAATATGGGTCAGGCAGATGCAAGTAAAATGATCACACGTGGGGAGCATGGAAATTGGGTCTTAAAAGTGAGTTAAGTCAAGGGTGGTATTTAAAATATGTCATATGTAAATATGACAGAGAAACCACCAATCAAAACAGCCATCTGCTGAAACCACCCACTATGGGCGTTCCTGTGCCTGCCGGGGCGTGCGGGGAAACCCAAGAGGGAGCACCAGTTGGTGAACGTCAGTCAATCCACAAACCATCTAACAGAGGCACAGGGATTAAATTCAGAGCAAGACCTGGCAAAACAGAAACAGCCCGAGGCCAGAGATGAAGTGAAAGAAAGATGACAACCTAGGGCCCAGGAGGGAAGCTTCCAGAAGGTTGAGTTATATTTAAGCCCTTTCACTGTATACCTGGGACCAAAGACCCTAGAGCAGCTTCAGACATAAATTATGTATATACATGAACAAAGACAGAAAGGGAGCAAAGAAAAATGAAAACAGCTTGATTTGTAGGGCTTTCAGCATGGCGGGTGGTTTTCTTTCCCCCCTCGTTTTATTTAGACGTCTGCTGCTGCTGCTTCAATTTTGTTCCGGCAATACAAGTAAAATATATGTGGATGTTAACAAAGATGTAAAGAGCCTTTTGAAGTATATAACTGATTATAATTTAACATTCATTAAGTTTCTTTTATCAAAAAAAAAAAACTATTAAGTTCATTGAAGAAGTCATAAAAACAAACCAAACACCCACCACCTTCTCCCCTCCTGGGGACATGGCAGTGGCCACTTCAAAGTGGGTCAGGTCTCCGTGAAGGAAAGGGGCTCTTGAGAGAGTGATGGTGGCCCAGGGGCCGGTGTGATGTTTCATGCTGGAGGGATACAGCTGTCCGTTTCCTTTGCCTCTTTTCATCCTGATGGAGCAAACGGCTCATTGTTTACGCTGACCTAGTGAGGTTGGCTTCAAGCTCTCCCCTCACCATGTTGTAATGAGATAGTCCTGAGGACACACGCTCTGTCCATTGAAACAGATTAGCTCTGATCACAGCTTAATTATGTGAAGTACAGCCAAACCCTATTTATGCTTTTCCTAGGGATGGGGTGGAACAGATAGGAACGGGTAATTGACAGACATTAAGAAATAGACTTAAATATTGTTTGTCCTGCTTTAGTACGCACGATATTAATGAGATGTTATTGTGAGTGCTGAGTAAAGAGGTTGCTGCCGGCTGGTTCTCATGCCAGGCAGCCAGCAGACCTTCTTCCCAAGCAGGGAATTAGCGCAGGTGTTCCCTTGGTGAAAGCCTGGCTATCAGCATCAACACCTTCTAGAAGATCCGTGCCTCTTGGTTTATTTCAGGGAGCCTGTGCAACTCCAAAAGGATGGATGCTGGATGCATATGGAGGTTCCATGCCTTAAGGCTAGCTTACAAATGTATGAACTCGTCTGTCTTTTATTCCATCAGAAATGAATGTACATTGTAGGAACCAGACTTAGCAGAGAACACGGAGTATTGGGGGAAACCTCAATTAGGGAATAAAGAGCTAGTACACACACAGATGTGTGTCACATCAGACTATGTAATGGACACAATTTAGGAACAACTAAGGTATGTCCTGTAATTAGGGGACTTGTTAAATCTGCACTGTCTAATATAGTAGCCACTAGTTACATGTGACTGTTTACATTTCATTTAATCAAATTAAAGAAAATTGAAAATTCAGTGTCTTGATCACAGGAGAGGAATTTTAAGGGCTCCTTTGTCACAGGCGGCTAGTGGTTCTCATGTGCAGATGTAGGACATCCCCGCCATCACAGAGGGATTTGCTGGACACCACTGAGTCAAATAAATGGTAGTATGTCCATAGAATGGAGTATTCTCCATATTCTCAATGAAGTAAATGCAGATATTCTGGCATAGAAAGGTCACCCTTGTGTATTGCCAGGTAAACAAGTTACAAAACTTTATGATATTAATTTCACTTAAAAAACAGATGCAACACACAGGCACATACTTTTTGGATAAGAGTGCAAAAAACACAGAAAGGATGCACACCAAATTGTCGGCATTAGTTACCTTGAGGAGGCGGGGGTAGATGTTTACTTTTTATTTTCTTCACATGTGTATTGTCTGAACATATTTCAATGAGCATGTGTTACTGTTGTAATTAAAAAGAGATTTATGTGATGAAAACTGATGAAAATGATTGAGAAACATGAACAGAGGGTTTTCTCTTTGCCTCTTTAGAGACTGGTTAATGGTGCTACCTGAGTGAGATTGACCAGATGGCTTGTTGGGAGAAGAAGGGAGCTGGTTTGGAGTAAATCCATCCCCACCACTATCAGGTCTTGCCCAGGCATACCCTGCTTTTCCTGAATGTCCTGAATGTTGTTGTAGGACAACAAATGCGCTTTATAATTATTCATAGGACCTCTCACTACTAATCTTTGAGTCGATAACAGCTTCTGCTATAGAAGGGGGCAGATCACTGGGCTTAAATGTCAAATAGCGCCTGAGAGGCTTAAACAACCACCAGTATGTGTCCCTCTGGGAGGGCTTCTCTGCCATTTAGAAGATCAATGAGAAGATGTCCTCCAGGCCAGTGTGAGGTGGTAGAGGTGTGTGCTTGCGTGGGCATGCCTGTGTGTCTGGTACCCTTACCCACTGAAACAGCAAAGGACATGCCTTCTCCCATATGACAAATCGGTACATTGATGATTTCGAGTTAAAAACATTGGATAAATTGCAGTTTCAGAAAGGGCTAGCTGACTTGTCTCTTCCTACATGTAGCAGGCCAGAAAGATTCCTCTCTGGGAGGGGCATCCTCCCCCTGCCAGGGCAAGAAAATAGCCCTTATCGCCAGAGACTGCGGATTGCAGGCTGCAGTGGGCTTGAATAAATACCCTTACTGAAGTGGCCCTTAGCCTCCACTAGGTTTTTTGTTTGTTTGTTTGTTTGTTTTGAGAGGGAGTTTCGCTGTTGTTGCCCTGGCTGGAGTGCAATGGCGCGATCTCGGCTCACCGCAACCTCTGCCTCCTAGGTTCAAGCGATTCTCTTGCCTCAGCCTCTGGAGTAGCTGGGATTACAGGCATGCAGCACCAGGCCCGGCTAATTTTGTATTTTTAGTATAGATGGGTTTCTCCATGTTGTTCAGGCTGGTCTTGAACTCCCGACCTCAGATAATCCACACGCCTCGGCCTCCCAAAATGCTGGGATTACAGGCATGAGCCACCATGCCCAGCCACCGCCACTCATTTTACACAGTCCCCTGTATGTCTCCTAGTGACTCCCCTAGAAATTCACTGACCCTAGCCAGATCCCATTTGTCCTGTCTTTGTCAGATTTATCATTCTTTGTCTAAAAAGTTCAAAAGCATCTTGCTTTGGCCGCTTCTTCAGACATCACTCTCTTGTGAAGATCCCTTGTACCTGGAAAACTATTAAGATCCGTATGCTTTTTTCCTGTTGATCTGGTTGTCTGATTCGTGTCCATTTGGTTTCTAGGTCCAGCCAAAGAGCCCACATAAGAACCAAGGTGGGGTTGGGGGTGATCTCTGGTCCCCTTTGTGATCCTCTTCTAGGAGATTTACCTCTCTGCTAGCTTACATACTATGTGAATATAGCGTGGGCTTTCTTCTTGCTCTTCAGAAAGTCTTCTCTACCCTCCCTCCTCCTACCATGGCGCATTCTGCAGCATGACAGGCATTCCACTCTGAGGTGTGAGCCATGTGGGCTCTCAGGACTCTTTTGGCTCCACTTCTGCCTTTGTAGCTGTGGACCACGAGGCAGTGACTTTGAAATTCAGTCTTATTCTGCGGAAATATTACTTACTCGTCCCTACCTCATAGGGTGGTTTTTCGAAGTCAGTGAGACAAGGACAGTGAAGGGTTGAGGCAGTGCTCAGCACATAGTAAGCGCTAAATAAATGTTAGCTTTTGTTGAAATTAATCTTACTTTTCACTAAATTGTGCTGCAAAGCAACGTGCCATTGCCTGTTCTTCACATGGCTGTGTCTCTCCTCCTCAGATGGATGGAGTAGGAGGGTTGTTGGAAGACAAAAGCATCCTGCTTCACTCTTGTCTCTCCAGGCTCCTGACAGTGATTTGCACTAGCTGATTAGTAAATTCATGGCAGTGCCTGGTGCCTGAGAGAGCGAGGGTTGGGTGCAGCTTGGCTACAGCTCTGAACACAGCAGTGGGGGCTCAGTTGCTTGGAAAAGCTGCCAGCCAGTGAGCCCAGCACAGTCAGAGTCCTGTCAATGCAGTAGGTGGGTAAAATAAGACACCAGTGTGCCTTTGAAGCATGACTTTCTGAGGGAGAAGGCTGGGAGCCTTTACATTTGATGACTGGGAGAAAGGACCCAAGTTTTTCCTGTGTGTTTCCTTAAAACAGCCTTATTCTCTAGATGTGATTTGTTTTCTGTTTTATTTTCAAAGAGAAGAAAATCTTGTTAATACTTGCTTATTAACTAACAATTTCACTTTACTGGTTTGGTATGTAAAACTGAGGGTTTTCTTCTACCCAGTGGCAGTTTTTGATATGAAACAGTAACAACAACATCAACGTAACTTGTATTTTTGAATATATTTGATACAGATATTGGTTAAAAGCATTTTGTACATATATATTCTTACATATTTGTGGGTATGTATGAATACATGTATATATGCATATATATGTGTGTGTGTAATTGATTCTCATTATTCATGAATTCTGTCTTTGTGAATTTGCCTACTCAGTAAAATGTATCTGTAGCTCCCAAATCAGTGGTCATGGTAGTGTTGTGGTCACTTGCAGACATATACAGAGCTGTGACAAATTTGAATCATATGATGTATATGCTTCCAGGTGCATTCAAACTAGGTGAGACTGCCTTCTTGTTTTAGCTTTCATACTACAAACAAATATCCTTTTCATGAACCATTTAATGCCACATTTGCCACAATTTTATGCTATTTCTTGGCAATTTTGCTGTCAAAATGGCCCCAAGTGGACTGCAGAGTGCTCTCTAGTGTCTCTAAGTGCAAGAAGGCTGTGATGTGTCTGACTGAGAAAATGCATGTGTTAGATAAGCTTTGTTCCAGCATGAGTTACAGTGCTGCTGGCTGTGATAAATTTTAAGTAAGGCATCTTTAAACCGAGGCGCACGTAAAACAAGGTTATATATTGACTAGTTGACTGAACTGTGACCAGAGGCTCACAGGAACCTAACCCTGCATTTCTACTAGGAGCAATGGTTCAATATATGTTAAGTATTCATGGTGACTTCATAGAACATAAGTACCATAAATAAGAGAATCAATTGTATGCAGACACTCCTTGATTTATGATGAGATTTTATCCTGATAAACCATCCTACATCAAAAAGGCGGCTGCATGCCTACCTCAAACATCACAGGTACTCTGCTTCACCTTCCTCAACTATGTCATGCCTCAACTCTGCTTGGACTCTGCCCAACTCCAGACAGGGACAATGTGACAGTAGCCAGCTCCTCTCTGAACTGACACCCTGTAAATTGGACCTACTGAACAGCAATAGTTTAGCCTAACCTACTTTATATGTGCTTAGAGCACTTGCGTTAGCCTACAGGAGGGCAAAATCATTGAATACAAAGCCCATTTTATAATGAAGTGTTGACTGTCTCATATAAGAGTATTGTACCACATATTTCTGGACCAGGAAAAGATCAAAATTCAAAATCTGAAAAATGGTTTCAATGGAGTAAGTATTTCTTTTGTACCATTGTAAAGTTGAAAAACTGTTGTCTAGTCATTCTAAGTCAGGGAATATCTGTGTATAAATCGTGTAAAATCCTCCCAGAACCTTTATGAGAGGGTGTGGACTGTGATTCTTAAGTTAATGGCATCCCTCTCTGCCTATAACGATCTCACGTCTGTTTTTTTGCCAAAAAATATAGCTGCTGGGGAACCTGTTCAGGGAAGTTGGGATGTGTTTATCCTTAGGTGTTTATTCATCTTTCCAAGCTCCTGCAATCAACCAGAAACACAGGGGAATGGAAGGCTTAGTGTTTGTTGTACCAATTATGCCACAGGCAGTATCTTGTGTATTTTAAGTAACAGCACTGCTTTGGTAAGGCAGTTGATCCTACTTTCAAAGGCAAGGTACCTGAATCATGGACAATGAGGCCACCATCAGCCCTCCCTCTCCAATCAATGGATGACCATACACTGTGCTTGTTCCTTCCACATGGAGACCCATACTTGAATACTTGGTGGGTACCTTGAGCTAACCTCTCACTTTGTGTGGAATAGGCAGTGGGCTATAAGGGGAAAGCACACACTTTGAAGCCAGACTCACTTGCATTGGAATCTGGGATGTCTGACATAACAACAACTACTACTATTTTTTTGGCCATTTACTATAACCTAGTCGTAGGTTAACCATACAACAACCATGGTAACTGAGGCACGAAGAACATCTTTCTTATTTGTGGTGCATATCACAATGTAAAGGTAGTCCTGTTGATACACCCATTTTTAGAAATGTTAAATGGTGTGCTCAAGGTCACACAGATGGAAGCTGGTGAATCCAGAATTTAAAAGTAGAACATTTAATCCCAGAGCCAGCCTGCCTTCCCACCATCCAAACGATGCTATGCCACATCTTGAAGAATCAGAACCACCTTGTCAAGATGGGTGACAATTACAACAGAGAAATGATGTAAAATGCAGTGTGTAGTTTCTGCCCCTGAGATGAGTTCAGGAATGGGTCCAGTTCCTGTTCTTAAACACGCTTTGCCCTACTGCTTGCAAGCCAACTCGGAGCCTTCTGATGTTTCTCTCCAAACTGACAAAGGAATCAGCTGTTCCTTCTAGAGGGGGAATACTTTGACTTGTGTCTTCAGAAGTTATCTGATGCCAGCTTATTCACATCGCCTCACCTCCTAGCAGCTGGAGCAGGAATGCAGCAGTAGGGTATTGAAATTTAAGAGGTTGGCCTTGAGTCACTGACTTAGCTGGGTATCCCATAAAGCAGAGAGCTTATACATTTCTATCGTATTAGGGAGACAATTCCAGAGAGTGAGAGTGAAGGAAGAGGGGATTGAGGCAGGTAAGGAGGGGAGGCTTGCGAAGGCGCGTACTGAGCTGGCCATCCCCAAGTGCAACTGATTGAGAGGTTTGTAGAGCTTTGTCCCTGAGAAGCCTGCCTCACCAGGATGTGGTGTGGGGAGATGAAATAATTCCTCCACTCATTCCCATCTGCTATTGGCCATATGTTGGCTCAAGGGGCGTTCCTTTCCTTGCACCGTAGGATTGTGCATGTATGATGGGGCTCCTCTACCGAGTTAAGAAGGAAGCCCTTGGCAAGGGCGGAGAGGCTCTCAGTTCAGAGAGGAGTTGTCTGATGTCACGTTGCCCCTATCTGAAGTTGGACAGAGCCCAGGCAGAGCTGAGATGTGACGTGAGTGAGGAAGGCGAAGCAGTGCACCCATGATGTTTGGTGCAGTCTTGAAAGCGCAGTCACTATGGAGCCGCCCCCCGCCTCTCCCCTTCTGAGCCGCCACAGCTCACGCTTGCTTTCTATGTCCTGAGCTTTTCTGTACCTCTGTCTTGCTATGTCAGGCATTCATGGCTGTGCTGTTAGGGAGCCTTTTCAATCTTCTCATGCTCCAGTTTCAAAGCTGTCTCAAAATGAGATAAGTTAAAGCCTAATACAGTTTTTTAGAAACACCTGTATTTGTCACGCTGACCTAATATTAACACAGGTTCTCGTCTCTACTTGAATGTTACGCATCTATCGCGACACCATTACCAGGACTGCGCTCTGAATCTTTAGAGATTATCTGTGTGCCTGATGTCATGAATACCAAGTAGATGATGTAGGATGGCTATACCCTGCCAGGGAGACCTGCCTGGGGTACCAGTGAGTTTACAAAGACTTGCAGGAGGCAGCATACAGACCATGGGCTTGTAGCTTTCCAGTTCAACTACACCACCAAACCCTGGCACCTAAGACTTTGGTTGTTCCCCGTGTCCTATGAGCCCTGATCACAAGGTGAGCAATGCCTTCTAGGCTGGGAAGGCAGAGTTGGCAAGAACTGCCAACCCCAGGGATGGCATCAGGCCCGCTGATAATTAAAGGGTGCCTAGGACATATTGCCTAAGCTGTTATTGGTTCTAGAGGACTCGACTTCATTCCATGAGGGGTAAAATAAGTAGATAGGGAGGCATTCAGAGCCTGAACTGGTAAAGGGGGGACAGTTATAATATTACCCCAAAGCTACAGCTCAGGGAAAACCATTAGGGCAATGTTTTTTTGTTGTTGTTGTTTCTTCCTTAAGAAGGGATCTGTGCTATGTACTTTAGCATCACCTGAGATGGTGTGAACAATGATAAGAGTTTGAGGCCCTGTCTTTTATCTACAGATTCAGCATTCCTTGGGGTAAGGTCTGGGAGTCTGTGTTTTGGCAAGAGTTCTGAGTGATTCTGATGTACACTAAAGTTTGGGAATGACTGTCGTAGGAGTGTTCAGTAACTTGGGCCTCCTGGAATGCTCTAAGTTGTGTCACAGCCCAGCTGAGTACCTGGGACAGAACAGGGAAAAGCAAGGAGTGACGATGTCAGAGAGGGGCTGTGAGCCCCTGGCTTTGGAGCCAGACCTGTACCTTCCTGGACTTCAGCAAGTTCCAGAATTTCTGTGCATGTGAGTTTACCCCTGTGTAAAGTGAAGATGACAACAGGGCTGGCTGTTATTCTAGGGGGCTGCCCCGGTGTACCTGGCACAGTGCAGTCCTGCTGATTTTCATATTGCTCTCATTGCCATCCACATCCGAGGGAGTAAATTAGCGGGATCCACAAGCCACGGATGAGCCTTGAACCAGAGAAGCCACAAACTAGCATTTAGGACTTCCTGAGGCTCAGGTATGAGCAATGCTGCCCAAGTGCATGGCATGAAACCCACTACAGACCATCGGAAACCTCTTGAGGACACCATTCCTCTCTGGTAGCCTTTGGGGCATCATTGAACATTGGGTCAGCATGTTAGATACGATGAAGTTCCAGATCCAAGGACAAGCCCTTTAGATGCCTAGTATATGGCTCTGCCCTGGCATTTAACGCCCAGGAGATTATATTACCCTATCAAGCTTATAGAAAATGGACGCAGGTACAATATATCTTATCTACTGCCACATTGATAAAGTCTACAGAGAAAATAGTGGGTCTTTTAGGACTTACCCATTGAGCCTTTTATTTTAAGTGACACATTCTAGTACGGACTTAATTGTAATTCTGATAACATTACTTGTAATACTGTCTCCAGTCCTTGGAATTAATTTGACTGGAAAAAATCCAGAAGGACTTAAATGTTTCTCATTAAAAGCATTATAGATAACTTATTAGACATTGTGACTAATTGTAGTATGGCCCAATGTAAAGCCATCCCAATTAAGATGCTGTTTCTTCTCTTGTGATTAGTTGGCAAACCTTTTCCATACAACTGTGCCCTCTAGAATGTAGATCAATTAAGCATATATAATTGGACGGAACCATTTGCTCCCCAGTTATCACCCTCTCCAGTGAGATATACCCCAGCCGGGTTGGTAGGCTTGTGAAGACAAATGTCCTGATCTCACTTTAGGGAGTTGACAAATGGATCTCTATAAGGCAGCTTATGTGCTAAATATTTCTCCTGGCCCCATTGGCAGAGATGTAGTCTGTTTTCCCAGTACAGAGAATTTCTTGCAGCCTGTACATTTTCCCTTTAAAAGATAAAGAGAAACCATTATGCAGTTTTTATTCCTGACCTGCCTCAAGGAGCAGATACGGACTGGAAAGCAGCCCCTGTTGGATAATTGCTGCTTGTCTCAGAGTTTGAGATTCTGCCGGGGTTTCTTGAGTCACCGAGCATATGGGGCTTCAGGTTGGACTGCCCACTCCAGTGCCTGAGAATTTACTGGGAAGTTTTAATAAAGTAGAGCAGAAATTTTCCAGCTGCATCCGAAATATTTGATGTCATGCTGAATTGCAAATCCCTAGTCGGAACATTTGAACATCATCTAGAGGGATCAGGAAATAACCCAAAGGTTTGGTAGGCGACTTAGAACAATGGCTGCTCTTAAGAGGGAACAATTTAGAGCGATTTCTTTCCTCTTCCTTCTCTCCACCTTCCCCACTGATTTCTCCTTCACGCACCTATGGGTGTGAAATGAGAAAAAAATATCACTTGAAACCAAATCAAAAGCTACAGCAATTCTGGAATTAATAAAAGCTCACATGTAGAAGGAAGTGTGGGTTTATGGGTAGGGTGACCATGCACTACCCAGGTTTGCTTTACCTGAAGGCAGCGGGGCACACGTACTGAGGACTATTGGGTAGAAGGACAGATGGGGCTATAATTAGGGGATGAGCTTCCAACAGATTCTCGGAATGAGCTAGGCATTTGCAATGTTCAGAGTATATAGACTGGCACGTAATTTGGGGTAGTCGGGTATGAAACTTATAGACACATCCATGGATTTCCCTTTAATAAATCGTCTCTTCTAGTAGTCATTTGTCATCAACGAGCAATTCAGTAAAAGTTGGAATTGAGCATAATGTTGCATATCATTTCAGAACATCTGGCCCTAATATGTAGTAACAGCTGTTTAGTACCTGAGATATAAACAAAACATTTTTCCCATGGCTGTCACTGTTCCTCCTCCTGGAGGTGCAGTATCACCGAGGCTTCTCTGTATTTCCTATCATGGGTAATAGTAACAATATCAATAACACAATGATGATTATCATGTATTGTTTAACTATGTGTCATACACTATGTCAAGCACTTTTCATATATGATCTTGGTAAATCCTCATGCCAGCCTTTCGTGGGTATTAGATGGCGAGGGGAAAGTCATCAAGCCAGAGACTGACTACTTTGAAAATTGAATACAAGTCTGTGCAGTGCTACAGCTAACATTCTTTAAGTACTAAAATAAATTGCTTGTAAATAAAGTAAATGAAAAAAGAACACAACTGTGTAAGTCACAAATGAAGAAGGCAACAAAAGGGAACCCAGAAGGGTTTTTTATTTTTTGGTGTGGTCTTCCTTTGTTTGGGATGTAAGACACTGATTTTCCTGCTATATTATAGTATGTACACTGTTACGAGGTGGCAGTGCAGTACCTTGGTCATGTAAGCCAATCAACAAGACTTGTTCTTTTCCTGATGTTCAAGGGAGTAATTCCTTAAGCAAAATCACATTTATACACATGTCTTTTCAAATTTTTAACCAAATATTTCAAAATCAGTTGTTTAAGAAAACGATTACACCTATACCTTCAATATCAAAGCAGATCAATTTTTAAAACAAATTTACTAACCTAGTCTTCAGATACATAGGTTTGTTTTTCTCACTAATCCTTTGTGGTCACTGAAAGAGCATAGGCCACCCCAGTCTTTTGCCCAGATAGTGATGAAAATGCTGATCTTCGTGAATCCAACTGAAATTTTAACTTCGTGCCCAAGCTGTTCTAGAACTCAATTTATCAGATCCAGATTTGGTATTCTAAAGACTAGAGTGTTTTACTTTCTGGGTGTTCTTTGGGCTTCTTTTCTATTCATGACCCTTTGGATTATAAAAGAAGAGAAACACCATGGGGCAGATATGTCCAAGAATAAAGAAAAGAGAAAGTTGCGCACCTGAGAAGTGCCCCCTGCTGGCCAGCATCATTTCTCTGTGTCTCACTACAGAAGGAGGTCTTTGTTTATGAATTCTGCCCTCCCCCTCTTGCCCTGAGACTATCACCTGCTTTGGAAAGAATGGCATCATTTCCAGAATGCCCCTAGGGGCATTAGCTTCTCTTCTACACTCTCTCTCTTGCTTTTCAATATGGAAGTTAACAACGCAGTCTTTGAAGCTGGGCCGATTGGATTTCAAATTCTAACTCAGTAACTTCCCAACTGTGAGTTTGAGCAAGGTATACCTCTTAAGGCTCAGTGTTTTAATCTGTAAAACAGGAATAAAATAGAAATAATAACAATAACTATCTCATGGGGTTATTATAAGAGTCAACTGATATAATGTATGCACACCATTGAGCAGTGTGTCTTCCTCATTATTACTCCTTGATAGATAGCTAGAATTACTGAGCATCCGACTTAGAAGTCTAATTCTCTATTTTGATTTTATTCCTAAACTCCCATGTATGCACCACCACCTTAAACTCGGTACATCTATCTAGGCCGTGATGACCCCTCTACTGGCAGCTTTAGTCCCTCCCTAATCACTGTATTTCTATCATTGATATTAATATTCTTGAAATCACCCGGATTCGAAACGTCCAGTATCATTCTTGGCTCTTCCCTCCACTCTTCTCTGATCCTTTCGCACCATATCATCCCCTACTGCTTCCCCACACCTCTATCTAGGTGATCAGTCACCAACTCCTATTATTTCCTCCTCCATCTGCCTTGTAAATCTTAATTCCATTCTCCTCACTGATTCACTGTTCTCCATAGAATTCCTTGTGACTTTCTTGGAGGTGGGGATCTCATGTTTCCTTTAAGAAAGGAAATATATATGTGTACACACACACACACACACACACACACACACACATACACACACACACACAAAATATATATATTTGGAGACAGAGCCTCACTGTGTTGCCCAGGCTGGAGTGCAGTGACATGATCATGACTCACTGCCACTTCTACCTCCTGGGCTCAAATCTTCCTTCTGCCTCAGCCTCCTGAGCAGCTGGGACCGCAGGATTGCGTGCCACCATGTATGGCTAATTTTTATAAAGTTTTCTTTTTTTTTTTTTTTTTTTTGTAGAGATGATGGGGTCTTCCTGTGTTGCCCAGGCTGGTCTCGAACTCCTGGGCTCAAGCAATCTTTCCACCTTGGCCTTACAGAATGCTGGGATTATAGGCATCAGTCACTGTGCCCAGCCCCAGGAAACATGTTTTATTTCTTGTGCCCCCATCAGTGTTCGACGAAGCCCCGGGTAGGAATTTGGTAGATGCAGGTGTTTGATTAATTTCCCCTTCCTTTTGTTTCTCTTCTCAGCCGTGTGTCTCTTTCCTCTGTCATTCATTCAACCATTCATTCATTCATTCAATAAACACTTACTGAGGTTCACACTCAGTCAAGGAACTGAGAACACTAATGCCATTACTAGTTCTCTCTAGAAACTCACTAGCAGGAAATAAAAGTATCCCCAAGGAGAAAGCCTTGGGAATTAAAATTTTTTGCACAACAAACGTTTATTGAGCACTGACTGTGGCACTTTGCTTTTTAGTGATGAACAAGATGGACACAACCCCAGCCCTGGTGGAGCTTAAAACCTCACAGGTATTAGATGAGCATGAGATAAATAATTCTACGAGCCATGAAAGTCATGAAAGGGAGAATGCAACAGCACAACAAAAAGGTTTTCATTTCTGAGATGGCGAGAGCCTCCCTAAAGAAATCATATTTAAACCTATGTTGAGAAATCGAGTATAGTTTAGTTAAACCTGTATATGTTGAGGGCAGGAGGCAGAGTGTTCACATTAGAGTGGGCAGAGAATGATTGCTCCACAACTTTACAGGCATGGGTTCTTGACATATGCATACAAGCTCATCCATGTGGAAGTGTTAGCAACAGAGGCAACTGTATGGGCAGCAACTCCAGGTCCTCAAAAACTGAGAAAACTAAAATTCTATCCAGGTCCGGCAATGTGTGCTTTCTGCATCTTTAGTATGTGAGTTGGTTTAGTTTGTTAATTAAGCCTATGGAACAAAAGTGTTCTTTCTCCTCCAGACTTTCAAAGGATGTACTCTAGGGCTCGAAGAAGGGGAACAGAGCTGATTATGTTGGTCCTGTTGTTTGTGTTTTTCTTCCCATTTAAGAACGTACATTTGAAGGTGCAGTCTTGAAATTCTTGATATGGATGGCAGACACTTGTAATGAGAGAGGAATTAGCAGAAAATCACACCTCATTTCAATAAATCTTCACCCCTTAAGGCAGCCTGGTGCCCTTCCTGCATTGGCCTATGGAAGTCACCATCTGGACTGGGAGGATTGATGACTTCAGTTTCACCCCTTTCTAAATAGTGTTTATGAAGATCCCTTTCTTCAGGTCAGACTAGAGATTGTACCTACAAATAATATTGTAATTGGACCACTTAGTTTTCATCTTTGATTTGAGGTATTTGAAATGAATGTGAGATTAAAGCAAATGAAGGGGCATGAGAAGTGTTAGCAATCCTCCAGACAGGGAAAATTTCTTTTCATTCTGTCTCCATGATATCAAACTGAAATCCTCAGTTAACCACAGCAGGGGCAAGTGCCTGAGTTGAAAATGTCTTCATCCTTGTATTCTTAATTCATCACCTGAGAAGTCCTTGGATCAGGTACGTGAAACCAGAAGAGAGATCTCCCTGGGGATTTCATAGATGGTGGATATTTAAATATGCAAAACATTATTGAGAAATATGAGATGTGTCAGCCATCTCCTGTGCTAACATTTTTTCCAAGTCAATTACTTTGTGGATGTTTGAGGTGGGGGCACACTGGAAAGAAAGAAAGAAAGACAGGAGGAACTAAATTATTTATAATTATGGTATGTGTTGGCGGGACGGGGGCTGCCTTCTGAGACACAAATGGATGACAAAGAATAAGTTATCTCTTTATAGATAGAATGTGGCAATAATTGCATTGTCTCTGGATTCAAAAAGTCATAATCTATTAATTTGATGGATATCAAAAAGCTATAATCTGTCAATCAGGTGTCAGAAGAAAGAGTCTCTCAAAGCTTTGAAGCATGGCATTTAGAATACCCCTGGATACCTTTATTTCTATTCTAATATTAATAGGAAGGAAGGATACAAACATTTTTGGCATAGTTAGGGAATGGATATCATTTTAGCTGTCTTAATAATTTTGCAACTTAAAAATCGTATTGGATAAGGGTGCCGTATTGAAAAAAATGTGTAAAAGACACACTACAGTGAATTAGAGGGAGATAATTTCATCCTAAGATTTCTCTGACATTAGGCATTGTGGCATCGCTTTCTTGGTTTAAATGTGAAATAGAACCTGAGATTATTTTTCATAAATTTATCTAGCCCATCTATTATTTCTCTATATTATATGGCTGTATACTTGAAACATACCAATGGGGACTGAAGAAAATGCTTAAGTCTATAAATGGAATGTCAAACTGATGGAAGGAGGAAATTGGAGATGTCACACACAGTAAAAACACAGCTTTTCCAGGACCCAGTAAGCTTGCCATTACCAAGGAATTAAGGTATTCTCCTCTGGTAGGAAAAGAATTTGACTCCTTGGCCCAGCACAGTTTCAAAGCTGCATGAAGTCACGTTTGCCTCATTACAATTCCTTTGGTTAAAGATGCTTTTCTAAGTACTTCAGAAAATGTATGCAAAAATATTTTTTGGTGCGGAGGCCACCAAACCTGCTGGACTCACGTTCCTGCTTTTGGCAAGCAAAGCAAAAGAACCTTCTGGGTTCCCTTCCTGCCTTTCCTACTGAGATCAAGCTGAAGGTGGAATTTTTCTATATATCCAGTCCAGCCTTTGTGACCTCTGCCTTTAACACAAACACCTTGTTTAAAAAGTAGACTTGAGGGAGGGCACTTGAGTTCAGAAGCCAAAAGAAATGGGTATTGCTCTTTCCGCGCTAAGCAGTTCTGAACCTAGACCATATCCTTGGGAGACCAGAGCAGCTGTAAGCAGCAAACTGCCTCTTTTCTGCCTCCCTGTGAACCTGCTTCCCTGGAGGGTATGCTCAAACTCAATTCCCTGTTTTATTGTTCAAAGGACAGGGAAGAAAGGAGGGAGAAAAGATTGATTAAGCCCCCAGTCTGTGCCTGGCAACATTCTAGGTGCTTTGTATCTGAAAATCTATTTTATTTTCACAATGATCTCATCCATGTCCATGGATTCAACTTTATCTACCTGACCACCAATAATTCATATATTTGGTCTTTCGGTTTAGTCATCTTGGTGCTCCAGAGCTGTATACCCACTGCCTACTTGACATTCTTCTTACATGTCTCAAAGGCACCTTGGATTCCACGTTTTCCAATTTAGTGTGTGATCTTCCCTCCTAAACTCAAGGCTTTCTAGTGTTCCCTACCTCATTCTGTGGCACCATTCTCCATCCAGTTTTTCCCCTTTCTCACAGTCAATTAAAATTCTGTTGATTTTGTCTGCTAAATATCTCAGCAAGAATCCATCCAGTTCTCTCCCTCTCCATTGCCAGTATCCTAATCTGAGCTACCATCATTTCTTTTTTTTTTTTTTTTTTTTTGCCTTGAATATCAATCTGGCCCCCCAGATGGTCATACCACAATCACTCTTACCTTCTTCCAATCTTTCTCTTCTCCCCAACCAGAATGATTCTTTGAAAGCTTCAGTATGATGCATATGACGATGTCATTCATTTGATCAAAATCCTTCAGTGGCCTGCCGTTGGTTTTTTTTATGAAATATAAAACAAAACCTCGGACATGAGCTATAAGACCTTGCATGAGATGCACTTTCTGAGACCAGCCCCTCCATTCTCCTTTCATGCCACTCTACACTTTCAACTCCAGCCACCCCAGTCCTTGTTAAGTTGCTGAGACTATCATGCACAAAGGTATTTACACAGTTTTGTTTTGGGTTTCTTTGTTTTTTGTTTTGTTTTGTTTTGTTTTGTTTTTTTCAACGGAGTCTCACTCTGTCACCAGGCTAGAGTGCAGTGGCGCAAGCTCAGCTCGCTGCAACCTCCGCCTCCCAGGTTCAAGCGATTCTCCTGCCTCAGCCTCTCAAGTAGCTGGGACTACAGGCACCTGCCACCACAGCCAGCTAATTTTTGTATTTTTAGTAGAGACGGGGTTTCGCCATGTTGGCCAGGATGATCTTGATCTCTTGACCTCATGATCCACCCTCCTTGGCCTCCCAAAGTGGTGGAATTATAGGAGTGAGCCACTGCGCCTGGCCTACACAGTTTTTATGCATATTGCTCTCTGTACGGAGAAAGGTAATGCAGACTCATTCATCCTTTGTATTTCAGGTCTATTGCCACTTCTTTGGGAAACATCACCCCTCAGTCTAGATCTGATACCCCTCTTATTCCCTCTTCTGTTTTATACCTCTTCTTCCTAGCCCAGGTGTTTACAATTCCCATTTATTTATGGGGAATATGTGATTATTGTATTTTCCCTACTGAGATTCAAAGCTATACAAAGGAAAGGACTCTTCTGCCTTTTTTTTTTTTTTTTTGGTTTTTAACTCATTATGAAATCCCCACTGCTGAGCACAATGCTGAACACCTTTGAAGTAATTAATAAATAACGACTAAATTACTGCTGTGTAGATAAGGCAGATAGGATTAGGTTCTTTCAACAGTGAGGAAATCAGAGCTCATTCTAACTTAAGGGTTTAGAAGTATCAGAGGCAGGACTCTGACCCGGGTCTCCAGACTCACAAAACACAATACACTATAAGGTGTACAATAGCACTGACAGATATTTTTTAAAGGTTCCTCTCATCTCACTATACTAACACAAATGTTTTCAGTTCTACAATCTACATTTCCCCCTCCAATTTTTCTCCTCTTTTTTGACTGCCTTGATGGTTTCAGTGGGTCCTGGTTAAGCCTGTCTTTAAGTTTCTAATCAAACTAATCCAAGTGAATTTGGCTTCTGACCTTGCTCTCACATATTTGCCATCTCTAAATGATTGATGTCTGCTTGATCCCTGTTGGAAAAGCGTCTGAAGATATGATCCAGAAAATCTATAGTTGCAAATCTAGCATAATTTTAATGAATCGTGGTCAGAATAGTAAGAAGCATTGCACAGAAGGCTTGCATAAAAAATATGCATCTTCTGTCATCTTCACCCTCTACACTGGCCTCCCAAGTCCCCATGGAAGGTATCTAGTACGGGAAACTTTCTTTTCCTGTAAGAATGTTGTGGCCAAACATGCTGTGTATTGGATGGATGGATGGGAGGATGATTTATATTTTCATCTCGGTATAGTTCATAGGTCTAGGATCAGAAATAAACTAGAATAAATATAAATATTGCTTTTCTTAACGTTGGTTTAAAATGCAAATGCATGGCATACAGAAAAAACTTTTTTTTTTTTTTTAGCTCTGAAAGCTCAATTTTTACTACATGATTTCCCTAGTAGAAGTACTTTTTGCAGGGTATAAGAATTTTCTGTTTGCTTATCTGTTTTCAGTCTAGAATGTTCACTTCTTAAGGGCAAGGAATAGGTTATGTTTACCTTCTTATCTCTGGAGACTTGTATAATCCTAGCTGGTCCTAAGTACTCAAAAGTTTTCTTGAATGAAACAAAGCCTTCTCCGGATGAGGAAGCTTGTCAGAAGCTTGAGTGACTGGTAAGGAGGGTGAATCTCTGCTGCTGATTTACTAAGAAATATTTGGATCTTTCCTTGAAGCTAAGGGTATATACCTACTTCTGTGCAAAACAGGTGGCATGGCTGGCCCTTGAAGAGTACACAGTTTAAGGAGACAGTAATGGGTACAGTTATCTTCTTAAAGATCTGGGCCACTTTGTTCCTGAAAAAGTGTGGGAAGTTTCTCTCTTAGGCAGTCTATCTCTTAGAGCCCAGTACTCACAGCAAAATATTTATAAAAGAAAACAACTCTTTCATCATCCCTGACATAGCCTGCCCTCAGCCTAGAAAGAAAAGGCCAATAATTGGGACTGTGTGGTTCCAGGAGATAGGACAGAAGGATAGGGCCAATTCAACAGGTAAGAAAGACAGCACACTCAAGGGAGCAGACTCCAGTTGATCACCGCTGTGGGCAGCTGAGGCACACTCCTCCCAAGACAGCTATAGAAAGTGCCTCAGAAATGTCTGTCTCTAGGACACGGTTCCCATTATCCATGGGTCAAAGCTTGCCCGAGGAACGCCAGCTCCTTTGCATTCCCAAACTTTGCAAGCATGTGTCATCCTGCAGGTTCTCTTGGGTATTCCATTGTAAGGAGTCTGAGAAGCTCCAAGGAAGAATGCAGAAATACGGGGTATAGCTGAGGCCAGGTGCTGTCTGATCATATACCTGGGAAGCTGTTGTTGATCACGTACCTGGGAAGCTGTCTGATCACATACCTGGGAACCTGGTTGTTATATCCATGGCTGGGGAGCAGGGTAGCAGGGAGCAAGAACTGTCCAACATAATCTAGTTTACCTATGGACTTTCAAAGGTTTGCAAAGATTTACCTCCTACTAAAATGGCTTGTGAGCATGGAAGGCTTAAACATTAGCAGAGCAGGTAGAAAAATAACGCCTGGTAAGATGCCAAATGGTGGAAACCGAGGCAGAAGATAGTCCTCTGGACAAGGTCAGCATAATCTAGTACATATGAACTCACTCACGCTCCTGCATCAGACTCCCCTGGTTTTGGAATCTGTCTCTGTTGCTTCCCAGTGGAACCTGAGAACATTGTTTAATCAGCCTTGGTTATGTATTCGTCGTCAGATAAATAGGGACGTTAATACCAACCTCATACTGTTTAGATTTTGGATCATTTACAATGAGAATGTGTTCATCTGTTACCTGTGTAACTGAACATAATAATACTATGTTTGAACAGATTTCAAAAATGGGTTTGGATCTGATTTTAAAACATTTGAAACAGATGTGGAACAAGTTTTTAAAGAAGGAACCCTATCTCATAAGATTGTCAGGATCATTAAACATCACGAGTATGAGCCCACAGGAAACCTTCAGTATATCGTGATCTTCTTGACGGTGGTGAAGAAGGACAAGGAAGACCACCACCATAACACACGGGTCTTCTTTGGAATGGAGGTTCCAGGATCTATGGGGAATTTGCTTGTCCCTATCCACTCTCATCCCTCCACTGGGGAAGAGAGAGTTGGTGCCAGTCTTCCAGCGTAGGTCATTGTTGGCTCAGCATCTGGGAAGAATCTGGGCCTGCAGGAAGGACTCCTGGACAGTGCCATGAGCAGCTGATAAAGACCAAGAGAGGGGAATGTGGGGCCTGGTCTAATGAGAGTTACTGCCATAACTGGCATTTACTGAGCACATCCTACATGTGACTCTGTTCTAAGTACTTTCTGCATGTCGTGTGTTAGACATCAAGAGTCGAGGCACCCTCATTCACATTCTACACATCATGAAACTGAGACTTGTAGAGGTTAGGTAGTTTGGCCCTCATCACAGTGCCAGGAGGTGCGGGTGTAAGATTTGAACCCAGGAAGTGTGATTCTTGTAGCAATTGCTGTGTGGTTGAGATCTGGTCTGGGAAGTGGGGCTAACACAGAAGTGTGGATAGGACAGATTATTTCTGCGCTCCAAAGTTATGAATATATATACTCCAAAATATGCTTCAGTGACTGAGTGAGACATAAATGGGTTACTCTGTCAGTGATCATTATATTACTCCCCATCCCTGCATGCATGTTAGAAAGGCACACACAAGCTGGAATAATATGAATGACATTTAATAGACTACTTACAAAAATGTTGGAAGATCTGGGGAAAACTAACGAAGGAACTTTCCGTACTTGAGGCCTATCAATAGCAGGAAGTTATTACTACCTCTAGGCCTGAAAGGGCAAGGAGAAGGGGGCCAATGGAACCAGGAGATAGAAGGCTGGTGGAGAGGACCGCCTAACCTGGGTGGTGGCCATAAAGCGAGGGAGCTGGAGAGAAAAAGACACCTTAAACTCACTTGCTCAGTAGCTCCCATGAGCCAAATCTAGTGGAAAGCCAGAGAAGAAAGTGAGAAGAGAAGGGAGCCCATAAAGAAGACAGGACTGCCTACAAAGGCCAGTGTCTCAGAGCACAAATGAGGATGCAGATGAGAGCAGGTCTGTTCTGGCATGGCAAAGGGGCTTGCCCAGCACTATCAGCAATCTGCAAAAAGATATTCTTGGGAAGACTCTGGTGTCTGAAAGATTAAAGGGAAAATGCATCCACGTGATAAAATATTATTCAGCCAGAAGAAGGAATGAAGTACTCTTACATGCAATAACAGGGATGAACCTTGAAAACCTGATGCCGGTGGCAACGACCCCATACCGTGTGGTTCCATTTAGATGAAATGTCCAGAATAGGCAATTCCATGGACACAGACAGTAGATTCGTGATTGCCAGGGGCGTGGAGGAGGAGGGAATGGGAAGTGGCTGCTACTGGGTACAGGATTTCCATTTGGGGAGGTGGAAACGTTGTGAAGCTAGATAGTGGTGATGGTTGCACAGCATTGATAGTGTTCCAGATGTCATTAATGGCCAATTTTATGTTATGTTTGTTTTCTGACAATTAAATAAGCAAATACATAAATGAGAAAGAATTTTTCTCTCATAATGTTTGTTTGCCTCTTACTCATTTTCTGAGCTAGTCACCAAAACGTATCTGACACTTTCTTGCTTAACCTGGCGGGAGTGGTAGCGGATGCTCCTGGTGCCCCCGTTGCATTCCCTCACCTTTCTGCCAGCTCAGCTTCCAGTAGCCAGCGCCTGCCTGTGTTTCTCTGCCTGAGGGCTCTCTCCGGCTGCCAAAGCCCGTGTCCACGCACAGCAGTACCAGAGAATTACCAGGTCCCAGGAGCAGCACTCGGGTGAGGACTGACATGCGTCAATGTGTAAACACCAACTTCCCTGCACTCCAGGTGGGGTCCAGAGCTCAGTGCGTCTTGCTGGCTCCCAGAGGCCCCAGCCCGGTTGAGCTCCAGTTGCCTGCAGCAGTTCCCAGGCTTAGTGCACTTGACTGTGCTGCCACCTCTCCTTTCATTTCCCCTCTTCCCTCCTGGTTTCTCCTTCACCTTCCAAATCAGGTGGGGCTCTCAAGCCCTTGGCTCAGGATTTATAATAACTACGGAGTAATAATAGATAACATGTATTGAATTTTTATTGTTAAAATGTGTATGAGAAGACACTGGCTTGTGTTCATTTTGCCTCTCTTGTTCCCAATGATAAGACTGCCTTCACGCATCAGGCAAATAACTATAATTGGTTCCTGGACATTAGCATAAACAGAATCCCCTAGGGAAAGTGCTAAAAGTGCAGATTCCCAGGCCCCACCCATCAACATGCTGATTCCATCTGTCTAGGTGTGAGCCTTGGAATCTGCATTTATCAAGCTTTTCTGGTTCTTCTAATGCAGAATAGAGTAGAAAGTTTTCATTGAAAAACACTGGACACTGGCATGATGAGAAACAGAGGAGAGGCCACCTATTGGAGGCAGGCACTGGCATCTGGTCAGTATTTCAACAAATGTGGTCCCTCAAGTTCTGCAGGGAGAAATACTCCATTACATGTATACATTTACTTTCTCTTAAACTGATGGGATCCATATCCAAGTATGAAAGTTAATTTCGGTATTTAATAATCATTAAGTAAAGAGAGAGTGAAATATCTACACTATGTAATTACATAAAACATGCTTCTGGCAATATTTGCCCCCTAGGAAATTCAAATAGGAAGTCTCCAAGGAGCAAGGTTGTATTCTTGGAGGTGGACACAAAGTAATTGAGCTTTGCTAATGGAGATAATTAATTAGGAAACGGATGTGCTTGCTTCTGAGAAAAATATTGGAAAGATCTTCTGAGAAGGCCTAGCCCTCTGCTCTTGTAATTTTCCGAAGTCTGTGCCACCCTGAGGACTGGTGCTTCCCCTGAGCCATGACCCAGCCACAGTTAGGAATTAAGGGAGCAGAAAACACACAGCCATTGCCCACAGTTCAGGCTGGTCCTAAGAATGCCTGGGCCCTAGGAACACACTATCTCCAGGAAGCAGCTCTGAATTAGACCTCGGGTTCAAGTTCCAGCCCCCACTTATCAGCTTTCTGAACTTAGCCAAGTTATTCAGTTTCCATGGAGCTTAGTGTTCTCAGCTTAAAACTAGGGGTTGTAATAGCAGAAACAGTCATCAGTATCCAGTGAAACAATGCTCTGCAGGAAAATAAGTCGTAGATCAGAAGATGTCGCCCTGGTGTGGTCTTACTAAACCTTCCCTGTCTCAGCCCGGGGTCTTGTTTATTGCATCTGGGTTACCTGTTTGCCCCTTTCTGTCCAGGTTTGATCTGCAGGAACCTAGCCTTCTGGTCTAACCTTTCTAGCTTGTCTGCTTATCACCCCAACCTCCCCGCTTTCTGGTTCCAGATGCTAGCCTGTTCTTGCCTTGTATATCTGACTTGCTGAGCTCACTCTTGGTGCTGCAAAGTGGCCATGCCATGAATCTTCCATAGCCCGATGCAATGTCACCCCAGTGACACGGAAGGATGGCCGTATGGTGAGAGACTGCATTCAGACCACTGAGCCTTCTCTTCCCTAATTATATCATGCCAGAAACAGCTAGACCAAGGAGTCAAGCACACAAATATAGTTGGACCAGAAGGACCAGCAGCTCTCAAGGGGTAAGAGAATAAGGAATCATGTGAGCATTCATGGATTGAGGAATGCATCCATTATTCAAGCAAGTTGATAGAGATAATTAATTAGGAAATGGTTGTCTTACTGTCCTATTCACCAAGCTATCCACACCATCTAGCTCAGTCCATACTTTCTTAATGAGGGAGAAAATGAGACTCAAGCCAAGAAGGCAAAGACTTGATGTGGATGATATTTTTTCTATTTTTGCTTTCTGGTGATGGTAGACATTATATTACATATTATTAGGTTAAGGTACCGATGGTTTTGTTTTCTGTGTTGATAAAAATTGTGCGCTTTTTATTCTTTTACAGAACTAATAAAAACATGACACATTAACCTTTGACTTGTCTAGTCTCCTCTTTTATTAAATCTGCTCTAAGCAGTTGGATGGGGAGTGCCTTTTCGCCTGTCTACCCCTTCCCAAGGACTATTTATATTGAGGCAACCAAATGATCAAGGAAGAATTCGTGAATAGCCATGATCAAAGTAACCAGACAGGGAGTTAGAGGTTCAATCGTATTTGGGGAAAATGGTCCAATGATGGGGAAAGGGCCCAGGTTTTGACACCTGAAGACATCCCTGGATTTCAGGAATTTGAGGCAGATCCCTAGAGCTCAGATCTAGGATTCAGAACGAAACGGTGACTGTGAGAGTAAACCATGGTGTCTGACATAAGGGTTTCCTTGATTACCCTTTAAGGGCCCCTATGAATGTCTCTGGGTCATCAGTCCCTTAGATAACATCATGTGTCTACAGCTGGGATAGCAAGTAGGTTTTGTTTTGTGGGTCAACTCACATGAAGAGGATGCCTAGATGTCTGCGGTGAGCAAGATTCTAGAGCTCATCAGGAAAGTATGCTGTAGTCAATTAGTGATGTCTGCCATGTGCACGGGTAGAGAAGTTATGTCATGCATACCACAGACTCACCATCTCAGCTTAATAGACCATGAAGTCAGGATCTGGGGAGCTACCTTAATGTATGAGGACTGTTTCCAAAATATTTCTGAAAACTATTGATACTAGATCCTACCTGGAGTCTCTACTGGTTCCATAGCATGGAACTGTTTACAATTGCTTTTGATCCTTTTTCCAAATGATTGAGTGCTTTGGCATAAACAGGTCAGGTACAGAAAGCACGGCATTTGAGAATTATCCTCTGCAAACATGACTTGCAGGCATAGCCTGAGCCCACTCAGAGCCCATACCCAAGTTGTGCTTTCTTAAGGCCACAGCCTCCTTCTGAGAGCTGAGGAAGATAAGGGTGGAGGACAAACAACTTGGGTATTCTTTGAGGAAATATAAATCACATTTAAGTAGTCGCTTGAAAATGAGTAAATTCACCTATTTAATGTGTAGTATTCTTGGAGCTGGGAAATTTAGCCAAGGTGGGCACCACTTGAGACAGTGTTTGCTGTGGAGCAACATGTGTGTCTGGCCGGTAAACCTGCAATAACTCAGTGCGCAGACATTGCCAGGCAAGGCCTTTCTGGGAGAAATGATCCAATGAGGGGAAAAAATACTTCAGTTTTGTTGAGAGATGATCTTAATCTGTTTGAGCTGCTATATAAAAAAATACCATAGACTAGGTGGCTTAAAAACAATGAATGCTCATTTCACAGTTCTGGAGGCTGGGATGTTCAAGATCAAAGCGCCAACAGATTTAGTGTCTGGTGAGGTCCCGCTTTCCTCATCCATGGTGCCATCTAGCCGTGTCCTCACTTGGCAGAATGGATGAGGGATCTGGATGGAGCCTCTTTTATAAGGGTACTAATCCCATTCATAATGGCTCATCCTCATGACCTAATCACCTCCCAAAGGCCCTGCCTCCTAACACTATCACCTTGGGGGTTAGACATTTAACATATGGATGTTGGGGGGAATAAATCTTTAGCCTGTAGCAAAGATAATGAGATCAGGTGTAGGTGATTAAGTGACATCTGGAGAAAGAATTATTAGCTGCTAAGAAAGATGTGTTTGTGCCTGTGTGTGTGCACTTGCACATGTGTGGATGTGTGTGTGTGCATGTGCTCTGTGTGTGTGCTTTGTACACAAGGCAGAGTTTGCAGTCTGTGAGGGGGCCAGCAGGTGTTCAACCCCGCCTGGCTCAGGCAGCTTTCGCTTCAGTTGGCTTTTATCTCTTCCTATGTGCCCTCAGCCCTGTGTCCCAGGGAGAGGTTTAACCAAGTCTAGAATGTTCCACTCTGCTTAGATGCCACTTCAGAGGTCTTAAAACAGAACCTTTGTTTTAAGCAGAGACAGTCCTCTTTTTGATACGTGGTTTTCAGGTGCTCCCTTTAGGAATGGCCGCCACCCACATATCATGGTTCCTCTAGTGGTTAAATCATGATGAATAGGCACAGAGAGCTGATAATTAAGGTAGGAAAGAGTACCATATTTCTCTTCTGCATTATCCCTAGTGAATTACAATTTTTTCTCCCAACTGCAAGTAGAAATGATAATCACCCTTAGCTCCACTTCCACACCCTTCTCAGAAATTTGGGTAATGCATCCTCATCTTAATTATCAAAATACAGGGTTATCATTTGCAGAGAACATGTGTTTTGTGTTTGTGGGGTCTGGAGAGAGTGATCATACAATTTCTAATTCAAAGCAGAATACTCTTGAAAGTAAATCAGGACTTTCCTGTTGAAACTAGAACAGGAAGTCACCTTAGCAGTGGTAGATCTTTGAATTCGTCTCCTCCTGGTTCTGCGGAGAGCCATGAGAGACTAGAACACAATCACCAGTTAGGATCAATACACTTATAAATGCAGAGGGTCTTAGCATCCATTTGGGTGCCAGCTTCCCTTGTGTGATTGGTTACTGGTGTCAACGGAGATTGTATGGGAGAGGAACTAAAGAATGCAGGCTCGGCTTTTCCCAGAGGCAGCAGTGCGATGCATGGGTCACAGAATATGCCAGAGAACAACGAGGCCAGTCGCTCACTGACTATGGAAGATGAGTCCATTATTTAATCACTCTGGCCTTCGGTTTTTCAGCTCTAAAAATGAGAATATTCCTTTCCTCAATGATTATTGTTATGATTCCCGGAGATAACGTGCATGAAAGATTTTAGTGCAGGCCTTTCTTCCTTCCGTTGACAACCCAGAATGTTGCTTGATGCACAGGGGAAATAGAGTGATCAAGAAGAGCCTTTATAAATGAGAGTTGATGTTGAGTAATCATTTTGGGTATTATCAATACCCATGGCCATAACACCCCCACCATGTGGAACAACACAGGGAACACGACTTCTTACTCAAGCTACAACAGGAGAATTCTTCCTTGGATCTCTCTTACACAGACAACATTGTCTGTTTTTCATCAAAATGCTAGAAATGAGAGCTCAACATTTGTAAGCTCTTGCTTCGTTCAATAAAGATTGTGTATGGGAAATCCACTGCTTCTCTCCCTTCGTAGATGTAGGAATCTGCCTCAGACATTGTACAAATGGGCAGAGAGGGGAATGGAACTGAGTCTTACCCATTACGTTTAGGATTTCAGGGCTGCAGGTCATCTGTTTACCTAAGATGGAGAGGCCAAGTCCTCTCTCATGGTAGCTTTGAAGCTGGTGTCAGGGAAAGGTCAGTGCCTGTGAACAGTGATGGAAGGTGTGTAAAGGAGGAGGCAGGGTTTAGCACAAGGGGTAACTAAATCTTAACTTCTGGGATACTGGGTGGTGGTGGGGTTACTATTTCCAATTTATAGCAAGATGTAAGTGATATCAGCTGGAGGACAACTTTACTGGTCTATGTGGGTGTATTAGTCGGTTCTCAAGCTGCTAATAAAGACATACCTGAGGCAGGGTAGTTAATAAAGGCAAGTGGTTTAATGGACTTACAGTTCCACATGGCTGGGGAGGCCTCACAATCATGGCAGAAGGTGAAGGAGGAGCAAAGTCACATCTTGCATGGTGACAGGCAAGAGAGAGCATGTGCAGGGGAACTCCCATGTATAAAACCATCAGATGTCGTGAGACTTATTCACTATCACAAGAACAGCATGGGAAAACCCTGCCCCCGAGATTCAGTTACCTCCCACCCACTTCCTCCCATGACATGTGGGGATTATTACAATTCAAGATGAAATGTGGCTGGGGACACAGAGCCAAGCCATATCAGTGGGATAGATATCATTTGGAATATGGTTGCCTTCCATTCTGATCTCATTCTATCAAAGTTGGTAGATCCTAACATGGTGACCCAGCAAGAGTCTCTTTTCAAACTGGCTGTCCTCGGGGGTAGGAGCAGAGCCAGGGCAAACCGTCAGGGATGCTAAGTAAGGAGCTTCAAGGGGATCCAAGGCACCTCCTTGGACTCAGACATGCTTGGGACCGCGTTCGTAGGACAACTTTTACTGTCCATTGCCACAATGAAACATGGCAGTGACAGATGTAGGCCCTCAGTGATCACAGATCTATATGGCAGCAATGGTTCAAGTGCAGAAATGACAACAGTGTTTGTGATTTTACCTTTTTGTGAAGCTGGGTTACTGGGGTTTCTGTCCTGGAATCTCTAAACAAGTAACCACAGGGTAGTTGCTTGGCTCTTGCCTCAAGTGAACCAGCCAAGAGATCTCGTCCAACACTGGTATAGCCTGGCAGCAACTGCTACTTCCAGGCTGTGTCTCGAATGCCCTGCTGGGCTCCATGTGTATCTGGGAACATGGTTTCTGATCTACAAATCTAAGCCCCTAAATACACAAAAGCGCTAAGGCAAACCATATGCCTTAGGCTCACTTTTAAACCTCTCTGAGCTTCAGCTTCCTCAGCTGTAAAAAGAAGCCATGATCACAGGCATGTTTATGCACTAAATCAAATAATGAAGCTCACAAGTTCAGCCCTGGTCATCACCATTCAAGACTCTGAAGTCTATCAAAGCAGAATTCATGTTCTCTGGTTGCATTTTCCATCAATGGAGACTCAGAAATATTTATTGAATAAAACATCAACTATGACAACATATTTTACAGTGTAATAGTGAAAACATCATTCATCTGATGACATGCTTCTTTTGAACCATTTTGGGATGGTTCTGATATTGTTTGTAACAAGAAATAAAGATCCGAGGATGATCAAGTGAGCATTCAATTATTCTTACCTTCATTTAAAAAATATATTTTCAATATTAAGGAATTTGTTGTTATTGTTATTTACAAAGCAATAAAATAAGGTAAGAAAAATGGAGAGGCCTGGGTTGGTGATTTGGTCACCAGGCAGATTGAGAATGGAAAGAAAAGGGAACAGGGTAACCATGTGACCAATTTGCTTCTTGGAAAAGGGACCAAATAGGACCCAGAGAGGGGCTTGGTCAGGCTTCCTGGTCACTGCCAGTGCTGAGACATTAAAGATCCAGGCCCCACGGAGAACCAGGGCACCTGGACTTTGATCTTGCCATAATGGTATGCCTCCATTTAAGAACTAGGTCAGCTGTCTTTCACACCAGCTGTGTTCTTCATGCTTAGGGCAATAACATGTATAAAGTAATGGGTATTTTTCTAGTAGGGTTAACACACTTACTCAGGTTTATTCTTCTAACTTGCCTGCATCCAAACATTTTTTTTTTTTTTTCAAGATAAAACCAGCCTGTCAAACTGTGCAGTTGACATTACTTGGTAGGATGCAGAAAATATCTGAATTAGAAATGGGCCCATACAGGTTCCAGTGGGAATGGCTTTCTCAGCAGGTATGAATCACTGCTATTAAAAATGTATTCCGTAGGTAAATTGTTAGTTATCATATTCATCCACTCTTACAGAAAGCCAATGTTATCATTTGGGTCCATTATTAAGACTATCATTATCATAGTCAGTTTAGTAACCTCCTTTTACATAACATTGGATTTTTTGTGGGTTTTCAAGTCTCTTCCAAACTGAATCTCACAATCTAGGTTTATTTTTGAGGCCACCTTGCCTGAAGGCTCGAGGATGACAGGAGTGACTTCCGTCACTGCCATATTTCTTCTACACTTGAAGATTGTTTTCTGGGATGTTGCTGCAAATGGCAAATGTGTTTGATGCCCTAATGTTTAACATAAATCAGGATCATGGATGTGCATAGCCCCCTCCCGTTTCTGTAAAGTATTGTAAAGGGACTCCTGTCCTCAGAGTGCCAGGCCTCACATTTACATTCTGGACAAACTGGGCTGTCTGCTTGAAAGGGCAGATACCACAGGTTGGAGCAAACATAGCTTCTGAAGAAGATGTAATGCATTTCTGTCCCAGTAAGTTGTGCCTGATTAAGATCTTCTCATAGCTGGGGGCAGTGGCTCACGCCTATAATCCCAGCACTTTTGGAGGCCAAGGTGGGCTGATCACTTGAGGTCAGGAGTTCGACACCAGCCTGACCAACATGGTGAAACGCCATCTCTACTAAAAAAAAAAAAAAAAAAAAAAAAAAAAAAAAAAAATTAGCCAGGCATGGTGTTGCATGCCTGTAATCTCAGCTACTTGGGAGGCTGAGGCAGGAGAATTGCTTGAACCTGGGAGGCAGAGGTTGCAGTGAGCCAAGATTGTGCTATTGCACTCCAGCCTGGGCAACAAGAAACTCTGTCTCAAAAAAAAAAAAAAAAAAAAAATCTTCTCATGACCCCGGGTGGGTGGCTGGGGTGGGGTTGGTGGAGGGAAATAAATATGAAGAAGAATGGTGAGACAACCAGTGGGCATATACTGTGTAGACTACCAGAAAGCTTTGGAAATGTGTCAACCCTAAAGCATTGCTATTTTTAAATATTTAGTTGTATTTTAATATTTAGCTATAAATGAAGAACTTGGCTTGGACACAAAAATAACAAAAAATTAATATCTAAGAGTCATGTTCTCTGTGGAATAATCTTAGGGCTGGTCTGTCTTTACACATTTATTGATGATCCAGAAGAGGAAGCACACAAGTTTGTAGATTAGCCTAAGCTATTCTGGATAGAAAATACACAGGGCCCTAGCACAGCCTCGTGGGCAGAAGAGTTCATCTCGTGAGAATGAGCAAAGAGACACTTAAGAAAAAAATCTGATGCCCAAAGCCTTTCATATAGGTGACCATTGTACCCACAGTAATGAAGCAGAACTACTGTGCTCTGGAAGCCACTATGCCCACCGTTGTTCATGAATAAAAGAAACATGGTAGATATCCTTATGCATGTGTGCACATGCAGCACACCTGGCCTGGCACAACCTGCTCACACCTCTGGGAGTCACCTGGGTGTTGGCTGACGCAGCCTGGCCTCGGCTGAGCTGACTGTCAACCCCGCAACTGCCTGTCCCATCATGGACCAGAAGCAGAGCCAGGGATGAGGATGAACGCTCTAGTTGCCTGTGGCAGATAAAGAATCAGTCATCTAGCTGGGAAGGTAAAGGTTGAGAGGAAAGCCAGCCAATGTCTATAAAGACACATAGGAAATGGGAGAATAGAGCCAGTGAGGGACATGCAGAGAAACACCTAGATTTTGGATTCATTTACACATTCAGCAAATATTTATTGGGCATCTATGGTGTACCAGGCGCTGCACTGGACTCAGAGATATAACAATCAGCCAAATGAACAAGTCTGGACCTTCAGGGACCCTCGTGGAGGTGTTACCTACAAGTGAGGAAAGGAAGACCAAAGTGTTTGTTAGTTAGTTACTATGCATCAGGTACTGTGCACCTCAGAGGCCACCTGCAGTCAGTCTCCCTATATGCCAATGGCTGCCAGCATCTTCCTGCTTTGGGGAATTCTCAGCAGCCAGTAGCAGCTTGCATAGCCTGAGCATGTGGCAGGTGGGACTTGATGCAAAATCCATACCCAGGAAAAATCTTCAAGCTATAGGGGTGAAAGTTGGTGAATGGGTGTCCCAGCCTCCCTGCCCTTTGGTGGGACAATTCTGAGGCCTGTGCCATTAACTTCGGCAGTACCTTACTCATTAATGCACCCTTTACTGACATTTTCTCCTTCTCTGTCTCACTTACTACTTGGGGAGATTGTCTTCCAAATAAACTACCTGTATCCAGGTCCTTCTTATAGATCCACTCTGGGGAAAGGCAAGCAAAGAAAATACATTATAAGCCTGTTGTACTATTAGGGATGGTGACTTCCAGAAGCTGACTGTGATAACCTTTCCTCGGGCTTCAGAAGAGGCTAATGGAGAGTTGAAGGGAGAAATCAGGAAAGATGGTCTCCCCTCAATATTCTGACATGGGTTAATAAGGAGGCACTGGTTCTTAAATTGGGATCTCGATGATGCTGGACTAGCAGCAGCAATATCACCTGAGAACTTGCTGGAAATGCAAACCCTCAGGCTTTACCGAGACCTCATGAATCAGAAAAGCTGCCAGCAACCTGTATTTTCACAAGGCATTCAGGAGATTCTGATATATGCTGACAGTTAGGAAACACTCATGTAAAGCATGTCTATCTTCCCTTCAATTATGTTTTTCATAATCTGCAAATAGTTCTGTCACTTTTAGGGGATATGGCTGGACAATGAATTATCTGTGGCTTCATTAGAAAAGTACATGAATTATATTGTGGACAGCAAAGTTATACTGAAGTGCTGAAGGGAAGTCAAATGCTTAGGAGTGTAAGCTGCAGGAAGAAATAGGCAGAGAAGCTGGGATAGTTTACCCAGCATGGTAACTTCTATGTTATTAGGCTCAAATGTTCACACTCTGCCTTTGAAATAAGTCATTAGAAACTATATTAGTCTGTTCTCACCCTGCTTAGTAAAGACATACCCGAGGCTGGGAAATTTATAAAGGAAAGAGGATTAATTGACTCACAGTTCTGTATGGTAGCGGAGGCTTCACAATCATGGTGGAAGGCGAAAGAGGAGCAAAGTCATGTTTTGCATGGCTGCAGGCAAGAGAGCATGTGTAGGGAAACTCTCCTTTATAAAACCATCAGATCTCATGAGATGTATTCACTACCATGAGAATGACATGGGAAAGAGCCACCCCCATGATTAATTTACCTCTCTCTTGTTCCTTCCATGACATGTGAGAATTATGGGAGCTACAATTCAAGATGAGATTTGAATGGGAGCCCAGCCAGACCACATCAGAAACCTTCTGAGAGGATGCCTTGAATAGGTGATATGGCAGTGTGGTCCTTAGCAATCAGAGGAGAGAGAACGTGGGTTCTCTGTGAATGAAATTTATATTCCTAGTTTCCGTGGAGCTGTGTGCATGAAAAACCTAGGTTCTCAGTAGCTGGGAGGAGACCTGCACAGGCATTTTTAGTATATGTGGTAGGCAGCTTCTAAGTGACCCCGGTGATCCTCACTTCCTGGTCTTCACGGCCTCAGGTAATCCTCTTCCCTTGAGGAACTGGCTTCTAGCCAATAGAGTACCTCAACATTGAGGGAGGTGTCTTCTGTGATCGTTTTACAAAAGATTTTGCCTTCCACCTTGTTAGATTCTCTCTCTTGCTGGCTTTGATAAAGCAAGTTGTCATTGTTGAGGAGGGCCATGTAGCAAGGAGCTGGGGGTGGCCTCCTACCAAGACCTCACCAGAAACTAGGAGTCTCAGTATAATAGCCTCAAAGGAAATGAATCTGCCAGTTATCATGCCATGGACTTTGAGATGAGACCCCAGACCTGGATGATCCTTTGAAGCCTTTTGAAGCACCTTGAAGCAGAGAAGATAGCTAAGGCATGCCCTGTTTCCTGACCCAGTTAACCCATGGTTGAATAAGTACCTCTTTATTTTAAGCTTCTTAGTTTGTGGCAAGATAACTAACACATACATGAAAGTCTAGGCTTGGGTATCATCAAAGGACCTGCTAGCAGAATTCTTGTACATGAAAACACAGTTGTGCAGGACATATCTGTGCACCTCTTTGCTGAAAGCAACATCCTCAGGAAGACCACTTCCCAGCTTGCGACCTAAACATTTAGGTCTAAACACTTGAGCTCTAAACATTTAGTTACTCGCTCTCCCCTGTATTAATGTATGCTGCATAAAGGACCCCCATTTTCCTACATTAAACCCTGTATAAGAACCTCCAAGTAGACACTTATGCAAACATGCCAAGATGCAGGACCACATCCAAATGATAAGTTGCTGTCAGTGAATCATTAATGAGCACTGCTGTGCACCCTGCCACATGTTAAAAGGTAAAATTACATTCTGATGTTTATTTGAGCTATTGCCTATTGCCACTTGAGGCATATTTCATGGAATGATAGGAGTAGAGCAAGGTATTTATTTTGCATTATTGACCCAAGGTGCCATCAGAGTCATGAGGTCCCCATTAAAATTCCAGTGAACTCTTAGATTCTGCCATTCCTAGAAAATCTTATAACATTCTTGGTTCAAACTTCTCATCTGTGATTTAATGGGATACACTAAGGTACAGTGAAGGCCTGGATTAAAATGATGTCATTTATTTGCTGCGTACATGGTCCTGGGCAAGTAATTGAAACAAACTCTGAACTTCAATGTCCACATCTGGATTAAAATAAAAATAAAACATATACTTAAACACTATGATCATAAAAAATTCAGTGCCTGGCACTTAGTAGGTACTCAATAATTCTGTCTCCCCAGTTAATTTATTCACTTGCATATAGAGCTATTTATGCAGAAAAGTTTATGTGACAACTACCAGATATGGATACTTTTATAGAAGAGTATCCATAGGAAATGGCTCAGCCTTCTGTCCTGCAATAAAAAGTAATGTTTGACTCCAAGTACATGAGATTGAACAGAGTTATTTGAGCTACTTTTGATAAAATGTGACAGGCAGACTTTGGTATTTCACCACCCCAACATTTTTTTATGGACTGCTCACTATCACTGCAACATTCAGCACTTTTTTCTGTGTCAATGTGATAGACAATATTCATATTCTTCTTGGGTAATTGCCTTTTTAGCTGAATCAATGGCTTGCAGGCATGAGAAGGAGGCTGTTTTATCTCAACTTTATTTATCTTATGATTATACTAAGACTATAAAACTGAATCTCCCCTCCTTCCCTTCCTCCCAGGCCCATTCCCAATCATCTTCTAAAACCTCTGTTAATACTCAGCTTTTTTGGTGAATTTTCCCACTGCCATGCTTCATGTTACCAAAATATTTCCCTTTTCTGACAACATTCCAAATATAAATAAGGACCTACTGAATGAATGAACCACCAGTATGATTCACCCAATCACTCATTCAAAAAATATTCTTTGAGGATTTACTGTGGGCAGACCCTGGAGATATAAGAGGGAGGGAGGAGGATGACTATGCCTACTTGTAAAGTGGACAGCTGTGGTCTCTTCTAGAAAGGAGGAGTGCCTATAAAGGAGGCGCCTTGGGTATTCTTACTGAGCATAACAGATGGAACTGAGGAGTCAAGGAGGGAAGCCTTCTCTGATTATATGACCATGGAGCTAAGATTTGAAGGAAAACACATAATGGTGCATGTGTGTGGGGAGGGTGGAGACAGGAGGCAGTGGAGGAGCTAAGTATCCCAAGGTGGAGGAGGCAGCGTGGGCAAAGTCCTGTCGGCTGGAGGAAGGGCATGTTCTTGGTACCAGAAGCAGCTCAGTGGAAAGGATCCTGAAGCGGAGGCTGGTGGGCCGAGTCCAGACCCTGGGGGCCTTGTCAACCTAGCTGCTTTGTGCCTGGGGCAATGAGGAGGCTGTGAAGCATCAACAGGGAGATACAGTATTTAGAGTATCTCAAAGTCTCCCTCTGTGTGGTGTTTGGATCTTTCTGAATCCTCAGATGTAATATAAATTATTTGAAAGCAAATACCAATTTGCTTCTAATTCTGGATCTCTTACTCAGGACTTGGTTGCCCAGAGGAGGTTTAATAAATTCTTTTTAACTCTACTTCCCACCAATTTTTCTCCCTTCGATCTGTTCCTATATCTCTACCATTCATGGCAGGGTTAGCACGTGGCTCCAATGGTGAGCAGGAAGGACTTCACCTCTTGTCTGTCCCTTAGCTTTGGTGTGTGCTGCTCCTAACGTAGCTTTGGAGTTGGAGTTAAGAACCATCTCATGGCATTGTTGGGTTAGGTATTCTCTGGGTCCACTCAAGCTTCCTATCAGTTTTTTAGGGACAGAAAGCTACTGTGCTGACCTCAGTCAAAGCCCCTATCTGAATTCTTGAAAGAGACATGATTGTTAGGTCACTAATTGATTCTCCATAGTGTTAGAACAGCAGGAGATTTGAACACAAGGGCATGGTGCTATACCATGCAGCCTGGTAGAGTTGAGCTGAATAACTTTTAGGTTTGTAAGACAGCACATTTAATTTTTAACAGATTATGTACAAGATATTGAGTGACATTAAACACAGAGTTAAATCAACCATAACCCATTTAAAGCAGCCTTGCAGATAAATGTCTCAAATCTACTAGCCTGCCAAATGTATTCCTTATCTACACACATTTATCAATTTTTCCACAACACTAAGCCTTTCTAATGTTTCTCTGACAGTTACTTTCTCTCCCAAGCCTGAAATTCGGGTGACATCTACTTTCTGTAAACTAGATGTGCTTGACCAGGGAAAGCCCCTAGATTTGTGTTAATCTTTTGGGGCCACTGACCCTTCTGGGACTCTGATGAAATCTTTAGTTTGCTGTCTAAGTAAAAAAAGAGGTGATATAAACATACACAGATTTCTTTTTGCATAATTCTATTGTGTTGCTTTTGAAATTGATTTTATTCACGTTATATATTATTCAAATACATCTTTACTAAAAAGTGTCACTCACTCTATATATTTTATATATAAATGAAAGATTACTTTCTAACAAAAATTAGAAAAAACACAGTCAATGTAAGTTAATCAGAAAGTAAACCTTAATTGTATTCAAAAGTAAAACTCAATGGGAACACCGTTGTTTTGTAAGAGTAAGAAATTTTGGTAGTCACAAGGTCTTTGACATGGCAACATGAATGACAGCTTTGCAGTTAAGTTCTGCACCTTTGGTTTTGATGGCAGCAAATATGTAAAAAAAAGTCATTGATTCAGGTGATAGAAACAAAATCAGAATGCCCATAGCTCATGTTGCAACGAAGGCTGTAACAGGAAAGCAGGCCCTACATGACTCTTATCATTTCATTTATGTCCCATGATTTCTTCAACTCAGTTAGGTCAACTGTGGTGGTTTCAGTGGGATGCTATCTATGTATGTTAATTATCTATTGTTGCATTAGAAATTTTCCCCAAATTTAGTGGCTTACAAGCAAGTATTATTACAGAAACATTGCAATGAGGTACTTGTAGTTCAGAGTCTTTCACGATACTGTTGTCAAGATGTTGGTTGAAATAGGAGTCATCTGCAGGCTTGACTGGGGCTGGAAGATCTGCTTTCAAAGTGGCACCCTCACATGGCTGGTGGTAATAGGCCTCAGTTCCTTACCACAATAGGCTCTGCATAGGACTCTTAAGGTATTTACACAAAATGGCAAGTGGCTTTCTCCTGTGTGAAATATCCCAGAGAGAAAACCAAGGAAGGAACCAGAACACCAGTTATGTCCCAATTTTGGATGTCATATATTGTTACTTTTACCATGCTATATCTATTAGAAATGCATACTGAGTCCAGGTCCACACTCAGAGGGAAGGGAATTAAACTCTATGTCCTGAAGGGAGAAAGATCAAATAATTTGTGGATATATTTCAAAACCACCACACTATGTCATCAAAGAAGGCGTTGTATATTCATGATTCAGTTTTAAGGTGGTTTGGGTAAAGTTAATAGCACAGTTGATCCATATTCCCAGGTACTGGTGATTTCCATCTGAAGAGAACAAGATGAGGCTTTGTCACTCTCACCCCAGACTATCCTCCAACATCCTTTAATCACCTTTAAGGGGGCCAAGGCATTTCTTTTTTCTTTTTTTTTTTTTTTTTTTTTTTTGAGACAGAGTCTCACTCTGTCACTGGGGCTGGAGTGCAGTGGCGTGATCTCGACTCACTGCAACCTCTGCCTCCGGGTTCAAGCAATTCTTCTGCCTCAGCCTCCTGAGTAGCTGGGATTACAGGTGCCCGCCACTATGCCCAGCTAATTTTTTGTGTTTTTAGTAGAGACGGGATTTCACCATGTAGACCAGGCTGGTCTCAAACTCCTGACCTCATGATCCACCTGCCTCGGCCTCCTAAAGTGCTGGGATTACAGGCGTGAGCCACCGCACCTGGCTGGGCCGAGGCATTGTGTGTGTGTGTGTGTGTGTGTGTGTGTGTGTGTGTGTGTGTGTGTGTAAGTTTTTTCATGAATTCAAAACATAGCCAAATGGTTTTGAATATATAGAATTTATATTTGCACTGCTGATAATAGCTTGTAATAAAGCTGTGGAACTATACTGTTTATTGTTGCCCCAACATGACAGTGCTGGTGAGGAGGAAACAAAGACTGGAGGATGTAATCTACCCCATAGATGAGCTCCTTGAGGATATGGCTGCATGTTAATGTTCCAGCGCAGTGATTGGCACATAGGGGCTATAAAGAAGTATCTGTTGAATGGATGAATGAATGAATGAATGAATGAGTGGAGACTCATGGAATTTAACTTGGACAGGCAGGTTCTAACTGTTGCTGTAGGCCTAGGAATACCATGTTCAAAGTATGGAAGATTGGAGCATTGGTAAGAATGAGCTCTTGAATTCTAAGGCAGTGCTATCTCTAGTCTCTTTAGTGTTTTCTGCCAGGTTGGAAGAGTCTTTGCATGTCAAGCATATGTTTGCCTTCAAAAACAAAGGTGAAAGCTGGTTGGGATTGCTTGCTTTTAGTGAAGACCAAGGCAAAGAACTCTATCTCCTGGGTACTCTCTGTAGATGGTGGGAAAAAGGAAGAGAATGTATCAGGTAGCTTTTGCTCTGTGACAGACAACTACAAAACCTTGGTAGTATATTAACAAGCAGTGCTCACTGCCCATGCATATGGGCTCAGCCATCAGTTAGGTGGCTCTGCTGATCTTAGCTGAGCTTGTTCACGTATTTGAGGTGGGCTTTGCTCCGTGACTTTCCCATATTGTAGCAGTGTAGCTTGGGCATGTTTTTAGAGCATTGGAGGAGGCATGAGAGACAAGCTCAATTCTACAGGTGATTTTCAAGCCTGTTCAGCAAGCAATCTACTGGCCAAACATCCCATGGCTGAGCCCATTGTCAAAGAGGGAGGGCACTGAATAGCTCCATGGCACAGGGGGGCGTGAAGAATCGGAACATTTTTTACAATCTATTACAGGAAGCCAAAGAAATAGCTAGTTTTTCTCTGTTTAAGAAGGGTTCACACACATTGCCTTTAAAAGGACAGATAGTAAATATTTTAGACTTTGGGGCCACGTACAGGCCCTGTTCTATATTCTTTTTTTACTTCTTTTCCTTTTCTTATTATCCTTTTTCTTTTAATAATCCTTTAAAAATGTAAAAAAACAGAGATATTCTTAGCTTCCAGGCTGTATAAAAATAGACTGCATGCCACATTTGGCCCGTGAGCCGTAGTTTGTTCATCCCTAGTTTAAGAAGAAAAAACATCTTCATACTAATAATAATATACAATATTCTGTTGGCAAAAGACATTTTGATACTTGTCATTTAATTGATCTTCATAGAAGCCTGATTGTTGAAGGTGGATATTTCTAATAGCTCCCCTTTCATATGGGGAGAGATGGGAACTTATGTGATGAAACTGGGATTCAGGCTGTAGTAGGGCCAGGGAGGGTCACTGATGATTACCTGAGGTTGCCCTGCCAAGGACAGCTGCTTGTGTCCTCTGCCTCTGAGAACTAAGCTTCCAGGAGGACCACCGGTAGTAGGGAGTGCATTCAGCTCCATCCTCCTGAGAACATACACTCTGCAAGTGGAGAGAAGCCATCTCATTATGTTAATTTCAACCCAGCCCAGACTGAGAGGAGGCTGATTTCAAGGGCAAAGAAGGTGAGGCAGCCGATTCCCAGGTCCCATTTCCCTTGCTCCACTTCATTAACATGGCCACCCTTAATGCGTGTCATAACTCTGCCTTCCAGCAAGATTTCCTCTCCACTAAGAACCTTTTAGAAATGGTATTTAAGAGAATGTGCATAAAACAAGTCTTCATGGTGATTATGACATTTCTGCTGAACCAAAATGTAATCAGTACACACATTTTGCATCCTTACACTTAATCCACAAACATAGCTTTTACTGTTTTACCTTCTCCCACCCACAATCCAAACAGTGCCACAGAACAAACGTAACAGGATATTAAGATAATCTCTTTTGTCTATGCCAAATGTCATTTAGCTGTTGAGAGAGGAATGTCCCATCTAGTTTTTACAAACAATAAATAATACAGCTTATGAAGGTCCACATGGGTGACACTGATGCAATGTTTCAACAGTTTTCCGAAAAAGGAAAATAAAATGAGTCATCCAATTAGTTGGCTGGGCATTTGCCTGCAAGTTGCCAGAGAGCTTTGTTGATTTATCCCAACTTGGCTAAGATTGGCTTACTCTAGAAGTTCGCCTGTTACAGAAGTTTGGTCTTTACTAGGGTGACACAAAGTATATTTTATGGATATTAGTTCATCAGGATGCTGAGAAGGGTTATAGCATCAAAGACAAATATGGCTGAACATATTGGGGATCATTTAGGTTAAAGAAATTTAAATGAATTTTTCCTGCGGGACTTCTCAGAGGCTTTAATCTGTGAATGTGCATACTGAATTTCCAAGAAGGGTTTAGAATGTGCAGCAGTTTCCAAATCTACTTGACCTGGGAACCCTTTTGTTCACAGGGCATCCCATGAGAGAACACTTTAAAGAACAGACGATGAGAATCAGTACCATGCGTAAAACGTGACCAACGTTCTATGCAGAGGAGATTTTTGAAAGTATCCCCACCAGTGAAGAGTTACCGTGTATGTGTATAATGTACATAAGTGGACATTAGCTTGTATTTTCAAATAATAAAGTCAAACTTTATTATTAAGGAAGATACAAGAATTAGGGCTAGTAAGTGTGTGTGTGTGTGTGTGTGTGTGTCTGTGTGTCTTTCTATGTGTAAATGTCCATCCCCAGGGATTAAGAAGTCTGGATTTGGGTTAAACTTAATCATTTCTAAGAATCTCAGGTTTTCAGTCCTGTCCTAGAATTTCAAAAACAGTCAGAGAAAGCAACTGTGAGAAGATCACAGCTTCTCATCCTGTTTTGAGTCTCACCCTCCTCTTTGCCCTCACAAAGGATTTCAGTGATTATGTTCCTGACAGGATGCATTTTAATTGTTTTCTGGTATGACTTCCCAATACATCAAGTTGTGTTTTCTATATAGCCGCTATCCCAAATGATTACTATTCAGAACACTAATCTGATCTCTAAATCTACAAAGAAAAGGCCATGTAATTTGCTTCTCTTTACAGTGCATTACGTGCACCATTGTAAGTGCTGGAACCCGCCCCCCCCCCCCCCCCCCCGCCCCGGGCATCTCCAAACTGCTGTCCTGTGGATAGCCCCAGTTGCATGTGCTCAAAAGCAAACTTCTTATCTCCTCCATGAGTCAGTTCCTCTTCCTGTTTTTTTCTCTCATTGCAGCTAATGACATTACCATCCCCTCAATGTCCAAAGTTAGAAACTTCTGAGTAATTTTTTATTTCTTTCTCTTCCTCACCTTCTACTAATATTAGCTGTTAAATCCTGTTGATGCTACCTCTGAAATATTTCTCAAATCCACATCTCCTTTCAACCTTGGGCATGGCCCTAGTTCAAGGTCCTATTTTTCTTAGATGGACCACGGGGTCCTTTTGCCATGATCTCTTTTTCCATCCAACTTATAATTTTTCTACAACTTTGACTTCCATCCTGATTACTAAGACTTTTAACATTTCTGTGTGCTCCTTCTTCTCTGGGTGTTTGACATGCATTGTCATTCTGTCTTCTGATTGCAAGTGATAGAAACCTACTCCAGACTAGCTTTCAGGGAAAAGAAAGGAGGTGTTTAGTAGATTGCACAACTGGCAAACCTGGAGTTGATTTAGCTTTCATGAAGGCTAGACCTTAGACTTGTCATCAGGAATATGTCCTATTTGCTTTTTCTGTCAGCAGTCCTTCCTTTTTTTTTGGCTGTGCTCTGTGATCACATGTCTCATTGTGGTGATAACGTGGCTTCCAGCAGCAATCCCAGACTCACAGCCCATCCTCAGCATTTCCAGTGGAGAGAAGTGTTCTCTCTTCCTAACACTTTCCATACAAATCTTAGAAATAAATTTTATTGGCTCTTAACATGTCACGTGCCCATCCTTCAACCATTTGCTATGAACAAGGGGACAGGATGCTCTGATTAGCCAGGACTTAGTCACCTCCCCTCTTCTGAAGACACAGAAGTTGGGACTTCATCTCTACCCAGCCACGTGGACTTAGAATACAGGATGGGTGGGTGCAGTTTCCCCGAGGAAATTGGAGGGCTGTTCTTGGAGCAAGGACATGAATAAGCGGCTTACAAAGAGCAAATAATCGTTGCTTATGGCACTCAAGGTGTTCTGTCACCCCATCCAACTCACCTTTCCCACTTGGCCTTCTGTCCTTGAATGCGAAGAACCAGAGTCCCCTGCTCTAAATGGCTCCTTTTCTGTGTGTGCTGCGTGTTTGCTCTGCTGCTGAGATCCATGCTTTTCCCTTGCCTGAAACACCCTCTGTGGCTGTTGCAGATGTGTTCACTCTGTAAACGCAGCTCAAATGCCTTCCACCCCAAAAAGCCTCCTTAAACTTGCCCCTGCTCCTCTGTGTGAATAATTTTCACAGCACATGATCTACACTTCCATCATGGTTCTTGAAATACATGAAATACCTAATCATAGGATAGGTTTCATATGATCCCACCTCCCCTGCTAGACACTGACAGTGTGACAGCAGGGCCCCTGTCTTGTTCGTCTCAGTGCTCCCCAGGGCCCACATGCAGTACCTTGTACACAGTGCAGGCACCATAAATACCTGTTGATTGATTCTGGACTTGCCATTCATTAAGAGAAGTTAATGGAGGTTTTCTGATTCCCATCAGATGAACAATTTTGGAATGTTTTATCAGTCAAATTTCTAAGAATCAATAAAACTTCCATTTGGATTATTCTTTCCCCCACTCAAATTGTATTTTAAAAATAGTTTTATTGTAATTGTCCCCCTCAATTCTGACAATGTGTAAGCATTGCAGAAAATTTGTGAATATAAAAGTATGAAGATGATCAAAAGCTTCTTCCTGACTGATGGCCATTGCATGTATGATTTCCTCTGCCTGGAACCCTGTGGCCCCCAGGGTTCAGCTCCCTGGTGCCTCATCAGGCACAGCTTAGTGTGAGCTTCACCTTTGTCTCTAGATCTTCCTGTGCATTTAGATTTTTAAAAAATCTGGTGTATCCCCTCATTGGTTGGCTATGAAGTAAGCTCCCTGTGTGCAGGGACCTTTTTTTAGCTTGGTGAGGGTGTATCCTCTCCACTGCTGGAGCTGTGGTCAGCACACAGCCAGTGAGTGCTCTACAAACACTTACAGCATCAGTTCATGAATGCTTGCAAACATGCAGAGGTTACCATTGCTTATACTTTTTTTTGTTTTGTTCCACTTATATAAACCACTTATATATTCAGATATTTGTGTATATATGCATATATATGTATTTATGCACACATAAACATACTACACACACTGGATGTATACTACACACACACACACACACACACACAATGTTATAAGGTGTATGTAACACACTCAGGGCTGCCCCACAGCCTCTCAGTGCCCTACTTATGTTCCGTCCCCCCACCATTCCTTCTGGCAGCTTCTCACTGTGAACCCTGAGATGTTCTGCCTGAGTGCTTGTTCTAGCTGCTGGAGCATGGCAGGCCAGAAGTTCTGGAGAACTCGTACCCCCAGGATCAGCTCTCAACCAGGGATGAATACAGATGGAGGATAAATTTCCCCACTCCCTTGCCCCTTTGGAGATGTATTTGACACCATTTCTCAGAGTCTCCAGGGAGAATGAGCTCCAGTAGCCCACAGTGGTACCTGGACTGATAATGCTTTACTGGCTTTCTTTTCATATCACTGCCTCCTGGAACCACCTCCTAAATAAGCTACTTACATTCGAGAACTAATTCCAATAATACGCTACTTAAGACAAGGGAGAATGGTAGAAACAGGTTTCTATACTTCACAAAAATGAGCTTTTGCTCTTCAGAAATCACAGCCAATAGATTGTGCCTTCTGGCTGCCCCCTCTGCTAATGCCCCCTCTTTGCCCCCTGAACAAGGGCACCCATGTACAACAATGTGTATATACTTCCTTAGGAAGCTGGTCATTCAGAGCCCCGTCAGTGACACCTGCACTCAGAATGTAATCCTACCCAGCTTCGGGGGCTCCAGGAATTCCTGTGGCATCCGTGTTATAGACTCCTTTGCATTCAGCTTTGCTTTTATCTGTTTCCAATTTGTGTTTTCAAGGCTTCGGTTTTTCTCCTTTCTGCTTCATCTCCAGCCCCTCCTTTGCAACAGTACCAAATAAAAAAACCCATGACACTGCCACAGCTGAAAAAGCCTTTGAAAAAGGCAGGTGGCGTGGCTTGAATGTTTCTAAACTCTAAAACTGCAAGCCACAGACAAATAAAGAAAGAGGTGGGGGTGGGCATGGGGGGTTGTAGTCTTGTGGAAGCAATCCTCAGCCTTCAGCAGGCTCTAGGGGCACACTGCCTCTAGCATGTTTTGAGCACGTTGATTTGGGCATCTGTCTTGCTGAATTTGAGTTTGAATTATGGATGTTACAGAATGAATCATTAAGGCTGTGTCCACCCGGATTGCTCTGGCTCTCTGGCCTGTTCACAGTGCTGTTCAATTTTATGTAAGCATTACTTCAACATTTTTGGTGGATGTTCTTCATTTATTCATTCATTCAGTATGCACTGATGGTGACTCTAAGTCTTGGGACTGCAAAGATGTCTGAGGCCCATTCTTTACTCCTCCACATCTCAAGACCTAAGGGAGATAGACAGGCAAATCAATAACCACAGTGCCTTGCTATTGGTGCTGTCCAAGGTGGGTGCTGTGAAGAAGTGCTTAAGGGCAAGTGCTGCAGAGGCAGGCACACCTGGGGTCCTTTTCCTGGCCTGGGGGGTCCAGGAAGGTTTCCCAGAGGAAGAAGCAGGGCTCAGTCATCAAGAGCTAAGGATATGCCGTCAAATAGCCCTGGCTTATTAGAATCTGCTTTGCACTAAGCCTCCTGAATACTTAATTTCCCCAAGCCTCAGTTTCCTGGTCTGCTAAGTGGCCAGAATAATATTTACATCGTGGATTTGTATGAAATAAATAGGATAATGCATGAACCATGCTTAGCGTGAGCCATAACACGCAAAAGCAACATAATCAGTATTTGTTAATTGTAACAAATCAAGCCCGGGATATTGACAGACACCTAAGGCAGACTTGGGAGACAATGTCTCTTGCTGCTGCCTCATGAGGAAGGTGAATGACCATGCATTGCCACTGGACGGGAAAATAAACGGTTTCTTCTTTTTATTCTTGTAGACACCAGTGAGGCCTACCATATACCTATGTCAAAACCTGCAATTTATCAAAAATAAAGCCCGAGATAGTAACAGTCTTGCTGACCACAAAGGCAAAAGGATCCAGGTAAACAGATTGCTTCCAGGACTATTATTTCATGATGAGCTTTCAGGTATATAGCACATGAGAGGGAGGACAAGGTGCGGCTGCACTTCAAGAGACCACGTTGGACAGGTGAGATGTCCAATATATTCTTACTTAAGATCTGATTTCTTCTCCTTCTCTCCAGCAAGGGATGCCCAGAGATATAACAATTAGAATTCAATACGCTAATACAGTGTCTCATTAGCCAAGCCACACAATCGCCTCTAGTGGTCCATATGCACGACAACCCGGGATCCTAGAAATTAGCTCGGCTTCCTGCATCCGTCCCCATCTGAATCTTTACTCAACTACTTTTTGATTGTGAAGAGCCAAGCTCATTTGAGCAGTAGGAATTTCATGGGGCTGGTGATCCCAAGACTAATTCAAAAATTAATAAGTTTCCCATTCCTTTTCTTATTTATTTTTTTGGTAGGGACACATTTCACCACACACGCCTGCTTCTTTCTTGCCAGTATTTCATTCAAAACTAGTCCTCAAGTTTTGAAATTTTAGAGACTTAAAAAAAATCAATAATGCTTTAAGAAGATTAAGAGGCTGTGCTTATGTCAGCCTTAGACAATTCTGGAGAGAAGATAGACTTGATTGTGCTTCTCATTTTGTTTATGATCCTGCAATGTATCACGCATTCTCTGCCAAGTGAATTCTGACTGCATGAAGAAGGGGTAGATGCTTTTACAACAGGTTTAGTCATCTGGCATATTATTTAATACAATCAGTGGTGTTTTCCTTCGTGAGATGCAGCCTTATATACAGGCTAGGTGTTAAGTTTATACCCAGGTTATCTACCCTTCCCCCTCCTGTCCTCTCTCCCACCCTGTTTTTATTCTGTCTTCCCTCCCTTCTTCCCTTCTTCCTTATTCTCTCTCTTCCTCCCTTTCTTCTTCATCTTCCTGTCTTCCTCACTCCTCCCTTCTCTCCTCCCCATCTTCTTTCCCTTTCTTTCCGCCTCCCTTCTCCCTTTTTCGCTCCCTCTTTCCCTTCACAAACATTTATTCAAACCCTATTATATACCAGGCACGATGCAAGGCACTGGAAATACACTGAACAGGGCAGATGTGGTTCCCGTTACATGATGAGTAACACAGGTGATAAATAAACAGTTAACAAGATAAGAAAAATGGCCAGCGAGTATTTGGAAGAAATAGACAAGTGATAGGGAATGGCTTTGGGGAGAATTATCTGCATATAAGGATAAGGGATGAGACAGACTCAGCAGCCGTTTCATGCCAGGGCAGAGTAGAAGGCCGTGGAGCTGCTAGGTGGTTGGCCTGGAGAAAAAACAAGGAGTTTTTTCTGCAAAGTGCTGGTAGGAGTTTACAGTTCTCTGTAATGTTCAGAAATGCAGAGGTCAGCGGAGGTGGGTGGATCACCTGAGGGTCAGGAGTTGGAGACCAGCCTGGCCAACATGGTGAAACCCCGTCTCTACTAAAACTAAAAAAAAAAAAAACATTAGCCAGGTGTGGTGGTGGGTGCCTGTAATCCCAGCTACTTGGAAGGCTAAGAAAGGAGAATTGGTTGAACCCAGGAGACGGAGGTTGCGGTGAGCTGAGATCATGCCGCTGTACTCCAGCCTGGGTGACAGAGCGAGACTCTGTCTCAAAAAAAAAATAAAATAAAAAAGAAGTATAGAGGTCATTTTTAATGTGAGAATGTTCTCAGTGAATTAGGTATATGTGCCTGCCACATTTTCCAAACCAATGTTTTTACGAATATTCTAGTTTAGCCCTCTCTTCTAGAGTTATAAAATTATTCTGCCTTCAGTTCTACATTTAGGGAGTCCTCTTTTAAGGAAAGGAAAAGGATAGTTAAATCAGGGGCTGTCACAGAAGCCTCAGATTGGAGGACAAGGCGTGGACCATCCCCTGTTTGGCGGGAAAATAGCTTTAGTCACAGGCAGGTTGTTTTGCTTCCTAAAGCGTAAAGTTGGAAATGTGATAATTTCGTCAAGTAGTTGATTTAGTTGTATCAAGCTTAACTAATTAACACCAATTCCATGCTTGATTCTTTTCTCCATTAACTGAACAAAAGCCATTGCTAATGAGGCTATGTATACAAAGCCAGCTGACTCATTTTGTTATGGAGATTTCAAAGAGAAGGGAGTTGTAAACATTTGTAGGGAAGAGATAGGGGTAGACATGATCTTACACATATTTAACAACAGGTGCAATACAGGCACTGGCCAATGAGAATGAGCAGGGGTATAATGGTGCCACCAGCACATACAGAAGGAGTAAGAAGTATCCTCAAGGCACGGAGAGATGATAGGGTGCAGGGCCTTTGCACTGGGCTTATTCACAGGCAAAATATTTTTCCTTATTTTAAAGAAATGGAAAGAAGTCTTCCTAGAAGCCAGGGTCTGTGATACATGACAGAGTGACCATAGCACTCAGGGGTGCAGAGGGTGTGTGGATTCTGATGACAGATTGCCTGTCTGATTTTGCAGAATTAGCTCCAACATGGTTTTGGTAACACCCGTTGCCCTCTTTAAGCTTGATGTCTCTGTTTTCATGTAATTTGCACAAAGTAGGCACTCACTAAATATTTGTAGGTGAAGACGTGTATCTCAGCACAAAGCAGCCTCTTGGACTACCATCTGTGTGGTATTCAAGGTTCTTTTGGTTTCAGAGAAGAGGAACACAGTAAAATTTACCCAAAGAAAGGAGCATATGTGTCGGTTAGGGAAAGACCAAGCTTCCATAACAAAGAGACTCCCAAATCCAATGGCTTGATAAGATGAGCCTTTATGTCATGTTTTGGTCCCTTGGTGAGAGGCACCGACTGGCAGGCTGGCTTTGCCCTGTGTAATCATTCCATCTTTTTCCTTCCAGCTGTTGCTCAGACGTCACCTTGGGCATGGTCCTTGTCTGCATGGTTGAAGGTGGCTCATGTGTATGTCTGCTTTTCAGTGCACGCATGGAGGCAAACATCTGTCTTTTACATTAGAGATGACTCCAATGTTGCTTACATCACACTGTTCGCATCCCATTTGCTCAAATGTGGTCATATGCCACATACAGCTGTGAGTGACGCTGCGAAATCTAGCTGGCTGGCTTTGTGGCATGGCTTGCATTCTTCTGCTGTGGGAGAGAAGGAGGAGAGAATGGGTTTTAGTGGACCCACAGGGAGTTACTATAAAAGTGCAAATAGGGCATAAGGGGATGCAAGAAACACTGAACAACCAGGCATCAGAGTGCAGGAGCCTATGGAGTTCAGATGAGAGCTCTCCTTCGTGCTTCTCTAGCTCTCACTCTCCATCTCTCACACTTTCTCTTTTTCTGTGTGAAGACTCCACTGTCTCTGTCTCTCCACCAGCTTCCTCTGATGTCCTATCTTGGATCTGGCCCCAGATAGTATCCTCTACTTTCTTGACCTTGGGTTTTCCAAAGCCAACTGGTATCTTCTTACTTGTCTCTTGATTCTAATTTATCTAAAGGGAAGATCTGATTCGCCCAGCTCAAGATAGTCAGGGTCTAAAACACCATGACCACTCTAAAAAGAGGGGACTCCGAGTCAGCTGTCTGCGCTTATCCAATCAGATGACGCTGGGCAAATGGAGAAGCTGTCAGTTTTCTGAGACACCCCTCCCCAGACTGACCCAAACACAACTTGCACAGTGTGAATATCAGAGTACTATGTGAGAAAGTACTCTGTGGAGCTGACCAGCATCAGAAATTCTGCTAGGGCTCTCTTATAAATTGATAACTTGTTTCTCAGTCTTTTATACATTTGGCAACCGTGAATCTATTCTTTAGAACCAGAAGAGTCCTGAGTGATGAGTTCATAGATTAGAGATTCTCATACTTCACAGTTGAGAAGTGGGGACAGGCCCAAGGGTAAGAATCAGAGTGAGCTGCCAGTTACATCGCTGGTCAGCTCCTCTTTCACTGCAGTAGATACAATGAACATAACAATGGATATAAGCTCCAATTCTATCCAGTTTTCCACGAATGAAGATGAGTCTTTGAATACGCCCTTAGCAGTTCTCAAAAACCAATCAGCAGAACAAGTCTGGCCAGCTCCCACTTTACATGGACATTATCATCAAAAGCTATTTTAATCCCAGGAACCAAGAAAAAGAAAAAAATTCTGAACTTGCAATTTTTTTCTGTTTTCTGTTTCATGCCACAGGAATAATTTTTAAGAAATTCTTTAAAATAGACCCAATTCTATGTCTTATTTAAAGCAACAGATATGAAGCAGTCTGTGTAGCAGACAAATTTAATGGTTCCAATCAGGGGCTTGGAATTAGACTGCCTAATTTTAAATTCTAGCTCCATGCTTGCAAGGGATGTAACTCTAGGCTGGTTACTCAGTCTCTCTGATGTTTCTGTTACTTCATCTGAAAGTGTGGATAACACTAATAGGTACCTTGCGAGGCTGTGGACAATAAATGAGATAATTCATGTCAAGTATTTGGCCCAGCGACTGCGACATAGCAAGTGTTGGCTGAAGATAATTATTAGGACTTCACATGAGCGTTGTTGGAGGAGCTTAGCTTGTTTAACCTGGAATAGAAAAGATATGGTAAAGAGGATGCAGGAGCTTCCATTTAGTATCTACAGGGTGGGCCATCCTGTTTCCTGTGGCAGAGAGAGAAGAGGTAGAACCAATAGGGAAGAAATCATAGGCAGACAGATTTCAGATCAACAAAGAAAGGCAAAACAGATAGAGCTGTCCAAAGAAGGAATGGGTTTGAAAGAAATAAAGCCCCAGAAGGGCTCTAGATGAGGATGTGAGGTTGGATAAGCTACATAAGGGATGTCCCAAAGTCAGACCATCTTCTGGGCTTGATAGCATGGGTTAGGATGGGCTGACAAAGACTGCCTTAAATAAAAGTATGCATACACACACACACACTACACACACACATACACACAATACTTATATGTAAATACATTTAAATATATTATATAGATTTAATATATAATATATAGTTCTATATAAATATATTTTAAATTTATAAATTTAATTTATAAATTAAATTTATTATTTATATATTACATTAATTTATATTTATATTCATAAATTTATATATAAATATATTTATATAAAATATAAAATATATTTTATATGTTTAATTATATATAATAGGTGGAGGCGGGTGGATCATGAGGTCAGGAGATCGAGACCATCGTGGTTAACATGGTGAAACCCCATCTCTACTATAAATACAAAAAATTAGCTGCGCATGGTGGTGGGTGCTGTAGTCCCACCTACTCGGGAGGCTGAGACAGGAGAATGGCGTGAACCCAGGAGGGCGGAGCTTGCAGTGAGCCGAGATCGCGCCACTGCACTCCAGCCTGGGTGACAGAGTGAGACTCTGTCTCAAAAAAAAAAAAAAAAAAAAATATATATATATATATATATATATAAATATATTTCTATATTTATAAAATATATAAAGTATATATGATATACAAATATATTTACATATAATATAATCATTTTATTTGATTTAAAAATATACAGTATATTTATATATTTGTATATTTATAAATGTATTTTATATATTGTATGTTTATAAAATATTAGAAAAATATATTTGTATATTTATAAAATATATAAAAGTATATTTATATACAAATATAACCTATAAGTATATATGTATGTTTTACATACACAAATACTTTTATACATAAATGTGTACACATTTCAGAATCAAACAGCCCATTATAAGCATATATGAAAGAACAGTTTGATTTGGCATATTTTATAAACTGTCACCTGATTTTTTTTTTACCCCAACATTAAAAAAAAAAGCTAGTGCATAAACAAGGTGCAGAAAGAAGCTAGTCATCCATTCATCTCTTCTTGTGCCAGTGTTACAATATCTAGTAGCTGAAAGTCTGGGCCAGTCATTTGCCCGGACCGCATTATGTCTGAATACCTCCTGGCAGTTTCTACGTCTTTCTCAGGGCTTCTAAATAGGAATGAACATGAAAGGGCCGCGTGGCAGTGACCGCAGTGTGGAGGTTCTAATAATGACTATGAGGGACACACAGTTTTCAAGGAGATCTAACAGTGTTTATGAAAGATTCTGTTTCATCTCACCAGTGAAGAGCCCTTCATCATCTACCATTCTCTTAAGGATAGAGTCTTAGAATCTCCAGTGATCCTGCAGGACCCTCATCCCGTGGTTTTAAACCTGTGTTCTCCAGAGGTCTAGCATTGAGCGGTGGCACTTGGGATTCTGGAATGGGGAGGATGCAAGAGGAACACAGTGAAGTAAACAGCTTGGACTCTGGCCCTTCAAGCATACTTCATCCACTTTCATCTGTTTTAGGCATGTGGGTTCAAGAGGTGATGCCACTTGAAAAAAGATTAGAGGGTTCTGAAAAAATCAGGTGTAGAATTAATTCCAACATAGACCTACCTTCTTATTGCACAGACAAAGACACTGAGATCCAGAGACATTGAGGGGCTCTCTTGGGCTCCCCCACCTTGTCCAGGGGAAAGTCAGGACTGGGATCCAGCGTATAGTCACTTGCTACGGCTATTCCCATTATGTTTTGCTGCTGCTGAAACACTGGAACACATTCTAAAGTTCAGACACTCAGGAAATACCCCACGGTGATAAGGACAACCGGTGATGCCGATGAGTTCCCACCAGGTGTCAGTGCCTCGAGGACTTGTTTAATCTTCACAACGGTGCTCTGAGTTAGGTGCTCATATTAGTTCCATTTAACAGTTGGAGAAAATGAGGCTCAGGGAAATTAAATCACTTGCTCCACATCACACAGCTACTAGGCAGTCAATGCTGGTTTTGAGGCTAGGTGATCTCAGTCCAGAGGCCTCAGCCTTAACCATTCTGCTCTCTCGCCTTCCTGCATTTTATACTCCATACTTCTCTTGGGAGAAAGATACTATCATATTATTTCGTCCAAACTTACCATATCTTAAAAAAAACTTACCAGCAAACAAATCATCCAACTGCCTTTCATCTATTGAATGTTCTACAGACTTAACGCCATTATCTCGCATGACCTTGATGAAGATAGTAACCCTCCCTTTATCAAAATGGTCAATCTTCATTAATTTATTTTACTAATTAGTTAAAGGCTGGTGTAATTTAGAGAAAGTCTAAATTATAGAATACATTTTATTCTGTCACTTTGAAGCACAAACCTCCACAAAGATTTGTATAAAAATGCTCCCTTCTGGGACTCACTTCAGTGATTTGTAGCTACCATTCATACTGCCTCTATGTAAATGAAAGGGAGGCATAATATCAGCACCTTGCGTATTCTTCTCCATGGTAATAAATCGTGCCTGATAACCTATGAAAATGGCTTCATTTTTCTCTTACCACGCCTATCATGGTGGCTTTCAAACTCACTACCCTGTGCCCCACCTATCACACCTGTCCTTTGTCCCTTTCTCACATGGATGTCTACAAAATGCAGCAGTAAAGTGTTCCATAATCCACACTTCAGTCTACATAAATGTTTAATTCCCCTGCCCCTTTTGTTTTCGTCAGGCCCCCTGAAGCCGCAGCTGAGATGGCTGACTCCCTGAACTCTTCTTATGTTCTTGACTGTTCGCATAGCCTTTCCTGGGATTACCTCCCAGTTCCAAGTTTGCCCATTCTGCAGGCAGTCTTCTTGGGTTCCAGCTTTTCTCCACCATCAGCTTCTCCCCTAGGGCTCTTATTAACTCTCCGCTCTCTGGGGGCCACTCTCATTTTCAGCTTCATGTGGATCAGTGATTACTTGTCCTATCTCCTCTCCTAGAACGTGAGCTTCATCAAGGAATTTCTCTCTATTGACCCTCAGGCATGAGCACAATGTCCTACTCCCTGGGTGCTTAGTTAATGCTTATGGAGTGAATAGAACCCCGGCGTGTGTGTGTGTGGTGTGTGTGTGTGTGTGTGTTTAGGGAAGGCAAAGGACGTTTGGCAAAAAAACAAGTTACCTGAGGGAATAGCAACTCGAAGTCATTGTCCCTCAATTTGGGATCCCGGTACCACCCGCATAAGAATCTTTTGGATGCTGAATAAACCTGCAGTTTCTCCAGCCTGGCCAAGACCTATCAAAGCAGGGTTCCTGGGTATGAGGTCCAAGGATCTGCAACTGGAACATGCTCTCCAGGCAATTCTATACACACTGGTATCTAAGAACCACTGCGCTCAGAACTAGGATATCCATCAAGCCTGATTTGAAGTACCTGCATGAGTCCCAGTGTCATGATGAGATCAAGAGAGCTTCTGTGTCCTTGAGGGGCTGGAGTATGCGTCCCCCTGAAACCCTTTCCCTGCCTGCCCCCAGCACTGTTGGGTGTCCCTTCTCTGTGCTTCCTCTGCCAACACTCTGTGCGGTGTTTCCGGGAGTCAGAATGGCAGGGTGGTCAAGAGTACGGACTCAGAGGTTGCAGAAAGATAAAAAGATGATTGCATTCATGATTGTTATGATGTCTTGTACATAGAATATTGTCTTATTTGCTCTAAGACTCCATTAAAAAGCCAGCAAAAGCAAATGCATACCAGAAAAACAGTGGTGTGCTCTTTGAATATTAGGTGGCCTAGTGCATGTTTCACCTAGGTCTCTGACTAATTCTATGAGCTTGGGCAAATTATTTAGCTTCTTTAGGGCTTCTGTATTTGTGAAAAAAAAAACAAACAAAAAAAAAGGAAAACAATAGTTTCCCTTTAACAGGGCTATTGTAGGAATCCAGTGAGATCATATCTTGGAAGTGCTCAGCTGAGGGCCTGGGCGGGATAAGTACTCAAATCATACCCTTAATATCATTATTCTTTTTTGAGATCAAGTTTCACTCTTGTCGCCTAGGCTGGAGTGCATGTTGGCCAGGCTGGTCTCACACTCCTGACCTCAGGTGATTCACCTGTCTCGGCCTTCCAAAGTGCTGGAATTACAGGTGTGAGCCACTGTACCTGAACAAGTGGGTGTTGTTTTAAGCCACTACATTTGTGGTCATTTCTCCCAGCAGCCACAGGACACTCATACGTCCATAAAGGCAGCTTCTCTGCTCTTTGATGCCTCTGACTCCACTTAAGCCCTCTTCCCCAGGGCTGAACCAACATACCCGCTTCCAAGTCTATTAAGTATTGAATTGTGTTCCCCCAAAAGATATGTTGAAGTCCAAATCCCCAGGATCTGTAAATGTAACACTATTTGGCAACAGGGTCTTTGCAGATAATCAAATAAAAATGAGGTCATTTTGGGGAAGAAGCTAATCTACTGTTACTGATGTCCCTGTAAGAAGAAAAGAGGGTCGGGCATGGTGGCTCAGGCCTGTAATCTCAGCACTTTGAGAGGCCGAGGCTGGCAGATCACCTGAGGTTAGGAGTTCAAGACAAGCCTGGCCACCATAGGGAAGCCCTGTCTCTACTAAAAATATATAAATTAGCTGGGTGTGTTGGCATACACCTGTAGTTTCAGCTACTCAGGAGCCTGAGGCAGGAGAATGGCTTAAACTGGGCAGGTGCTGGTTGCAGTGAGCCGAGATCAATCCACTGCACTCCAGCCTAGGCGACAGAGCAAGACTCCATCTAAAAAAAAAAAAAAAAAAAAAAAAAAAGACACAACGACACACAGAGAACTTGTGTGATGATGGAGGCAAAAACTGGGGTGACGCAGCTACAATTCAAGGGACACCAAAACTGCCAGCAATGACCAGAAGCTAAGAGAACAGCATGAAACAGACTGCCATCTAGAGCCTTCAGAAAGGACATGACTTTTCTGACACTTTGATTTCAGACTTTTTGCCTCCAGAACTGTGAGCGATCACATTTCTCTTGTTTTACACCAGCCAGTGTGTGATACTTTGTTCCAGCATCCGTAGGAAACTAATACAAAGTCCCAAACTCTTTCCACTATGTCTAGATCCAAAGTCACCAAGAGGCCTGGCTTGGGGCAGCACTGGGAACTTAGACAGGACCCTAGCTAAGTTCCATTCTGAGTTAATAATTGTTATTAACTCACTCAGTTCATGCCCAGTTAGCAAGCATCATGAAGCACATTAAGCCAGGATATGGCCTTTCTAAATGTCCTGAGTATCAGGAGAAGCTTTTTCACACTGCAAAAGCCAGTCTAATTCTATGACTTGCAGGCTGAAAATCAACTATGGCTGCAACCAAGTCACTTAGCCATCATCAGCGCCAATCCTGCAGTGCTTATAGCCAAGTCAGGGCGTCTGTTTGTTGAGAGGCAAAGGCGGCCCCGCCCCATGCTCTGGTTTCTGCTTGCACCTTATTAACGGGTAATGAAGAGTAGGTTCTGCTTTATTGATCTTGAGACCAGAGCTACGTGCGATGCTGCCTAAGAAAAGCCGCAAAGGATTTTATTTGATTTTTGCACACAACAATAATCTCCCTCACCAGATTAGCTGGTGAACTGGTGGGCTTTTCACCTTGAAATTGTTGATAGGGTAGCCAAACAGGAATTTCTATATTTGCTAATCCTTCCTCAAATACACATCCCCACCGTCTGTGCCCTGTCAAGTGGGTACCTGGGAAATAGCAGAGACCACACTGTGGAAGGGGAGACACTCCAGTGCAGGAAAGATCAGAAGAAAGAGGTGACAATGACATGCAGCACGAAGCAGCGATGATGGGGTTTTTTCTTTGCAAAATTACAAGCCACAGTCTCACCTCATTCCTACCTGCCTTTTTTATTTCCCCTGCTCTCAAAACATACCTGACTAGAAAATCCCCAGTCCAACTCCAGGAATGCCCTTTCTTCTTTAGCCACATCACAGTGTTACCAGATGCCTTTTATGAGCTCTTTGGTAGAAACTAAGCCATGTGTCACTACTGGGTGTTGAAAACTCAGGAGTCAGCTTCCCTGCAGTCTGCTGGCGCTCAGTTCTTTGGCTCTGCCTAAAGTCGGATAAGGAAATGACCTTCCAGGCATGGTGAGATGAGTCCTTAGGACACAGAAGGGCAGGCTGGCCTGGCCTCAGGAGACTGCAACAGCTGCCAGAGAGCCATGGCACTCCTCAATCCCCCGAGGAGCCTGGAAAAGACTTCCCTCTTGGGTTCAGGCATGTCCTCTGCTTCCTGCCTTTATGGAAACTGGATTTTCGGGACCTTGGAGGACCTCCTATGGGGAATAGAAACTAACAGCCCATCCCGAGCCTGCTTTTCCATGGGAAAGGTGGTGGGAATTCTCCATGTCACCTTTGCAGAGAGAGAGAGACAAACATGGATCCAAATTAGAGATGGCTTCAGGTTCTGACGGATTCATCTCTCCCAATTGCCTTTGTAACACATCTGCTAAATTTAGATAAGTCACAAATAGAGCCAAAAGAAAATCCAGAAGGGAGCCACAAAAAATTATTAAACAGTTGTAAAAGTTGGGGATTATGAGTGGAGGAATCGGGGTTATTTATCCTGGAAAAGAGAAGGCTGAGGAGGGACATATAAAGACTTCATACTAGATTAATTATGTAAATAAGCAGACACCCAGCTGGCATGGAATTTCAACCATTTGGCAGGGAGAGTGGGTATTAAGGGGGGTGACTAGTTGTTTTAAAATCATTAGTTGCCTGCACAGGTTTCTGGAGGGGTTCACTGTTGCTGAGTAATACAAGTTATGAATATGCCAGGTCTGTTTTAATGAGCCCAGACTTCACCCACCAAAAATCCTTTCCAGCCAAGCACGTGATAACTATAGATCTTCTTTGTCCTTTGCCTCAAGCAGAAGCCTTACACGGGTCCGTCGTAAGATGCACCTCTAGGGCTCATTCCTTCTTCAAGTCCCGGTGTAGAGTTTGGTGTTAGAAGGGACAATTAGAGACTTAGAGATTCCTTCGTCCAGACAGGAAGATGCTGGAAGGAGTGCCTTTTGGGGAATGAGCTGAGCTTGGCCAGATGCTGCAGTTGTGTCCCCTTGCTGAAGTTAGTCACACTTGGCTGCTGGAGAAGTCTGCCCAGGTGCACTTCATAACCACACTGCCATCTTCTGCCTTTCATTCAACAGGACATGAATTGAGCACAGGCTGGTCCTCCTGAGCCCTGGCCCAACAAGGCTCCTGAACCTGGGCCCAGAGATGCATAAGAGGATGCCAAATCACATAAAAAATAAGGGTATGGTGAAATCCCATCTCTACTAAAAATACAAAAAATTAATAAGGTGTGGTGGTTCGCAGCTGTAATCCTAGCTACTCCAGAGGCTGAGGCAGGAGAATCGCTTGAAACCAGGAGGCGGAGGTTGCAGTGGATTGAGATCACACCACTGCACTCCAGCCTGGGCGACAGAGTGAGACTTTGCCTAAAAAAAAAAAAAAAAAAAAGAGCCCCCCCACTCATCCACACTTACTCTCTTACAATCCTGGAAGGCAACTTGTTTCAATGGGCTAGAGGCAAGTTGTTGGCTAGAGGAGATTCCATTGCTGGACTCTTTTAGATCCTGGTGGTTCCCGACATTCCTTAGCTTATAGCCACATCAGTCTAGTCCCTGGCTCCGTGGTCCCATGACCTTTTGTGTCCAATATTCCTCTGCCCCCCTCTTATGAAGGAATTTGGGATTCTATTTAGTGGCTACCCAGATAATCCAAAATAATCTCTTCATTTGGAAATCATTAATTTGGCCACATCTGCAATGTCTTTACCACAAAAGTTAATATAGATGAGTTCTAGGGATTAGGATTTGGTACCTTTGGGGATCATTATTCAGCCTACTGTAGTAGGGGTTCATCAGTTAGTGGGGGGGAAGTAGCCAGTTTATTCCCAAAATGCATGTGTCATCACAAACCAAGATGAGTTTCCTAAAAGAAAATAAGATACTACTGCGAATGTCACCCAATGAGACCTGACCCATTCTGTGTGTGCAGGGATGCTGTTTTAGTTGGGTTCCCACAGAAGCAGACCCTGCAACGATGATTTGTGTGCAAGGTGTTTATTTGAGAGGTGATCTCAGGAAACCGGTAAGGCAGTGGGGGAAGTGAGACAGGGAAGAAAGGGCAGCCAGTGATGGGAGTTGCTTTCAAGCAGTTGCTTGTTCTTATGGGCAGCTGGAGCTGAATCCCACTGGGGACTCTGGGAGACAATGAAAACCACATCTCATAGTTATCCCCACTGAGGAATGAGGGACCTGGGGTATTTATCTACCAACTCCCCTTCTATTATTGGTTGAGTCCCTCTTCTGACGAGTCACAGGTATTCCCAGTAAGCAGCCTCTGTAGGGCACAGGTGAGTGATGATGGGATTCACCGCTGACAGCTCTGCTGTAGATTTCCCCGGGCAGGTGACCTCTGAACTGCCACCTGAAGTAGAAGTAGGAAGTAACCAGCAACTGGGGTGGGGATGGTGAAGAAGAAGGAGAAAGTGTTAAGGAAGGAAACAGAAAGTGCCAAGCCCTGAGGTAGGTGGGGCACAGTGTAGTGTTGTATTAGTCCATTTTCACGCTGCTGATAAAGATATATCTAAGACTGGGCAATTTACAAAAGAGGTTTAACAGACTCACAGTGCTGGGGAGGCCTGGCAATCATGGTGGAAGGTGAAAGGCACATCTCACATGGCAGCAGACAAGAGAAGAGAACTCGTGCAGGGAAACTCCCCTTTATAAACATCATCAGATCTCGTGAGACGATCACAAGAACAGCATGGGAAAGACCCAGCCCCATGAATGAATTATCTCCCACCAGGTCCCTCCCAAAACACGTGGGAATTATGGGAGCTACAATTCAAGATGAAATTTGGATGGGGACACAGCTAAATCATATCAAGTGTCCAGAGTGAAAGGAGTTGAGATGGAACAGCATCTCACCAGACCTGAGAGCCATTTGGTGCGTGTTGGATGCATGTGGTCCGTATCTGTTCTGGTTGATTGATGCCTGTGCCTTGACATTTGTTCAATATTTTGAATATCCTTCACACTGAGGTCAATATCTCTTTCCCTGGGTGGTTATGAGCCTTAAATCAGCTATGCCATGTGAAAGTTATTTGCAGTTTGTGAAGTCCTGTGGAAAGGTTGTTGCTGTTTTTCTGCTGGGGCTGTTTTAAGATGAAACATGGTATGGGGGAAAGATGCAAGCTCTGGGTCCCATTCTCAGGAGTTTCCACGAGCAGGAACCTCACATCACTGCCATTGGCCTGTAATATAATTTTGGCCTGAGTCTATCTGGGACAGGTGGTGTGGAGATGCACTGTTACTAAAGACTTAAAGCTTGGAACTTAAAAGTCTACATTTTCTTTGGAGTCAGGTGGTCCTGTGTGCAAGTCCCAGTTCCAGGCCCTTCCACTGGCTGTCCAATGGCTTGGAGTCTGAGGCTCAGTTTTCCCACTTGCAGAAGGAAGGAATGATGCCAACTTCGTAAGTTACATGAGATGTGAAGGCAGTGATGGAAGTGGAGCTGGGGCTCCTTCCCCCTCTGTTTTAAGCATTTGATTAAAACAAGTTAGGATGGGCGCAGTGGCTTGTGTCTGTAATCCCAGCACTTTGACAAGCCAAGGTGGGTGGATCACCTGAGGTCAGGAGTTTGAGACCAGCCTGGCCAAGGTGGTGAAACCCCGTCTCTACTGAAAATACAAAATTTATCTGGGTGTGGTGGTGGGTGTCTATAATCCCGGCTACTCGGGAGGCTGAAACAGGAGAATCACTTAAACCTGGGAGGCAGAGGTTGCAGTGAGCCAAGATCACGCCACTGCACTCCAGCCTGGGCAACAGAGAGAGACTCTGTCTCAAAAAAAAAAAAAAAAAAAAAAGGTCTTACTGTACCATATGTCCTCACTTAACTTCATTGCTAGGTTCTTGAAAACTGTGACTTTCAGGGAAATGAAATATAATGAAAGCAATTTTACTGTATGCTAAATGGTATAAACAAGAGTTAAATTCTTACGGCACGTTCCTGGTCACAAAAACATTACCAAACTTCTTAATAAAGACCCAAAACACTTCTAATATTAAACATTGAAATAAAGATGAGCTATACATACATTTAAGAAAGATGAATAAAAACAAGTAAGATAATCGTTTGCTCAATTTTTGGTGAATCAGTGAGTGACGGTGGTCGTAGTGGTGGTGGGTTAAATCAAGGAATAAAGGTTTGCAAAGCGAAAATTGTCAGGGGCACCTCCTGCCACCGTGCAGTTTGAAAACAAACAATTCCAACTAATGGCAGACTGACTGAGTGCTTTCTTACTGCATTGTTTTTTATTGTGCATTTTTATGATTATTATACACAGTACTTCATGAGTTTTTGTTTTACAATACTTCGTATTAATTAATTCACCTTCCAAATTGCTTAGTCTATAATAGTTTAGGGTCTTGGGTGGCCAAAGCCTCTGCTAGCACAGGGTAGGAACTGACCCTGGACAGGACATCATTCCATCGCAGGGCACACTTACACCCACGCTCACACTCACTCATACTGGGGCAATTTAGATGTGACAGTTCACTTCACATGCACAACTTTGGGATGTGGGAGGAAACCAGAGGACCCGGGGAAAACCCACACAAACATGGGGAGAATGTACAAACTCCACACACAGGGTGGTCTGGGCCAAGAGTTAGTGTTTTTTTTTTTCTCATCAACATTATAATAAAACAACATTGAAGAAAACAGCATTATATGATGTCTGGATGTATTTATTGTTCATGATGGCCAGGTCTTCCTGCATTGTTGTTTGAGTCAGTCACAGTGAGTTGGCATTGCTACAAGTCACTGAGCAAAAGGCCCTCGCCTGGCTCATTCGCCAATGAGTCTCCTGTGCCTGAAACAAAGCTTGGTAAATAGTAGATGCTCAGTAAATACTAACTGAATAAATGAGTGAGTGAGGTTTACTGGAGAAGGGATCAAGAACCTGAATTGATTTAGCTCTCCCCACATGATTATGGGATGAAGCCATGATAATTACTGGCACAAAACATTCATTTTATACATAATGGAAGTATAACCAGGGATGCAAAGTGATTTGCTCCAAGGGTGCTCAGTTAATTTATTCAATGACCAGTCATTCCTCTCCTTGATTTAACAAACATTCATTGAGCACCTACAGTGTTGCTGATGATATTAAAACCTCAGTTTCTATCAAAAAGCATAAGACATTGCCCCCACCCTTGATAAGCCATGACTTGGTAGTGGGTTCACATACATAAACAAAGGATCATATTGCAATGTACCATGATCTAGTATTTACACACATGATGTGCTGAAGGAATACAGATGAAGGAACATCAATTCTGCCTTGGGGCCCAAAGAAACCAGTTGGGAAAGTTATATTTAGGATGAGTGAGGGACACGGAGGTTCAGAGGTCCTCAGGCAGTTAAAGAGGGAGTAGGGTAGAAGGTGCAGGATAGGTATGGGCACATGGAAGGTCATGGAACTGGCCAGTCACCCAGTGAGGCTAGAGTGGAACACTGCTCACGTAGGCAGGAAGAAAGGTACTCCAGGTAGAAGTAACAGCAAAGTCAAAGAAAGCAGTCGGCAAAGAGATTTGTAAGTTTGAAGAATTAAAAGATGAACCATAGGAATGAAGGAGAGTGTGGCAAGAAATGTACTTTGACAGAGAGAACTTGTGCCAGGTCATTCTGGTCTTTGTAGGCCATGATAGAGAGTTCAGATTTTGTTCTAAATACAATCAAAGCCATTAGGAATTGTAGGCACTGTACTTCCAGTGAGCTAAGTTTTGGGGTCAGTCTGGTCACTGTGATGGAGCAGAGAGGGCAGGGAGGAGAGTCATCAGGAGGCTGTAGGTGCAGACCAGGGGAAATGCCAGTTAGACTACACTATGCTGTGGCAGTGGGAATGGAAGGACCTGATGTGCTTTCCTGAAATGTAGTTGGGGCGTGTCACATGCTTGAGTTCTGTGTCCCTACCCTCTCTCACTGACCCATAGTCGGACAGACCACACTGCCACTGGGCCCATCGGGAGGCAGGGATGGGATTCAAGGAAGACTTGTTGGTTTGGATGGAAACACAACAGAGTATAGAATAAACTTTTTTTCAAATGTTGTTTCAATTTAATTCAGTAAGCATTGGAGATGTATTTTCATCAGAACCCTCTCAATTTTAAGGGGTTAATGTCTAACTCAAATGGGAAATGTATAGTTCACTTAACTGAAAAGGTCCAGGGAGTTGAGTTTTAGGCAAAACTGAATACAGGGGCTTGAATCTTGTTAAATGGTTTCTCTCCATCTCTTGGCTCTACTTTTTTCTATGGTGACTTCACTCTCAGGCAGGGTCTTCCCATGTGATACCGGCTATTGGCAGACTCAGATCTGTAGCCTTATAATTTCACAACCCCAGCAGAGAGAGAGAGGGCTGCTATTACTGAACAGTCCTTGCAGAGGGCTGGCAATGATTTGCCCAGTTTGGGTCCCATGAACACGGTACAGGTACTGTGCCAGATGAACTGCTGGAATTGGCTACGCTAGGGTCACATGGCCAGCTCTGCAGCTGGGGATGGAGTCACCCTTATTTTCATGGACCAAGTATGGAGAGTGAGGTGATTTCCCAAAGACCCACTAGGACACTGGTATGTGGAGAACATGAGAGATGGCAGGTAGACAGAAGGACAGGTACCTACTACGAGCACCTGCCATTGTATGCAAGCTCTGCCTAGTTCTCCTGCAGGAAGTTCAGGAGTGAATAATTCAGTTCCTATCCCCAAGATGCTCACAGGGTACCAGGGATGCAGATACATACATATAAGCCTTTTTCACGTGAGCCCACCTGTGAAGAGTGCCCTGATTTGATGGCATGTCCAGCACCAGGAAGCTCTGACTGCTTTTACTCAAATGGCACCTGGGGCCAAGGCACATGTTTTCTCACATTTCTATTTTAAGAGTCAATAAATCATTTCTGGTACCTTAACTGGATATTAAATCAGGGTGTTTTTCTTGTCCCCTAATACAGGGCCAAGATGTCTAAAGTTGACCTTCAGTCTAGTCCAACATCTGGAAATGAGTACTAAAGCCACCAGCACAGACAAAAATGGAGAACAGGTGGACCTGGGGAACAGTCTGGGGAAGGAGGGGTTCCACATGAGAAGTTACCTGCAGGGAGCAGTTGGGTGGCTTGAGTTCCAGCCTGAGAATGATTGTAATGTATCTCCTTAAATCCGTGTATGTAGGTGGCACTCTGTTCCTCCTTATCCTTGTATTTCATCTGCTCTCAGGGCTGTGTTTCTTTGCTTCTTGTGGGCTTTTGCTTTTCAGTTCAGCACATATTTATTGAACCTTTTTGTGGGGACTGGCTAGTTATTCACCAGCTCTCTTCCTTCTTTGTCTTGGGAACATAGCTAGGTTATATTCCCCAGCCTCCCTTAAGTTCTCTGTGACTGGATTCTGGTCTGTGGGATGTGGGATGATGTAAAGTCCACCTTACTTCAGCAAAACCTCCTGTGAAGTTCTCCATGCAAATTTGCCCTATTCCTCTGTCTGCCACCTGGAAGAAGAGGATCTGGTGGGGGACAGTGGAGCCACAAGATGGAAAGAGGAGTCTAGGTTCCTAAATGACAGCAAGGAGTTGTCAATCATCCAAACTCCTGTGCAAATACAAAACTCCACACCAGATTGCGACAGGAGTGAAAGATAAATCTTTACAATGTTCACTTGTTGAAATTTTGGAGTTATTTTCTTTTTGTTTTTGCTTTAGAATATAGAATTTAGCCTACCTTGAGTAATCAGAGTTAAAAAAAATATAAGAAATTGTGCCATGTGCTAGGTTCTCAGTGTTGAGCAAAGCAGGTGCTGCTCTGGCCTTGATGGAGTTTTCAGTCTTACCTGTTATTTTTTCTATTCCCACTCCGTCTTCCACTCCTTGCAGGCAATAACAGATGATGTTGGGGGCAATAGTCTTGAAATAACTCTGGTAAGTGCCCAGCAGAGCCAGATGCTGGGCTGAGTTTTGAAAATGAACAACTTCATTGGTACTCTCTGAGCCTTTCTTGGAGTGGGGCTTGTCTGTGGGTCACAGCCTGATCCTTTAGGCCTTGTGAAGCTTGAAAGATCCTACAATTGTGCAGGGTAAAGAGGTTTTTTGTTATATACACAAATTGTACTTTTTCTTATTTCTCATTTTTGTTCTCAGACAAGTCCTTCTAATTAGTTAGAATTTCATTAATCCAGTCATCCTTCCATCCATCTATCCATCTATGCATCCTTCCGTCCATCCATCTATCCATCCATCCATCCATATATTTATTCTTTAGAGGTAGTTTTATTAATAATAGTTGTCTTTTGTCAAATGCTCATTTGCCAGGTGCCATGCTATTGATATGACTAGTCCTTTTTAATTCAAATGACAGTCCTACAAGGCAGGTGCCATGATTATCACTTAATAAATGATAAACTGAGGCCTTGAGACATTTCTTCAGAGTATGATCCCATATATGTTTTGGTAGAGCCTAGATTCATAGTCATGATGCTGTCCTTCATTCTACATTTATTGGGATGCCCTCAAATGCCATGTCTGATGGAGGCATCCCCACCTAGAGTAGCTGACTTGAAGGAGTTCACACTGTATGTGTGTGCACATGTGTGAAGATGGATAGTCAAAAGAGACTGTCATGTAAACAAGTAATGCAATTGGAAAGGTGCTGTGCAAAGTAGCTGAGAGAATCACAGGGCCCTGTGAGAGACTGGAAGGCACCCAGATGATCCAAGGTGATGGCCAAACCTACAAACAGGGGAGCCAGGGACAAGAGCAGGGATGATTGAATCTAGAGTCAGACTGATCGTACACCCTCAGTCTTCCAGTTGGATGTCCTTGGCTGGGTCAGCCATTCTCTCTGTGACTCAGCTTCCCCACCTATAAAATCAGGATAATTTAGCTCATACTTAAAGGGTAGTTTTAAAGATTAAATAAGATGGCTTCTTAAGGATTAACTGAGATAATACATTTTAAATAGGGCTTGGCAATACTAAGTTCTTGATAAATATTAGCTTATTTTGTGATAATGATGGTCATGGTGATGGTGATGATGGTGTTGATGGTTGTGCGGATGGTGATGGTGATGTTGATGGTCATGGTGATGGTGATGATGACAGTTGTGCTAATGGCGATGATGATGATTTGGAACTAGAATCAAAAGAATGTTTTCCTGCTGTTTCCCTCATTGCAAATAACGTACATATGTCTCTTTCCCCATACTCGTTATTGTCTCTCAAGTTCTGAATTGTCCCAGCTCTATCACCAAACCAGGTTTGTGGCCTTGGGCAGAGCATAAAAGATGTCTTGGCTTATTGTTCTCTCTATAGTGAGGGAGAATAGTGGGTTCTGGAGCTGGACTGTCTGGCTTACAAGCTAGCTCCACCACTTAGCAGCAGGATACCCTTGAGGAAGTCATGCAACTCCTCAGAGCCCCAGCTTTCTCATCTGAAAAATGGGGATGAAAATAGTAACTGCCACATTTAGGTGTTTTAAGGAATGGTAAAATGATCTGCATAAAACTATAAGCCTCATTCCTGGCACATGGTGACCTCTTAATGAATGCTAGATATCCTCATTTTGAAATTAAGAGGTGCCTTCAACTTTACTTGGTGGCTTTTCTCTATACATTGTACCTTTATTTTTACTTTGGAAAGTTGTATGCAGTGCCCCGAATGCTGACTTGTAAACTGATTTGAACACCATCCTCATTCCTTTTGGCTCTCTGAGAAATGTTCTTTTTTAATGAATATGATAGCAAGACTTACTTATTACCAGGTTATTTCAGGCAAGAGTGATTTTTAACTCATTAACCAGATAATTATTGCAGTTCTCCAGTTACCTTTCTGTTCATAGACTTAATAAGGCCTGAGGTTATGTGGCAGAGTTTTCTTGGCTAAGATGGGAGAATTATTAAAGCTCTCAGGTGAAGGTGTGAAACCTTTGGTGCACAGAGGGTGGCCGTGCCATTCAAGCAGTCCGTGATGGTGAGAGGGAGCTCAGCTGCTTAGGGAACTGGTACAGGGTTTCATTAATCATGGGACATTTCTGGTGTACTTGAAAATGTTAGTTTTACTTATGGGAAAGATATCCAGACGTAAATGTGTGTGTGCTGTGTGCATGTGCGCACGGTAGGTTATACAGCACCAAGGGGTCAAATAGACTGGTTGACTGTATCCTGTAGTGGTTTGGAGCAGGTGTTGGCAAACTTTTCCTGTAAAGTAAATATTTTAGCCTTGGCAAGCTATAAGATCTTCATCACAGCTACTCAATTCAGCCAATATAGTATAAAAGCAGCAAGAAGATACATATAAGTGAGGATGTGACTGTGTTCCAACAAAACTTTATTGTGGACATTGCAGCTGGAATTTCATATAATTTTCATGGACCACAAACTGTTACTTTCTTTTGACATTTTTCTACTGTTTACAAGATAAAAACCATTCTTTTCTCATGAGCTGTTCAAAAACAGGTGGTAGGTGGGATCTTGCTGGTGGGCTGTTGTTTGCTGACCTCTGGATTACAGTCTGCATCTGTTGCAGCTTATTTCAAGCACCGCTTGTTTCATTATTTACTTTATCGCCTTGGGCACACTCCATAAGTAGTCAGTGCCTCAGTCTCCTCTTCTGCAAAAGAGAAATCAGAGACTTCCTATGTTGGTAGAGAAAATTTGTAAGAGTTAGCAGAGATTAAGTGCCTTAAACAGTATCTGGTGCGTAGCACCCCCTTGAGAAATACTAGCTTTTATTGTTTTCATTGAATTACTGTCTCATGGAATTCTTACAACTACATCATGAGGAAAATAGTATTAATAGTATTATCCCCATTTCCCAGATGAAAACACTGAGGCACAGAGCTGTATTCTGTCTGAGGCCAGAGTTAGACCATGACTTACTTATTTACACAAAGCAGCAGGGACCTGTCTTTGATGATGAACAAGTCCAAATTACTACAAAACTGCTTTTGTTCTTCTTCTAATGAAGTGCCCAGGATTCCCATCCATCAGAAATTGCCTGTGCCTATTAGAAACTGTCATTTGGCAAGGGGATGAGGGCGGCGGCGGTGGTGGGGTTACAAGATGCGCAGGTGGTATAGGGAAGGAGTGGCAAATCAAATGACAGCAACAGAGCAGCCGTTACTGCATTTTATTTTTTTGGCATTTTCTTCCATTGTTCTCCTTTGTGGACACACTCTGGTGTTTGCACTGGGGGCATCCCTGTTGTATTTGTAAATCCCTGGAGGTTGCAGTTGTAAAATGTGCCTTTATCCTCTCCCATTGCATTTTTTTTCCTCTCTAATGCACCAAATTAGAAGATTGACTGATTTTCGTTTTCCCTGGAAGGTAAAATTTCAGCTTAAATCACAAATGTCTGTGATGCACTTAGCAGCCACCGCAGCTTCTAACCAGTAACCATTCCTCCTTATTCCCTCTCTACCCAGGAGAATATTCAGGTCTATTGTGATTTCGAGATGCATTAGCCGCACTTAGAGTTAAGGATCAACTTTGGCTTCTGTGGAAGCTGCTGAGATTTAAAGGGTAAGAGCTCATCCCATTTAGAACATGGTGTATTCTTTCCCTCCTTGCTCATATCATTTATGAAAGGATAAAAGACTGGAGAAAGTGTCAGAGTAGATTCTGGAGGTACTTATATTGCTAGGACAAAAAAAAGAAATCACATTACCAGTAGCTGGCTTAGTTCTGCATGTTACTATGTGATCAGTTTCCAAAGTTCTTCGTCTTGGAAGACAGGCAGCCCCAACCTATGGGAATCTGCTCACCCTACAATGGTGAGCAGACCCACTCCACCCATCTTTGCCATTCAAGTCTACAGCATTTGAACAGATCAGCCCGTTCTGTGTCAAGAAACTCCTTATGCATGTTCTGGACACAGCCCTGTGTCTCTGCAGGTTCAAATTCCCCTGAATGAGAGAAAAGTTAGAATCTTCCCTTCGTATCTCAGCTTCTCTACTCATTACTCAAACCCTTGGGAAAGCTGCTCTATTACTTATTATGTCTGCTTCCTCTGGAAAATGGCAGGGTAATATGAATACCTTATTTATAGGGCTGCTGTGAGAATCAATATTTGTAAAACACCTGGAAGAGAGCTTGACACATACAAAGCACTCCAAAAATGTTCTCTGGCATTAAAAACATTTGATAATATGGGCTGGGAGGGATCACACTGCTTCTCAGATGCAATCCTTCAATGGCACCCCATTTCTTGTAAAAATAAATACTAATCTCCTCAACCTGGCTTACAAGGCCTTGTTCAGTTTACCCTTATGGGCTTGTTCTATCCATCCACTTTTCCTCCCCAGCGACACGGTACAGGCACACCTCAGAGATATTGCAGGTTTGGTTCTAGACCACAGCAATAAAGTGAATATTACAATAAAGAGAGGCATACAATTTTTTTTTTGTTTCCCAGTGCATATAAATAATAAACTACAGTTACGCTGTAGTCTATTAAGTTTGAAATAGTATTATGTCTAAAACGTGTGCATACCTTAATTTAAAAATACTTTATTGCTACAAAATATGAATGATCATTTGAGCCTTCAGGGAGTCATAATCTTTTTGCTGATTGAGGGTCTTGCCTTGATGTGACATTGATGGTTTCTGGCTGATCAGGGTGGGGGTTGCTGAAGGCTAAGGTGAATTGGCAGTTTCTAAAAAGAAGACCACAATGAAGTTGTCTGCATCAACTGACTGTTTCTTTTACAAAAACTTTCTGTAAAAATTTTGTATAGCATGTGATGCTGTTTGATAGCATTTTACCCACAGTAGAACTTCTTTCAAAATTGGAGTCTACCCTCTCAAGCCCTGCTACTGCTTTGTCAACTGGTTTAGGTACTGTTTTAAATCTTTTGTTGTCATTTCAACAATGTTCACAGTATCTTCCCAAGGAATAGAATCCATCTCAAGAAACCACTTTCTTGGCTCATCTATAAGAAGCAACTCCTCATCTGTTCAAGTTTTATCATGAGATTTCAGCAATTCAGTCACATCTTCAGGCTCTATTTCTAATTATAGTTGTCTTTCAGTTTCCACCACATCTGCCGTTACTTCCTCTACTGAAGTCATAAAGCCCTGAAAGTCATCTATGAAGGCTAGAATCAACTTCTTCCAAACTCCTTTTAATGTTGACACTTTGACCTCCTTCCATGAATCATGAATATTTTTAATGGCTTCTAGAATGGTGAATCCTTTTCAGAAGGTTTTCAGTTCACTTTGCCCCGATCCATCAGAGGAATTACTATCTCTAGCAGCAACAGCCTTACAAAATGTTATTTCTTTAATAATAAGACTTGAAAGTTGAAGTCACTTCTAGATCCATGGGCTGCGCAATAGATGTTACATTAACAGGCATGAAAAAACTAGTCTCGTACATCTCTATTAGAGCTCTTGGGTGACCAGCTGCATTGTCAATAGGCAGTGATATTTTGGAAGGAATTTTTTTTTTTTTCTGAGCAGTAGGTCTCAACAATGGGATTAAAATATTCAGTAAAGCATGCTGTAAACAGATGTGCTGTTAGACAGGCTTTTTAAAAGTAGCACTGCAAGAGTAATTTAGGATGATTATTTAGGGCCCTAGGATTTTCAGAATGGTCAATGAGCATTGGCTTCAACTAAAAGTCACTGGCTGTTTAGCCCCTAACAAGAGAGTCAGCCTGTCCTTTGAAGCTTTGAAGCCAGGCAGTGACTTCTCTCTATCTAGGCAATTCCTAGATGGCATCTTCTTCCAGTATAAAGATGTTTTATCTACACGAAAAATCTGTTTAGTGTAGCCACCTTTGTCGATGATCTTAGCTAGATCTTCTGGAAAACTTGTTGCAACTCTCTACATCAGCTCTTGCTGCTTCATCTTACACTCTTATGTTATGAAGAAAGCTTTCTTTAAACCTCATGAACCAAACTCTGCTAGCTTTCAACCTTTCTTCTGTAGTTCCTTACCTCTCTCAGCCTTCAGAAAATTGAAGAGTGTTAGGGCTGTGGATTAGGTGTTGGCTTAAGGGAATGCTGTGGCTGGATTGATCTTCTATTCAGACCACTTAGACTTTCTCCCCATCAGCAATAGGACTGTCTTACTTTTATATCATTTGAGTTTTCACTGGAATGGCACTTTTTATTTCATTCAAGAGCTTTCTTTTGCATTCACAACTTGGTTGATTGGCCTAAGAGGCCTAGCTTTTGGCCGGTCTTGGCTTTCAACATACTTTCCTCACTAAGAAGCTTAATCATTCTAGCTTTTGATTTAAAGTGAGAGGTATGCAACTCTTCCTTTTCCTTGAGCATTTAGAGACCATTGTAGGGTTATTCATTGGCCAAATTTCATTATTATGTGTCTCAGGTAATAGAAAGGCCTGAGGAAAGGGAGAGAGAGGGAGAGGAAAGGCTGGTTGGTGGAGCAGTAAGGCCATACACATACAACATTTACCTATTACGTTAGCCTTCTTGTATGGGCATGGTTTGTGGCATCCCAAAACAGTTACAATAGTAACATCAAAGATCACTGATCACAGATCACCATGACAGATATCATAATAATTTGAAAGTTTGAAATATTGCAGGAAAGACCAAAATGTGACACAGACAAGAAGTGAGCACATTCTGTTGGAAAAATGACACCAATACACTTGCTCAATGCAGGGTTGCCAGAAACCTTCAATTTGTAAAATATGCAGTATCTGCAAAATGAAATAAAGTGAAGCACAATCAAACAAGGTACACCTGATGTCTTTCAGTTGGCTTAAGGTAATAATTGCTGCAGCCAGCTCAGTCCAGCCCAGATTTGTTACATTTTCATGAATTTTTCAAATGTTTTGTTAAATACAGCTATCATTAAAAATTAAATTGCATCAACTTATAATTAAGTTATATTAAAAGAAGGGTAATATGGGCACAAAACTGACCATTTCCTGATTATTTTACTACATTTTACTATTTTCTATGCTTATTTAGTCCTATTATTTATGTATGGTGAAATCTATATAATGGGGAACAGCTGCTCATAGCTGCCAGCACTTCATTCAGTGAAGTCACATTGGCAGCTTGAAGCTGGCCATGCCGGGAGTATTTATATGACAGGAACTGGCAAACACCTCAGGGCTAGATGTCTTGTTTTTGAACTAGAATGGCAGTCAGCAAACTTTTTTCTGTAAAAAGCTAGAGGAGTATCCTAGGCTTTGTGGGCACCGAACCCTCTGTTGCAATTACTCAACCCTGCAGCTGAAGAGTGGAAAACAGTCATAGAATATACATATATAAATAAATGAGTATGGCTGTGTTTCAATAAAACTTTATTTACCAAAACAACAGGCTCACAGTTTGCTGAACTCTAGTCTAGACTTACAAAAGTGATAGAGAAAACATAAAGAATGCAAATTAAATTTTAAAAATGTGTTGATTCTGGTAGCTGTTACATTGTATATTGCCCCCCAGAACACAGGACATATTCTTTAAACATCTGAAAAGTATTTTGGGATTCAGCAAAGAAGCTGCTCAAGACATTGACAAATAAGTGAAATTCTGACTTAGGTCATTGGTTTATTTTCAATCTTGCTTGTTCATTTAAATGGAAATGGCAATCAACATTGATATGGGAACCACACTTGCTCATCAGTTCTAACTGTAAGTTGGCTACAAGTGTAAGAGTTTGGAAAAAAATCAACAAAAGCATTCTGTGAGAATCAATTGGCTGTGTGTACAATTTACAATATAGAAAATTGTGTGTTTTATTATTTGTAAATTATGTGTTACTTATCTTTGATATCAGTGAAATACATAATCAACATATATGTGCCTGGACATGCCTATATTGGTTTTTGTGTAGAGCCAATTATTAACATTACCAGAATATCACTGCTTGAATGGGGCATGTTCTCTTTAGCTTCCAGGCCTTTGAGTGGTTCCTCCACCTGAAACAATCTCTTCTTCCCTTTGCCTACCTAACTCCTCCTTCTTTGATCTGCAGCTTAAATGTGACTTCTTCAAAAAAGACTTCTTTGATCCCTTCAGTACCAAATGAGTTCTTCCCTTTATGCACATTTTTCCTTGTGACACTTGACTTAATTATAGTTAAATGATGAATTATGTGCTGGCTTATTACTTCCTTTTTACCAAAAGACTGCACGCTTCCCCAGGTAGATAGGTCCATCTTCTTTATCATCGTGTCTTTGGAGTCTTACGCAGTTTGTTGAAATATTATGTTTGTAGCTGAACTGAATTGTGATTTAAAAAAAAATAGGTCTGTATTTAAAAGTTTTAGTGTCAGCTCCATCCAGCCCAAGTTAAGTACTAATTCAGCAAGTTAGTTAAGTAATAAATGGCTGTCACTCAACTACAACATATTTGAATTCAGTTTTGAGGCCCCAGTAGTTGCTAAAAATCAATGCCCACTTTCTCCAGGTATAGTAATTATTTCTCATATTGTTATTGACTGTCTCTTTAAAGACCAGCCAGGACAAATCTATTTCTGAAGCTGTTGTAAATGATTTGAAACAGGAAGATGAATGGAATGGAATGAGGGTTGTTTAAAAGAGATTTATCCCTCTTATTCTTGCTCAAGAAATGAGTGGCCAGTTGCTACCAGCCTATCCCAAAAGCCAAGAGATAAAAGCCAGCAGCAGTTAATTTTCTAGTCCGTGTGCTAGTGACCACAGATATCTAACCACTGATTTCCAAAGGCTTACTATTATTCATACATATTTACTATGGTAAATAGCTCATGTTTTCAGGAACACTGAGGATCTGTTTAGTCACTTTGGATTTCTGGTTTCATCAAGAGTTTGTGTCCGACATCTGGGGATGAGTGAGGGTTCCGGATACCCATTACAGAGGAAGAGTCTGATGGGGAAACTAGAGGGAATTCCTATCTGGAATTTAAATTTAAGTTTAGGATCTCAGAAAGACAAATGGAGTTGAAGCTGTGTCAGGCAGAAGAGATATCTCCATTTGTTTTTCTGCTTTCTCAACATAAGGCAAATGTCAGTAGTAACCAGGTTTATTCCACAGGCATACTCTGCAATGTGTGGGTAATTGTGCCTATCGATTGTGACAAAGTCTTCAAGCATGAGGCAGAGAAGTTTGCTATCCAACTGGATGCCCTCAACAATGTTTGCATCTCAACAATGTGTCCTCACATTGGCTGGCTTTACATATGCAGACAAGTGAGGACATGCAGAAAATCATTTCACTGGTCCTCCCCATTGCATTGTCGATTGTGTGGAGGCTAACATGTAAAGTTATCAGCCCAGCAGCAGACACGGAGTGAGTTGTCCATAAATAGTCATTCTAATTGTTCTGTTTTTCTTATTATAATTTATTTTTGCTATGTAAAAAAAAATCAAATGATCTATTGCGTGTATATGTGAGTTTTTGTTTAAAGGCATATGACCCAATTTGTAAACATGATCATTATCTTCTCTGGGAAGAATACTAACCAAGGGAAAGAGTTCATGATTTGGCTGTGTAGAGCTCTCATTAAGTGATAGGTGACTGGTTCTGTGCTGAGTGTTTTTCATCATCTTGATCCTATGAGACATTCAACATTCCATCTTCATCTTACAAATGAGAAAACTGAGGCTTAGTGAGGTTCTATAGATGCTCAAGGTCACAGACCCAACAGGTGACTGAGCTGGGGTTTAAATCTCCAGGGGGTCTTTTAGTAAGGCTTATGCTTTTAAGCACCAAACTCTACCAGGATATAAATGGCAAAAGGAACTGCTTAAGATATGAAGAGAAAAGAAACACACTACTTAACACAAAACAAAAACTGGATAAAATACCCAGTTGCCTGAATATGTATGCACTTATTCTTGCATTCAGCAAATAAGTACATAGCACCTATCATGAACCAGTGACTTTGCTTAGGAACACAAAGCAAGCAAAATCCCTGCCTTGATGGCACTTACTTCTTAGGGAAAAGAGAGGATGACAGAACTGTAGAGAAAACAGAGTATACCAGATAGCAATGAGGGCTGTGGAGAAAATAAGGTGGGAAGAGAACTAATATTGGAGCTGGGATTTCAGAAGGAAGAAAGTGTTTGAGTTGAGACCTGAAGGAGGTGCAGGAACCACAGGACCATCTGGGGTCATGGTCAGCAACATGGCCAATGGGCCAACTTTGGCCCACTACTTGTTTTCATGAATAAAGTTCCATTGGATCTCAGCCAGGCCCATTAGTTTATGCACTATCTGTGTCTGTTTTTGTGTTCAAATGGCAGAGTTAAGCAGTTGCAATCCTGTGGCCCAGAAAAACTTAAATGTTTACTATTTGGCCTTTTATAGAAAAAAAAAATGTGTCCACCTACATCTAGAAGAAGAGTTTTCCAGGGAGAGGGGACAGGCAGCACATAGGAGTCTCAGGATGGGAATATGCCTAGTGTGTTTGAGGAGGCAGGTGCGCCTGCAACAGAATGGGCAAAGGGGTGAGTGGAGGGCAGGGCCTGGGCACGTGGGGGCCACTGTAGGGGAGAGAGGGAGGATTCTGCAGAGTGTTAACAGGAGGACTCTCGCTCTTTGTGATACATCCACTGTCTTAGGTTGAAGAAGCAACTCTGAGATGGAGTTTAGCATTCAGGGCCAACACCTATGGAAAGCAGGGGCAGGAAGCAGGAGTGAGCAGAGGGAGAAGTCCAGCTATGATACAGACCAATGGCAACCTTGGCCACTCTCTAGGAGCTTCAGAATTGACCCTGTTTGGCCCAAGACAGACAGGCCTTTATACTCCAGTGTTGATCGGTCATTGAATATAGGTCTTTCAATGGCAACAACAGTTACAAGGAAGGAGCATCACCTGGGTGATTGTTGAGAAGCTGAGAGCCGAGGGCTGCCTGCTGACCGCACTCCCAGCAGCTGGTGCCATGGGTCCTGCATTGAAGTAGGATCTTGGGGGCACATCACAATGTCCAGCACATAGAGGATGTAGGGAGTAACAGCTAAAGCAAGACTAATTAGGAGGCTACTCCGGAAATCTAACTGAGAGATGAAGGTGGCTTGAACCAGGAGGTGGCCAAGAGTTGGCAGACTCTCTCTTTTGAAGGTAAAGCTTTCATATATTCTCCATGGCCTAAGATCACCTTAAAGGAGCAAAGTAAAAGGAAACAAGCCAAGGGGAAAGGCTTCAAAGATTCAGTCTATGTTATTAAATCTCCCCACCCATTGATTATCATCCATGACAGTCTTTGCTTAGCTTAGGTTTACCTGTGCTCATCATTTTCCAGGGTGTACAGAAGGAACACTATTTAATCACAAACGTTCCAATCACAAATGCTTCAGTGACAGGAATAGAAGCTGTCACACCAGACAGGGCAGATAAGTCCTTGTCACATGGCTGGGTCTGTCCCTGCAGTGACTGTGCTATTCATAGCAAGAATGTTGTGTTGCTAAACTTGGCATGAAACAATACAGTTATTTATGCGACTTCATGAACTAGAGTATCGCCTTGGATTTGAGATTCTGCTAAAGCTACATGAGTGGGCAAATCAAGAAATTGTATTCCATAATTTGTTTCCAATCTGACAGAGTACTATGTGTAATAGATGAATAAGCTTATAGATTTTAGCACATTTATTGCAGTGTGATGTGGTTTGACACAGTGTCTATGAGCTGTGTGGGGTGAAATGGAAGGTTTAAATGGATTCCAGCTTCATTATCCCACTGTGATCTGAGGAAAGCGAGACCACAATGTTGCCATCCAGTAAAGCACTTTATCACATTCCTTCCCAAGTTGAACAGCAGCGTTCTGCCAAAGAAAAGCTATTTGCTGGGTAGACTCTTTAGCAAGTTTCATTTTTAACTTGGGTGCCAAGCCAGCCAATAGAATCTAATGGGCTTTGCTTACAATGTGCATGGCTTGGCTATTTACATGAGATTGACAGCACGAGAAAAACCAGACGCTATACTCACTAGGCTGATTTAGAGGTTTCTCTGCTCATTTGAATTCAGCCAAGCTAGTCAGTCTAGCCCTGGGAAAACCTGCAAGAGTAAAAAGAGAACCAATAAAAGCGATTCATGAAAAACCTGAAGTGCATAAGAAATTAATTCCCCTGAGTTTCCAAACTAGTCAGTAAGCTGCGCTGAGGTTTTGCTTTCTATGTTTCTCCTTTGCTTAGGGACTGGTCAAAATCTCGAAGCCACTTGTTGATTTTTCTCTCTTTAAACTGCTTTGATGGAAGAACACCCAGGGTGTAATGGGCACCTGGGTGGGTGGATGCCTAACTAAATATATTTATATAATCCTTGAAACATGTTTAACTCTGGAGGTTAAGGAAGGCCCAAAGACAAAGCGGAGTTGTTAAGGGAAGAAAAAAACAGAACTTCTTAAAGGTTGACACGGTGCCACTCATTAATTCTAGAAAAGTTTGCAGGGGCTGTTACATGTCAGACACAATGCTAGCCTTCCCAGATGCATTGATGAACAAGTTGCAATTCTTGCTGTGGTGAGCTAATGGTAAAAATAAACAGAGCACTGCCACACACAGACATAAGAGCCATGGGGCAGCATCCCATTCCAATGCCTGGTACATATTAGGAACCCACTAAATACTTGTTAAGGTTCATTTTGTGATGGTATTTTTTTCCTCTCTCCGCTAGCTTAAATCTGTTCAAGTCTCCCATGGTTAATACGATAATTTTTCTGATGTTTATCACCAATAAATTTTTAGAAAAATCAGGCTACACAGTCACTCTCTCCACCTTCTTAGGATACACTCACTCTCTTACCCTTTCACTCCTTCGGGCAATTTGATCTGCTATCTTTTCCCACCACTTTAAGAGAAGGACTCTTGATGGGGTTCCCACACCTGGTCAGATGGCCTCTCTTGGTTGTCTTCCTCAATCCTTTCATTGTGTTGTAGTTGGGCAGTTCCTCCACCTTTCACTTCTCAGATGCAGCATAATCGTGTTTCTTCCTCCCCTCTGAATATTCCTTTTCTGCCTCTCTGCATTCCTTTTCCTCTTCCCAACACCTAAGTGATTCTTAAAAATATTCTCTGACTTTCTATGCCTTCTCCATCAGTGTTAGTTTCAAGTTATCTTGTCATAGTTTCATTTAGGAGATAATGCCTGAATCTTTATCTTAAGCCTTGAACCCTCTAGAACAATTTCATTTGTGTGCTGGGCACCTGGATGTCCCAAAGGCATGTGAACTCATCATATCAGGAGTCAAACTCATTCTGACTAATTTTATTTAATGCTATTTCCATTCACTTGGTCATCCAGGTGGAGACCTGAGGGTCAAGATGGAGCCCTCTCCCATGTCTCTCTCTTTGCTGCTCTCAGATGGACCCAGGGGTCATGTGCTGTCAACTCATCCATCACTATATTTTTCTCCTTTGCCCTTCCATGTTATTTCCATTTCACCCACCGTTGTGTGATACCACAGCGTCTGTTTTACCTCCCACTGAACAAAAGAAATATAATCCTTGAAACGTGCTCCTTAGTGTGGAAGAGAGGGGTGGTCTGATGACTTGTTTCAAAATGATCTCAATATCAACCACTGCCCCAACGGTCTTGCATTTCATACTTAAGCAACATATTTCAATGCAGAGAAGGTTTATAGTGTGGTGGGGATTTGAGGGTAGCTTTTCAATTCTGCTCTGTTTGATTTTTGACTGATGACCCCAGACACAGAGATTTGGCCTGGCAGAACCTGCCCTTAGTTCTATAGAGGACACCTTCCCCATACTTTTTTCTCCTTTTCCTCTTCCTCTATAAACTCTAGGTTCTTTCACTGCATTTCTTTTTTGTAAACAGCTTTACTGAGGTATAATTGACCTACAAAAAATTGCTCCGGTTTAATGTATACAGTGTGATGAGTTTGGATATATACAAGCACTGGTGAAACCATCAGCTTCATAATCAAGGCTTCCAATATCATTCACCTCCAAACGTTTCCTTATGCCCCTCCAGTGTTTGTTGATTTGTTTGTGGTAAGAACACCCACCATGCAATCTACCCTCTTAATAAAATGTTTAAGTGCACAATGCAGTACTGTCAATTACAGGCGCTGTGTTGTACAGCAGACCTCTAGAGCTTACTGATCTTGCTAAACTAGCCACTTGTCACACATTCGTTAGGTTTCATGACAGTCTGTCCTCTGAGATGGGCTAAGAGTTAGTCTGCTCTCAAAGAGTTTCTTGCAAGAATATGATGGGTGCTTTGTGGTGAAAAGTGAAATAGCAATAAAAAAAATCAGTCACTTCCATTGTAAAAATAAACGTAACTGCATGGCCAATATGTTATTCTAAAACAGAAGTTGGCTTCTTACCTGGCTTTACCGTGCACGGAGGACTTTAATTTGTGTTCCTGTCAAACTCTAGGAATGTGAAAATGTGGAAAGCCCATCCCAAACAAAAATAAGCCTCTTGCCGGAGTCCTCACCTGAAATCTCTCTCATTCTCACCCATTCACCTTTCAAATCTGTGCTTTTAGCACATCACCTTTCTGCCCTAAAACGTTTAGTGGCTCACAAGCTAGTTTCCAAATTCCTTAGCTTAGTAGTTAGCCCTCCGCTACCTTTTCTTAATGCACTTTTACACTTTTCTCCATGCTGTAACTAAACAGCACTACCTACTAAAATAGAAAGATACCTTTCAGGTTCCTGACCTCATGCCAGTATCTACCATTTCCTTTTCCTAGAATTCTCTCTTTCTCCTTATTTAAATCCTGTGCATTCTCTAGTGCATTTGGGGGAAAATGTCATCTCTTTCTGTAGGCATTAACTCTCTATGCCCTAAAATTTCATATAACCTTGGTGGTTCCTTTTATCTCACACATTTCGCTTATTTCTTTGACTAATGTTATTCATGAACATGTCTTACCATTTATTCTGCTGCACCTACAACCCCTGGTGGCCAGTGGCTGTCTTACTAACTTTTGTGTTCCCTGTGCCTCACACATCACAGACTTTCCAGAACCTTTTAGTGGATAAAGTTAATGCAGAAATGAGTTAAATATTCAAAGAAGCAGTGAGCAAGATACGTTTTTTATTCTTCCTTTCGGAAATGAATCCTTGCTCTTCCCCACCCCTGGGAACTGTGCCCTGGTTATGATTGAGATCTCATAGTCACTCATCATTCATTCTTTAGTTAGAATTGCATAACATTTTATTCTTTACAATAAAGATAACTTGTTAATTGCTTAACCAGATGTGATTTTACTATTATATTTTTTAGTAATTACATAAATCAGAGGAAAAATCCTTTTCAGATGATATGCCCTTATGTGTGATTTAGACAAGCTGACCACCTACTTTTAGATAAAGAAATCATCTTCTGCCAAGATGGGGCTAGATGTGAGGGAAGAGAAGTTTCCTACCAAGAATTTCCATTTAAATTCAAATTTAGAAGCTTTCTTAGTCCCTGAGTCTTATTCCACTTCAGACTTGTTGAAATTTTCCTCATGAAATATGCTTTAGTTGTCTTGGTAAATTTTAAGAGTGAGAGAAGACCAAGTAACAGTTTACAAAGGTAAGAATCATTTAAACCTACTTACTCTCCCTGTTTAAGCAATGAGGAGGATTCTGTTTATTTATTTTTAAAAAGTGTTAAGGGAAGAAGTGCTATTTCAAATTAAATGAAGACACGGGAATTTGCCTTTAATTATTTAAAATAGTTTAAATCTTGTTGTTCAAACAACACCTTGTCTCTACAAAAGAAAAAGGAAAATACGATGACACTCAGACTTTGTCAACTTTTTCCAAATATTAGCAAGTTAAAAAAAACTATTGGTTCTGAATGGTGAGATAAATATATGCCACCTGTAATATTTACCTGAATAGTATATATTCAGAATGCAATATTGTGTAATCTCTTTTAACTTCAAAATAACCCTTCTTTGCCCTGCAAAGATACTTGAACTCTTGGTGTTGGCTACCTATGAAATTATGTCAAACACATAGATTCTACATCTCCAGATATTCAAAACTAATTATCCCTTAATTTGCAAGTGAAAGCAAAATACCACCTAATAGACCATTTCTCTGGTAAACCTTTCTTTATCTTAATGAGCAGAATGTGGACGCCTATTACAACCTGATTTTAAAACCTCCGTGCCACTCAACAGCTTACTCATAAGACTGACCAGAAGGAGGCAACAAAGATGTAAATATTCTTATTTACAATATGGACTGAGCTCATATCTGTCTATTTAGCATTTTATTATAATGCATGCCATCCCAACAGAATCAATAGTTGATTGATTTCTTATGTAAGAGACTTGAGTACTTTAATTCTGGATGGAAACTCATCAGCAACTTCCAGTTGATGAGATGACGTTCTCCATTTGGTGAAACTGGGCTACATTTAATCATCACAAACTTCAAATTGTATTATCCCACTTTCCAGATAATGTACAGCGTATTAGCCCAACCCGCTTTCTTCAGAAGTGTCTTTAAACAGAGATGGGCTGTATCTAGATAGGGGTGGAATATGCCAGTGTATCGGTTAGCCGTTCCTATAATAATGCTGCATAACAAGCCATGCTAAAATTCCATGGCTTACACATTGCTCCATAGGCTGAGGGGTTGGCTGATCTAGGCTGGGCTCAGCTGGGCTTGACTCCAGACTGTGGGTTTCATTCAGGTCTGCTCCATGGACGTCTCATTCTTCTGAGGACAGCGTGCTCCTTCGGAAACATTCTTTTCCTGATGGAGACTGAAAGTTTCCAGGTTAGCATATAGAAACACATGATGCTTCTTGAAGTCTAGGTAGGAACTGGTGCTCAGTCACTTCCACCCACTGGGCAAAGCAAGTCCAATATCAATGGGGGAACATTCTGTTTGGAAGAACTTCAAAGCCTCATAGCAAAAGCCTCCATATGGGGAGTAGTGAAAAATTGGGAAAAATAATACATTCGATCACAGCTGCTTTGTTTTAGGGTTTATATAAAAGAAATAACTTTAAAAGGGGTTACCTCCTTCTCATGCCTATATTTTTAAAAGTAAGTGTATTACTCTACATTGAATAACCCAAGCTAAAAGTATTTTATAGTTAACCTTGACCTAGTATACATACTCTCTCACTCTCACTCTCCCCACACCCCCAAACCCAACAATGACCACAGATCTTCCTTTCCTTCCACTTTCACAACCCAAAACTTGTCCTGTTCATTCTCTGCTCAAAAGCCCATCAGTGAATCCCTGTTGCCATTGATATAGCTCAAACCCTCGGCTAGCTTTACAATAACCTTCACAGTGTGTGGTTTGTCTCTTCCATCATTCTGTGTGAATTTACTTGTCTGTCTTTCCACATGTTATTTCCTTTGCTGGGACACTCTCTTTTCTCTCTCCCACCTGCCTGGTGAATTGATGTTTATTCGTCAGAGCCCAGCTCAAACTTTACAACGTCTGCACATCCTTCACTAATCCCCTGCAGGCTTTTCTGTTTCCTTATCTGTGGTTTACAAGCATTTTATACATATGGCTATAAAGCACTTATAATAATAGACTGGAATTAGTCATTCATGCGCCTTTTGCTGCTAGCCTGTGAAATCCTTGAAGATGGGGGTCCATGCCTCATTCATTTTCTATCGTTAGCATTCATCTCCATGCCTGTAACATGGTAGGCTTCAAATAAGGTGGTTGGATTGAAAAGAAGGAGATTTTAAAAATAAGCATTTAAGAAATAAAAAGGAGAAACAGCCATGGCACAAACAGTTATGTTCAACCTCGCCATTAATTAAAGACACTATAAACAAATAAAAATTATAGATCAATTTTTATTTTTCAAATAGGGAATTATGTTTTTAGAAAGACAAGACATAGTATTGAAAAAAACATGGATATCTGGCATTGCCAACTGGAGTCTAACTGACAACTTTCAGGGATTTTTATCATTTCTCTTTCTCAAGTACTTAAATATATTCATATGTGTTGACCCAGAAATTTGATTTTAAATAATTTATCAAGTGGAAATAAAGATGTGAAAAAATTACATAGGATTGCTGATTATAGCATCATTTATAGTAGGAAAAAATTGAAACACTCTAAATTTCTTACAATATCAGCCCGGTTATATAAAATCATGGTGTAGATATAACATTGGGCCAAAACGTCTGCCATTATTAGAGGCACAGTTAATAAAATGGGAAAAGGTTTACCATGTATGTTCCAACATAAGAAATTAAGAGCACAAGAAATGAGAATCTTGTAAAATATAAGGGCTATTGTTAGTTACATCCCATGTACGCCAAAAACTGAATTTGAAAGAAATACAGGAAAATATTAATAGTGATTACATTTGGATGTAATAATCACAGGATGATCTTATTTTTATTTTTTTCTTTTTGCCTTTCTCTAGTTTCCAAATTTTCTACAATGAACATACATAGCATTTATAGTAAATGAAAAGATCTAAAAATATTTTAAAGATATAATTATGATACAGTAACTTGTACTGTTAACTGGGCTTGTGTGAGCTCTAAGTTATTGATTATGTATAGCTCTTTATGTGAGTTTCTGCTACTTTTGAGCCTTGACTTGTTTATCTTTAGATTGGGTTCCATTTCTCTTTTGTAATTAACTAAGAACTGAAATGAATTTTCTAAATAGAATTGTTCTTAATTTAAATATGAAATTCTGTTTTCTCTAATGTAATTGTACCTGAGTGAAAGTAACTGCAATGAGGACTATAAAGGAAGATAAAGTAGGAATATGATGTATAATTTCCCTTTGCATAATTGTAACTCTGAAGAACGCATGCTCCCAGCAGAAAAGTAATTTAAATTATATCACAACAAATGCCATATTTTAAAATAGAAACTATCCATCATGTACTGAGTAAAGCTGGTGGCAACCTATACATCTCAAAAATATACTGAAAATCCCTCCATGAGTCCATTAAAAACAAATTGATTGGTTTAATTCCAGCACATGCTGAAGGAAAGTATAAGTGACATTAATGTAATTTTAAGTGCATAAAATTACTAATTACATATTTAGAAAAAAATTATGTAAGAGAATAACCATGAGAAATAATTTTTATTATAAAATATTGAAATGTGTACAATGTGAACAGAATAGTATAATAAATCCCATGTATGTAGCGCCCACAACACCTTTTATTTCTCAGTACAATTTTTATTTTGGAAATGATTTTTAAAAATGTAGAACAATACTTTTGTCTTTATCTTCTGGGCAAAACCAGTTTTGAACAACAGTGAACATTTTAATAATTGTAGACCAGTGCTAATATGTTTTTTGTTTTTGAGACAGGGTCTCGCTCTGCTGCCCAGGCTGGAGCGCGGTGGCACTCTCTCAGCTCACTGCAGCCTCAGACTTCCCGGGCTTAGGCGATCCTCCCACCTCAGCCTTTTAGGTAGTGGGGCCTACAGGCGCAGACCACGGCACCTGGCTAATTTTTGCATTTTTTTGTAGTGACAGGGTCTCACCGTATTGCCCAGGATAGTCTCAAACGATCCACTCACCCACTTCAGCCTCCCAAAATGGTGAGATTACAGGCATTAGCCACTGCACCCATCTACTAATACATATTTTGAAGGCATAATTTGAAATCTGTTGGAACAAATGCTCCAGCAAAGACATTAAAATATATTTTTCACCTAGACAGAGAATAGACATACCTTTCATGTACACAATTTAAAATACAGACCCAACACTCAGCATTCTTTTCCTTGGTCAGCATAAAGCGTGTGAATATGGAAAACATGTCAAGTGTTGCTTGTCCCCCACTGTTAATGTTTTCTCACATTCCTGTCCAGAGATAGTTCTCTGCATCTTTTACATTAAAAATCTTGCCATAAGTGTATTTTTAATACAAATATTTTCTATTTTATAAATATGACATAGAAAAATTTCAAGCTATTCAGGTGTATGTAATTAAATTTGATTTTTTACAGGAAATTTTGAAATTGTTATAGTGATTAATTGATTTGTTCATCTGGCATGTATTAGGCACCTACTATATACCAGGTGCTCTTTTAGACTTTGGAGAAAACAGTGAACAAGATGGATAAGGGATCCCATTTTTAAAGCACAAAGTTTTCTCCAGCTATTTCTTAATGGAGAGATTAAAGAAATCTTCGCCTCCAAGAAGTCTGGATCTAAGTCATCTCCCTTTACTTGATCAGGCCCATTTCCACCCCCTAGTTCAGTTGACAGAGATAGGATGGCAGCCTCTGCCAGCATGTTTCAGGATATACCCAGGAAGCAAATACCTGGTTGGAATAACAAAGTCCAAAGCGAAGCAAGAGGGTGATTGTTAAATGAGTAATTAGAATAAACACTGAAAAATGGTATCTGCCTGGGCCTCTATTTTTCTCGCTTTTGTAGTCGTTTTTCATAGGTTGGACTTCTTGCCCTTCAGAGATAATGAACCACAATATGCATCTATCTGTGGGTAGCAGTAGCTTGAGTTTGGGATTGTTCCTCGGGTTCCTAGGGATTTTTTTGAAAACCAGGAGAGGATTTTCTGAACCCAATTGGTCCAGTTAATGTATCTATACGTCTTACTTCTCTCTTTTCCAGGCATAAATCTCTGGGCTGGCTTCTAGAATACCAGGTCCCTTTCCCCTCAGTTCCTGTGTATCCTGTGTTATAGCTCCAAGAAGGAGCTATAACAGGGTTAGAACAAAGATCTCCCCTCCCTACTACTCCTGGATAAAAATCACAGCTAAGCTGTGACTTTTGAGTGCTTAGCACATGCTAGGCACTGCAGTGAATACTTCTATACACATGATCGCATTTAAGCTCCACCACCTATTTCGAGGGCTGGATGAATTTATGTTTCTTGTGCTACATATGAGGAAACTGAGGCACAAATAGCCTCGGCCATTTGTACAAGGTGCAGAGCCTGTAAAATGGCAGCTTGGCAGTGATACCCAGTTGTATCACTCTAATCCCCAGAGCCTGTGGCCACCATACAGGGCTGCCTCTCACAACACACATAAATAGCCATATGTCTCATAGGTAGCATTGACAGAGTCAATTCTTTTCCAGTACGGAGAGCGGTGAATTTTGAGAAGTGACTTTTTGGCAGAAATGCAATCTAGTGACAAATCAGCAAAAGGTTAGAGTTCAGATTAAAACTCAGAATCTCTGACTTCAGAGTCTACAAGTTAATCTGTGACACTTTAAAGGCTCTGGGAAACAAAAGAATACTGTTGAATCTGGTTACCCCCTCAGACTCAGGCTGACTTGGAGTTGTGTGCGTGGGGCGATGCCATTCCAATGGTAGCCGCTTTGCTTTATGGGGTTTTAGGAAGAAATCCAAGCTTCAGTAGCCTTTCCCAACCGAATGCATTATTAAAGATACAACGTGTAACTCAGGACTGATTTTGACATTTTAAACATGATTTTTCTCCATTAATAGAGTACCATAAAGTCAGCAGTAACAACATTACAGAAAGCTGAGAAAGAAAATACGGTGAAACCCCGTCTCTACTAAAAATACAAAAAATTAGCCGGGCATGGTGGCGGGCGCCTGTAACCCCAGCTACTCAGGAGGCTGAGGCAGGAGAATCACTTGAACACGGGAGGTGGAGGTTGCAGTGAGCCAAGATCACGCCACTGAACTCCAGCCTGGGTGACAGAGCGAGACTCTGTCTCAAAAAAAAGTCTTACTGTACCATATGTATGTGGTTCCATCATACATCATCGTAGGTCATCGTCACCTTTTTCTCCCTTAGGTATAAGCCTTTTCTTATGTTATTGTCTCTTTTCATAAATAGGATTTTTCATAGTGACATACACATCATTGAATTAATAAACCACAATTTAAGTAACTATTTCCACATTACTGAATATTTAGCTTGTTCTTTTAGTCCCCTCCAGTTTGACACTGCAAACACCAAATTTGGTCCTCTGTTATTTTACTTCCAGAAAATAATTTTTTAGAACTAAGATTACCAAGTCACTAATATTTTTGTGGTTCTTAATGGATATATATTGCCAACTGCTTTTCAAAACTATTGTTATATTTAATACCATCAAAATATATCCATTCACAAGTTTAATTACACTGTCTTCATCATTAGTCATAACGTTTTAAAAACATAATTGCCAGCATAAGAGGGAATCTATCTATGTCTTTCTATTTCTCTCTCTCTATATATACATACATTTTATATACATATAAGCACACATCAAACATACTATATACTATATACATACTATATATTATATGCATGGTGTGTGTGTGTTTATATATAAACACACTGTTTATATATATGTGTTTATATATAAACACACTGTTTATATATATGTGTTTATATATAAACACACTGTATGTATGATGCATGTATATATACATATTTTAAACAATTTCTAAGTCATACTCAAATAGAGATGATAGTACTTTGACATTTCTTTAAAATCTAGGCAAACCTGAGATGCTTTTATCATTGAAAGTAGAAGGTGTCCCCATTACTGGCAGGGAAATAGATTCCAGAATTTCATATTCTCTCCAGGTCAGCCACTACAAATGAGAACTGAAGAATTAATCTAAGACTTTTTTCATTTTTAAAAATCGGGTTATTACTTTAGCAGAAATATGACTTTATGCCTTCATAACTAATTGTACTAATTTATGAATAAAGTACATTTTTATTTAAAAAACCAAGAGGCATACTAGAAGAAATTAATCCACTTATTTTCTTCTCAAGTAAGTGGTTTACTTAAGCATACATATATATACAATTTCATTTTCCTAAGACCTAGAAAAAATTCCCAAACTGATTTCTTAAAATTTTTACTTGAAAAAAATTTCAGCTTATAAAGAAGTTGCAAGAGTCGTACCATAGTTGGAAATACTCTGAATCATTTGCTTTGTTTTGGTGTGATAGAGATTTTTTGTAACGATCACTTATAATGTAACTCCCTGGAATATTAAAACAATTGTTAAGGACCTGATGTTGTGATTAGAGCAGCCCTGTTTCTTTCGTTTTTATATTCCTGACAGTGAAAATTGCTGTGCAAATAGTAGAAACTCAGAATGTGTTGTTGAATTGAATTGTTAGATTGTCTTAGTCCTCTTCTATTCAGGCATTTTCTAAGACAATGTGATTGATACAAACAAGTAGAAAATATGCTTTCTCAATACAATGAGTTTTATTTCCAGTGGGACTGTTTAATCAGAATGAAATGTTGTTGTACCATGATGACTGCCCTGCCCTTAGAAGTCAATTATTTTATGATGGAGAAAAAACTGTGGTCCGTAGATCAGTAGAATCAGCATACCTGGGACCTGGTTAGAAATTCATAATCTGTAGCCAAAACCTATGGAATTGGAATCTACAATTAGAAGACCCTCAGGAGTATGCACGTTAAAGTTTGAGGTGTTTAAAGTTAAAGTATGCACTTTAAAGTTTGAGGTGTGTTTATTCAGGTAGCTTTCCTTTCTTCTCATATAGTTTTTAGGTATAAATGAAAGGTCTGGATTATTTCACGTATTGGCAGATGTGTATTTATTTTTTAGTGCAGTGCTTCTCAAAGTATGGTCCCTGGACCAGCAGCATCTGCATTACCTGAGAACTTATTTGAAATGCAAATTCTTGGGTCCTTCCTCAGGTCCGAATCAGAAACTTTGGAGAATGGCACTACTGTTTAACGAGACCTTCAAGTAATTCTGATGGCTAGAGTTTGAGGACCACTGCTTTAATGCTTACGAGAGTTGAATTAGTTGTTTAAACAGAAATCTTAGAGGCTTTGAATCCACTTACAAATTAGTCTTTTCAAAGGTGTACTTTTTAAGTGTCTGCATAATGCGAATGTTGTGAAGTATGTCAACTCTTGGGATTTAGGAATAGCAGAGTATTAGTATTCCAGAGGCAAAATTGTAATTGGCCTTTTCACTTGCATTTTCCCCACAAGTGACAAAAGGCTAAAATTAACAATAGAAAGGCATTTGTTTACATCCAGGCAACCTTCTTTTTTAAAAACCAAGGCACAATTTTAGATAGTTGATAATACCTGGAAAAGCTTGGGCTCAACTTGAGGAAGTAGATTCCATTTTACTTTTCCTTTATTTCCCAGATACAGAGAAATCCATGTTAAATGCCTTCCGTGGGTCCAGAACTTCTTGCTTGTTCTCTTTGCCCCCAGTCTCCTATTTGACAGAGCAGCTGCACTATAATAAATGACTCCCTGGCATTTCAGCATCATAGCTGGGGACTCTGCCAAAGCCCTGGCCACGTCTCTGTAGTGGGACGTACAACAACGAAGAAAAGAGGCTGGATCCACAAACCCCACAGGAAATTAGTCTCATTATTGCAACTCAATTCATGTTCCCATCCAGAAGAGGGCTTCATTGCACATGGCAATTAATTTACTATGCAGAGTGTGTTTTGCTTGGTATCAGCTTTTATTCTGACTTCCAGGACAAAATGGTTGCCTGAGTTCTTAATCGTGTGTGTGATTTGACAGTCAAGATGGGCTATGGGAATCATCTCTTGGTAGTGTCATCAGCAGAAAGAAAATTCTTTTCTGAATTGAGCTTTGGTTGTATGGGATAGATATCTGTTCTGTTGGTGGTGGTGGTTGTGGTGGTTTTGTGTTTTAATTTTTGGATTGTGACCTCAGTTTGAGTGAGCAATGTGATGAAGCTGCTAACAAAAAAATCAAAGAGAAAACTCTAAACTCTGTTAATAATTGTACATTGTAAGGTAGTAAGGCATGTTAGCCTCACTGTGCTTGTCACAGATCAGAATCTACCTAGAGAGCTGGGGTACACGTAGAAGCCCAAGAGTACTAGATGATCTCCTATAAAGAGCCAGGATGGTAGAAGACCTGTGGATTGGCCTTCTGCTATGTTTCTGTTTCCCAGCATCTTTTCCCTCCTGCCACTGCCTATTTTAAGCAATTTTACTTGAACTTTCAAATATGTGCCTTGGTCATCCCAACAGATACCTGCACCTAGTTGGCCAATCAGATCACTAATTGTCCGGTCTCAGCGATTGATCTAGACACATTTATGACCAATATATGGCAAATGAGAGTTCTTTGGGGGAAATTAATTTGAATGTTGCAGAGTGTTGGCCTTCTCACTCCCCTGAAATATGAGTTCCAAAGACAAGGTGAATCTGGAATTGTGGGGTCCAATTTTTTTTTCAAATGGACACAGTGAGTTGGATAAAAAGCCCGACAGAGCCAAGAAATGCAGAGAGAAAGAGAGAGAGAGAGACAGAGAGAGAGAAGGAGGAAGGTGGGAAGAGAGTGACAGACCTTACGGTGTTATTCAAATCCCTGGATCCAGCTGTACCTAAAGCCCATACCTTGAGCTTCCCCATTACATGCACCAATATATTATCTGTTTAATGAGTTTGTTTGCATTACATTCAATGAGGCTTCACTTACATAGCCCAGGAGTCTCACTTACGAGTAATAGTTTGAAGAGAGAGGTAACCCTGATGGAGAAAAAATGAAGATTTATCGTGACAGGAGTGGGGCAGGAAAACCCACTTCCCTTCACATATCTCCAGGTTCGGAACTCATCTATTCCTCCTAACAGTGCTCTGAAGTATTACCTAGCCTGTGCTACAGATACAAAAACTCAATGTAAGGCTCTAACTTGTTTAAAGTCACATACAGAGTGAGAGAGCTGGGACTGGAACCCATGTTCATGCGATTGTTTTAAATAGGTGTCCCTACTTCTGAGTTTCCATTGCATTATGTATATATTTTCCTTGAACCTCCTTAAACTTAACGTATTATAAATGTTTGTAGAGTCTACTAGGCTATGCCTTGACAGTCATTTTTTGCTTCCCTCCTTTCCTTCCTTCCTCACTTGTTTCTTTGCCTCCCTCATTTTCTCCCTTCTTCCTCCTTTCCTTTATGTTCACCAGCACCTAACATACATTTATGCCTATTGGAGGTGTCAGTGATGTTATTTTTGCCAATGACTGAATGAAAGAAAAAAATGTATAAGTTGAAGGCTCCTGTCTCTAGAAACATGGAACTAAAGGCAAGTCGATTTTTGTTTAGGCATTATGGGGAGGGTATTCCTGGGTGGGGCCAAAGATCAGATTAAGAATCCCCCATAACCCTTTAAAGTCAACAGTCCATGGAGGAGTTGCACCAAAAAGAGACTCTCCTTCTAAACATCTGTGTGTGATTCCTGGAGGACATAAGTTGAGCGGGGTGCTTTTGGAGGTTAACTCCAAAAGCAGCGATGCTTCAGAGGGCAGCGGTTGTAAACAGAAATCAGGAAGCAGATGGTGGGGGTATCTGTGGCCAGAAATAAGAATATCTTTATTGCTGAGTAAATAAACAAGCCACATCCTGACTAAATGGGTGGAAATTTCCTGAACATCCAGGAAGGATGTCTGGTCTTTAATCTGTTTTTGGAAAGTCAACCTCAGAGCACTAAGCCCAAGTGTGTGCCTCTACCAGCCTCAATCTTTATCTTGTGATTTATCACCCACTCTCTCCTTCTTTAGGGAGCTTGTTGGTTATTCTGCTTATGGACTCACAGAAGAGAACAATTCTTCCTCCCTTTGCCCATTCAATTCCAATCTGAATGTTAGTACCAGACTAATGATCTGACATAGACTGAAGAAGGTTCCAAGGACTTTTCTGAAAGCTGAGCCCATTTTTGTTCACCATTCTCTTAAAGTCTCAGGTGGAGAAGGAAGACCTTAAATAATAGCTTTTCTTTTATAATGAAAGGGGAAAAATATCTGAAAGAATGCTTCCAGCTGATAGAGGTTGGACAGAACAGTAAGGAGAAATTCTCTAAGTCCACCTGGAGCTTATTAAGATTGAAAATTGCAAGAGATTGGCTTAAGCTGATTTTTTTTTTCCCAACAGCCTAGGCAAAGACTCTGATTTCCAATTTTCTGTTATGGTTGAGTGCATTCTTCCGGCAAATATTTAGTAGGCACTCTTAATGCTAGGACTGGTCACTTAAAACAAGTGTCTTTAAATATTCTTAATTTAGACACATAATCTTCAAACCACAACAGTGATGGAATGAAAGCTAGTCATCAGCAGTTTGCAAAAATTATGGCGCTGGTCCTCTCCCCAGCCAACTTAACTGGGCTTCTACCATCCTCCTCCTTCCTGATCTTTCTTTTCTCTTCCTGAGCATCTATCCAGTTCCCTATTTAATCATATGTAATCTTCAGTATGTGCTTTTATGTGGAAAGCCAGATGTGTACCAGTTGATGTCACCATGATGGACAAGAAAAAGGGAAGCTTACAGAGAAGGGCAGATTCATGGGCTTGCAACATGTACAATTGCATAGGGCCCTGTGCTTAACAGGAGGGCCCATGCGTGCGAGTTAATGCTCTGTCATCACTACCCTGAAATTCTTAATAGATTTTTTTTTGTGTTTTGTAAATGAAGCCCAAAGGAACAATGGAGCATGAGCTGGGGCTTGGAGCCTCACTTCACAGACAGCCCCACCTCCTCCTGCCTCCTCACTTCCCTGGGAGAGGTCTTTAGCCACCTGATCCCTGACCTTGCCCTACACAAGGCACACACTGACCTCCTACTACAGCACCTCATTGCAACTAGCATGGACCAGAGCTCTGGGGCAGGGAGGTTTTTGTCAGGTGCATGTAACCCACATGCAGAATTATAGGACAGAGCCCCAGGTTCCTGGAAAGGTCAGACTTATCCTTCATATATTCCATGCCTGAGAGAGCACAATATTAAATAGCAAATAAAAAACACCATGACAGATTGAGAGAAAGACCATGGAAAACAGGTAAAAAAAAAAAAAAAAAGTTTTGTCTGCTTTTTAGACAAGAGATCGCACGTTTTCGTTTTGTACCTAGCTCTGCAAATTATGTTGCAGGCTCTGGTTACATACAGCCTTTAGTTTATCAGCACACAGTGTTGGTGAGCGGATGAGAAATGTGGATCCTCCCGCAGGTGAGTATAAGGATGTCTGAATGTACAGAAAGCAGCCTGATGTAGGCCAGCCCCATACTTAACTGACGAATTTATCGGTTGTATCTGTCTTCCAGAAACATACAGGCTAAACGCCAACAAACAATGACCATGTCTAAGCATCTGAATATTCCTCTAAGAAATCAACTGACAAATTTGGGGGAAACAAGATGATAGCTGAAATTAACAGAATATCCCCCAAAGCAGCAGCATGGGAAACAAGTGTTATTTATACCATAAGCTAACAAGGCAGGCCTGGGACAATCAATACATGAGCCTCCTTTCCACCAAATTCTCTTCTCATTATGTAAATAGGATGGCCTGAGGTGCAAGAACAATGAATAGAATAATAATCGGAAATGTAATGGAACTAATAGTGGATTTCTCCGGACTGTTAACTTCTGTTCAAAGAGCCCGCCAATGATGGATAGAGAGCGGCGTGCAGAAAGGAATCTTTCCCTGGTTCAGCTTGGGTGCACTGCCTTGTGCTGACTCTGTCCCCTCCCCTACCCACCACACCCCATGTGTCTAGAACAATCTCCTCTGCAGTACTTCATTTCCTAAATGAATTAGTCCAGAGCCCTGTTTTGAACAGATGCCTGTACAGTTCTTGATTGGTTGAGGCAAGTCTAAACTGACATAAGCCCTAACTCTGAAACATGTGACTTTTTACTTTGAAAATGTCCAATTCTCAGTTGTGAGCTATTCATGTGCAAGTAACAAACACCTACTCAAACAAGCTTAAGAAAAGCAGGGAATTCCTGGGAGGATGCAGGAGCAGGAAATTGAGCCAGTCGTTCCAAAGGGCCAGAACCAGAAGGCAGACCACTGGGTCCCAGACAGATGGGTCATCTCTTTCCACTGTGATTCAAGCCCTGATTTGTGGCCTTTGCCTATTTTCATGATATCAATACCTCCACCGTGGCTGATTGCAAGCTACCAATGACGTATCATAGAATGTGGCACTGGGGAGGGATGTGCAGCCGCACCCCATTATTGTACCCCATTATGTAGTACTTCTGCCATGCAGATATAATAGATAAATAATCTTAAAAGCATAGATAACAGTCAAATACATTTGTAAAAGAGTTAAGAAGTGATGCATTTTGAGTATTCATTGCCTTTGCTTTTAAGATTATTGAATCATGAGTGCATGTAATGTCTAATAACATCAATGTTTAACTGGCTTAGAAAAATCCTGAAATTTCAAAAGTGACCTCTTACAAACAGTACGTGTCAGCTCCTACTTATTATTCCTCCTCATGAGTCCATGGAAACAGCCTCTCTGGGAAGAAGGCAGAGAGCAGGAGACAGGTCGTGGTACAGAAGGAAGTGACTGGCAGAAGTACATGGATGGCATCTCAGTTCAATCTCTCTTTATTATTTTGGCATAATTCAAAGTTCATATCTCACTTCATCTCAAAAACAATATGCATATCTGTCCTTGGCTTCATTTTCCTCCTACCTCTTCAGACATCTCTTCTCTGGCTCTTCCCCTTAACCCCTAACTGGGGGCTTTCTACCCTGTCTTTGCACACCATTTATCCTCTCTATAATGACAACTCCTAAATCTAAGAAATGGGCACATTTCCCCTGCTAAGCTACAGACCTGTGTATTTACGTACTTCCTAGATATTGCCCCATGCATGGCCCACCATCACCTTAAATTCAAGATATCCAAAACAATTCTCCATCAAAAAAAAATTCTTTATAGCCAAATGGAAGTGTGCTGTAATGAGAGGCATGGACTTTGATTCTAGTGCCAAATTGTAGGTCTTAATGAGCTTGCTGACTGTGAGCACGTCACTGATTCTCCCTCATCTCAGAGTTTTGCCATCTCATAAACAGGCTTGACCTCGATTAATGGGTTTTACTCCACAATCCATGGGGCCCTTTATTCTGTGGGTCCACCTCAGAAGCTGTCCAAACATCAAGAGAGAAGTGGCCTTGGTCCAGTCCTGGGCACCCCATCTCCCATCACCAAGGGCCATCTGTCTTTCATCTTTTCATATGTTAAAGTTCCATGAACTATTTCTTCTCTGAAGTAGTCATCCACTAATTCATTGATTCACTGTGAATCATGAATAAGATCATGATCACTCAGGAACCCTCTAGGTCTAGCATTCCGTGATTCTTCGGTTAGTGCTCACGCTTCTGGAATGAAAAGTACAAAGGTACAGGGGCAGCAGCTGGAGATGACAGCACAGTCTGTTGCCATGTGTAGTTCATGGCGCAGGGTCAGGGCAGAAACTCCTTAATATTAAACTTAGTGTACAGTAACTCTAATGCCTGATATTTGATTTGCATTAAGCACTGACAAGAACCTTTCATGTCTATTTCTGCCCTGGGGTCCTAAAACATAAATTTTAACATTCCTTGCTTCTCCTTGATGATCATTCCCACATAGAAATGGAACTGCATTAATAATGATTGTTGAAAAAATGAATAAATGATTGTTGAATGAATAACCGAATGAATGCCACCAGGGAAAATTATTGTCTCCATTTCATTTTAGGGCCTGAACTTTAGGAGAATAAAGTTATCCTAAAGAGAGCTGTTGGAACCTGCCTTTCTAACCAGCTTCCTATTTTCTAGAAAAGGGGTCACTGTTTGTAGGAATTGTCTAGGATTCCTGAGAACTGCCATCAAACATTCATTTTGCTTTTCCTATTGCTAAGCATTATCAGACAGAGACACAGCTTCTACACAAAGGAAGATGGTAGGGCATTGTCTGTTCAGGGCTGCTAGATCAATATTATAGTTTTATTTATCTATTAATTTATTTGGATTTCTAAGCAGCTCTACCTTTTGTTACGATGATTATATGGCAAAATGCAAAACAACTTGACAGGACTTTGCTATCTAGACTTTTGATAATGATCTCTAAAAGCCAACTCATTTCATTTGCGTCCTTTTATGAATAATACAAAAAAATCCAAACCTTAACTAGTGTTTGTCACAGTCAGTGGGTACTTCATGAGCCAAGAGTGCATAGAAAGGTATTTTTGGTTCATTACTAGGTTTCTATAATTGACCTGACATTTTGTGAGAGCAATCATGTTTGTTAAGGAGAAACTCAAGCCAATGCTGTAGTTGCAAAGTTCTCCTTACTATTACCCTGGGAAACAAATTCATCAGAAGTGTGCAGATGTGTTTTATGTGTGCGTACACACATACATCCCTATGCATACACAAGCATGTACACACATTGGCATGGGTCGACCTGATAAAATATATGCAGTGTTCTCTTTGTCCAAATCCAGCTGGTCATCTAGGGACTGTATAGAAAATTTGCCAGTGCCTGCAGCCCTACTCCATGTTTCCCTTTTTCTCTGCAGCTTGAGCCTCACCTTAAGGCCTAAGTGAGATATGCATTCTGTCCCAAATGATGGCTCATGGGGACAGAACATTTCTGAGTCTTCCTTTCTGACCCTCTAGTTATATGGCAGTGATTGCACTGAGGGAAAACCAGGAAATAACAAAGGAAACTGCTTAAGCAAGTTGTGTTTGGGAAGATTAGAAAAGGGAGTGCACAGGAGGATGAAGCTGAAGTCTCTGAGGAGGTAATCTTGTTCAAATAATAGCTTTTCTTGTAACCATATTTTGTCAAATTGGTTATTTCTGATGATGTATCCCCAATTTTCTGAAATGTTTTAAAACTTACATTGTAGCTTTCTCTCATTTCCTTATTCCTATGTTCTCATTCTGGTCCATCATCTGTTCATTTATTCAGTCCATTCTTTGTGTATTCATTCAATTATTCTTTCAAGTGACATTTACTGATAATTAAAACTGTTAAAATCACTGACGTCAAGGTCTATGAGCAAAACTGAACCAAACCAAAACAAGAACTAAACTAGAATCCGTTGTGGCGGGATTGACCACTAGGTGGTATGTCCATTCTTTGGCCTTACTGGGGATTTAGGCATTTGTTTTGGTTATGTGCCTTGTTAAATATTCATCATGTCAAAATGGTGGTAGTAACATGAACACAATCAAGAAAATATGAAGAGAGTGATATAAATTATATTTGGAGCTCAGAGAGGGGCCAGGAAGACTTTACATGTTGGATTGCTTCTGCCTTAGGCAGAAAAGAAGTTGCAGAGCGTTCTAGGAGGAGTGAAATACTTGAGTAGGGGCTGGGAAGCAATAAAGCAAGTGGTATTTTCAAGTTTATGCATCCACAAGATCAGTGTTCAATATTTAAAATGTTCAATGTGTAAACTCTATCATGGAAAGATTTTTGAGGAAGTAGCTTGTAAAAAGTTGCATATTTCTATTTGTTGCTAGGGTTACCTAACCAACAGGTTCTTGGCTAAGCAAAAAACTACAGTCTGTAAATTAGATATTCTGGAATAAAAAATTTGGGGAAAGAGGAAAAGGACTCATGCTCCCAAGAAGGCCAAGTGAAAAGTGATATCCTTCTGATAGGGAAAGAAGTCATGAGTCATTAGTCTGGACTGCTATAGTAATGATAATAATAGTAAGAATAATAATAGCCACCATTTGTGGATCACTTACTGCAAACCAGGAACTGTGTTAAATCCTTCTCATGTGCAAGCTGCTCCTTTAACCTGCGTGGCAACCCGGGGTGACTAGCTGTTAGTATAGCAGTTCCTTGCCCAAGTTTCTCAGTATCTTTCAGCCTCAGTTTCCTGTTGGGCAAAATAGAGATTACGGGACAGTGGGAACATTAAATGAGGCTATGCTTGTTATGTGGTTAGCATGGTGTCAAGCAGGGAGTAACAGGTCAGTGAGAATTATAGTATTAGCTACTATTAGCATTTCTCCTTCCTCGTTAGTATTTTTCCTTCCCTGAGGAGGAAACAGAGAATTAGGAGGACCAAGCTGAATATAAGCAGTACCTGAGAGCATTCTTGGAAGATTATGCTTTCGTGAGCTCCTCTTAGAACTGAAAATTGATGATGAGAGAGACAGACTGTCACCAATGCATGACTATCACCTTGTCATTATTAAAGCACTTTCCACTAGTTTATATTATTTTATTCTCATAAGCTCTGTGAGGGCCAGGATTTGGGTCTTCTCTTGTCCCTTGCTACATCCTCATCTATATCAGTGGCTGGCACATTATCTTTGTTGACGACTGACCTTTCCTTTTCCTCTTTCTTTGCCTGGCAAACTGTTACTTGCCCATCAGGATCCATGGGGACATTGACGCTCCTCCATCACTCTCACCTCCAGTCCTCTCTTCCCACACAACTCTTAGTTCATACAGTGGTCACAGTACCTCCATGCTGTATTGTATCCTATCTACTCTCCTGTTTGTCTCTTGCTGCAGACTCCTCTAAGGCAGGGACCACTTTTCACCACCTTTCCATGCCCCTGGATCCTTGTTCAGATTTGGCTTGATGTACGCACTTTGAAGATACTTGAATGAGTGACCACAAATATCTTCATTTGCATCTGAACAATTTTCTTGATATTTGAACTTCTTACCCAAACCCCCAAGTCCAAAGGCCCTTGTCTTGAGCTTACAGGTTTTCAAAGAATGCTTTACCTGGGTATAGGGCAGCTCTCACATGCCTGGGAGGAAGCCTTGGAGCAAAAACAAATCGATGGCTCTGAAAGAATTATGTCAACATTTAATTGCAAGAGATAGCTGCTCTGCCCAGAGGGCTTCCGGAACACCTTAGCTTTTGGTTTAAAGCTCAATTTTAGGTAACTGATCAGGTAGAAGCTAGTTTGACTACCGCAGCTTGCAAATGCAAGCTTTGGTAATAACGCCATAGCTTTTTTTTTGTTTTTTTTTTTTTTGGGGACAGAGTCTCTCTCTGTCTCCAGGCTGGAGCGCAGTGGTGCGATCTTGGTTCACTGCAACCTCTGCAGCGGATTCAAGCGATTATCCTGGCTCAGCTTTCGGAGTAGCTGGGACTATAGGCGTGTGCCACCACGCCCAGCTAGGCCAGCTAATTTTTGTATTTTTAGTAGAGACAGAGTTTCACCACGTTACACAAGATGGTCTCGATTTCTTGACCTCGTGATCCGCCCGCCTCGGCCTCCCAAAGTGCTGAGATTACAGGCGTGAGTCACCGCACCTGGCCGCCACAGCTTCTTAAAATGTCACTATCAATCCATTCTGAGGCTAGAAATCTCTCTGGCAAGTGTGTGAATGCAAAGGTAATGGCTTTACCTTTCAGGTTAGTTGTAGATAATCTCATCTTTGTTCATGACCGGTGAGTGCCAAGCCCCCAGCATTGAGTATGTAGTCTCCAAGGGACATTTTCCTTGGACCAATTGGGAAAAGACCTGGTCAAAATTGAGGAATGGGCAATACTCACCTGGTATTTTGAGCTATAATTTGGTTCTTTGAGCTATGAGAAAAAAAAGGGACACGGGCTATGTTGAAGTAACAGGAATTTGAGAAGTAAGGGTGATGAGAATCTCAGAAAACTTGCAACAGCTGGACATCCAGGTCTCCTGGAAATGGGAAGTTGATTGAGGAACTGGAGGGAAAGTTAAGGTCCTAACTTTAGTGATTGGGTTTCTGTGTCACCACCTTGGCCCAGGAGACTGTTGATACCCCCCCCCCTTTGCTTTGTCTCCCCATTTCTTTTAGTGTCTCTTTCCAGCTGAGCAGTCTTCTGACTCCCACTAGTTCAAGTTTCTGAGGGAGAAGCTGATTGAGCGGAGCTGTGCATTAGACAGCTTATAGATGGGTGCTCTTAGGTCACATGTTCCCAGTGAGCCAATCAGCAGCCTCTAGAGGAGAGGTCACGCGGCACAGAATATGGCCGCCTATGCTTAAGGCATTACAGAGGGCATCTTCCTCTGGAGGGGTAGTAAATGTAGGCACTTTCTTCTAAATGGGCTATGGGTGTAACAGGCATTAGGCTGCTTCTATTTTATCAGAGGATGGGGCCATGATTAGCCCAATGAACATTTACTAATCATTGAAATTTAAGCATGGCAGCCTGGTGTGTAACCATTGTTTGAGTTAGCATACTTCAGTTTTCCCCTGTTGATTTAGTCTCATGTAAATCTCTGAAGCCTCGGCCAGTCTTTTCTTAAATACACGTAACAGCTACCATAATTCTCTTTCTGCTAGTCCTTTGGTCCACCTAAGTTCACCTAGTCAAGGTAGACAGTCTGCAGCCACTATCCTTCTTCACTTTCTAAGGGCTTTCTCAGCATTGGGGGCTTATTAAGCAGCAAGCAAGTCAGTCCTGTAAATGTGGGGAAGCTGGCTCCCTGGGGTCTCTCTTAACTGTTGAGAGTCAGTGGATAAATGGCCCGGCTTCCTGTGAGACAATTGTGAGTCAGGTTCCACACAGCTCCTTAGAGTGTCCCCACTGGGAGTGAGCAGAAACCTGATTTTTAATATAAACTTTATTTGTGTATCTCCCTTCTCTGCCTCATTTTTCACACCTCCTCACTTGTACTTCCCAAATATATTCTCTGCTCCAAAATCCTTGCCTCAGGCTTTGCTTTTGGGATTATTCAAACTGAGACAATAAAATACTACACCCATTTTAGGGAAGATCAGGAGCTAACAGTGTAGGGACCAATGCATTATGGTCTTCATCTAAATGAAGTCTGTTTCTAATATACTGAATGTTTCTGTAAGGCAAAAACTCATAGGTAATTGGTTAAATAGGGGATTGTATATTAATATGTAGTAATATATACATATATGTATATGTATAATATAACATGAATATAATATACATATGTATACACATATATAATATATATGTATAATATAACATAAAAATGACTTTGGTCCATATGCAGTATTCCATAGAAAATTGATATTTTGCCTTAACAAGAAGCGGCAATTAAAGGAATGTATACTAATATAGCTGAATGCAGCACACCTCAAAAGAATAGAGAATGGTCTATAGAATTCAAATAGGTTCTGCCTCTTGACTCACTTGCCAAATCCTCTGTCTTAGAAGTGCTTATTGAGTAATTCTCCCCTATCCTGACGCACTGCGCCTCTGTTGCCATAATTCAGCAGATTCACCCTTTCCTTATAACCCGTCTACCAAGCCCCAATCCACATTTTTTAAAGGGAAAGCCTTATATTTACTGTAAGTTTTCATTTATCAACAATTTATGTCTTCTCAAACACACCAGGTTTAAAAATTATGATTATAATTATTATTTGCAATAATTATGTGATTACAAAGTTGCAAAGATCTGGAGCATTCTACTCTAATCTTGTCTTTTCCAAAATCCTTATGATTTTATTGCACAATTTTCCTAAGCATAGAGTTTTTCTGGAACACAAATATTTTCCAGAACACCTATTTCAGGGCTGCTCCACACATAGGCATATCTGTGCCAGTTAGACATAAGCACCCGGCTCATTGCGGGTACTTACTGAGGGGGTAGAAGGAACATAGTACCGCCCCCGCAAAAATGCAATTAGCCTGTTATCAAAATAACAGGGAGAGATGAATTCTTATCTTTTTGCTGGAAGGTCGGAAGAGGCATTGGGCTTAGGAAGTGGCCACATCATAGTCATTTGATACACTGTCATTTGCATCTAGTGTAAAATTCACCATTGTTTATCTTATGATTTTATGAGTAGAGACCAACTGAAAAATTTTGTACTTTTATTAATATTATGGCATTACAACACCTTACTTTAGGAGATTCATAGTTTGGACCCTGTTTACAAAAATGTACCAGTTATATGGTATTTATTGAGTGTCTTTACTGCATACTAGGAATCATACAAGAGGGAAACAGAAGTTATTTCTATATGACTCTGATAGCACCTGTATTTGTCCCTTTTGTGTTGCTATAAAGGAATACCTGAGGCCGCGTAATATTTACAGAAACGAGGTTTATTTGGCTTACGGTTCTGCAGGCTGTACAAGAAGCATGGTGCCAGCATCTGTTTCTGGTGAGGGCCTCAGGCAGTTTACAATCATGGTGTAAGGTGAAGGGGGAGCAGGCATGTCACATGGTGAGAGAGAGAGCAAGAGAGAGGAGGAAGTGCCAGGCCCTTTTCAACAATCAGATCTTGCAGTAACTAATAGAGGGAGAACTCACTCATGATCGCAGGGTTGGCAGGAAGCCATTCAGGAGGGATCTACCCCCATAAGCCAAATATCTCCCACCAGCCTCCACCTCCAACTCTGGGGTTCACATTTCTTTCTTTCTTTTTTTTTTTTTTTTTTTTTTTTTTTTTGGAGTCTCACTCTGTCACCCAGACTGGAGTGCAGTGGCATGATCTTAGCTCACTGCAACCTCTGCCTTCCAGGTTCAAGTGAATCTCCTGCCTCATCCTCCCAAGTAACTGGGAGTACAGGCATGTGCTACCACACCTGGCCAATTTTTGTATTTTTGACGGGGTTTCACCATATTGGCCAGGCTGGTCTTGAACTCCTGACCTCAGGTGATCTGCCCTCCTCGGCCTCCCAAAGTGCTGGGATTACAGACGTGAGCCGCCATGCCCGGCACATTTCAACACATGAGATTTGGAGGTGACAAATATCCAAATCATGTCACAACCAGTAGGATAAATACTACTTATTTTTCATTCCTCAGATGAGAACATTTAGTCACAGAGTGTGGGGCAGCCAGCCAACTTCTGATGTTCAGAGTCAGTGCTGTCTAAACTTAGCTTTCATGTTCTTTCTACCTCAGAAGGCTACTTCTCAATCAATTATTTGGGATCAGTTGGTTTCATCACATGGCATTGCATCATGAATATGCTGAACAAGGCCAAGGGAAGGCAACAATTAACTGGCAGTTTGTAGGCTTGTGATTAGATATAATTAAAAGTCACATAAAGTTCCAAAAAATATTTTTCACTTGTTTCATATCTCAACAACTTCCACTTGTTTAAGTTAGTGTTTTTCCAAGTTGCATTGTGATGAGGAGAATTTGACATATTTTTGAGGGCTAAGAGTGAGAATGATTCAAAGCTGTGAGATTTGAAGTGATGTCTAAAAGATTTTTTTATCATGACTTATGATTTTTTATACACACACACAGACACATACACACACATCCTAGTAGGAAAAATATCAAAATATAATAACTTTAGATAATAAGAAAAATGGTTTCTGTTTACACTGAGTTTTCACAGGTGAGATATGCATTAAAGGCACAAAAGCTAAAAGACAAAGAGAAATGGCAATTTAAGCACTTGAAAGCCTTGCTGAATTTTTTACAGACTGTGTCAAGTGGAGCTGGAAAGTGAAACCACAAATCGGAAGCTAGAAAGGAAGCAGCTAGGCAAGAGAGAGTACCTTGGACTGCTGGCTGCAGTCCCCTTCTTTTCCCCCAAGTGACCTGCACATCGGACTTCACCCTGCTACTCTCTCTTCCCAAAGATGAAATGAAGAGGTTGAATGTAATGATTACTAAGATTCTCTTTCTGCTCCCACGATGATCTGATGCTGAGGATTTTTAAGACTTCTGTGCCGTTAGAATTGATTACTTCTAAATTGTTATCTACTATTCATAAAAAGAAAATTATTCAAGCTTGTACTTCTTGGCACAAAATATACCTGTGATTTTCTAAAATATTATCTCTTAATGCACAAAGTTCTCAAGTGCTGTAGCTAAAGGGAGCTACCACAGAGTATTAATAGAAAATGTATGTGAGAGGATGTTATTTAATAAACCCCTAAGTCAGTAATTCTAATGATTCAAAATGACTTTAACTTTCTACTAATTAGAAGCCAGACTCTCAGCTTTGCTTCTTGATCTGCACTTCTCCCCATCTTGGTGTTCTTGGTGATGGTCATGTTCCTGGCTGGGTCACTGCTTCCATGACTGTTTATTAAAATCCCCTGGCCAAACAGTGGGCGTACTGGACTTCCTGGAGGGGTTCCCTGGAATGCCTTGAGCAAAACTTGGGTGCCAAAAGCAAAGACCTGCTGTGTTGGAGAAAGAGGAAGAGAAGAGTTCTGCTGTCTTTGCATGTGTTTGGAAATGTCTTTCTCATCAACAGATTCTCATGCTTGGGGATGCCAGGGGTGGTTTGGGTGGGCACTCTCTTCATTAATAGCCATTATTGTGGAGTCCTTAAAGTGGATTAATGATGTTTTTTAGGAAAGATAATTATCTCCTATGCTTTCCGGGAGGTACATGAACTGCTCTAAGATTGCAAGTACAAAACAGGACATTCGTGGTGCTACTGTGTGAAAAAATAACCAGCAGTACCTTGACATTTATAGATTTTATATAAGCATGTGAGTATGGACCTTGGGCCTCACCAGCCCCAGAACACCCCAGGCGTCCTTGTACCGCAGGGCCTTTGTATGTGCTGCTCTTGCTGCTTGACCTGCCCCACCCAGTATCTGTAAGCCTTGCTCTTTCTTTCAATTAGAATCTTTACTTAAACATCCTCTTTTTGCACAGGTTACCCTACATAAATCAACGTGCCTCCTGTCTCCTATCACTCTCTGTCCCTTTATCCTGCTTTGCTTTTTCTTCACAGCACTTATTTCCTGACACAGTAAATCATTTATAAGTTGCTTATTTTCCACCTCCTCCTCTGGAATACATGCTCTGTGAATACAGGCTCTCTGCTTGTCTTGGTCTCTGTTTAATTCCTAATCCTGGCAGAGCACCTGTGACATAGTGAACACTCAACAACTGTTTGCTGAATGAAAGAAAAAATGAAAAGGTTCACATGGAGATGAGAGCCACTGGCCAACAATTTCAGTCAAAACATATTATTTACTTAAAAATGCAATGTCTGCATATATTTGACAATGATAATTTATTGAAAACAACAACAGTGAATACATGAGTTGATATCTGTCTTTTCAATAGATATATAATGAGCCTCTGGATTTTATTTTTATTTTTATTACTCACGTATTTTTTGAAACAGAGTCTCACTATTATCACCCAGGCTGGAGCACAGTGTGCGATCACAGCTCACTGCAGCCTCCTCTGCCCAGGCTCAGGTGATCCTCCCACCTCAGCCTCCCCAGTAGCTGGGACTATAGGTGCACACCACCACGCCCAGGTAATTTTTTGTAGATAGGGTTTTGCCATGTTGTCCAAGCTGGTCTTGAACTCCTGGGCTCAAGCAATCCATCTTCCTTGGCCTCCAAAAGTGCTGGGATTACGGGTGTGAGCCACTGTGCCTGGCCATCCCTGGATTTGAAAAGGAAAGGGGTAGAGTGACAAGGACTGGTTGCATCTCACATTCCAAACTGCTTGTTTTAGTATGCGCTAATGCATCAACCTTTTATTACTGCCCAGACCGTAGACCTGGCTTGTTCCTTTTCACATGTTATTCTCACCAGAAGCTACAAAGTAGGTGTTATTTGTATTATTATTGCTGTTGTTGTTGTTAGAATACATATTCCTCATTTACAGACAAGTACACAGGCTAAGCATGACTGCAACTTTTGAATTGTCATGCAGCTCAGAACTGGGGGATCTAGAAACTGAATTCAGCAGCTGATTATTTGGTTCCCAATACCATGGTCTTGCTACTTACCTACTAGAAAGGATTCTCATTTGTCTATTTAAGTTCTTCTCCTCTACTCTCTGAGGAGGATTCTTTCAGCTCTTAGTGAAATAAAACTAGAAATGGAAAGGGAAGTCTCAAATCTATGTTCAGAAGAGGGAAGAGGTTTAACCTGGGGGTGGGAGGGAAGCAGATAGATGTGCTAGCAGAGCAAGCAGTTTGAGATCTAATATACAGCCTTAGTGGGATTAAAAATATGAGGTATAATTTGTGTTCATTTATTCTACAGATGTATTTTGAGAACATAGTGAAGGCATGATGCCTGGCCCACAGTAGGTGCTCAATAAACGTGTGTTGAATAATACATGAAGGACACGAATAAATGTGTGTTGAATAATGAATGAAAGACACAAATTCAGGAGGTAATTTTGTTTGCTGGTTTGTGTCCCTTTATCTCTTTATCTTGTGATGTGGAACCACACTCACAGAGTCCCTTCATCTTCATTCATTTCATTCATTCTTTTTTTTTTTTTTTTGAGATGGAGTTTCACTCTTGTCATCCAGTCTGGAGTGCAATGTTGTAATCTTGGCTCACTGAAACCTCTGCCTCCCAGGTTCAAGCGATTCTCCTGCCTCAGCCTCCCGAGTAGCTGAAACTACAGACGTGTGCCACTATGCCTGGCTAATTTCTTGTATTTTTAGTAGAAACAGGGTTTCACCATGTTGGCCAGGCAGGTCTCAAACTCCTGACCTCAGATGATCTGCCTACCTTGGCCTCCCAAAGTGCACTGCCTTCATTCATTCTTAAATCATTCATTTCTTTGTGGAAGCCCCTTAGCTCCATGTAGTTTATGGATGTGTCAGAACAAACTGAATATTGTTTATTCTTTTACTTTTTAAAGAGATGAGTATTTGAGTCCTCTGATTCACAGTGAATTTCAGAATTCTATCAGCTAAATACCTCTTGAAGCTCCGATTACCAAGACTATAAGCCCTTCTACAGCATTAAGGGATTGCTCGTAAAGATACTGCTATTATGCATCTGGTGTAAAGCCTCCTCATCTTTAGCTCAATTCAACAAGTTTCCATTCAGTGCCCAGCTCTAAAAGTCTTAAATGGAAATTGATTCCCTACTCCTTCTATTTTAACTGTCAAAATCATAGACTGCATTGTTTCCAACTGAAAATCCGCTGACAGCTCCCCACCAACCACCCCGTGAGCCTTCCTAGGGCTGGCGTTGATGATGCTGCTATCAATGGGGAATCTACATTGTGCACGGGTATTTATGATGAGAAAATCATGTGGCATAAAAGAGAATAATTGCCTTCATAAGTGTATAATTTTTTATACTATAAGCTTCTCAATGAAAAAGCATTCTAAGGGAGGCATAATTGCTAATTTTCGGTGTTAAACATACCTCTGAAGAGTATTTCACAGTCTAACTCTCTGAGTGTCATGTCTTCCTGTGGCCCGGGGAAGAGAGTGGGAAGGAAATAAAATTTCATTGAGCATCTACATAGGACCAGGCCCTGTAAGTTCTTGGATATTGGTTTCTTCTTATAATGACTTGAGAATTACATGGAATTATCCCCATTATATGAGAAGACAGAGTCTCACAGGAGTTAAATCACTTCTCATAAAATCATCTCTCATAGTTATGTGAGTTCAGAATGCACGTCTATGCTACCCCAAAGTCCAAGCTTAATAGAGAAATCTACAGCAACTCTTTATATTCTGGAGAGGTTTTATTACTAAGCTTAAGAATTGAGGTGCCCTAAGAACGGGCTGCCCCCAAAATATTTTCCTCACCACCTCACTTCTGTTTCCAGAAGCCCAACATGAAAATCACTCTTCTGAAATAAGTCCTGGAGTCTTCTTTAGGCTTCTGCTAAAAAGTCTTATTCGTGAGATGTCTAGCGTAACTTCTTTTTTTAAGTCAAGGAAAATGTGTAGAATTTAGGTCAAGATGCACTGAGAATAATTTGCAAAACCCGTAAATCCGTAGCTGATATATTTAACACCAGGTCCAAACTGTTTCTGAAGGATTGAATCTCTTGCCTGAATACTGAAGAAAATGGAGGCATGATCTGAGGTTGGGGAATATTCTACCTTGCCAAGGATAACTGTAGAGTATTGTGACAAAGTGCAAAGATGCCACATGGATTCTGGATCAGTCAGACCTGGGTTGGAATCCTGATTCTGCCAGTACACCTTTCTGCCTGGTTAGCTTGGAACAAAGCAGTTAATCTATTGAGCTTCATTATCTCTCTCCTGAGGCTCTTGTGAGGACTAAATGAGACAATACCTAATGCTTCATACAGAGACAGTGGTCACTCTATCATAATAATAGGAGCCCTCATTGTTTATGTCTTTACCATATATCATTATCCAATATATTCCTTTATATCATTATCCAAATAAATACATCTGATCAAATCCCCCAAATTGCTTTCTTCTCAGCATTCCTCGGTGCAAAATATGAGATGTCCTTTGACTATATAATATAAAATATACTATAACATATAATATTGACCTTATATTGAAGATGTATTTGTACCCGACATACAATATTTTTAGAAATAATGTTTCATTATAAAATTTTTTACACGTACAGAAAAGTTTAATTTTGCAGTGAGCACTCATGTACCCACCACCTAGATTCTACCGTTACCATTTAATCCACGCATTTTACCACCTATCTTTCCTTCTGTGTGTCTCCCGTCCATCCACTAATCTACCTCATGTTTTCGATTGGACACATTTCAAAATAAATTGTAGATATGCTCTCCCTCTAAATACTTCAGCATGCATATTTTTCAGTAGAGTTCAATATTTGCTTACATATTGTTTCTCTTTTGATGTAAAATTTACACACAGTGAAATGCATAAATCTTAAGTGTGTATTCTGAGTTCTAACAAATACACACATCTGTGTAACCCAAAGCATTGCCAAAATGCAGAATTACTGCAGAAAGTTCCCTCAAGCCTCTTCCGAGTCAATTCTGACTCCTACCACAGCAAAAGTAACCATTGCTCTGATTGTTTTCTATCTTGGATTAGTTTTATCTGTTCTAGAACTTGATATAAATAGAATCATGCAGCACATACTCTTTTATGTAAGGCTTCCTTGACTCAACATGTTGTTTTTAGGATCCTTGCATGTTGTTGCACCGATGTGCTTTCTGAATCGGGAAAAACAAATATTTTTGTGTTTGTAGAAGTCTAGCTTACCCTGATGCCAGATTTAAATTCCCTGTGCCAAACACATTGTGTGCTCCTGGTCCCTGCCCCCTTTAACTTCCCCAGCATAGTGCCTTTGTTCATGTTCTTTCTTTCCATCACTCCCTGGACTCTGGCTGTTCATATTCTGCCCTTCCTCTGGAGATCAGCTCCAATCCCAAACTTTTCCAAAGTCTGCATTGACTCCCTTGGGTTTCTGCCTGAGCTCTCTCTCCTTTGGACACTGGACTGCCATCCCATTAACTGTTGATGTTGTCATCAGTGATCAGCTCCTGGTCATAAACTAAGGAAGAGTTAGGTGGGAGCACTGGCACTGAGGGTCCATGTGCTCACTTAGCTTTCCAGGGAGGGGCTAGACCACAGGTACTCTTCACCCCACGAGCCAAAAGGAGTGGATCTAGAGTGACCATTGCAAGGCCTCAAAGAGAAACGAAGAGTGAGGAGTGATGGGGAAAGAGCCAAGGGGACCATCCCTGAGTCATGGGCGTGCCTTGGGTTGAGGCTAAAGGTTCAAGAGGGAGGAGTAAAGAAGGGAAGGAAACTGTCAGGAGTGATTGCTGTCATGTGGAAGAAGCCTAAACATGAAGTCATGAGAGACGCACCTTGTGGCTGGTGGGAATGCTACACAATCATGCAACATGTGCCTAATTTTCTCAACTAAATTGCAAGCTGATGTCTTACTATTGACAGGAATAAAGTTTCATAAGGTGTTCCCTGCAGTGGCCTGACTGTGCAAGGTGCTGATAGATACCTGCTAGTTGATAATGATGCCTCTCACATGGCCAGTCATTTTAGCAATTAGTTTCATTGATATTGTGGGACTGGGCTTATTGGAGATTTGACTGAATTGACCATTTCAGCCACTACAGCCTTTGCAGAATTTGTGTCTGTCAACCTGGCCTTCCCAAGGAAATGGAGGTTAGGCAATAAGGAATGTGTTCATTTTATTGCCATTTTACTACCACAGCATGGTAGATTCCAGCTATTAATCCTCATGGTATAAGGTGCTTTTTATATCTTCAAAAATAGGGTATAGCCTTGATCTCTCTTCTTGCTGCTCTGGAATTAAAATAGAAATCTTTATCCCTATCTCAAAATCTTTGGGGCAGGTTAGGAGAGCTGGGCTTCAGGATCATCCAGCCTAGTGCTTAGGTCTGTTTACAGCTCAGCAACATTTCCATTGGTTGAGGGATATTGTTCAGCAGCCACTGAACATCAGGCTCTGACCTCTTGTTTCTTTGCTGTCTAACCCAGCAGACCATCCTCGGTTAATACTTACTCTGATTCAGCCTAGCAAAGAAGATCAGAAGCAATTCTGTGTCCGCAGGCTCCCTTTCACACCTTTAATATTTTGTATTTTGCAAACATTTTGAGTTAGTTAGCAGGTCTCTTGCTTTCTCTTGAGGGCTGGGCACAAATGTTCAAGAATAATCATTGTAATGGCATCTCTCTGATTAAAAAGACAGCTGGCAAGATTGAGATAGAACATCAAATTCTGAAACATCATTAGCAGGATTCTATTTTGGTTAGGTATAATCTTCTGTGAGGTCATCATGTTGTCTTCGATGAGTCTAACCATTTTATATCATTTAGATCTAAACAGACCCATCATGTCACAGGCAAATGGCTTTATCATATTTAATTAACCCAACACCATGTAATAATCTCCCTGGTAATTATCCCTCACTAGTGCTTGAAAGCGTGCTGCAACAAATAAATCATCAAAGTTGCAGGTATACTTAAACTGTTATTTGGTGCCGTGGCAGAAGAATATTGACAAGTCACAGTGCAATCCTAATTATACTAAGAAAATGTAAATGGCTTCATCAAAAAAAGAAAGAGCCAGATGGCAGGTTTTATATACTGTATCCTCCTGTGTTAGAAAATGGGGTATTAAAAAGGCTTCATGCCCTCAGCATCAGGGAAGAAGAAGAAATAAAGGCTGATACCTCTGTCTTTATGGAGGCCACGTTGAACCTCTAATTCTGGAGAATGGTAACATTGAAGAGGACATTAGTGGCCATTGACGTTTATGTCTCCTGATGCCACCCTACATATAAGTGAATGAATATTACCAGGATGAATGCTACTTTTCTTATGATAGGAATTGATTGAGGAGGATAGGAGCAATTCCATGATGCCCTAGATTTTACTTTATGTTTGCAAATGACAAATTATTCACAGAAAGACATGTGCCCACCAGGTGGTGAATCAATGTGTTTCCATTGACCTGGCTTTTCTAATGCATCAGCAAGAACACATTTACCGGAATGCATTGCAATTAAAAAGCAAAATTCAGTTGGAAACAATGGACTTAAACCTACGAAATGTGACAGGATAAGTCAGAGAGGAAATTTGATTTCAATGGTGAGATTAACGAGCCCATGAATGCATGGTGCATACGGCACAGACAAAGATAACTGAATTGGATTTTCAATAAGCATAGAGTTCTAGATTTCCCTGTTCTTGAATTGTGTACCGTACCACCCAGCTGCTGTCCCCAGCTAATTTTGCCAGAGCTGGATGTCAGCCAAAGCACAACTGTCTATGGCTTGGGAAGTTCTCCTTTGAGTCAGATTATTTAGTTAGCTCAGGCTGGTAACTGCCACAGAACCTGGCTGTGATTTGGTCTTATTAGAAAACAAATTTGGAAAGTATTAGAGAATAGTGTTCGAATAGTAATGTTTTCCCTTGCTTTCCTTAATATTTCCTTTGTGTGAGTGTGTGTTTTTGTGCACATTGCACTGTTGTTACCCAACCAATCAGAAATTCTGTTTATTATAAAAGTAATTCTCCTTAATTAGAGAAAATTTGGAACGTAAAAAAGGAAAAGGAAGAAAATTGCTCAAAGTTTGCAGTCCAATTATAATGGTTCTTGACCGTTTAGTTATTTAGTCTTTTTCCTTTATGCATACATTTTGAAATTGTTGGTTTAGTTTTTTTATAGTTTGACTCATCAAAAATCATATATTCACTATCCTGCTTAAAAAATCATCATAAGTTTAATCTATATAGTTACATATTCAATCATTATGCTTTGAGTTATATTGACATTCCATAGACAGATGTCATTTCATGATTTTTAAGCAGTCAATTTTCAATTACTGCATAATATTCTTCCATTTGGAGATACATATTTTAGTTCAGTATTATTGTGGCACACTTATTTTCTATATTTCCTTTTTTTCTGGAGACAGAGTCTCAGTCTGTTGCCCAAGCTGGAGTGCAGTGGCGTGATCTCGGCTCACTGCAACCTCCGCCTCCCAAGTTCAAGCAATTCGCCTGCCTCAGCCTCCCGAGTAGCTGGGACTAAAAGCGCACACTGCCATGCCCGGCTAATGTTTTGTATTTTAGTAGAGATGGGGTTTCACCACATTGCCCAGGCTGGTCTTGAACTACTAAGCTCTGAGCTCAGGCAATCCCCCCGCTTCGGCCTCCCAAAGTGCTAGGATTACAGCCGTGAGCCAACACACCTGGCCCAATAGTTCCAATTTTTTATGTGTATATTTTTAAAAAATTAAGTTGTGACTTTAGCGTGAATTGAAATTTGTTTGACTATACTTCATAAACCCTTTTATATTGTTTTATAATTTTTTGCAAACATAATTTTTAACAATGCATAACTTGTTTATCACAAGTCAGACCCAGAATATTTAGCTCTTCCTTTGTGTTCATTCACTGAAATCAAGGTGCTTTCCAGTTTTTTACAATGATAAATAATACTTTGACTTATCAATTAATTAAAATGTGTTATATGTCAATTATATACAGAGCACTGGGCTAAACTGGTTATCTGTGTACATAAACTTTCCAAGTTTGGGATTGTCTGCTTAGAAAGGATATATTAAATTGGTACCATTGGACCCAATATGACTGGTGTTTGTAAGGGTCTAGGTAGAGGCTGCTTGATAGCATTTGTAAAGGGCAATTAATCTATTCTGCCGTCAGCATTACAGCTCGCTTCACCACACCTGTGCACTCAACGACTCTTCCTCCCCGAAAGTGGAGACAGTGAGGCAAAGGACATGGAGAAACGGAGGCTCGGAGAGTTTCAGTAACTTTCCCCAGTCCACCAGCTTGTATCGGAATTGGGATTTGAGCTCAGGTCTGTCCAGCTTTAGAATGCAAACTCTTAAGTGCTGCCTTAAGTTTGCTTCCCCAGAAGAAGGTCCTGGGATGAGAATTTGTGTTAAAGTGATGTATCGGAAAGGTTGCTAGGAAAAACGTATAGGGAAGTGGGAACTGAGTTTGGCAAGAGGGAGACTGAGCAAGGGTGTCATCTCAAGCGAAGTTCCATTGAGATAACTTTGGCCTCATCTTCCAGGGAGACTGGGAATGATGTGATTTGCACTTCAGTGCTGGCCCCTTTGGGGCAAGGCAACTTGAGTATTTATAACTCTTGACCCACAAGTCCTTGGTTAAAGGCTGCTGGGATAGTGGGCAGGCAGGGGCACAAGTTGTCAGATGCTTCTGTACTTCATGTGTTACAGACAAAGCAGATCCACTAGATGCAGCCTTTTGGAAAAAGACACAGATGCCCTTGATGTGCTGGTGTCGGTTAGCAATGGCTTGGAAGAGCTGGATGTTAAATTGTTAGGAATTTTGCAATCTGGTTGACCCCACTGACAGCTTGAAATCAGCCATGGTGAGAGTATCTACACCATGGAAATTGGCCAACATTACAAATTAGGGCTCCCTTCCCTCCACCCAGAAGTGTTCAGTAAATATTTACTGGCATACTACCGGAGCTGCTGGCCTTTGGGAATGGAAGCATACTGGGGGTCCGTGTGCACTAAAATGGCAAAGAAAATCTAGGGGATGTGGATGGTGCAGGGACAGCATCTACTGCAGCACTCATGTATACCAGCTGCAATATGGTAGGAAACCTGCCCCTGCCCACACAGGCTAGGCAGAGGTGTGTGAGAAAAAGGGAACTGGTGAGAGGGAGGGGAACATGCTGGATTTCAGAGCAAGGTCTCTCAACCTGAGGTGGCCTGGGTATGAGACATGCTACGCAGAAAAAAACCTAGAAATAACTGAGATTAAAATAGCTAACTAAGCTACTGAATACTTGCACTGCCAGGCACTGAGCTAGATGCTTTACTTTGGCTAATCTTCATAGGAGCCCTAGGAGGTAGATTTCATCATCATCATCCTCACTCTAACTATTATTATCATCTTTGTCATCCTTCTTCTACAGATGATAAAATTGAGATTTAGAGAAGTAAAGTAATATGTCTAACATCATAGTGGGATGGCTGAGCTCTGAACCCATTCAATCTGACTCCAAATGCAAAGATTGAATAACTTTGACAGAATAGGTCCCACTTCCTATGGACTGAGTACACATGGTTGTGGGGGCATAGGTTGCTTCAGTGGCCATCAGGATGACCTGGGAGTAACCTAATTTTACGTGATTATAGGCTTAACCATCTGGTTATCAGGAAAAAAAACCATGTAGAGAGCGCACGAGAGCCCAGAATCAGTAGCTGGGCCTCCTGGTGTGGAAAGGATAGAACTCAAATCTCATCGAGGGATGGAAGTCTGGATACACTCCTTTCATCTCTCAGAATCAGCTCCAGGCTGGCCCAAAACAAATGATACAGAGGCTGAGAAAGGCAGAGCAAACCTGGGACATGGGGCTGAGCCAGCAGAATCATTAGCAGTCAGGCTGTGTGAATTTTTTTGTGGTAAGAGAGATAAATGTCCCTCTTGTTCTTTGTGGTTTCCTTTGCCATAAGAGCCACTGCTTTGTGAAAGTTCTTCTTTCCTTTCTCTGGCTTGCCCATCCCTGGATTGATGTAGTAGCCAGCAGCAAGGACATATGAAGGGTCTGGAAGTGGAAGGCTGCCACCCCTGCCCTGCTCCCACTTCTGGGCCCCCAGGGATCCCCTGACATAAACAGTCCTGCAGGAGGAAATAATAGGTGGACTTGTCCCTGTGACACAGTGGAGGTAGGTCTGGAAGTTTCCTTTGAACATTAGGTAGGTCTCAGCTTTGTATTTCAGGTGCTTTTATCATGTGTTTTATCCTGTAACAGTACATTCTAGAGCTACCTTTCAAGTGTCATCAATCTCCAATTCATTTTATATTTTCCTCTATGTATGTACATTTGTATGTATGTGTGTTCAGTTACCATTATGAAGTAACTGACCTGAAGCAAACTGAAAATAAATCTTGCCTTATGTTGCCAACATTGCATTTTTTTTTCTTTTTCTTAATTTATCTGTGAATATTGTTTTTCTTCTTCTTCTTCTTTTTTTTTTTAAATGGAGTTTCACACTGTCACCCAGGCTGGAGTGCAATTGCGCGATCTCAGCTCACTGCAACCTCCGCCTCCCGGGTTCAAGCAATTCTCCTGCTTCAGCCTCCCAAGTAGCTGGGATTACAGCCACCCACCACCACCCCTGGCTGATTTTTTGTGTTTTTGGGAGAGACAGGGTTTCACTATGTTGGCCAGGCTGGTCTCAATCTCCTGACCTCGTGATCCACCTGCCTTGGCCTCCCAAAGTGCTGGGACTACAGGAGTAAGACACCGTGCCCGGCCAGTATTGTTCTTCTTTATACCTAATTACTCATCATTGGAATTCTCTTTAAAAAAAAAATGTGCTTCCCTAATTGGTTGCCAACAGAGAGGCTACATCATAGTGGTTAAGAATATAGGCTCTTTTCCCTTGACTGAAGCAGTGATTAAAACAAAAAAATAAGAAAGAATATAGGCTCTGGTGTCATACTGCCTGGGTTGGAGACCCAGCTCTTCAATTTACATCTGTATGACTTCAGTTCATTTTTTTTTTTTTTTCATTTCTACATGGCTTGGTTTCCCCATCTGTAAATTGTGGATACTTACACTAGCTATCTCATAGGTTATTGTGAGAAATAAGTGAGTCTGTATGTATGAAGCCCATAGAAATATACATAACATAGAGGAAGCACTACCTAGTGTCAGGGTCTACCACTGTGTATTCTTTAGGAGGTTTCAATCTTGACCTTCAGAAAAAGAATTATTTCATTCAACAAGCATTTATTGAAAATTTCCTTGGTGCTCATCTCTGTGCCATGTCCTTTCATATAGATTTTATCTGACATAACTTAATTCTTACCATCACCCTGTGTTAAAGTTATGGTGTTCATTTTCTAGGGTTTAAGTTCTGGAAATGCTGTGTGCTCACTGTATCCACCAGGATAGGTGAGGCTCTGCTGCATTCATGAACAGTCACAGATCTCAGAGCCTGTGAGCGGGTTTAATTCTCCTTCATGAGAAGCCCCCTGGTCAGGGTGTGTTCCTGCACCTGGTGGGGCAGCATGGTGGGCTATCCCCTCCTATGGCTCCTCTGTTACCAAACAAGCTCTTCCTATAGCTGCAGCTGAGGAATAAAAATGCTGGAGAATCTTGGCGGTTAAATGCTTTGACTTGGAAATAAAATGGATCAGTTCTACCTGCAGCCCAGGAGCAAGATTGGGTTGCAGACTCTACCTAATGGCCCTAGAGACTGTAATCCTCCCACGTGCTGGAAGGAGAGTAGAATAGGGTATGGTGAACAGGAGATGTCTCTACCACTCACTTGGGACTGTGAGCACCTGTCTATACCTCGGCTGTCTTATCTGTGAAATGAGGATGACAGCTGTACCTACTGCATATAGTTGTGATAGAGTGAATAGATAAATGCATGTAAAGCTCTTAGCACACTATATGGCACTCAGAACATAGTCAAAATGGGGTCACTGTAATCATGATATACAAGAAAGTCAGCGGAGCCTCCTAATACAGTAAAGTAACCATTGTTTTGAATAGTCACGTGTGGATATCAAGTCCAGTTATATTACTTACCAGCTGTATGTATGAGCATGGGGAAGTTATTTACCTTCTCTGACTTTTACTTTTCTCTTACGTAAAATGGTGTGGGATCACACTCACCCCATAGGCTGCATCAAGGGTTAAATCGCTAACATTTACTGACACCTTGGAAAGATGAGCTAAGCGTTTAAAACCTGTTGGCTCATTTATGTCTATGTCAATGCTATGGGAAAGGTACTCTGTTATCCCCCATTTTATAGCAGAGGAAACTAAGCCTCAGAGAGGTTAAGTAATGTACCCAGGCCTCTCTAACTGCTAAGTGGTAGAGCAAAAAGTGAAACCCAGGCATTTTGTCTTCTCAATTAATGATCTTAATACGCATTACAGCCTCCCTGAGATCAGTTGGGTAAAGCTCTGAGCACAGGGCCAGGCACAGTGTACACCCTTGCAAAAATATTAATTTGCCTGGGTGCAAGGTGAGGGACATATCCTTTTCCTATTCTGAAACTCTACTCTGCTTAGGATGCATACTGATGGCTCTTTTTTTGTGAATGGATGGAAGTATGAAAGGAGCAGTAAGAAAGGGCACTATCAGGCTGCATGCAGTGGCTCACATCTGGAATCCCAGCACTTTGGAAAGCTGAGGCCAGCAGATCACTTGAGGCCAGGAGTTCAAGACCAGTCTGGCCAATGTGGCAAAACACTCTCTCTCCTAAAAATACAAAAATTAGCTGAGGACAGTGGTGCATGCCTATAATCCCAGCTACTTGGGTGGGTGAGGCATGAGAATCGCTTGAACCCAGGAGGCAGAGGTTGCAGTGAGCCGTGATTGTGCCACTGCATTCCAGCTTGGGTAACAGAGCAAGACTGTTGAAGAAAGGAAGGAAGGGATGAAGGAAGGAAGGAAGGGATTAAGGGAGGGAGGGAGGGAGGAGAGGGAAGAAAAAGAAGGAAGGAAGGAAAGAAGGAGAGAAAAGAGAAAAGAAAAGAAAAGGCACTATCTATGCCATATGCTTTTGTGAGACTATCAAGGCCTGCATGCAAAAAAACCCAGTGCAGAGTTGGTGGTCAATTAGCTGGAGTGCTTTATTATTTTTAATAATCAGCCATGCTTAGTGGGAGTCTCTGAATCTGTAGTTATGACTGTAGTAAATGGGACACAAAGGGAGCAGCTGGACATACCGGCAAGTATTATAATGTGCAGACAACCTGCAAATATGAACCTTCTTTTCAAATAAGAATCTCAGTGCTGTCACTATTTGTTTTAGGAAGTGCTGGTTTTAACTGAATGAGGAAGTTAAACGCATGTTCTGTTTTTTGTTTTCATTGCGCCCACATGGGTTGACTGTGGGTTCGGTTTTCTCTCCAGATTGAACACTTAGTACTTAATGGGGGAACCACCTTGGAAAAGCAGAACTGATTTGAGGTGGCTTCATCCCTCTCTTCTCCCACCAGAAAGAGATGGGAGCTTCCACTTCAACCTGGGGTGAAGACAGAGAACAAGGTGTCCCAGCATTTTGCACAGAACCAAAGCCCTGGAAATTCTGGTGGAAGCTAGACATTCAGAGTCATCAAGCTAACAGTCACTTCCTGCTATGTGCCAGATACTATGCTTTTCACAGACATCTCATTTACATTTCCCAGAACATCAGGTTGGAGTGCAGTGACGTGATGCAATCATAGTTTCCTGCAGCCTTGAACTTCTGAGTTCAAATGATCCTTCTGCCTCAGCCTCCCAGGTAGCTAGGACTACAGACATACACTACCACACCTGGCTGAGTTTGTTTGTTTGTTTGTGTGTTTGTTTGTTTATTTTGTAGCAATAGCATTTCACTGTGTTACCCAGAGTGGTCTCCAACTCCTGGCCTCAAGCAATCCTCTCGCCTCCACTTTCCAAAGTGCTAGGATTACAGGCACGAGCCACTGTGCCCAAAAGTTAAGATTCTTGTAGCTGCTTTATAGAAGATGAACTGAGGATCAAGAAGGTGAGACTTGATGTGAGTCAGATAGTGAATATGCTATAGAAAACTAAACCCAGTTCCTTTGGGGACTTGGAATTTGGCATCAATATTGTCACCGGGCTTTAATTTTGCTTAACTCCACACTGTGGTCTTTGTGAATGGTGCCTCCAAGAGTTGTGCCCCTGGGTGGGCCTGAGCTGAAACATCAGGTAGATGCAATAGGCCTTGTCTTTTGTGACAGTTCTGTACCATCGTCTATAATATATCTGTATTAGTAATCTATGGTTATACAACAAATCACCCCAAAACTTAGCAGCTTAAAACCATATTTATTATTCCACAATTTCTGTGCAGCAAGAATATGGGTGCAGCTTAGCTGGGTCTTTGGGCCATAATCAAGGCTAAAATCAAGGTGTCAACTGAGGCAGCAGTCATCCTAAGACTTGACTGGGCATGGGTTGGCTCCTGAGCTCATTCATGGGATTGCTGGCAGGATTCTGCTTTTTCAGGCTGCTGGACTGAGGGCTTTGCTTCCTTGCTGGCTATTGGATGGAAGAACCCTTTAATTCCTTGCCTTTTGGACAGCTCCAGAGGGAAGCTCACAACAGGACAACTTGATTCGTCAGAGAAAATAGGTGAGAAGAGCCAGAAAGCCAGAGGGCCAAGAAAACAGAAGCCACAGTTTTTGATAACAGTCATAGAAGAGATGCCCTGACACTTTTGTTGCCTTCTATGCTTTAGAAGCGAGTCAGTAAGTCCACCCCACCCTCAGTGGAGGGGATTACACAAGGACATGCATATGAGGAGGCAGGGTTCACTGGGAGCCAGCCACTGCCTACTACAAGAACCGTGATTATTTTAACGCAAAATGATGGGTCAAATTCCTTTTATTGGGTAGAATTGTCCCTCCAGAAAAATCTCTTTTGTCTTGAATATTCATGCATGCTCTGGTACCTCTCTTTCTGTGATAAGGACGTTCCAGTTTGAAAAACCTGAGTTTATTAGTCAAATTGTGCTGGTGTAGAAATATTCCCTCTCTTTCAAATAACTTTGCATCCACCTGCTTTGACTCATGATGTTGAATCTAATTTTATTACAGAGTTTTGGATGGTGGGGGCATTTCCACGTTGCTGCTATGTACTTTCTATACAAATAAGTGTTGACCTTTGAAGTAGTCTCCCTGGAATAGAAGGTTTTAAACTCATTGATGATGCAAACTTTGCTTAAGACCTTGTTGTAGCTTCTCTTTGGGAATGGCCTTTGGAATCACGACCAGAAAAAAAAAAAAAAAAAAAAAAAGGTCTGCTTTATCTATTCTCACTACACAGCATTTATTAGATATGGCTGCCAGGGAGATATCTCCTTCCTCACTGATTGTTATTCTATGCATTTTCTTCCTAAAACTAGTAGATTTGAACTCATACCTATCTAGAGCCCTCATTATGAACAACAGCTTTAAAGCACGCAAGGCACTAGGAACCCCTATTTAATCATTTACAGAAAAAACATGGCAAAGACCACCACCTCCTTCCTTAATTCCATGGTGGATTTAAAATGCTTAGATTAGCTGAGTCTTAGGAACTGAAGTATCCTTGGTGTTTCATTTGTGATAATTTTAAATACAAGTGTTGGTCTGAAGAAAGGAAATGATCAGGAATTAGCCCTGGAGCCTGCTGTGTATATTAAATCAATCTCAGATGGAAGAATTGAGATCCCGGAAAGCAAAGAAATGGCTGGACTTAGAGAGGAAAGATAATCTAGAAGTGTAAAGTTAGGGTGGGAGGGAGAAGGGTAAAGCTTGAGTAATGAGTCCACTGAAAACTATTTTTTAAATGTAATAAATACGTAAGTAGCAGTTACTGTATGCTAGATATCCTTCTAAGTGCTTGACAAATTTACTCCTTAGAAGCTAAGTACTATTTTCCCCATTTTCTAGATGAGAAAACCGAGGTGTAGGGAAGTTGAGGGACATGTCCAAGATCACACAGATAGTAGGCAGTCCAGCTTCAGAATCTGTGGTCTCTACCAGTGCACTTTGCCACTTCACAGAACTATCCAGCCAGAAAGAGCAGAGGCCGCTTTGAGAATTTCTGTGCAGGTCCAAGCGTCCACTTAAATCAGGGCTCCTAACACAGCAGTTCTCCAATGTCCTGTAGAAAACATTCTTGTTCCCTTGGGACAAGAGAAATCTGAACTCAGTTGTGCAAAAAAGAGGGTCTGGGAATGAACCAAGAGGGATGGTCAGTGGCTCCAAGGGGCGGAGCGGGAGAAGGCAAAGGAGAGGGGCCAGGAGAGAATGCCAGGAAAAACCAGAAGAAAGATTTAAACAAACCTCATAATTTACCTGTAACCGACAGCTCTCCTTGGATAGTTTATCTGGGCACTCTATTCCACCAGAACCAGATTGTTGGAGTTGTTTCAACAGAGGAATGCAGAGCTTAAGTGTGTCTGTGCTGTGTGAATATACCTTTGTGTATCTGTGTAGCAGGTAGTGGTAGAAAGATTTTGGAAGTCGAGGGAGATGACTGAAGTAGAGGGAAAGGTGGGAGGTCATGGCTCTCATAGTATTTTGTCACGAGGTAACTTTGACAACCCCTGAGAATCGATCAGTCCCCCAAGAAGTCAAATACATCTGCACATGTGTATCATGTTACTGCATCTTACCTTGACAGGCGCACTTTAGGGGATGCAGTCTCTGCCCTTTTGTGCCAGGAGCAAATCCATTTTGCCCATGATTTCAGGTACACAGGTGATTTCGCCAAACAAAACAAGCACAGCTGAAATCTGTGACTTAAATCAAGCAACGGTGTCTGCAATAGTCTCATTGCAGAGACTTCTGCTCCCTTGTTGCTTGTAGGAATGGGGGTGGGGAAAGGTCAGGACTATATATTTAAGAAAAAAACCCCACATATGTCGACCCACAAGTGGTTACAACAACATTGGTTTACTTGAAAGCTCTGTCTCCACTCTCCCTACAAAAATTCAAGTAAGAACCTGGAATGCAAGGAGGTGGAAGAGTTTTCTCTCCTTGCCAATCTCTCCCTTGCTCTCTGATAAAAGGTGCGGCAAACAGGGTAGAAATGACTGCACGGGACCAGAGGATGTAAATATTCAGTCATGACAGTCCCCATAGGATAAATGACAGCAGCCCATGCAATGTGCCTTCTGCACATTTTCAACTGACTCTTCCCCTCTGCAGCCAAGTTGACATATTAGTAAATTGATTCCAGGTGATGCTGACATTTTGTAATTATCACTATCTATAATTTTCATCTTATCCCATTTAATATTTTGATCATTTAAAATAGAGTAGCATACCTAATAGTGGTCATTAGTTTAGCTCAAGGGAAGATTCATGGTTTAATAAACTTACATTAGAAATAACTTACTAAAATTACAATTGGCATGATTAGCTACTTTTTTAAATAAAACATAACAGAGTGACTTTACCCATGCTGACAGCTTTTTTCTTTCACGCTGGTTCATTGTTCTATTGTTGTCTTGGAGGAAGAAAAGACATGTATAACACAGAAGTTGTAATAAAAACTGTAATAACCCGATACACAAAAACAAGGGTTATATTTCATTCTACATTTGACAGTAGCTGAGTAGTGTACTTTTTCTTGTTTTCTGACTGGACTGGAGGGAGGAAATCACTGTGACTTTGAATCAGGGTCACATTTGGGGTAGCTGTCCTCTTCTCCTGCTGTCTGGAGAGACTGTGAGGTTGCCTGAAAGGCAGTGGGATTTAGGCTTGACTTCCTTATTTCCCTAGGCATTGATTTTTTTTAAGTGTATCTTCTGAAGTTTGCCTCTAGGTTCACTTGAGGTATCATTTCTGAAGAATAAAAGTGGCAGTTTTAATATGCAGGCAATTTTTTAAAACAATGAAATAGAGATGTGATTATTGCCAGGGCAAGGCTGTTTAGTTGCCACAGGGAAACATTATACCAATTGGCCTATAGCTTGAAATTACAGCATTCTCTATATTCGTCCAGCTTTAGGGAAATGCAGACCACAAGGGTCCTGCCTACCGTTCTGCTTGCTGGTGGTTCAGGTTTTGTGAACTTATACAAGGGCTTGGTATTTGAATGCTATCTTAATGAGAATAAGCTTTTTTGTTGTGTACATTGGCAACTTGATGGCTAAGGTCATTCTCCATCCATTTGTCTAGCTACCCACACACCTATACATCCATCTACCCATCTGTCCACCCACTCACCCATCTATTCACCTATCCATCCACCCAGCTATTTATCTATCATCCATCCATCCACCCACCTACCCACTTATTCACCAATCCACCTATTAATCTATCCATCTACCCATCCATTCAGCTATTCATCTACCTATCAGTCCATCTATCTATTCAACCTTTCACATATCCACCCACTTACCTCCCCTCTCATCCATCAATATAGCCTTGTATCCATCCACGTAACCACTCATCCTTAAACAAAAATCAGTTGGCAAAACTGTAAGCATTGGTAATAAAGAGACATATAAGTCGCAGTTCTGTCCTTAAAGAGCTTAGGATCTAGTACGGGAGTATATGTAAACCAAAAATTACACAACAGTGTGCTCAGTGCACCTACAGAGAACTGTGCCGTGTTGCTGTGGGAACTCTAAAGAAAGAATGGTTTACTGTGTCTGAAGGATTCAAAGAAGGAGGCACACATGTGAACCTAAATGTCATATGTGGTAAAAGAGGAAGTAACCAGCCAGGGGTGAGGAACACAACAGCAGGAAATTAAGTAGCTGATGAATATTCAGACTTGAAGTTCCTCCTAAAGTGCCCATTTGTTGTTTGGTAGAAATATGGATATGTAGGAGGGGGCCTCTACCAGGGTGCAGAACATATGGTGGTATTATTAGGGCACCAGGCAGGAGCTGAAGTAGGGGCTCAGAAAGCCAATCACAAGAACCAGGATTCAGGGTGGGCCTGTGGTTTTGAATGGAAGAAAGGAGAAAAGAGTAAACAAATGGGCTGGGCACAATGGCTCACGCCTGTAATCCCAGCACTTTGGGAGGCTGAGGTGGGTGGATCACGAGGTCAGGAGTTGGAGACCAGCCTGGCCAACATGGTGAAACTCTGTCTTTACTAAAAATACAAACATTAGCCAGGCAAGTGCCTGTAATCCTAGCTACTGGGGAGGCTGAGGCAGGAGAGTCACTTGAACTCGGGAGGCGGAGGTTGCAGTGAGCCAAGATCGTACCACTGCACTCCAGCCTGGGCGACAGTGCCAGACTCCATCTCAAAAAAAAAAAAAAATAATAATAAACAAATGGATGCATGAACAAGTGCATAATAGGTAGATAAATACACCTTAGGAGACAGATCAAAATGCAGACTTGAATTTAATTGGCACAGACACTTAATTATGCATCTTGACATCTTTGACCAAAAACAAAATGCCAAGAACAAAAGCAGCTTCACGACCAAGCACATGCTGGAATCCGGCCTTCTGTCTGCCTTACTCCCGCTGCTGGTGAAGCTGCAGGAATCCTGACAGGAGCAGGCTGCCTTTCAGCTCCAAGTTCCTGGCACTAAGTTCTGCGCAGGGGCCTGGGCGAGGTCTTTATGACTTTCCAGAGGCTTCCAGGTCTCTATTGAAATGCAACAGCTGTTACTAGGGGCAACTCTACTTCCCAAACAAGAACATAGACTTTGTGGAGCTTTCCCAGGTGCTGTGAACCCAGCATTGCCAAACAATGCCTGGGACCCACAGCGTCTCCTTCCCCCATGGAGTTTAAATAGATTGGAAGCAAATGCTTGTTGACAACAGGTGTGGCTCAATGTGAGCAAACGTTCCATTCCGTTATTGCAGGGTTGGCACCGAGGGACATTTCCTGTGAAAGAAACAGGCTTCCAGGAGCATGGGCAATCCATACTCATAGCCAGACCTGCTCAGCTCCTCCCCTTCAGGGCCAAAGACCGCAAAGCTCCGTGAACAGGTGCTCCTAATAAATGCAGAGTTTTCCATAGCCCAAGCAAGGCTAGCAGGGAGGGGAGGGGTCCCTGGCCACAAAGCTCCAACCAGCCAACTGATCAGGCTTTCTGCGATGATGGAAGTGGCTGCATCATCATTAACTCAGCTAGATTAACCTGTTCAGCAGAAGCTTGCAGAGCTGCGTGAGCCTGCCTTCCACTCAGCTTGAATTAAAGAGATTGGGCTGCAAGGACACAGAGAGGTGAGCCCCAGGAGGTGGGGTCCCAGTCCTGAGATTAGTGACAGCAGCCCTGAGGATGTAGAGAAAAACTTCTTACTCCTTTGAAAAATGTGTGCAGTGATTCTTTTCCTCCCTGAGCTGTCTTGGAGCCAAAGTAAGTTCTTCACGGAACTAAATGGAGTTGCTTGTTCAATGAGATTCTAATTTCAGTGAGAGGACTTCTCGGCTACATATGTATTGCTTTGGGAAGTCCTCCCTTCCGAGGCAAGGGCTTCTCCACACCTAGGATTTGATGTAGAATTACTAGGGCAGTATGTAAGGACAGAGAAAGAACAGAGGCAGCGGCAGGCTTCTGACAAGGGAATACTGGTAATCAGGCTCTCTGCATAATTTTTGGAGATTTGGAGATGGAGTTAGTGGAGGGAAAGAAAGAAACGGATATAATTAGAAAAAGAAAAAAATACTAATGTCTTCACAATACTTAATGTTAGAAATTCAATTTGTTTTTTTCTTCTACCTCCGCAGGCTCTACATGTTCCTGGAGGTGTGTGTGGCTGGGCAATTATCCTTTTTCACTCTTGCCCAGTGCTTGTTTTGAATGCAAATGTATTAGTTCAGATGGGCCAAGTTGCAGTAAAAGAAATCCACCCCCAAATTTCGGTGGTTTAACAGAACAGATGTTCTTATCCTGCTTACCCAACAGCTCTAGTGGGTGTTTCTTCTATGAAGCTGCTCAGAAACTCAGGCTGATGGGTGACCCTGCCATTTTCAACATCTGGTCTTCAAAGTGACCTTAGACGTTGACATCCCTGTCGGCCAGAATGCAGAAGTATCACGGCGCAGCATGTGGGAGAGGTTCTTATGGACTGTGCCTGGAAGTGGCAGACATTGTCCCCATCACTTGGTCAAATGACCACACCTACCAGCAAGGGCAATGAGGAAATGTGGTCCAGCTGTGTGTGTACAGGAAGAAGGGACAGCGAATGCTCTCCCCCACACCCTGCTTTCAGGGTTTATCCTTGTCATTTATTGAGGGCCTGCTATGTGCCCTACATTGTCCTAGGAGCTGAGGATACAGCTGTCCACAGAATACCCACGGTCCTTGCCCACACATGGTTAGAACCTAGTGAGGGAAGAAGAAGAATTAATACCTCTTTATAAAATTAATTAATTACACTTTGGATAAGGGTCATAGGGGAAAACTTCAGGGCACCATGAGAGCTGGTAACTCTCTCTATGGTGAGGTGAAGGGGAAGTAGAGGAGGTTTCTGGGAAACAGTGACATTCAAACTGGCAAAAAGAAAGCAAAACAGACTTAACCAGGCAGATGCACAGCAGGGTGGCATTTTAGGAAGTGGGACCAGCAGCTGAAAAGTCCTTAGGCAGAAAATAATTTCAAACATTTTAGACCCTTCCTCCAAAGGGCAGCGAGGCTGATGCACATTGAAGAGGCCAGAGAGCGCCTTGAAATGAGACAGAAGAGCTGCTCCGGGCTGAGATGGAAGTCATCTTCCTGGACTCAGACAGTTAGGGCTACTCCTTAGCAGTAGTGGGGGCCCGCTCATGGGTGTAAGAAAGAATGTAGCATGATCAGCTGTGCTTGTCAAAAATCTGCTCTGCCTGATGAAGTCTGAAGGAGGGAGGGTACTGCAGTCTTTCAGGGGAGAGACGGGGGCTTGCGTTCGGGGCTGGCAGTTGAAACGGAGAGACATAAGATAGATTGTTGAAATAGGAAGGGGAAGACATGAGACTCTCTTATGTCTAAATGTCTAACATGGGTTGGAAAGGCTGCCCACCAGTCCCAGGTATGCAGGCTTGGCACTTGGCTCATTTGAAAGAGAGACAACTAAGCCATAACTGGTTTATCCTTTTCCTCTGCAGTTTTATGGCCTTCTTGACTTCAGGCCTATTTAATAAAATGCAGCTCTTTAAAATGGATGTTCAGTGGAGCTCAAATTCACCCTCAATGTGCACTTCTGCGGACTTTGATTAGTATGCATAATAGAGCAGCACACCTGATGTCCGCAGCAGGCAGTTCTAATGCCGGTGGAGAGAGGTACAAGATAAATCACTCCAAGTAAATGACTAATTAATCATGCACTTGATTTTAATAACATATACCATCTGGCTCAAGATTTGTCTGTCTACAATCTTGTATTCCATTCTAGAGATTTGATAATCAGTAAAACCACCCATGGATTCCTAATTGAGGACAATTTCTTTCCTTTCTTTTAGAAAACTTAGGAATCAAAGTGTATTCCAGTAACTGCATGGAAGGGGCTGGAGGGAGAAGGTTATTGTTATATATAAAGTCGCGGTACCGCAAAAGAAATAGCAGTCGAATATAAAATTTTATTTTTAATTCTCAGCAAGGCAAGTTACTTCTATATAGAAGGGTGCACCCTTACAGATGGAACTATGGTGAGCCCACATTTGGACAAGAGAGGGGAAGGGGTTCTTATCCCTGATGCACGTGGCCCCTGCTACTGTGTGGTTCCCCTGTTGGCTAGGGTTAGACCACACAGGCTAAACTAATTCCGACTGGCAAATTTAAAGAGAATGATGGAGTGAGTGCTTTGGCAGGAGTCAAGGCAGAGCAGGTAGCAAGTAATCTGAATGAGTTAGGGTGAGCAAGTGATCAGAATGAGTTAGGGTGGAGCAGGTGATCAGAATGAGTCAGGGTGGAGTAGGTAATGGAAAACGGTTGCTTTACGAGGAAGTTAAGTTTAGAAGTAGAAGGCAAAGAATTGCACATACTGACATATTCTTTGAAAAGAAATTTAGAAGTCATATCTTACAGTTAAGGTTTGATTTTTTTTTTAAATCTTAAAACCATCATAGATATTTCAGGATAATTTATGGGACAAAATGGACACTATCCCAATGAAAACGTGTAAAATCACTTCCAAAAGTGTCTATGCCAGAGGGCTTACTTGCAATGATCCTTTGATCCTCCAAATCAGAAAACAGTTTTTTTTTTTTTTTTTTTTCCATAGTCTCATCTATGCCTTTTTGGTTTTTCTTCTTCTTTTGTGTGTGTGTGTGTGTGTTTTATTATACTTTAAGTTCTAGGGTACATGTGCACAATGTGCAGGTTTTTTATGTATGTATACATGTGCCATGTTGGTGTGCTGCACCCGTTACCTCATCATTTACATTAGGTATATCTCCTAATGCTATCCCTCCCCCTCCCCCCACCCCACAACAGGGCCCAGTGTGTGATGTTCCCCACCCTGTGTCCAAGCGTTCTCATTGTTCAATTCCCACCTATGAGTGAGAACATGCGGTGTTTGGTTTTCTGTCCTTGCAATCGTTTGCTCAGAATGATGGTTTCCAGCTTCATTCATGTCCCTACAAAGGTCATGAACTCATCCTTTTCTATGGCTGCATAGTATTCCATGGTGTGTATGTGCCACATAGAAAACAGTTGTTTTTAAGGGTATTGGACAAGGGTCATGACTGCTTAGCAAGGAAGCATCCTCTACTTGTGCATGGCTTCAAACGCTTCTAAATTAACAGGAGTATGAACCATCTGAGGATTCACAATTTCCAGTGAGTCTTGGCTCTACTTATTTGAAATGGATAGCTTCCTAAAGTAACATATAATTCACCTATAAAATACTATTTTATCTCATAAGACAAAATGAGTCCATGGTCTTATTATGTAAGACTGTTTTCCATTGGGGCTGGTCTCAGGCTAGGCAAGGTGAGTATCTGTAGGTGGAATTCTCCTGAGAACAGATGCTCTAAACTTTTTAAATAATTGATTTGACTTCTTCACCATGTCCATGTATACAGCTGAGCATGGCCAATCTACTGGTTTGTATTATACTGTCAAAAAACAAACAACTTTCCCTAACAAAATAAACAGTATCTCAAACAGCAGCACATATGTCCTGGGGGGTAAACAGAAAACTTGTCCCATTTGACTCATTTCATTATTTGGAAGAAATTTCCGTCACAGAAGGCAGATGTCGGTGGACTGATACCAGATAGTAGAGAAATTCTGAGTGTTTACTGTGTGCAAAAAAATGCTGCATTGGGGGGCTTTAATCAGAAATCCATGAAAAATAGTGTAAGTACAATTTATCGAGCATTTATTGTATGCTAGACATATGCATCACCTCACTTCAGAATTAGCCTATGAAGTAGAATTATTATTGTCCTAAATGGACAGGTGGGACCTAGGTTGCCCAGAGAGGTGAATGGGCTTTCACAGGGTTTCACAACCAGTGGGAAAAGGCTGGACTCAATCCCAAATTAGGCTCATTAATCATGCTCTTGATTTTAATAACAATTTTGTTTGTTTTTTCTCTAGAAAAGTTACGAATTAAGTTGTATTCCACGGACTGTATGGAGGGGGGTGAAGGGAGGAAGTGTGTGTGTGATCTCAAAAGCCATCATACATCTTTCCGGAGAGTTTGAAAATAATAATCTGAAAATCCAAAGGCTGACTCACAACTCCTGGGCTGTACCTACGATACAGTAAGTAAGAGGATGGTGTCACTGTGTCCTCCCTTCTGTCCTGAAGCATTCCATGCTACACACCATTCATAAGATTTAAAATCATCTTCAAGAAGTGCCCTGTTGGAATAATAAGTCAGTGCTCTCTGGAGGCTATAACCAAATATAATTTGCCACATAAACATGAAATGTGTGTCCAAGAAACTAGTAGGAATGCATCTAGGAACCAAAGTGTCTCCTTCCTAGAGAGAGAGGAAAAAAACAAAGTGAGGATGGTCCTCTGCACAGGCGTTGTATATTTTGTTCTCAAATCCAGCAGCCTTGACTTGACATGGGATGGTTGGGATGGTTCTCCACGTAGCCACATAAGCTCGTTACTACCCATTACATCTGCCTGTACCTCCAGCAGGTGCCCAGGAGATGGCTGAGTCCCAAGAGCCATGCAGGCCTCCTGGACGACCGCCCTGATGTGGTCCACGTGACTCTTAACAGGTATCATGGCCTTGGCACATGTTGGGCATTTTCCAGCGTCACTCTCAGAAGACCCTCCCTCCATGAGTTCACCACTGCTGGTCTTTAACTCTCAGCTTAGGGAATCAGACTGAATTAGTTCTTTGTGTTATTAACCGGAGGAACACTTACATTTTCTGACAACTCTAATCTTGGAGCTCAGGGAATAGCACAGAGCATTTGTATGAAATTACCCCTCGTTCTATCTATAGGCCTAACAGCCAGCATTTGTGAATTTGGCAGAAGCCAGCAGATCTCACAGTTAATGTCTTCCTCTCCTGCCAGGATCTTTGGAACAAGGTGCTTAGAGTGCCACATGACAAAGAGCCGGACAGATCCTGGGATGTGGAGCCCAGGTGATGTTATTTGCATCCAATTAAAGAAGCAGGAATGGGTAGCATAATTGACATGCATGACTCTTAATGCCTTTTGGTTCATTAAGCCTTTGGATCAACTTTTGTAGGAAGACATTTAAAAGAAACTGAGCAGGACTTGGGCACAGGTAGAGGTGAGCTTCCGGGCTGAATCCCCTACTAGGCCGTTAGTCAATTGTATGTTTCCTTTTTGGACTCACCTCTGGGTTGCAAAGGAGGTTGCTCTGATTGTTTCTTGTTATACCATAAAGATAAGGAGCTTGAGTTACTTTCCAGCTGATAAGGCAATTTTCACCTTTTTCCATTTGTCTTGGAATTTCACACCCCACCCCATCCTACCCTTAAGGTGCCCTGGAGGGGTTGAAGGGCCATTCTTGGTCATCCAGTCTCTGTGTGGTTGGGTTGATCACAGAAACTAGAGAAGTCACGAAGAGTAGGTGTTCCTCAGGTTAATTACACAAAGAACTAATTCAGTCTGATTCCTTAAGCTCGGAGTTAAAAACAGTGATTGTGAACTCATGAAGGGAGGGTCTTCTGAGAGATATAAAGAGGCTGATATATGCTCTTTATATCTCACCTTTGATGATACACAGCTCACCTTTGATGGTCACTCTGAATCACATCAAGGCGATGACAAGAACAACTGTCTAGACTTAGTGGTGTGGCTTTGAAACGACACTTCGCCATTCAGGGATTCAATTGTTTTCCAGTTTTATAATGAGGGAGCTGAGCAAGAGAAATATTTTCAAAGGCCATTCTGGGCTGCACAAGGATAGAAACAAATGGGAGGTCCATTGGGCAGGACACACCTGTTTCTACAAGAGCAACCTACTTTTTTGTTTTGTTTTAATCAAGGGAGTGTCAAGCAATTGCTTATTTCATAAACAGGGCTGTGCTGCTATTTTTACACAGTGTGAAGTCCACAGGTCTGAATAATTTCTTCTTGCTCCAAGAGTTCCTAGGTCCTGTGTTCAGATTTTGAGAGCCTTCATGTCTCAGGTCCCAATAGCAGTTTCTATGACTGACCAGCCTGTCCACAGAGCATCTCCTCACTGGACAGGCATTGTGGGCACGCTCCTGCGGAGGAAGAATCAGGGTGGTGAGGCAATTAGTAGGTGTTCTACAATCCTGACATCTTTCTCAGACCAGCCCCCATCTCTGTCTATTGGCGAGATTTCTTCTTTAGCTTCTGCTCACTATGACATGAAGGACTTCTTCTTACCTAGATATTCTGGTGCTATAGGGGGGTGCTGATCAGTGGAGCTTAGAATTACTTTACACACACATGCCTACACCCCCCCTCGCAACACACACACGTACCTTACAAAATTTCTAATTATAGGCCAGGCGCGGTATCTCATACCTATAATCCCAGCCCTTTGGGAGGCCGAGGCAGGCAGATCATGAGGTTAGGAGTTCAAGACCAGCCTGATCAGCAGGGTGAAACCCCATCTCTACTAAAAACACAAAAATTAGCTGGGCATGGTGGTGTGCACCTGTAATCCTAACTACTCAGGAGGTTGAGGCAGGAGAATTGCGTGAACCCGGGAGGCAGAGGTTGCAGTGAGCCAAGATCGCACCACTGCACTCCAGCCTGGGTGACAGAGTGAGACTCTGTCTCAAAAAAGAAAAACAGAAAAATTGCTAATTATGCTGATTACTTTAGATAAACATTTCTCAATTTGGGCTTCAAGGCATATTAATAGACATACAAAAAAATTATTTGGTCAAGTGAAAATAAAGCATATCCTGCGTCCCATAGTAGGGTAGTGTATTAGTCCCTTCTCACGTTGCTTTAAGGAAATACCGGAGACTAGGTAATTTATAAAGGAAAGAGGTTTAATTGACTCACAGTTCACCATGGCTGGGAAGGCCTCAGGAAACTTACAATCATAGCAGTGGCAGAAGGCAGCCATGATTGTTTACCAGGCAGCAGGAAGGAGAGTGCCAAGGGAAGAGGGAGGAGTCCCTTATAAAACCATCAGATCTTGTGAGAACTCACTCACTACCATGAGAACAGCATGGGGAAAACTGCCCCCATGATTCAATTAACTCCACCTGGTCTCTCCCTTGACATATGTGGATTGTGGGTGAGAGACAGGACTAGCTGGATTTCCTAGGCCAACTAAGAATTCCTAAGCCAGCTGTGCCTGGTGGCTCACGCCTGTAATCCCAGCACTTTGGGAGGCCGAGGCGGGCAGATCACGAGGTCAGGAGATCGAGACCATCCTGGCTAACACAGTGAAATTCCGTCTTTACTAAAAATACTAAATATTAGCTGGGCGTGGTGGCAGGTGCCTGCAGTTCCAGCTACTCGGGAGGCTGAGGCAGGAGAATGGCATGAACCCGGGAGGCGGAGCTTGCCGTGAGCAGAGATCACGCCACTGCACTCCAGCCTGGGCGACAAAGCGAGACTCCGTCTCCAAAAAAAAAAAAAAAAAAAAAATTCCTAAGCCTAGCTGGGGAAGGTGACCACACCCACTTTTAAACACGGGGCTTGTAACTCAGCTCACACCCAACAAATCAGGTTGTAAAGAGGGTTCACTAAAATACAAATTAGGCTAAAGCAGGAGGTAAAGAAGTAGTCAAATCATATATCGCCTGAGAACACAGGGGGAGCGACAATGATCGGGATATAAACCCAGGCATTCGAGCAGGGTGTGGTAACCCCCTTTGGGTCCCCTCCCATTGTATGGGAGCTCTGTTTTCACTCTGTTAAATCTTGCAAGTGAACACTCTTCTGGTCTGTGCTTGTTAGGGCTTGAGCTGAGCTTTCGCTCACCATCCACCACTGTTGTTTGCTGCCGTCGCAGACCCGTGGCTGACTTCCACCCCTCTGGATCCAGCAGGGTGTCCACTGTGCTCCTGATCCAGCGAGGCTCCCATTGCCACTCCCGACTGGGCTAAAGGCTTGCCATTGTTCCCGCAAGGCTAAGTGCCTGGGTTCGTCCTAACTGGGCTGAACACTAGTTGCTGGGCTCCGTGGTTTTCTTCTGTGACCCACGGCTTCTAATAGAGCTATAACACTCACTGCATGTGCCAAGGTTCCATTCCCTGGAATTCATGAGGCCAAGATCCCCAGGTCAGAGAACAAAAGGCTTGCTGCCATCTTGGGAGCGGCCCGCCCCATCTTGGGAGCTCTAAGAACAAAGACCCGCCCGTATCATGGGGATTACAATTCAAGATGAGATTTGGGTGGGGACACAAAGGCTTTCATGGTTTTTGGCACCCGCTGCTGTCCCCTCCTTTTGAGTGTGGGACGGATCTGTGACTGGCTTCTAGCCCATAGAATATGGCACCTTCCTTCACATAAACCATCCATCTCTGAGCCATCCCCGGTTCCTTGACTTCATAGACTCACAATTCCAGATAAGAGATGATTCTACCACCTTGCTGTCCTGGCATCCCGGGATTCCTGCCGCGTGGGCTGAACTGTCTGCCTTTCCCAGTATGGAAGTCATCACTTACTCATTCAATCATTTAGCACCCTTTCTCGCTTGCTTGGAAAATACAAGGTAAAAAACACACTAGCCTACTATTTGATATTTGTGCGTGGGTGTGTGTGTGGGGCGTCATATATCCCTCTTAGCATCTGATAAAAAAAAGATCAATTCATTACCCAGAAATATGTATCTGCATGTGTGCAAGTCCCAATACACAATTCAGTACAATTCTGGGGGTTCTGGACTCCCTGAGGACCATTTATAAGTTCTCTCCAAGTCATTGACCCCAGGTTTAGTTGCCCCTCTAGACTATAAGGCCCCCTAGATAGAAGGCAAGTGTCATATGCCACTGCATCCCCAACTCTGAGGACAAAGCCTGGTGGCAGGTGGACCTTCATTCAGGGTGAATTGAGCTGAATTCGGTACATGGCTCTGTACTCAGAAGGCCTTTATTTATTTCTTGTGTTCCTCTTATCTTGTCACACTCCAAAATAGAAATGTATACCTCTGCTAGTTGAATGACTGTTTATTTGGAAATCATCACCCAATGCCCAACTGCATCCAGGCTGCGTGACATCATTCCAGACTACAAAGTGCCAAGCGCTAATTGATTTGTAAGAAAGTCCACATGAAATGCCTGGCACTCTCCCAAAGGCACCCATGGGCTTGGAGGGACGACAGCATTGGACTGTTATGCGAGGAAATAATTCTTGCTTGCCCGCCTGGGATGGGGTGACGTTCTGGCCAGGAAGCAGAAGCAGACTTGACTTTGGGCAGCAGTCTGCCCCTGATGGAGTTATTCACAGATGGCTAAGTTAAATGCAGCCCTCATAGCACTAAGGCATTTCAGGGGCGACTAAACAAGTGGCCCATGAAATGGAGGCACCAGAAGCCTCTGGAAGCGGCATCAGTGCATCACCCAGTGAAGCCATTGTGTCGCCTGTTAGTAATGAGCATTTGCAAGGGCAGCATGGGGAATTTCAATCAACCTGTGAGAAGACAAGGTGTGCAGACATTGTGGATCTGAGCGAGATGGGGAGAAAAGGCAATAAAAAGCAGTAGCAAAGGGGAAAAGAAAAGTTCGGGCCAGGAGCCAAGAAGATACTTTCTGTGGAAAAGGGAGGGAAAAAAAAAATCACTCCACCCCTCCTGTCCAAATGAAAAAGCATTTAATTGAATGTTCTTTATAGAGGTGAAAAAATACCCTGTGGAGTTCCCAGTGTTTCATTATCCGATTGAGTTCGGTACCTCAAGTTTCAAAGACCGTTCTCCTGAATGGTTATTCTCATTTCCATGTCAGTCTGCCGTGTGCTTGGTGAACCCCTGCTGGGCCGCATCATTTAAAACTCAAAACCCTGAAAGTATTTTTATGCCCGATATAGTAACAGAGCAAACCCTGGTATCACTCATTTTATTCTCCGCAGCCTCCTTCCTCTTGTCTGTGATGTAGATGACTGTGCTGCTCGAGATGCTTGCAATCAACAGGGCGCTCCCCAAGCTCTGAATGAGGTGAATGGCCTCAGAGGAAAACAGATTAGAAGGCTTAGAGATGACTGCATCTCAGGTGCAACACTTGAAGCAGGAAGATGGGAGTCTCAGAATTTTCCCCTTGCAGTTAGAAAAATATGGGACAGGCTGGGGCAGTAGGAGTGGATTTAAGTAAGTGAGACAGTGGATCAGGAAAGGCCAGGCTTTTACTGGGTGGAAATAGCCTGGATGCAATTATCTGCTACAAGCCCCACCAAGAAGAGCCTCCCTGCTGGAGGAAAGCAGAAAGGGAACTGGGGTATAACCAAGCTTGTCCAATCCGAGGCCCGTGGGTCACATGCTGCTGAGGGAGGATGACTTTGAATGAGGCCCAACACAAGTTCGTAAAGTTTCTTAAAAGGTTATGAAATTTTTTTGCAATTTTTTTTCTTTTCTTTTCTTTTTTTTTTTAGTTCATCAGCTGTCGTTAGTGTTATTTTATGTGTTGCCAAAGATCATTCTTCTTCTTCCACTGTGGCCCAGGGAAGCCAAAAATTTGAAAACCCCTGGTTTAAATCCTCTCTACAAACTCGCCAGCTCTGCAAAATAATCATCTTTGTTGGTCTTAAGAACACTTTAAATCAGGTTTAAATCATCTGAACATCAGAAAGGAATTTTTTTTTCTTTTCTTTTCTTTTGTTTTTTTTCTCCCTTGAGAGGGAAATCTAGGGGTGGAGTAGAGAATCATTTAAAATATTTCCCTTCAGAGACCAACGGCTAGGAATAGCTGATAAATAACATAAAAGAGCGGTTTAATAGTTTCATGTTTGACCCATGTAATACCCCGCACATTTGGTTAATTTAGAAAATATTTGACGACAACGGAATCCAATCTCATTTTCTCAAACAGAAGCTTAATTTCTCTTTGACTGAAATGAATAGTTATGTTGCCATGCCTTAGCCAAACACCCTATAAATATAATACCCCTTCAGCCTTAATATTTCAAAAACTATGGTTTTCAGTTTGAGCTGTTATAATGTTTTATCTCAGAAGTTGTAGAATAATTTAAACCAGTTTTTCCTACTTTGGTTCCTTGGAGGCTGATTCTTCTGCCTGAATTCCTCTCACAGAACATATAAACCCCTTTTACCTCCCTCACTGGCACAAAAGCAACTTGTTTCCAAGATTCAGGACTTAAAGAAATGGCTGTGGGTTGGTCTACGAAAACCATTATGCTGCATCCTCCCAGTCCTGAGAGATTCTGAAGAGAAGCAGGCCCTGGCTTCAGAGTTGAAGAAATGATACCTTCCCTCCTTTGCCTCATAGTCTCATTCATGATGTTTGCTTCCCATACTCATCTCCAACTGGCTCACACATTCCTTCACCAGATAGTGTGGGAAGGAGTCCATCTTTCTGCAGTTGGCTAATCCAGGTGTTGGCATGGAAGTTTTAGCTCTGGTCTGAGAGTTCTAGTCATGGACAATTGTCCATGTCTATTGGAATGAATAATTTTCCAATGGACATGGACAGTTGTCCCAGGGGACTGGAAATCAAGGGTGCTGAGTAAACTCAGCCTCAGTGGACCACCTGTGTGAGTTAATACAGAGACCACATTCTGCATCTTAGCAACCTAAACAAAGGAGAGGCACAGCAAGGTGAGAAGCTTCAAAAGGCAGTCAGCCAATGCATCAACCTGGGCCCGGAGGGGTCGGGGAACCTCAAATTGTCATCCTTATGTAACAGTGACAACTAACATTTTTCAAGGCTCGTTACCATGCCCTGGCCACCTGTCCCACATTATTTTATGGAATGCTCAGTCAACCCTATGAATTACATACTATATTATCCCCATTTTACAGACTACAAAATGAAGGTTTAAGGAGAAGCTTACACACCTCACCCAAGGTCCTACAGTTGTTAAGTAGGGGGACAGAGACCTGCATTTATCTGTAGACCCTCCACTCTTAACCACCCTATTGACCCAGTTCCTAATCCAGCTCACTTCTGAGCTCTGGACGTCCACCAGGAAGAAAACAATGGCTGTAGTGGTGCAGTGACCCTTCTTTGCCAGTTTGTCTTGGGTCCTGATGAGCTGCCAGGCTCAGTCTGGAAAAGTGCCCTCAATCCCTGCATCTCCATCTCTCATAGGCATTGTGGGACCCCACAAAGACTCTGTCTCTATTCGCTTAACACAGTGGAAAAAAAGGCCACCCTTCATTCTTTTTTTTTTTTTTTTTCATTCAACAAACATTTATTGATCTTCTAATGTTTTTTCAAGAATGCTTTTGGGCCTGGGATACAAACTAATGGACCCAACAGATGAGTCCCTTGCCCTATTGGCACTTACTGGTTCATGTCAGGTTCCTGTGCCTCTCCTGGAGAAGCAGGTGATAAGGTCTCTGTGTTAAAGGAGGAAACCAAGGTTCTAGGCAGCCTCGTGGGTAATACAGCCAGTAAATTGCAAAGCTGGGTGAACTCAATTGACAGGACTCTAGCCAGAAACTGGTTCTTTGCCATTAGTCTCTACTGACCCCTATGGATGTATGGAGGGAGTATGGGGTACCTGGGAAACATCAAGCCTTACCTAGAATCATCTTTCCAATCTCGCTCTTCTCTTCCATTTAGAACCACCTTCAACATCTCCCCAGGGTACATTCCCTAAATAGCCCCGATTATTCATTATTTTATGGAACTACCAGATACTGAATTCCTGTTCTGGGCCATGCACTCTAGGAGCTGTGATTTCAACAGTGAAGGAGGACAGGGTGGACCCCACCATCGTGGAATTTACATTCTAAAGGGCACAGTTTTTCTGTTGAGTCTTCCCAGGAGGTGTCTTTTTATTTCATACCTTTGACCTTCAGATCCATTCATGATACTTTGGCTTATGGGTGTTCCACACTTGATTCCAAGGGTGATATTCCATATGTGTAATGCCTCGCTCAATCAGAATGGACACTGGCCCTAGTGGCCACCCAAGATGGATTCTTGGAGCTTCTTTGCTGTGACAAATAATGACCTTTTAGTTGACGAATTATAAGGAAGTTATGGGAGATCCCAGAGGAAGGCTTTAAGACAGGGGAATTCAGAGAGCTTGGAGCAGCAGCTCTTTACGTAGGGCCACAGTGTATTTCAGTGTTTCTCCAACGGCTGCACCTGTGGACCTATGTGTACTGGGAGACTATTGACTCTGCTCAGATTACATGGGTAAGTTTGCTCCTTACAACTAGACTGAATGCCCATTGGAGGCAGGATCCTATCAACTTTTTCTTCTGCCAAACCAGCCTGACACAGTATACATTGCATACGATTCTTCCATGACTATGTACTTGTCATGAGTTATTCCTCATCATTCTAAAATTTGACCTCAAAGCTGAGCAAAGTCTAGATGAAATGAGGTTCTAGTTTTTATAATAATGTTCAATAGTTTTTCCTATACGTCACTCTTTCAGTGTGGGGAGGAATGGTGACTTTTCAGTTGCTTCTGAATACGGTTTGCTGTACACTGTGTGTTACCAGTGTGATTTGCTATAACCCAGCTCTTGGAGCCTCATATGGTATGTGGTTCAACAGTACAGTGGTCAGTCAAGAATAAATACAGAGCAAGTACTACGGTAGCTGCAGAAAGAGCATCGCCACCATGCATCATTAGTGCAGAGCCCTGGACCAAAGGACTCGAGCTGCCGCCAGACCTTTACCCATTCCAAGTGCAGACTTTGCTAATTCATCACTGCCTTCCTCAAGACCCCAGCAAGCTTCTCATCACATCACTTTTGGCACTTATCTGATCTTTCAATGATCTGAGTTAGCTCAAGAAATTACATCTAGTTACCATACCATGTCAAGACTGCTATTTAACTAGAAAACAAAGAGACTTCCTCCACTCCATGCAAACACATGTTGATTCTCATTTACCTGTTTAGGAAAAAAAAATTTAGATTCAGGCTCATATACTAATTTTATTCAGTGCTTAAGGTATGTCTGTTATTTGGGATAGAATTCAGTGAACAATGCTAAGGTTTACAAGGGCCCATGTATGACTTTAGGGCCGTGTGTGTGTGTGTGTGTGTGTGTGTGTGTGTGTATACATGTGTATGTGTACATACTTTTCCCCCTGTAATAGGATTTCTTTAGATCTGATGCTTAATAAGACAGAAAGACACCACAGCCTTCTCAGAAGACCTTTGCAATATGTCCTTACTACTGGTTTGTGCTTTCAAAGTTCATGTGTGTAGTGGTCTCTCCTGTCACCACGATGGATCCAGATTTAAGATGTCATTGAGCCATCACAAAGTAAAGAGACACTTTCTACCCCAGGTTGCTCTGGGGTGAGAAAACTTTGATGACTAAACTAAAGGTAAAATCAATTGCAGATGCAGTGTCTGAATTGGATATGAAAGAAAAGAGGCTGGCATTTATTAGCTGTCTACCGGAAACCAGGTTGCTCTTGAAACACCGTCTCATTTAATCAGAAAAATGACCGCTTGCAGTGGATATCATCCTCTCCAGTTTACAAATCTAGAAAACAAGTACATCAAAGCAGTTAAGCATTTTCGTAGGAGCCGCACACTCAGTAAGCTAATATTAGAACTCAGGTCTGTCTGATTTCAGAGCTCTTTCCACACTACCTAAAATATTCATGCACCAGATGAAAGCTTTCTTTTTTCCCCTAGACTGTTTCTTAAATTTGTAGTTCTGCTTTCAATACAGGGTTTCTTGAAATGTGATGGTGTGATTAGACTTCTGGTTATTACTCTCCAACCATCATTTCTAAGAGAATTGGTGTGTGAGGCTGAAGGGATGATAGTAGGGTGAGCCGTAAATACAGGTTAACTGTCTTAATGTGGCCTGGGCAATGTCTAATTACTCAGGGCTGTTTTTGGAAGACACTTCCCCATTCTAGGATAGGGGTTACAAGCACAAATGTCCATAGGAGCTGGGTAGTTACTGTGAATAAGTGCCATAGGCTAGCCTGTTTGGGTTTGGGGAGCTGAGTGAGGCTGTACTGGGAAACACATGCCCCAGGTAGAGCTGGGGGTTGGTGTCTTTGCTCCGTTAAGACGATTGCAAGATCCCAGCAAGGGATCTTGAATATTTGCAGGTTCTGGGTTCTGTGTTGAGTGCTTAAATGGATATCTTATTTAATAATAACAGGAACCCTTGGAAGTGAGCACAGGTTTGATTCTCACTTTGCAGATAAAGAAACTGAGGCCCAGAAAGGTGCCCAAGGAAGCAGAGTTATTTAGGACCTGACAGAGGTAGGATTCCAACCTGGGCAGTCTATCACCAGAGTCCTTGTTTAATCACTAAATTTTGTACCTCTTAGGACTATTCAAACCCAGCAATTTGTCTCTGAGAATGATAGATAAACATGAAGATACTGGAGAAGTCAATTATATATCCCCCTAAAATGCCTTCAGCGTGTTCAAAAGCACCGAGCTCTCCGCCATGATGTTTGTAAGGGGGTGACGTTAGATAGTGATCAAAGAAAAGTCTAATACATGTTATTTTTTGTTGTACAGTTCAGTTCCTTGTACATAATTCATGTGTCAATTGATACTCATGAAAGTTGGTCTTGAAATATTGTATACAGCCCAAATTAAGAGCTTGGCACCCAATCCCCACTTGGACTACAAATCACTTCCTCTTGCCAAATTAGAGTCTAGAGTAATTTACCGTAAGATGGGCTTTTAACCCTAATTTCTAGACATACTCAGCAGTCTGCTTTGAAAGCTCATCAGCTTCTAGAAGCAGCTCATCGTTAAGGAGATACCATCAGGGTAAACACATCAGTTTAGTCTTTTTTGCAACATTGCTAATTCCACGTTGTAATCAAGGAGAAATAAATGGAAAACTCTTACTTAGTATTAGTTTATTTAGACCCATTTATTTCCATCAGTGACCTTGGGAGATAGTTGGTTCAGCACATTTTCTCATATTCGGCCTCTAATTCAGTGTGGGATTTTGTGTTTTTATAATTAACAGAGACATTTACAAATAGAAAAAAATATATTTGTGCTTTTGGGAAAAGTGCCAACAATGTGGCTATGGAATTTGATTTTCTAAATGGAGACTACACAAAGTGTAGATTTTTTATTTCTAATGTATGTCTCTGCCTATCTACTGATGATGGATTTTGGCTTTATGGCAACCCACTACCAGGCTTTTAGCTGTCAGAATTGGACAACGTATTGACTCCTAGGTAGGAACCGTGGAACCACTGCGTTATCATGATAAGCTGGTACAAGCAGAGAGGATCTATTTTCTAAGCAGATGTTTACTAAGGGACTACTACACTCGAATGACATCACATCTTTGTTAGCAGTTGTGGTTGGTGCCATGTTTATTAAAAGACAGGAAGACCCTTTGGTTGGCTGTTAACTATTGCATATTTGTCTGTCTTGTCAATAAGCATTTTTTTAAAGGTTACTTTTCCTTTATGTGTTTACTTGGGGTTAAAATTTTGGGATTATGACAAAGGCCATATTTTGAGATTATGACAAAAAATAATTCAAAAATGAATTATTGAATGAGGAAGTTGGGTCTCATTCAGTAGGTTAGGTCTCCTTTAAAATTGTATTTTTCTCGTATGAAGACCCAGTTCAATGGGTTTCATAGCCAGTCTGAGGCAAAAGCTGGCTATTTACTTCCAAAAGGACTTCTCCTCAAGGAAGAGACCCCCTAGTGATACCCAAATCATAAATCAGAGTTCTTAACTTGGGATCTATGGAACAGAGATCAGGGAGTGAGTCTTAGAAGGCCCGTTAACCTCCCAGTATGTGGAAAAATGCTTCAGATGTTGACACATTTCACAGAAGTGTCATCACATTAACAAAGGGCTCATAACCCATAAAAGTTAAGAACCATTAATTTTCAGGTAATTCTTCTAAATAATGGGTCCTGGCCAGCTCTACATGATTTGGAGCATATTTACATACATTTGCATACTGCTTGTCCTTGGTCATGCCATTCAACTGCCACACACCTCATTATAGAAAAGAGAAAGAACAGGATTTACCTAAAGCTCAAAGGAATAGTGATCCTGTGCTAATTAAAATTTGTTCTGGTATTTGGGAGTCTCAGATGAGAAATCTGGAGTCATGTTGAGTTTGGTTATTTTACTCATTTGTAGTCAGTATTCAATTATTTTAATTTAGCTTGTGCATTTTCATGCACCTTATTTCCTTTTTCCTCCTTTCGACTCCATTTGGTACATTTCATCTCACTAAACAAGGAGAAAAAAAGGGAATAGGAGTTCTTGAAACTCAAAAGCAGCATTAAGTTCTTGTCTGTGACCCTTATTGAGCAAAGATTAGGACCAGTGTTTACAAATTTTTCAAGTACTCTCAGGAGCTCTTGATGCTTAGACTCTAGAAAATGTTGGGTTTGTTCTTAAGAAACAGAAAGTGTCCAAATCCCACTTGGCTTCCTAACCTCTCAGACTCACTCTCTGCCCTACAGAGCCTTAGAAGGATGGCCACCAACACCTATGAGATTTACTCCTGAATCATTTGTCTCAAGCCATTTCCCACTCTGCTATCAGCCTGTTTCTGTTAACCTGGCTGGTGATTCCACGAATCATTGTCCCCTTTGAAGATCTATCTAACCTCCTGGCTTGATGCTCCTCGAGGGACCTCTAGCTTCTGTGGATTCAAATGCTTTAAGGAAAAATACTCAGTCTAATCCACACTGTCTCTAGAACCAGCTAGCTTTGTGCAATCATTCAGGAACATCTCTGGCCCTCCCCACCCACACACTTTCCATCAATCCAGAAATGATCAGATTCAGCCCTTGCTCACAGATGTGAAGCCACAAACGGCAGCTAGGGTCAAGAACAGCAAGGTTACTACTGGATGCTGACTCAAGGCAAGAAGAGGAGTCAGGCACAAAATTCTGAAATTAGTCATTGAGGGAAGTACAAAGCTTAACCGTAGACAGGAACCTGGAAATGCTGGGTCAGCCTCTTCGTCTACCCGTACATGACATACAAAATTATTCCATGTTACTTCAATACTTTTACCCAGAGCCTTGTAACAATCTTCTTGAACTGTTGAATCTATACAGGTGTAGATTGGGTCAGGAGATAGCTTTAAAAGTTTGTTGTTCACGTTCGTGCCAACTCCTGGTGTCTTAGATTTTGTTCCCAAACACTCATTATGACAAAAGGATTTAAGTGCATTCTATTTATTTGTGAAGTGATGCAGGAAACTACAGTAAGGAGTGCGGATGTGAATAAGTGGAAGGCAATACAGTGTGTGTGAATGGTAATGTCACCTCCATGGGCGGGTGGGGCTCAGTTCCGTTGAGGATCTCTGGAAGACTACATATAGGCTGGCTCAGAGCTGTGCCCCACTGGGGCAGCTCACTGGGTTATTTATCTATCATCTCCCTCTCATTGGTTGGAGCCTGCTTCTAAGGGGCATAATATTCAGGTGCTTTCCACCTGCCAAGAGAGGAGGCCAAGCATGCTCCAGTGGCCGCAGAAAGTCCTCAGCAGAATCCCAGGGTCTTCTAAGAAGAAGACGTGGAGATCGTGAGAATAGTGAGTGCTCACAGTATGTAGCGGGGACAACAACAGTGTCTCCCACAACCAGCATTACAGATAACCAGGAGTCGACCCTGATGAAGCTGGTGGCTTTCTCAGCTTTACAGAATGCTCTTTTCTGCTTCGCCTGGCAAAACAGGAGGATATCTGTCTCAAAGTTTTCAAAGAAAGGACATTCAGTGATCTGTTGAGAGATTCAGAGGTTCTCCTTTTCTCTGGTGGTGCTCTATCAGGGACAGATAGGTCCCTAAGACTTAGCAGCAAAAGGGACTCTCCCTGCAGAAGCATGTGCATGATGTGAGTAGGTGTGCCCACAGCCCAGGGTTCATACTCTGGGGCTTCATGCCCTTTTCCTATTCTTTGTCTCCAACCGCATCTTATAAGAAGTGCATGTTAGGAAAGAGTACACTAAAGACAGGAACAGTTACTGGATTAATATAACTTTAAAGGTGAGCATACTGGGGAAAAGTGAACAGCAACCCTTACCAGAATGTTTAGGTACATTTCTGCCTCCCTCTTCAAGCTGCCAGGAAAGTGCACTGTAAGTTACCAAGGAGCAAACTTCAGCGCTTTTCCAACAGTCACAAAGGACTCTCTGCCACCATCTGTGTTGCATGTGTGCTTTACCTTTGCTGTCCTCCTTACTTTGAAATAAATCCCACCCACTACGGTGTCCCATTTCAGAAACTCTAAAATACTTACTTGAATCCCTGGAATGGATTCATCCAACCCTGTTCGGTTTTCTTCCTTCCAGTGTGCTATTCTATAGTAGAAACAGTGCCAGGCCATGGGATTTAGACATCAGAGGCATTTCCAGGTTTATAAAAAGGCGAAGACTGTATTAAAGTATTTGCTTTTAAGTTTGTTGGCCAGTTCTTCTCACTGACCCTGGATAGGTCTAGGCTACTCTCAGCTTACCTACCATGTCTTTGTAAGATGTGTAGTCCATGGTGCTTGAATAGCACCACAAAGACGTGGAGAGGTAAAAGACATAAGATGATCTCAATTTTGAATAATTCTCCTTGAGGGGCAATTATATATTTTTGGAAAGTTCATTCTTATTTATTGGGCCTTCTTTATCTCAGAATTCAGGAAGGGGCAGAGTGTTTTCTTCCCAAGTTACTGACTTTCTTAGCATGCGAGGCTCAAATGACAATGATTATTTAGAATCTCTGAGCAGCTCAGACTCAGTTTTTTTTGTAATGCCAGCATATAGGTCAAATGTGAATTCCTTACAATTTTTTCTGAATGGGAAGTTTAGGGAACGACTCCAATGTTCCTGTAGTCGCTCTAAGTCGTTTAGGTGTGCTATAGGATGAAAAGAAGAATAATGAAACTGTGGTATATGCATGCCGTGGGATATCATTCAGTCATACAAAAGAAGAAAGTCCTACCATTTGTGACAATATGGATGAACCTGCAGGATATTATGCTAAGTGAAATAAGACAGTCACAGAAGGACAGAAACTGCAGGATTCCACTTATATGAGGTATCTAAAATAGTCAGACTAATAGAAGCAGAGTAGAATGGTGATTTGGGGGAGCAGAAAGGGGAAATTTATTGCTCAGTGGGTATAAAGCATCAATTATATGGGAAGAAAAAGTTCTAGAGATGTTTTGTACAACTTAGTGCTTTTAGGTAACAAAACTGTAATGTGCACTTAAAAATGTGTTCAGAGGCTGGGCGCCATGGCTGATGCCTGTAATCCCAGCACTTTGGGAGGCTGAGGTGGGCAGATCACGAGGTCAAGAGATCGAGACCAGCCTGACCAACATGGTAAAACCTTGTCTCTACTAAAAATATAAAAATTAGCTGGGCGTGGTGGTGCGCGCCTGTAGTCCCAGCTACTCAGGAGGCTGAGGCAAGAGAATCGCTTGAACCCAGGAGGTGGAGGTTGCAGTGAGCTGAGATCACGCTACTGCACTCCAGCCTGGTGACAGAGTGAGACTTCATCTCAAAAAAAAAAATGTGTTTAGAGTTTAGATCTCAGGTTAGGGGATCTTGCTACACACACACACACACACACACACACACACACACACGCACACACATACAAATACAAAGAAATACAATGAAGCTTTTAGAGGTGATGGATATATTTACTACCTTGATTGTGGTGATGGTATCACAGGTATATGCATATATAAAACATATCAAATTGTATACATTTAACATGTGCAGTTTTATTGCACGTTAAAGATACTTTAATAAAGCTATTAAGAAAAAGAAATAAAAACGTTTGCTTTCATATCCTCAGGTCATCATGGATTCGGATCCTAGTTCTCTTGTGTGAACATCTTCCTCATTTTCCCCATATGAAAAATAGTGGATTTAATATATGCCTTATCACATCAGTTTGTGGATTAGGAGACACTGTATGTATGAAACACCACAGTCAATAATTGGTAGGAATCTCCTTACCCTTCTTCCCTTGGTATGTAGCAACTTCATGAATGAAAACACTTTCCCCAAATAGGTATCTCACAGAGAAGAAAACACTATGAATTCATGACCCATTTGCATAGTTTTAGGGGTTAAAAGAGCTGTATATAAATTGTAAAACATATTAAGAAATTTAGAGAAATAATCTAAGGGTTATCAAAGAATGTTCAAATTCCCTCAGATTTTGTTTTTCACCTTATCTAAATTCATATTTTCATCCCTATTTTAAGCAGAATTATTCATAGTTATCTACTTAGCAGATGTTCAAGGATGATATTCTCTTTGTATCCATCTTTCCTTATCCAGAGGCGTAAAGGAAAAGCATGAAGATAAGGGACACGGCATCGTTAAGTATCCCGGGTTTGTTAACAGTAGAAGAGAGTGTGGACTTGCTTTTCACTTTCATTGTGTGTGTTTCTAGGAGATCCTCTATCTTCATGCTCAGCCCCCAGGTCCATGTGTCCTTCTCTCTAATAGGACTGTGCTATGATAGCTGTTGGTGGGAGAGAGGTCTTGCAACCTAAAAGGAAGGAGAGCCATATGCAGAAGAGAGAAGTGATTAGATGATAAAGCTGAATGGTGACTCTGAAAAACAAAGTAACTGTAAATTTGTGGAACTTTTGGTCTTTCTTCTCATTTGATGATTAGAAATTTTTTAGCTGTCCAAATCCAGTCCTTGTCTTATCTCAGCTATGCAGAGTGGCATGGCTGGTTCAAGCTTTCAGTGAAGAAACAGATGTATGAGGCCAAATCTTGCAAAATGCCAGAAGAGTGTATTTGGGCAGAATACCAAAATGAGTTCGGGGGCCTATATGGAACTGCGGGCAGGGCCAATGACAGATAGTTGAGGACTGCAATGAGAGATGCCCAAATATAAGTATGACAAGCAGGAATGTCATTCTGTGAGTCAGAGTCAAAGTCAAAAAGACTTTGTAAAAATCTACTTTGGAGACTAGGTGTGGGTGTCTGATTTAGAACCCTTCTCATAGTCTGGTGATTTCTAATGGTGCTTTTGCCGAAGGAATTCTTAGGAGCATCCAAGTTCCATCTTAAAGACATGGCTTTGCCAGTCTGTTGTGGGTGTGCTATACCATATCAGACAGAGAAATAAGGATGTGTGTGAAGGTATGAATCTCCGGTTGACGAACTCTAGTGTGCAAATAAGACAACTGTCTGTCTTTTAACATGGTACGCACATTTCTGTTTTGATCACCCTTTCTACCAGTTGGTGAAAACTTTAGCAAAGTCCATTCATTGTCTCCATAATCCCCTAGGTTTCTATCTAATTTTCATTGAGCTTACAAGGCACATGGCAGGTGGGAGGCACTCTGGCATCCACTGAGATGTTAGTGAACCCATCTGGTCTTCATTTGTTTCCTTCCAAGCTCAAGGGTGATTGAGTTTGCCAGCCTTCTCTCCACTGTTTTAGTCTTTTCCCAAAGCATATAAGGACTCTTCTCTTGCTTCCTTGCTGAACTGGGCTTGGAGATGCAGCTCAGAGAGAAGACATGCCCTTGTCCCTTCATAATAAACCATCAACATGTCCCTTTTTACATGTCTGCTATTTGTCTCCTCTTCTTTCCAGCCCAGGGAGTCTTTATCTAGATAATAGGTCGAGTAACCTGGACCACAGTCCATTCTTCCCTGTCTACCATTGAAGGTACAAAACGTATACCAGACACCTTTAAGATTTAGAATTTGAAATACAAGAATGTGGGTTCTTACAAAACAAAACTTGGAATTTTAAAGTTAATTTTTGTTATTCTTGAGCTCTCTGTTTTTTGTTTTGTTTTGTTTTGTTTTTGTAACATTATCTCTCTCCTGAGGCAATTAAACAGAAAAGGAGTAATGAGCAGAGTGAAAGTTAAGGAAAGGTCTTATTTAATTCCTGCCCAAACTTTCAGACTGCCTGATGGGAACCCCAGTTGAATAATGGTGGGATTTTTGTTGTTGTTGTTGTTGTTAAGCAAAGATGATTTCCAAGCTCTGCAGGGCAGGGAGAGCTGGAGAGTTCACATGTTTGTATTTGAACTCACATGAAACAATGAAGAGTGAAATACAGTCCTGTTTCTCTAGCAGTGAAATTTCAGATCCACAGAGAAACAAGGCTTTCATTCTACCATAAAGAAGGACAAAACATAACTGAGAAATACAGTGTAAAAGGAGGAATTTGCAAAGAATAATATGCTCTAGCATATTCCAGCAAGGAGTGATCAGATGTGGGCATAGCAGTCATCATTGGGGTGAAATCCAAGACAACTATGGGTAGCAAAGGAAGCAGCTATCTTTGAGAAAGTAAGACTGATAAGGTTTTCAGTCCAAATGACAAGTAACTTCTAGTTTCTAAGTATAAGCTTTTGCAGTTGGGATCATGCCTTTTTTTTTTTTTTTCTTAAGAAAAAACTTAAATTGCTTTTACTGACAACAGACATTGCCAGATTTATCCACACAACCAGTGTTCCAAATGTCATATAAAAATGCAATGCAGCAATTGGCCAGATTGTTAAGTAACGTGCTATAATTGTTTTTATTTGTTTTAATCCCTGTGAACAAACATTTTATTTTTTGTCCAAAAGACAAAAAGGAGTTGAAATTTTATCGTTGTTTTTCCAGGCAAAAGAAAATAGGGTATTTGTTGACTGAAGAAATGAGATATTTCTCTTTGGCAGTTTGGGCGGCCTAATTGATAGGAAGAGGTCTGGTAGCTGAGAATAGCAGGGTTAGAACAATAGAGGATTCCAAGATCAAGGGGAAGGGTCAGAGGTTCACAATTCCCAACTGGAGTGGGTGAGTGGGAGAGAACTTTACAAAAGAAATAAGAGCAAAACCATCTGGGTAAAAATGACACCATGTCTTGATCTCTGGGCTAAGGACCCCTGGAAGTGCAACCATTTACACTCGCTCTTGAAAATGCCTCATTGTGGGTTCAGGGATAATAACCCTTAAGCTAAAGCCTTTATGAGTTGGAAGAAGAGAAAATGTGCTTCCTGTTTCTTACAGAGGATGAAAGAAGCAGTTAATTCCCAAATCCAGCCTCCAAACACCACAATGGAGCATTTTATATGTGGAGGAAAATTGCTAAAGGTTATTTACAATTAGATCCATAAAAATAATTACTGGGGACTTTTAACAAACTTTATTTAGGCTCTTCCATACTTAAGACACAATTCTCAAGAATATCTTGGGTAATTTTCAAACTGTTCTTTTCCTTAAAACGATCAAAGGGAATTGGTTATTATCCAAGGTCAACTTATTAACGAGAGACAGAATATTCCCCAATTACAGTATTTCTCCAGCGCAGTTCTTACTGAGCTCTAGGCAAGGGGCAAAATGGGGAGGAGAGAGTGTAGTCAGAAGTCCCAGGGTCTTACTTGGGTCTCCAGCTAACTAGCTCAGTGAGCCTGGGCAACACCCCTGACCTGTCTGCATATGTTTCCTTGTTTGCAAAATGAAATGAGAGGGGATAATTCTAAAAATCCTTTCTTTGTGCTCTTCCTAATTTTTTTTAGAACTGCTAAATCATTGCACGCATGAAATGATTTGCTTTTGTTCTCTTTGAAATAATGGAGCTCATTGTCTAGGATCTCCAGCTTCTATTTCTGTGAAGCAAGATCTAACAGCCTTTGATACCTCTCTGTCTACTTTCTAGGGAATTACAGATATAATTTGTGGAGACACTTAGTCAAAAATTGTCACTGAATGCCTTATGCTTTTCCACAATGCTTTCAGAGCTGAATCCTTATAGGAGGCAAGTCAGAGATGAAATAAGAAGGACTGACAGGAAGGAGAGGTGTAAACAGAGCTCGTGAACACACATGAAAAGGCAAGTGATAGGTACACAAGGACATCACCAAGAAGAAGGCTCTTTTTCTGCCCTTGCAGTATAAAAATAGTTATTTATTTTTTCATAAGATGATGTTGGAAAAGTTTCAAAGGAAAGGCTTCTAGTGTTTGATGAGCACCTGCTGTGTAACGGGCACAGGTTAGGCAATTTTATACAAGATAAAGATGTTTGTACCCACTTAATGGATAAGAAAATTGAGGCACAAAGGGGTTAAGCAGTCTTCCCAAACTTACCCAGTTATTCATTTTAACTGCTGTGTCATGTTCCTGGTGTGAGTCTGCCAAAAATTAATTCATTTAACCTTTTTACTATTGTTTTTCATGATTACAAGCGTTTCTGTAGTGAGCATCCTTATACCTGCCCTCATGTTTACACATAAGAGTATATTTTTTAGGTAGGTGCAATAAACTAAGCATGTATCTGTAGATATGTGTATATGTATGGGTATATATACACGTTATATATATGATTGTGAACATGCATATACATATGTATGAATACATATGTGTTTGTATATCAGTGTATGTATCTACATATATGTATTTTTCTAAGATCCTGCCAAATTATCATTGCAAAGTGGCTCTGTAAAATTTCACTCCTCCCCAACATTGAATGAAAATATCTGTTTCCTCATACTGTCACCAGTGTTTCGTGTCACCATATTTTAAACATTTGCCAAGCTATTATTACATTATTTTTTCATGTTCATTTCTTCAATCACAAGTGAGTTTGACCACCTCTCAAGTTATTTACGTCCAAAAAAAAAAAATCACTGTAAATGAAAAATGAGTAGTTTAGCCTTGCCCTGTGCTGTGCAGAAAGCCGGTGAGTTTCTTCCTGAAGAGGATGCTGCAGGGTCATTTGACTTGGAGAGGAGGGAGTGGTAAGATCACATTATCATTAAGAATTCGCTCAGGGCATGTAAAGATGGCTGAGCAGCTTCTTTAAGCGTGTAAGTGATGACGCTCAAATCTATCAGAATACTAACCCTGAAATCAGGTCTGAGTTTACAGCCATTATATCTTTCTTTGGATTTGGTTTTATGTTTTTACCCTTGATTTATGTACGTACTTCCCTTAGCATCCCATATCTCAAGCAACATAAAGGTATTAAAGTGATGGGATTTAGCAAATATGTTATGGTTACCATCTTTGTTCCCAAGAGGGAATTTGGAAATCTGACAAGTATTATACCTTTCATTTTCAAGACCCGTTTTCTGAGCCGTTTCGCTAACAAGTCCCCTGATTTACCATGCCATTAACAAAAATAATTCTTTCTGGACAGCAGTAAAAGAAGTGGATTAGAACAATTTACAGCCTTCTCAAGATACATATAAGGTGCCTGTTAAGAAAAAAAAAGGGACAGATTTTTGATTAACTGATACGTAGACTTGCTTTTAAAACATGTCAGTTCATTCTCTGTATGCCCATCTATTAAGGGCAATGTCCCTCATGGAGGAAGCCTGCCATCGCCCGGTGCCTTAGCACGCTCTCATGTTTGCCAACAGTGATTAGGAATTACTTAGTTGCTGACAACCCTCCATCATTGATCGAAGTAAGAAACCTTTTCTGCTTCAAGGTAAGGACATGGTGCCTACTTTCTAAATGAGATGTTATCCAGAGACAACATTTTGAATCTGTAGGCAAAAACGTATCCAGTTCAACAAAAGAATAACCTGCAATAAGCAGAGATAGAATGGGTGAGGACCTAGGACAGCGGCTCATTAGGCAGAACCCGTCCTTTCTCTTTGCTAAAGTTAGGGAGGAAACAAATGCCTGCCGAACAGAAGGAGGAGATGAGAGGATCTGTCAGCCAGGGAGAGGTACAGCTACCAGAAAAGCACTGGACAGTTTCCTCTAATCCTTGGGAACTTTAATCGTCTCCTCAATAATTCTCATTTTGAGAGGATCTCAAAGTGGAGGGATCCATTAGTAAGTTCCACTTTGGCCTGGAATGAGAGATGCCGAAAATGACAAGGGTGCTTTTCTGTGGTGGTGTAAGTAGCGTGGCCGTGGATGTGGGCAATTGGCTTACTCCAGTCTGTGGCATTAGTTAGCATCTCTGAAACCCTGAGACATGATTCTCAGCCCCCATGGCTGGTCAAGGGATTACCAGAGAAGATTTTCAAGTACATGGGATTGGGGGGTGCTCCCAACCCTTCAGTCAGCTGTGGGTTTTGCGTGTGAAGAGCATAAGAGGGGAGAGAGAGGAAATGAGAGAAGCTGGACCATGCAGAGCCTTGTAGGTGATGGGAAGGATTTTGCTTTCATCCTAAGAAGAGTGAGAAGCCATTAATAGGATTCGGGGTGATTGTGAGTCAGGGGGAAATGGGGGGAGGTATCAGGACATGGAGGTCTTTGCAATTATTAGTTGGAGAACAGCAATGGTTCTTAGCTGCTTCGTGTGCCCTGGACCCTTCTCTCAGTCTGCTGAAGCCTGGGCAGTCCATCTCAGATCCTGTTCAGGTGCATAGATTAAAATATTTTAAATTACGATATAAGCTACTTATGCTATACCATATTTATACTATATCATTGTGGTAATAAAGAATTTGTCATAGATTAATAGACAGGCATAGGTGTCCTGGAACTGGTTCTGTCTTACCAGCTTGTCAAAGCTGATTACGCGAATTTCTTTCCAAATTCTTACTCAGTGATGCCAAATTGGTAGCTTGAAATCAAGCCACGGTGAGAGAATTTATATCATAGAATATGGAAAACATTACAGATCAGGACTTTTCTTCTCAAAAGTCAGCTGTTAAACATTGACCATCATAGCACTGTGTATATACTTATGTATTTAATAATAGGCTTTGGTGGCAGGTTTAGTAACTATTGCAATTTTGAAGTAGTGATGAGTATGAATCCCATTTCAGGATATTTCCCACAATTGAAATGTGATATAATAACTTTTTTCCTATAACTGGTGACAAACACAGGTTCTGCTAATACTATTGTGATTTGTTATCTACATTCATAGTTGAAGAACCTGCTTAATTTTCGTTAGAGGGTAATGAAAATAAGGGTGCATTTTTCCATTGAAAGAGCCTCTGAACTACAGTGTCCAGAAAATGAGAAAAAAGAGGGACCATAGAGACCAACTAGAAGGTGATAGCAGTATTCCAAATGAGTTGCCATGGTGTCTTGTATTCCAGTGAGGAGATGGAAAGGTGTATATGGAATTGGAAATGGTTAGTAGATAAACTCTATGACAATTGGGTATGTATAGACATTGGGGTGAAGGAAGTGTCAGGAGTGACTTATAGGGTTATGGCTTACACCACTCAACTTAATAAGGATGAGAATGCCAGAAGGGCCCAGGTTTAGGGAAGATGACCATGAGTTTGGTTAGGGCCTGTTGAGTTTGAAGTGCCTTTTGAGTATCATGGAAATATTAAAAAGATATTGGGACACATGCATTTGGAATAGAGACATGAGTAGGTTCTACCTTCAGCCTTGGGGTGGGACCAGGTTACGAAGGGATGTTATTCTTTGATGGATGAGCAGACTACAAAAAGCTGTGCCACCCTTTGTCTCTATGTATTCACACTGCTTCCCCTAGCACCTCTTCTTTATCTCCTAACAATCATTGTGCCAACAGACTGCCTTTAGAAACTGGCAGATGGCCCCTCTTCGAAGGATCCTGTGCATACAGAGTAACTACTTTCCCAGTAGCTGCATGGCTATCTTGCTGGATCTGCAGGTCCAGAGGAGGGGCTGGGACAGTAGAGGAGCACTAGGAAGTCATTAGGATATTTGCAATAATTGAAGCTTGCATCCTATTTGAAACTTCCCCAAAGAAAAAAATGAGCGAGAAGAGTGGTCAGCAGGAAGCCTTGAGGAGTTCCAAAATCAGTGGCCAGCAGAGGTGGAGGAGCCTAAAAATGAGACTTTGGAGGGAGCAGCCACAAAGATAGGAGAAAAGCCAGGTGAGGTGGTGGAGGTGCAGGGAAGACAAGCAGAGAGGGTGCTTCAGTGAGAAGAGAGGAGAGGAGTGAAACTCAAAGTCGCAAGAGAACACTGGAAGTTCTTCCCTGCATCTAGTGACACGGAGGGTGTTAATTTTACACAGGCTGTGTTGGTGGAGGAAACCAGATGGGAGGGGAAGAAATGGAGATAACAGTTATAGACACATCTTTTAAGAAGTTTGGCGGCTAAAAAGGAGACAGATAGTGAAGTAGTTGGAGGTGGATGTAGAGAAAACAAAGTTTTTTTTTTCTTTCTTTTTTATTTCCTTTCCTTCTCTTCCTTCCTTTTTCCTTCCTTCCTTCCTCCCTTCCTTCCTCCCTTCTTTCCTCCCTTCTTTCCTGTAGGAGATACTTTCTCATAAGGATTCATTTGAGACAGAGAGGGTAGGAGAGAAGGGATTTATGATGGCATAAAGCTTCTGAGAAGGTGGGAAAGGCTAGACTTCAAAACATAAGAGGGACCTGTTAACTTTTTAAACCTGGGAGTTGAATCAATGAAAAACTGAGTCAATGATGTAACACTTTTAAAGGTAGTTGTTTATTGCCCCCCATCTTAGAGAAGAGCCTTTTCTGGTTACAGAAGACAAAGTGATTTAATGTGTGCTGAAGTAAGCTGGAAATTCAGGTGTTCAGTTGATGTTTTTGGAGTAGACTGTGAAATTGAAATTGGAGAGACATTATCCAGGCAGGAAAACTATGAGTTAAGGGCTCTGGACAATAAAAAAAATAAGGGTGTCATCCTTGGGGAAGGAGATGGGAGATGCTGATGCGTTTAGGGCTTCAGAGCTGCACCTGTGCTCCTCTTGGGATCAGAACTGCAGTATCTCTGCAGCTGCTGCACCTTGTTTTTAACCCCTGCATCCAAGAGCTGAGTGTTGCATGACTCTCAAGATGCAGATATTAAAACCTTATTGACTGATGTAGACTCTTCTGTGCATCAAAGGGCTCAGAAGTGGTATTAGCTGGCTGTCTCCTTTTAAGTGCAGAGAGTGCTTTTCTGTAGATAGTGCTATGAGCTACCTGGGGTTAAGATAAAAGGCTTCAAAAAGGTAGTGTCTTCCCGGAGGCTGCTTGTGGCCACTCGCTGTGTGTCTGTGGCTATACAGACCCCAGATTGCTGGGGCTGGACTTTGCATGTCTCTCTCTATTACCTTCTAGAGCCTGTGAGGCCCAGGCTTTTAAAGATTCGGCACTGAAAGAAACTAAAACCAAACTTTTGAGTTTACAACTGCCTGAGGCTGCCTCCATCTACAGGACCTTTACTAACTGTGCCATTTTGGCGAAAAGATAGATTTTGAAGTTCAATCAGTCTTGGTTTCAAGTATTAGCTATTCCTCAGATGATTGTGGGACCTTGAACAAGTCTCTTGCCCTCTCTGAGTCAGTTTTATCATCCATGCAATAGGGATAATATTACCTACCTCATAAAACCATTGTCGAGACCCATCTATTCAGCACATACTTGAGTTCCTATTCAAATACCGGCTGCTGTGCTTGGCTGTGGAGTCTAACTGCACAAAATGGTCTTGACCCTGAGGGTTTTATAGTTTGAGAGTGGATATACCAAAGTGCCTGGCTGTGATTATTATATTGTGATATAATAATAAATACATATTTGGTCTCTGCCCCCAGTTCTAATATTTAGTCTGTGAACCCAGTTCCTGGCAGACAGCATCTAAGAGCTTTGTAATTTCCTGAGTGACGGGAACATCTGACACAGAGCTCCGAAATCCCTTGGTATTTCCTGGCTGATAGGAGCATCTTTTGCTCTAATGAGTTGACTTGTGCTGGGCTCCTGGATACCCCCAGGATGGGTGCTGGTTTCCAGGGGAATCAACCATGTATTTTTAGAAGGTTGGGGCTTTCATCATCCACCCCACCTCCAGGGAGGAAAGGGAGGCTGAAGACTGAGTTGATCACCAACGGTCAGTGAGATACTCAATCGTGCCTATGTAACAAAGCCTCCATGATAACCCCAAAGGACAGGGGTTAAAGGGCTTCCAGGTTGCTGAACCCATGGAGGTTTCTGGAGGGTGGTGTGCCCACAGAGGGCATGGAAGCTCTGCATACCTTTCCACATACCTTTCCCTATGCATCTCTTGGTGTGACTGTTCATCTATACTCTTTGTAATATTCTTTATAATAAATGCGTAAATATAAGTAAAGTGTTTTCCTGAGCACTTCTGTGAGTCACTGTAGCAAATTAATAGAAGTCAAAGAGGGGGTTGTGGGAACTCCAATTTATAGTGGGTCAGTCAGAAGCACAGGCCACAACCTGGGCCTTGTGACTGGCATCTGAAGTAGGGGACAGTCTTGGAGGACCTGTGGGATGTGGCTTTATCTCCAGGTAGATATTACTGAATTGAATTGAATCAGAGGATTACCCGCTGGTGTCCACTGAAGAATGGCTTGATGTATTGGGGAAAAACCCACTCATACTTGGTGTCAAAACTGTTGAGTGGTGTGTGACAGTAGGTAAAACATTTTGTTTTTTTTTCTATCCTTCATATTGGCCCAGAGAGCTTATTTAATAAATATCTCATTCATTTCTTTTTTCTTATCCATTATACCGTAGGCTCAGCTGAAAACATCGTTCATGACCCACCTGAATGCACAGTAGGGTACTTAGAAAGTACTGCATGGTTAGCAGACAGCTCTGTAGGGAGTCGGAACAGCCACGCAGTAGAGTCTTGGAAGCAGAAGAGAGTAAGGCACAGAGACCCCGAATGAGGGCCGAGTGTGGACATCCACATCACAGCTCCACCCATGACTAGTCACAGGAACAGAGACAGTCGACTTGCCTCTCACTCTCTGCCTCAGTTTCCTCACCTGCATGATGGAGACGATAATGGTACACAATTCTAAGGTGGTTGTGAGGATTACACGAGCTGGTGGTGTTGCGATTCTGAGGTGGTTGTGAGGATTACACGAGCTGGTAGTGTGTGTCAGGTGCTCAGAACAATGCGTGGAACATGGAAAACACTCCCTACATGGGAGATATTATTTCCATGTTCAGAAACAAGCTGGTTTCATTAAAGCCCACTGCTCTCAAAAGGCAATTCCCATGGGAATAGTGATGACTTGAAATTCTGTATCAAAATGCTGGTGGATGCTGCTTCGTTTGTAGTTTCTTTTCTTTTCCAGTCTCCACAGGGCTCTGTTATTTGGATCCTCTACCATGAAGAACAGTGCCCCTAATCGTAGACTATCACTTTGTTGGCCACTGTGTGTTGTCCACCCATTATACTGTGAGGTCTCAACAGCTTTAATTTCAATAATTTGAGGTTTGTTCAATGCATTATATTCCAGATAGTTCACGGATGCTTTTAATTTAATTATAGGCACTTTAACACCACAGATGACTGTTGGGGAAACGGAAAATGTCATTCTTTCTGAATGCAAGACACGTGTTTAGGACTGATAAAATACATAACTGTGTTTTATTTCAGAATAAAAAGAAATGTATTACCAAGTATGTGACAGTAGGTAGACTGCTGGGAAGCCTGGGTCTGATACATTGTTGTCAGAAACAGGCTCAATTTTGGTGAAGCGAAGGGTGTACGGAGGATGAGCCTTGCAAACAAGCTAAGGTGCCCAAAGGACAGCTCCCCCAGTGACCTCAGGGTCAGCCTCTCTCTTACGTACATACAAGGAGCCCCTCCTGGAAGCAAACCCCACTGCAGCCTTCCAACAGGCACATCCTTGTTCTTCCCACTATCTTATTATTTGTAGCAGCAATTATTCATTGCCATCTGAATTCACTCAGTAAATATTTATTGAGTACCCTGTATGTGTAGGTAGTGGTGATACAGCAGTGGACACACAGACAAAAATCCCTACTCTGAAGGAGCTTATATTCCGGGGGGAAAAAGAGAGGAAAATAAGTAAAATGTGTGCTGGTTTTGTGCATGAAGATGGCAAAGGCTATGGAGAAATCAAGGAGGATAGAGTTGGGGAGGAACAGTTGTAACTTCCATAGTGTGGGTGGAGAAGGCCTCACTGAGGCATCAACATTTGAGCTAAGTCTTGAAAGAGGCAAAGGAATGAAAGAGGTGCCAGGCCAAGGTAATAGTTCCTATAAAAATCCTGAGAATGGAGAGTGCCTGGTGTGTCTGAGGAAGCCCAAGGAGGTCATCATGGAGTGAGGGGGAGATAATAGAAGATGAACTTCAAAAACGAAGATGTGAAAAATTGCATTGATCCTTGTAGTCCATTTGGAAGGGTTTAGATGTTTTATCATCACCGTCGTCACCATCATCACTACCACCTGCTAGAAACTTCGGGGGGCGGGGGGTGGGGGGGAATGACTCATCATCTCATCTCTGCACTCCTGAAGCTCCAACTCAGCACAGGATACAACGAAAGGATAATGTGATGCTTGGTACCAAGACTTTAAGGACATTCAGGAGCGGACAGAAAACATGACCTAAAAGAGAGGGAAAAACAGAGACTTTTTACAGGGTCTCCCTTAGGAAAGGGAGCTATCCCTTAGGAGGAGATATCTAAGCCACTATGCAGTTGTGAGGTCTTTAGAAATCAACCAAGTGCATTGGTCAGATTGAGGCTAAGTTTTCCAACACAGAGAACCCTGAAGTCCCATTCTGTACTTTGTCTTGACTCTCCTTTCATTTCTCTTTATCACTCTTCGCCCCCCACTGCAGGTACCTGTTCCTTTTTCTGACCATGTCTCTGGACTTGGAGAAGGTTTTCTCTCATAAGCTTCTATCCAGCCCTACACCCAGTGGCCATACAGGTCCACCCCTCTGTATGGCTCTGTGCATTAATGAGCAGCTCTTCTTAGCTCAGCGTGCTCACTGTCTTTAGGAATGGTTTCTGCTGAATCCATTGACTGCACAATAAGCCCAGTGGAATGTGTACTCTAGGCCCCAGTTACCTCCAAGGAGAAGGGATGATAAATATAACAGTGACAAAATACTCTCATACACACAGAAATATATAGTTACACTTAAATGCACACACATATATACATACAAATATAGAGTGGGTGCAGTGGCTCACACCTGTAACTCCAGCACTTTGGGAGGCCGAGGTGGGTGGATCACCTGAGGTCAGGAGTTCAAGACCAGCCTGGCCAAAATGATGAAACCCTGTCTTTGCTAAAAATACAAAAAAACAGCCAGGTGTGGTGGTGCACACCTGTAGTCCCAGCTACTCAGGAGGCTGAGGTGGGAGAATCACTTGAACTCAGGAGGCAGAGGTTGCTGTAAGCCACAGTCACACCACTGCACTTCAGCCTGGGCCACAGAGTGAGACTCCATCTCAAAAAATCAAATGAAAAACCACATATAGTTATATATAAAAGCATGCACGCATGCATGAATATACCTATACATATACATCTATGTTTACATACAAATGCATGCATACATGCACATATGCACACACCTATAATTATAAATGCATGTATATATATATATGTATGTATACACACATACATTTTTATAGAAATGCATAGGTATACACATGTATAGAGTTGTAGATGTATGCACATATTTGCATGCATACATACATGACTATACGCACAATGCACACATGTTTATATATGAATGTATTCACTCATACATGTATGGTTGTGTGTGTGTGTGTGTGTGTGTGTTTTGGGAAGACTAATTACTCCAGGAGATTTACATGTAGTTTCCCTTCTTAAGTAGATCACAACCCTGCTCTGCATTTGCTGCCATTGTTTCTGTTACGTAGATGAGGAATTTGAGTCTCTAAAACTTGAAGTTGCCCGGCCAAGGTCACGTAGCTAGTAAGTTGTGAAGCTGATATTCAAACTAAGGACTAAAAGATAAAAAAGACCACTTTCTTCCAATGCTTAAAAGATGTTAACAGAAAGAGAGCAAAGCAACAACAAGAAAGAAGGAACCCTAAGTATGTTCATCGAGCTACTCACAGAAAACAGAAAATATGATTACAACATAAAGTGATAATTTCCATAAAAGAAAAAGTTACATGAGCACATACAAGAGGGAATAACATTTGAGGAATCTCTTGAAGGATGGGTAGGAGTTTTTTAGAAAGGGGTGGGGAAGCAAAAAGATTTTGCTTTTCATTTAAAGTTATGATAGCCAACATTTACCTTTTAGAGGTGCTCAAAAGGCCCACTGTACCTTTGGCTTCATAGCTGTAGAAATCGGGCATTTTCCAAAAAAAAGGCAGTGACGGTGCCTCACATCTGGCCACAGGCATCTCTCGGCAGCATGCAGGTCATCTAGGGCAAGTCTCTGTAAAGGCCTTTCTCTCTGGTGTTGCATTTGCGTATTCATATGTCTGCATACAAACACCAAGTCTGCTGTTAGTGGTGTCATAACTTTGCAAAAGGAAGAAAACATGGCTAACGGTAAAATGAGTTATGCCTTTATAAAACATTTTCAATGACAGAACTTGCTCCCCTCTGAGTGCTTTTTGAGGATCAGTAATCATAAACTGTGGCTTTGCCAGGAGGTGCTGTCGAAGATTGTGTGGACATTCTTTCAGCAAAATCATCTGGCATGTGTGATTGCTTCTATTTATTCAATACTAAAGAACAGAAGATTGAGTTTTATGAGAGAGAGAAAAATGCACATTCCACATAGAGATTGGATAAATTTCATTGTTTAGAGTGTTTTTATTGCCACAAAGTAATCTTCTGATTGCTAGGTGAGTAATCCTGTAGTTACAAAAACAATCAATTAATTGATCTAAATTAATCGGATAACATATTTTAGCCTGCTAAGCATGAAGGCATATTTCAAGTAACTTTCCAGATAAAGGAGGTATTGAACCTTTTCAGCCACCAGCCAGGGACAGTGACACAGATTCTAGTATCAAATGCTGATTCTCAAATTAACAAATGCTGGAATTACTATGAGAAAGGCATGGACTAGGGAGTCATGAAGTCCTCCCCCTTTTGTTATACAGGAAGCTTCTAAGCTGCCTGTCCCACTGTTCCTCCAGCTCTTTTGTCCCAGGCTTGGCCCTACTGGGAAGGAGACTTCCCTAACTTCTGGGCTACCCCTCCCTTTCCCTACCTCTAGCCACACTGTGTTTCAGGGAGGGCAACATGGGAGACAGAGGAAATTAAGACACCTGCATGAAAGTTGACAGAGTTACCCAAGAGGAGATGCCACTGGGCAGGGACTGGAGAGCACTCAAGGGAAGGGAGGCAAGTCCGTCCTTTCTCCTCCTTTCTTCTTCAAAATGTATTGAATGCCTATGCTTTTCCAGGCAGTTTTTAGGCACTTGGAATACATCAATGAATAAATACGGCAAAGATCCCTATGCTTGTAGAACTGACATTCTAGCAGAAGAGACAACTAATATATAAATAAGTCACATAGTATTTTAGAAGGTGATATATGCAATGGGAATAGAAAAAGCAGAGCCGAATGAGGGCTAGATGGATGCTGGGATCCTAGGTGGAGCAACTGGCTACTGTTAAAATTTATCTGAGAAGTGGTTCCGAGAGACAGCGGCAGCAGTAGAGGAGAACACAGCAGTCAGACGAGCCAGGAGGGTTCCTGGCTGTTCCCTGCACATGTCATTAATGTGAACACTCACCAGCATCTCTTAGCTCCTTCATCTTTAAAACAGGGATAAGGATATCTGCAATGTGGGGAAGTGGGAATGATTAAATATCATTGATTTGTTTTTACTGCTCCTCTTTAAAATGACAGCATCACCACAAAGGAGATGAAATAGTCAATAGTGAATGGAAAGCACCAAGCACAGAGACTGGCACACAATGGGTACTGAGTACACGTTTACGTTGGTACTCATAAAAGACCAGGAAGAGCTTATATGTGGTGCCCTGGTAATGCCTCAGATACTGTTCTAAATGCTTCATGGATATTAGCACATTTAATCCTTACAACCCTTTGGGGTAGGAACTAATTTATGTCCATTTTACAGGTAATGAAACTGAGGCACAGAGAATTTAAGTAACCTCCCCACAGTTTTATAATTGGTTAGTGGTGGAGGCAGGATTTGAACACAGGCATCCTGCTTCTGGAACTGCACTGCAGTTATTTTTAGAGCCCAGGCTATGGAAAGAAACCATTCATTTATTCACGGAACACATTTTTATTGATTATCTGCTACATGACAGGTCTGTGATCAGCACTAAGGCTATAGAAATGAAAGACATAGACAGGGTTCCTCCCCCAAAACATTCTTGATGTAAATGTGAGACTCACACTATAACCACCCTAAGGATTTTGGTCTGAAAAGACATTCTTTATTAAGGATTATACATTTATGTCCTGGATTTCCTAGATCTGGCCCTGAAGGTAAATATTCCATTTTCTTATTGGAGTATAACAACCAACGTTTGACTGCAAAAAATGTGGTAGATTATTTTCATTCATATGAATATGCCTGCCCTTTTCTCTGGTGGAGTCTGGCCCGGTAAGTCTGTGGGACCTGCCTCTACCAATGAGGGGTAGAGCTTGGTGACTTTTAACAATGATCTCCTCATTAGATGAGGCCATCAGTTACAGCGGAAATGATCATTATTGGAAAGCTGGAGACCAGCTGCTGTCAGAGAGGGATGGGCTCCTGTGGAAGCTTGCAAACTGATGACTACTTAATCCTTGAACTTCAGCAGCAACAACATTAGCTGAAGGTCTGTAATGCATTCACAGTTCTCATCTGACATTTTCCCCACATCATTATTTTTCTGGTTTTACTTTTAAATTCCCTATAGGACCATTGACATGAAATTCTGAGGGGGAATTTGGAACATTAATGACTGTTTAAGGCAAATGAGTAAGTGTTCTTTCCAAGAGGAAATTGTCTTTATAATATTGGCATAAGGCTATTTTTAAAATTTATACTAATGAGACGATTCGAGGCAGATAACTGAATTTCCCAGGCTTGAAGTTGGCCTATGCCCCTTGGTGAATTCAGCCTTAGGGTGAGCTCTGTGGGGCCTTGCAAGTCTGGCTCTAGATGCAAGAGATCTGCCCTATCCACATTCCTTCTTTCCATAATTGGTTAGAGCCTTGACCATTCAAACCTGGGCTTGGATGTTGGGCTTACAAGTGGCACAGACAGTCATGGAGCTTGCTGACTACAAGGGAAGAAAGACTTTATCAAATAACACTACTTATGGATGTCTCAACTACAAACATGAATCAATGACTTGAAAGAAGGAGAGTAATATTCCCTGACCTTAAACAATAAAGGACTATGACCCTGTTTGGGGACTGGGGATGGTCATTGAGGGCTCCCCTAAAAATAAATACTTGCTCTGAACCTCAAATGAAGTGTAGGATTTAGAAAGGCAAGGGGCCAGGTGAAAGAAAATGGTTTCAGGAGGAGGGAAGAACAAGGGCTTGAAGGAATGTATGGTCCCCTTGGACCATCTATGCTTCCTAATCCTGGGGATTGCACCTCCAGTGATATAAGAATGTGTGGCAAAGGGAACCAGGTTCCTCACTGACTTTGTTCCCATCCATAGAACCAAAAGGGTCTTCCTTAGTAATGCCTATGGCTATTGGGTATTGAGTTCTTACTACAGGATAGACCCTGCTCCAAGGACTTTGTGTGAATTAACTTATTTGACCTCGACAGACATTTGCCTCACCCCACTGAAACAAGTGACATTAACAGCAATCAAAAGATTACCCGGGGACACAAGGCTATGTAATACAGCAATATATGCAATATAAAAAAATAAATAAAACTTGAATGCTTCCAAATGTCTATCAAAAGAACACAGGTTGAATAAACAATGGAATGTCTACACAAATGAGTACTGTGGAGCTCTAAAAGGGAATGAGGAATAGGGCTATAGGCTATTTGGGATAATGTTCGGATATATTTTTAAGGTAGAAAAAGTAAGATGGAGAAAATTGTGTGTTATATTACTGCCTGTCTTTGAGGGGATGCACATTCACATACAAATTTACTTTTTTAAAAAATAAAAGTTAGGTTAAATCATTTTTTTAAAAAAATAGTTACTGTTCCAGTTATCTTTTTTCTTTGTATAAACAGGGTCTCATTCTGTCACTCAGGCTGGAGTGCAGTGGTGCGATCAAAGCTCACTGTAGCCTTCACCTTCTGCTCAAGAGATCCTCCTGCCTTAGCCTTCTGAATAGCTGAGACTACAGGTGTGCACCGCCACACCTGGCTAATTTTTAATTTTTCTGTAGAAATTGGGTCTCCCTGTGTTACCCAGGTTAGTCTTGAACTTCTGGGCTCAAGCCATCCTCCCACCTTGGCCTCCCAAAGTGCTGAGATTATAGGCATAAGCCACCATGCCCAGTCTATCTACTTATTTTGAAGCAAATTAGTGCCTTAAAATGTCAACACCATTTTATTATCGTCTCTCACAGTGTAGGGATTGTCTGGGCTCCGCTAGGTGGATCTCAGGGTTTCTGATGGGCTTGCAGTCAGTGGCCGAGGCTGGAGTCATCTGGAAGTGCGCTCGCTCATAGACCTGGGTGTGGAACAGAGAGACAAACCTCTGAGGGTTGAGGCTGGAACTGCTAAGGCTGCCTTGACATCTCTCTATGGTCTCTGCAGCACCAAGGCTTACAGGTAGCTGTATGTTTTACAAGTTGGCCTGAGGCTCCAAAGATGCCTATTCCAAGAGAGAGGCTGGACAAGCTGTACTACCTTTTATGACTTAGTGTCAGAAGGCACACAGTGTCACCTTTGCCACATTTCTTTTTTTCTTGGCAGATAATAAGGCCCACCCAGGTTCAAGAAAAGTGGGGCAGCAGGGGAAGGGGATGGACTTTACCTCCTAGTGAGAAGATGATAAGGTCTGGAAGAGGAGGTATGGCAAAAAATATTGCTGTGGCCGTTACTAGAATATATAATCTGACGCAGTTACCTAAAGTGAAAAGCGTGAAATAAAGGCTGAAGAGATAGGGAAAAAAAGTACATTTAAAAAAAAAGTTGTTTCATGAATTTGAAAACAAAATGAAATAAAAAGCCTATTCTAAAATTCAAAAGTCAGAGAAACAATTGAACCTAAGTGTGTACTCAAGATGCTGGCATAACCACTTGATAGGAACTACCCCTAGTTATTTTAAAACGCAGTTATTTGACTCTGTCCATTAAAGACAATTGAAAACCAAAAACCAAAACAACTGCAAAGGGAAATCTTAAAGTATTTTCAATAATACTGCTTTTGGAGGTAGTGTTGGTATATTTATTGTTATATAAAATATAGTATAATATTGTGTGTATTGAAAGATAAATGTATATGTTAATTTGGAGAACTAGAATATTGAAGTATGGGAGGAAGAAGATGCAGATATAAGACCAGCGAGATTAATTTAAAATGCTAGAGAATTGGAAGTGGGATTATACATATGAATTTATTAGGTGTTTTATCTTAGAAATTCATGTATTCTCTTTCTACTAAAAAGCCCTAGAAACAGTGACCAACCCAATAGCAATAAACTTCCTTAGCAAATAGATTATGGTCACTAGTGATCATTTTCTAGCAAAAGAAACCAAGCTGTCTTGAGAAAATGATTGAGTTTATATTTGAGGCAGGAAATAAACAAGAAGAATCTGTAAAATCTTGTCATACCAAGAAGCAGAGAGGCTATGAGATGTCATTAGGGTCATGTCATTTAAAGAAGCCAGTATGAGTAGCTCAAAGATGAGATAATTTGAGCCTCAAAACAAAATAAGTGATTTCAATGGATTTAAATACACTAAATCTGTTTAAATACATAAGTTCATAATGATAGGGGAAAACAAAATTATTTATAGGTTACCTTACAAAGATGATAGAAACCATCTCATTATTTTAGAAACGGAAAGGAAAAAAAAACATAAACAACTATCCTGCCTTTGTTTTCAGAATTCCTTGTAGAAATAATTAACTAGTGGATGAAGAGAGTTTCTCTTTCTAGGTAATAAGCAACGAAAAAATGGCAGAATTAGAATATAATGAATTTGCAGTTCTTACTAAATTAATATATCTAGGCAGTAACCATCAATAAAAAGAAAGACCATATGACATTTGTATGTCCTGAAGTAAGTTCACAACGCCATCTAGTCTTGAGCCAAAAATACTGCACCTGAATCTGATCCAGCCTCCAGGATGTATCTATTTATAGGAAACACAGTGGACAGGCGAACATGTTAAATGACACCACAGAGATGCAATCTGCGAACTTCCACTGTGGAAACAATCCAAATGATTCAACACGATGTTGCAAAGACAAAAGAATTATACATGAACAGGAGGCTGGATGAATTAAAAAACATAAGAGATGTATCAATCATAATCTTTGGTTCTAATTTGGATTCTGATTTAAAAATAGACTGCAAAAAAATTTGTTAGAATAATATGAACAAAGACTAGATGTTTGCTGCCATTTAGAAATTCTCATTAGTATTTGTTCAGTTATGATAATGCATGCTGCTTCTGTTAAAAAAATACTTTTAATCTTTTACAGATACCTTCTAAATATTTATAGATGAAATCATATGATATCTAGAATTTTCTTTAAGACAATCTGTGGAAGGGGTGAGTGGATGTGTGCTCAGGTGAGCTAATGGTAGCCATGAGTTTAATATTGAGGTTGAGCGATGGATACAGAGAAGTTCATCATACGAATCTCTCCACTTTGATGTTTTCTTGAACTCTCCAATACTAAAAATTTAGCCAAAAAAATTAACAGGGGCAACGAACTTTCTTCTTTTTCCAAGGGCTTTTTATCGATGATTTTAAGAAAATGGTCAGACAGCGCAGGCGTGTTTTACCTTAGTCCTTCCAAAGCAGTAAGGTGCACCCACTTCTCAGCCACCCTCCCTGACTTTGTTTTCACAACCCGAATTCACCAGGAAAATACCAGGAGTCTGCTTTGTATTGTGCCATCTTTTAAATAATGCCTCACTTTCTAGTAGCAAAGTACCTCATTCTTTTTCTTGATACTTCAAAAAAACAAAATGAAACAAGAACTTCTCATTAGCTGAAAGTGTTTTTATCTAGTGAGAACTGAAATCTTCTTGGCTTATTTCCTCTTAGATCTAAACAATATTAACTTTTTTTTTTTTTTTTTTCCCAAACAGAGTCTCCCTCTGTTGCCCCGGCTGGAGTGACTGCAGTGGCACGATCTTGGCTCACTGCAACCTCCACCTCCTGGGTTCAGGGAATTCTCCTGCCTCAGCCTCCCAAATAGCTGGGATTACAAGCATGCACCACCATGCCCGGCTAATTTTTTGTGTTATTAGTAGAGATGGGGTTTCACCATGTTGGCCAGGATGGTCTCAATTTCCTGAGCTCAGGTGATCCACCTGCCTCAGCCTCCCACAGTGCGAGGATTACAGGCGCAAGCCACTGTGCCCAGCCTTAACAATTTTTTTTTGTTTGTTTTTGAGGCAAACTCTGACTCTGACACCAGGCTGGAGTGCAGTGGTGCGATCTTGGCTCACTGCAACCTCTGCCTCCTGGGTTCAAGTGATTCCCCTGCCTCACCCTCCCAAGTAGCTGGGACTACACACGCACCCCACCACACCGAGCTAATTTTTTGTATTTTTTTAGTAGAGTCGGGGTTTCACCATGTTGGCCAGGATGGTCTTGATCTCCTGACCTCATGATCTGCCCACCTCAGCCTCCCAAAGTGCTGGAATTACAGGCTTGAGCCACCGCGTCTGGCCCAACAAATATTTTTAAGATGCATTGTCTACTAACAGGAGATGCCTCTGATTCTGAAGTACTTTGCGATAAACAGCCACACAATAGCCAAATGAAATCTTGAAATCAGAGGGTTGCTTTCTCATGAAGTTAGACTGCTTGAGAATTGCAGTGGCTTCTATATGGCAGGTGCTTAAATTGTCCAAGTTGAAATTCTAATTTTTATAATGAGTAGGGATGAGTGCATGAAATGGTTGTGTGTTTTTTTATTTCCTACATACAATATCGAATTCAATCCCAAACTTGAAGCATTGATGTAATTGAAACATGTTGGTAATTTTAAATCGTGCAGTTCTGTACATGATCAGAATCCTAATCATTATTAAAATAGGTGTTTCTATTATATGCATATGTATAAAAAGTCCTCCAAAATGTTAAATTACCTTTCTCATCTCAGGAATAGAGTCCCAATCACTTCCAGATTGAAGCACTTACGGGGGGAAAAGGCGAAGGGCTCCAGTAATTTTAAATTGCTTCGTACAATGAAGAGTGCCTGTAAATTACTGAATGTGGTAATTTGTTCCATAAGCTTTTTTGATTTGTAAGTAACTTAGTGGATTTGCTGGTGAAACAGTTTGGCAGGTTCCTCAGATAATTTAGAGATATTGAGCATAGACATCTAAATGTGATTAAAATGTGGTATTAGCAGACATTGACCACAGGAAGGGTGAGGCAGGTTTTCAAGTTACAGCAGCTAGAGAAGCTGAGAAAGACTACAGTCGACTCTCAGGGGACTTGGGAAAGGTACTAAGAATGCACAATTGAGCTAATTACAGGAAAATGCCACACGGCTGGCTTTGGAAGAATTCATCCAGCCCCTGGCATGTTTTGCTTATCCTCTGCCTGATGATAAAATAGGGGTTATTTCTATCAGTGGACACATTTGGCCCATATCTTAATTCAGGCAACACAGCCTTAGCCTTGTTCTGCTAGTGCTAATTATTTTTTTGAAAAATAATACTGTTAATATAGTAAAATGTAGTTGTTGGACTCTTAGAAATGGATAAAGTTTAGGTTTGTAATTTCCCAGACAGAGAGAGAGTGGCATAAGCATCGTGTGAATTCCCTTCTAATAGGATGTCTTCATCTTTACTATTTTGCATAATAATGTATTGTTTGGCCATAAGAGGGATTTAGGTACTGGATCTAGAGGCATTGGGTGTCTTTAAGGTATGAAGGGGTCAAGCAAATGTCTGCCACTCACAGAGTGAGGGAGGTGGAGCCAGAGGTTCTGAACAAAGAACCTCACCAAATGATGGGGAGAGGCTGTGATGCATTTCATGAGGCAGTGATGATGTGAGTCTTGGGCTCTGTAAGTGAGGGTGCATAGAAGAGTAGGTCCCGCCCTTTTTAGGAGTATACTGTGGACTAGAGTCAATCTGTAGACAAAGCTAGGCTAACTTCCTACTGGGCAACGTCTGACCCCTTTCATCTTTGACCTCAAGAAAGTCACTATTGTTGGTAAAGTGAGGAAGGACATGGAACCTCTGGGGAGAATCTGACCTAAAATGGCTTCATAAAGATTCTCAGCATGAATGCCCTTTTTTACTTGATGAAAATAGACCTGATAGTGGTTGGGTTATTTGAGCAGAACAATAATGGTAAAGGGAAAATAGTAGTGAGATTTATGGTGTAGGATGGTCAGATGTGGTATGAGTATGACACGGAGCCAGAAGTGCCTGGTCATTCACTGATTTGTCACACTAATGGAGTTAGAATACTCTACCTTGCAAGGCAGAGTAGGAGTAGAGTATCCAGTCATCCTGGTTTGCCCAATTCTGTCCCACTTTTGACACAGAGAGTCTCACACTCCGGGAAACCTCTCAGTTCTAGACAAACAGAGACAGTTGGTCATCCTATTATGAGAGGTTAGAGAGGAAGCACTTTCTGGATGGGTTGAGTCTGATAGGCTCTGTTGTATTTGATTAGACAGCTTTCTATGAGATCAAGGTTTTCAATACCATCACAGAACCATTTCTGGAGCTGTGTTGAGGAAGAGAGGGCAAGGGTTAGAGAAAAGCTTGGGCCGCAGCATTGCCTCTGCCATGAAGACTCTTTACGTCTGTTTCACACACAGTCAGCCCTTCGTATCCACAGGCTCCACATCTGCGGATTCAATGAACTATGGATCAAAAGTATCCTCTGGCCGAGTGTGGTGGCTCACGCCTGTAATCCCAAGACTTTGGGAGGCCAAGGCAAACAGATGACTTGAGGCCAGGAGTTCAATACTAGCCTGGCCAACATAGTGAAACCCCAATTCACTAAAAATAGAAACCTCAGCTAGGAGTGTTGGCGGGCACCTGTAATCCCACCTAATCCCAGCTACTCAGGTGGCTGAGGCATGAGAATTGCTTGATCCCGGGAGGCAGAGGTTGCAGTGAGATCACACCACTGCACTCCAGCCTGGGCAACAGAATGAGGGCCTGTCTAAAATAAAAATAAAAATAGATGTGTTTGTGTGTGTGTGTGTGTGTATATATATATATGTATACACAAACATATATATATACATATATACACACACACATTCAAAGAAAAAATAATACAAATAAAAATACAGTACAACTATTTTCATAGCATTTACATTCTATTAGGTATTATATAAGTAATCTAGAAATAATTTAAAGTATACAGGAGGATATGTATAGATTATATGCGAATACTATGCCATTTTACATAGGGTATTTTGGTATTTGAGAAAAATCCTGGAATCAGTCCCTCACAGATACCAAGGGACAATTGTGCTAACCTTTTAGATAAAGTTTCATAGACCAGAGACTTCCACAGTGAACACAAGATTAGATACCTTAGGCTAGAGCGATGGGTTTTAGAAAAAAGGTGGACACATGGAATTCATGGATATGAAACAATACATTGTCCAGAAGTAAGGGTGGTCCATGGAGACTGGTTGGAGTGGGGTGGGAGAACCTTTTCTTCATCAGAGTCAAGTCATTCTGGGTTGGCAATATATATACATGAGTGGACTGGAGAGACTGAGGAGGCACAAGTCGAGGAGGAACACATCTTTTATTTTGACTTAATTTTCTTTTTATCCCCTCTCCTTCTACCCCAGGGTTCTTCTCCGTGTGGATCACATTAAGGGAGCGTATAACCTTTCATACCGCCTGACTAGGATGATGGATGTGGAAATACACAGTTTGGGAGCCCTGTCTGCTTGCCTGTTAAGCCATTGACTGTTATATACTCTTGGGCTTGAAACACCTTCCAGGCTGGAGGGGCCAGTATTGCATTTACTTTTATCCCATTTCTGTTTTCACGGCTACCCAAGAGGAAATAATTTGATTTGGGGCTGCAGGGGGTAGGGTGGAAAAGTGCAGTCGGAAGACAGAGAAAATCAGCAAGAAGATTACTGAAAGGGAAAGAGGGGGAAACCAACCAGCTATATATTTCCTGCAACATGAGTTAATGAAATTCCGTTCCTTCTTACACAGCTGTATTCGGTTTGTTTTACATTGTTTGGTATGTGAAAGGATTTGGCTTTGCGTTACAGAACTAATTGCTTACTAGATATTACATGGATATCAAAATACTTTATAAATATTAATTAATCTTCACCTAATTCCCTGGCAAGCACAAATAACCAGTGGCATATTTATTGAATGTGTAAGCAATAATCTGATTCTTAAAGATTTGTTTTCTCTGCTGAAGCTTTCTCATCATTTCCATTTGTCAAAATGCCTCATCTCCTTTGAGGACCATATCAGATGGTACTTCCATAACAATTGTTAGGAAAATAGTAATAAAGACGATGTTTAGAGTAACCAACATTATTATTTGCTGAACTTTCTTCCTTTGCCAAGCTCTTGAGTAAACATTTCATAGATATATCTCATTTAATCCTACAGCAGTCCTACAATAAAAATGTTATTGTTACTACTTTTTTTTCCCCCAGATGAGGGAGCAAAGTTTTTGAAAGCTGAATGGTGGCAGGGCTGGGATCCATAGCCCATTCTGTCCACGTGTGAAACTTATAATAAAAGCCACTATCTTGCCCCTTTTCTGATTCACACTACAGGGAGGACACTTGGTACTTATCAATAACTCCATTCATTTATCTATTCAAAAATATGTGTTTGAATGCAAGTACTATTAGAGGTACTGTGCTAGGCTCTGTTATGACATACCTGGTGTTGACTCTTGAGTAGGGATTACAGAGTTGAGCATCTTTTCTCTCCTGAGATTCATCATGGTCCCCATGGGCAGTGAACAGTGTTGTTGTCACACTATGAAATGGGTATAGTGCCTGGCACAATGACCATTTCTTGAACAAATGGGGAGTGATACAGTGAAAGTAAAAAGAGGATCTACAGTGTCGTTTGCTTGTGAATGGTGAGGGGTGGGAGCGCTTAGAAGATGTAAGGATGTGCTCTCTTCTTTCCTCACACTCATCTTATTTGTAATGACATTAATTTGTGTTCTTACCTGCTCAGTGTCTTCTCAGTTTGACATGCCATGATGGCATGGACTATGTCTGTTTCTTCTAGCGCTTCATAGCTGTATTGACACATGTTTGTTGAATAGACCAATACCTTGTTTTATGCATAAAAGAAGGCCAGTAAAAATAGTCTTACATGCATATTACCATGACCGTGAAAATAATCCCACCCTGGGCATAGCCTGGCTCTTGTTTGAAATGTGTGGTACTTCTATGTGACAAGATATAGAATAAGTCATTGGAAGAAAAACTGTCCTATTACTATATTTTATATAAAAGTGTATCTTGTGTTATAATGGGCCTGGTATACAGAGGGTGCTTAGCAAATCTTCCGCAGAGCTGAAACTGAGCTGAAGCTACGGCCCCCTTCTCTGCTTGCTCTCCTTTATTCTCTAGAGTGCTGCTTCCCAATGCGTGGTCCATGGACCAAGCAGCTTCAGCATCACCTGAGCACTTGTCAGAAATGCAGCACCTAGGCGCCGCACCAGACCTGTTGAATAGGAATCTACATTTTCACAAGATTCCAGATGATTTGCATACACAGTGGCATTTGAGAAGCATTAATCCAGGGGCTTCTTTGCAGTCAGTGATGGTGATTTGCCAATCATTAGCATTTCAGAAACCCCAGGCCGAAACCATACATTTATCCTTAGCTAGGTCGGTATCAAGTTTCTCTGCTTTCATCCAGAATCCTAACAATTCAGCTTGGTTGATTATCTAAGAAGCTTCTATTTGATAATTATATATCTTTCATTTTTTTTAAAGTGCTGGGGGTTGGGAGATCCTGGGAAATGGCATAACTATTGCTTAATAAATGCAGTTTGCTTGGAAGACCAAAATCTTTCAAGTAATGAGAAGCAGCAAAGGAAACAACTCCAACAATGACACAAAGATTTCCTGACAATAAAGGGGCTGAGGTGAGGACCCCAGCTGTGGACCACACTACCCGAAGAGAACCAACAACCAAATCAATATCCAAAAAATAACAATAACGTCCAGGTCATTTCACTTATGAGACAGAAGAGGTAAAACAAATTCTCAGATACAAATATTTCTGCTGCTCCACATTGTTCCATGGGGCCAGGATTGTGAAGTCAATCTTCCTAATGATTAATGGAATTTCTCACCTTTTGTTCAAATGACTTGGCCCCTTTGGTTTTTAAATGACATCTAAGGGCAAAACAGACCCAAGACTTTGTGGAATGACTTTCCAGGAAACAACCATATCTAGGTAAACCCATGCTCACAGGTTCCCTCTGTTAATGGTGAAATTACATCAAGGATGACCTTTTGAAAGAATAAAACTCATTATCACATGGAATATGATAGCTGTAAAAGAGCAACGCTTGGAAGCCAAAGCAAAGTCCCGCATATGATAAATTAATTAGAATAGAAGTTACATAAAACCTCGACCTTCTGTGTGACCCTTATCTTATAATTACCTCTTCTTTAAAAGCAGAATGAAATATTTTATGTATGAAGATGTTACTGTTGACCCTAAATGCATTAAGAGTCAAGGAGACATTTTTCACGTATTGAAAATAAGATTTGATTGAGTGCTTGCAAGTGGCCTAGTGAAATCTCATTAAACCACTGTTTAATACTTTATAAATGGCAGAATATTAACCATTAATTATGAACATGAAACCAGTTTGAAAATAAGTTTTGCAATATCTAAGCTTGATTTTCAACCCTTATTAATGCATTGTCTTTTTCATAGTTTTCAGTGTTTTACAGCAAGTAGGTACTTACGACTTAGGTGTGACTTTTCATCTCTTCTTCCTCCTCCTCCTTCTCTCCTTCCTCCTTCTCATCCTCCTTATTGTGTTGCTCTACCAACATGGTTGTAAAAATCTGGATGAAAATAAGAAAATACAGTCTATTAAACATAGTTATAGGCTGTCACTATCCACAGTTATAATTAGATTTATAAATCATGTGCAAGATTCCCAGCAAAAAAAAAAAAATGAATCTTAAACATTCTTTTCAACTATTATCACCCCAAAATGAAACAAAACAAAATATAGCAACGATATGAAATTGTTTCAGTAACATTGCCATGTTACAGTAAGCTTTTGCATCTGGATCAGTCAGCCTGGTACAAATAACTGTATATTCTGAAATGTAAATAGATAAAAAGATAATGACCTTCTTGAGCATCTACTGGGTGACAATCGTTGAAATAGTATCTGAATTTAACTGCACCAAGGAACATAGGCAGATTTTGATTCAGATGACAGCTTCCATTATTTGGCAGCAGATGCTTAAGAGGCTGCTTTGGGAGGATTCTGATGTTGGATCCAGCCTACATCATAGAACTGCAGCCATGGATTAGCAATATGTGTTATGTGAGTGAGCTGCAAAAATATGCCACAAAATTCCCATCTTACAGTTATACCTTTTTACCCTGAAATGAGTCAGTGTGTTATGGTAACATTCCCAGATGGCAGACAGAAGGAGAGCCAATGTGAGAGACCAGTGAACTCAGACCCGTCTCCCAAGAGCCTTGTGTAAGTCATCTAAAAAACAAATGTTTCGGATATTCAGGGTTTTCTGATTTCAAATGTGTTCATACCATGAATAATTGTGTAGCACTATCTTACTGTGTGCTGAGGACATTAATGTGCTTCTTCTTTCATCCTTCGAATGATCCTGCAAAATAATTCTCACTGACATTTTCGTGGAGGTATCCAACTTCAGCTCTTATGGAAAAGAAAGTGCCTCTGTGGAAGTTGCATAGATAGTAAATTGTGGCGTGGGGACTCAAAGCCAGGTTTGCTTGACTTCACAGTCTAAATTCAACCCAGGAACCCAACAGCCTGTTGCTGTGTGATTCTGATCCCCATGAATTCACTATGTTGTCAAATGCTGAGTTTGCAAAGCATGGTCTGAGTGCTTCCCTTCTGGACCTCCCTTAACCATTCCAGGGCTTTCCATTGCTTGTGCAGTTAATGAAGATGGAAAATGATTCCCTTCCCTCCCGCTCTGTTCTTCCATCTGTCCAGGTAATAGCCTAATGTCAACCTAGTGACTTCATGGCATCTGTTTTCAATCTACTGCCTCCTTGTCTGGAATTCTCAGGGGACACTTAAGCCAGAACTGGGGTTGAAGGAAGCCCTGGCTCTGTGCAAGTCCACAGTACAGCAGCTACTGGGGAGGGAAAACGGTGTGTGGCTACGCTGAGGGTTTCTTCCTGGTTGATGCGATTATAATGTGAAAAGATCGACATGTGAGCCCAGAGCAGATGCATAATAATGCTACTGCATTTTGTATTTAACAAAACCCCTTTCTCGAGAAATGTATTACTTACCTTGTGGGTGGGGAATTGTCTCTGAACCCAATCAGGTTAGTCACTGGCCCATGACTATCTCATTTTTAATAAATAATAATTTTCTCAATTCAGCGCTAGCCAGCTCATCTGCTTTCAAAAGATAAGATATGATTGCTTTGTATTTTTTATATTAATAACCCTCAGCATGAGAGGATTAACTCTTGATGCACTAAAGGCAAACTACCGGACCCTGGGAGATCCATTTCTTCTCACCAGATAGGCTGACACATCTTTCAGATGAATTTAAAGGTCAACGCCTTGTGCATGAAAAGCAGGGGCCTGCATTAGATGGCTGAGCTCTAGTCAATTCTTGGTCATTTGTACTGAAACAGAGGCAAGAGAGAGATTTCAAAACCACCACGAGGAGGCCCCTAAACATGCAGGCATTTCTTTCCTTTATCTGTCGATTCAAAGAGCATCTATTCAGGGCCAAGAAGGAGATCAGGTTTATCTGACTTAGTCATACAGCCATAAGAAAGTTTCCCCCTCTAAAAAAAAGAAAAGAGAAAAAATAAAGAGGTGCCTTCCATTGGTGAAGCGTAGTCATTCAGAACACAAGCTTTGCAGCCACCCACAGCCCACAGCCCACAGCCCACAGCCACTGTGGGTCGAGTTATACTTTGCCTCTTAGCAGCTGACCAGCTTTGGGTCTGAGCCTGTTTCTTCACAGTGGTCAGCCCCCTTGTCTGCCTGATAAATGTCTGTCTGCTCACGCACTTGGCTCCGCAGAAGTGAGCTTGCTGGGTCCATGGGGATATTCACTGGAGATTTTGCACAATATTATGCTCTGGAAAGGGGTCTGCAAACTCTGATCTGAGGGCCAAATCCAGCCTGCCACTTGTGTGTGGACAACTAGCAAGCTAAAATGGTTTTTACATTTTTAAGTGGTTGCATCTTAAATGCTTATATAATGGCTACATAAAATCCTTAATTTTGCCTCTTGGCCCACAAAACCTAACATATTTACTACTGGCTCTTTAAGAAAATGTTTGCTCAGGCCTGCTCTGGAGTCCTCAAAGCCACATATATAATTTTAAATTTTCTGATAGCTCTGCTAAAAGAAGTAAAAAGAAACAGGTGACGTTAATTGTAGTGTGTTTTCTTTAACCCAATATATTCAAGTAGTATCCCTGCAACGTGTAGGTAATATAGAAATTGCGAATGAAATATTTTACATTCTTTTTTCATACCACGTCTTTAAAATCCAGTGTGCATTTTGCACTTAACAGCACCTCTTAATTTGGACTCACCACATTTCAGGGGTTTAACAGGCACATGTGACCGGTGGCTGCCGCATTGGACAGTGGCAGCTCTAGAGAGCTGGAACCAATTTATGCTCCTTCTGACATTCACAGGGAATGCTCCGTATAAATCTTGGTCTCTTCTTCCTTTTTAAGGTCACATAGCACCTGGATTTAAACTCCAAAGCTACCCCAATTTTAGCTGGAGGGACCATATTCCAAGCTGCAAATATTGTACCCACCCAGCAAATTTCCTGGGATGTGCTTCCTGGGGAAAGTGAATTCAGTTGCTGTAGCCCTTGATTTGATAAAATGCTCCTCTTTCTGGCCTTACCCTTGCTCAATCATTTCCAATTCCGCTGCTGGTTATTTAACACGCCAGGGGCAGTAGGTGCATACAGTCCTATGCTCCCAGCTTATGAGGAAATGCTCTGTCCCTCCACAGGCTTGATCAGCGGCCTCCCTGCTCCTGTTCTCTAGATAGAAGTTTCCCTAGTTTTGCTGGTCTCAACTCATGCACAGGAGGAAGCCAGAAGTGCCCTGCTGTGATGATCAATCCATATGCATGTTTGCCTCCAGCAAACCAAGGACATTTAATTCTTGGCCAGAGTCTCATCAGCTCCATCAGTCTATGACAATAAAATGAATGTATGTCTTGATCACACCAGGAAGTCTCTGCTACCAACACCCCCAGGAGAAAACAGCTCCAGGCTCTTGAGGCTCCTCAAGTAGCAAAGTCTCATCGCTCAGGTCTCGCATGTCAGAATTTGCCATGATTCACTCACAGCATGTGTCATGTGTATCTGGTAGAATGTCTGAAATGCATTCTTCCCATATGGCTTTTCAGGGCCCTAAGTGTGAATATGAACTTTGCATGTGAAAGATGCTTCATTTTGCATTTTGTTTGCTTGTTTTTGTTTTTTTGAGATGGAGTTTCACTCTTGTTGCCCAGACTGGAGTGCATTGGCGCCCAGGCTGGAGTGCAGTGGCGCGATCTCGGCTCACTGCAACCTCCACCTCCTGGGTTCAAGCGATTCTCCTCCCTTAGCTTCCCAAGTAGCTGGGATTACAGGTGCCCACCACCACGCCCAGTTATTTTTCTGTATTTTTAGTAGAGACTGGGTTTCGCCATGTTAAGCAGGCTGGTCTTGAACTCCTGACCTCAGGTGATCCACCCGCCTTGGCCTCCCAAAGTGCTAGGATTACAGGCATGAGCCGCTGTGCCTGGCCAAGACGTAATTATTAAAATTAACAATGTTCATCTCAGTATACTGCCTAAAATTACGTGATATGCCAAAGTGGGTGTATGTATCCCACTTTGAGGAATACTGATGAGAAAGGATGTTAGGCCTACAGAGATCTTCATCTTCAGAAGAGCACAGATAAGTTCTGGTATAATGGAAATGACAGCGTCTTGGCATTTTTTACTGCTGCCTTCAAACAGCAGACATCACAGCCCACGATGATGAGCCTGCTGATGCCGACTTCCTGCATTCTGTGGTACACCTGGGCTCAGCTTAGAAAGGCTCTACCCCAACTCATACTTCTTCATGGCAAGATGAGGTGAATTCATTTCTACCCATAGTCATTCTAATCTGCATTTTCATAACCCACCTTTCCATTCTCCAAGTGTGACTTTCATTTTTAGGACAGAGTTATTCAGTCGGTGAATATGCAGTCCCTTTAAAGGGATATTTATCACCCTTGAAGAATCTTATTGCCAAATCTTAATAGTCTTTCTTATAACAAAGGCTCAAATTCACTATCAAGATTAAGAGGTGGAGCTTGAATGAGCTTTGCTGGAGCATCTCATGATAAAATAGATTAAAGTCTTAAAATGGGCAACCCATCGAGGTGGAAGTCAAACAAATATGCAAAAGCGTCCCTGTATTTTCCTCAGGCAGTTTGGGCACTGTGGGTGAGCCCAGAGGGTGAATGGTGGGAAGTGGGAGTTAGGCCACGTGGATTTTCCCTCAGGCTCAGCGGGGTGACCTCCCATGAGAAGCTGAAACTATCTTAATTACTTTGTCTGTAAAATAGTGGTGGTGAGCATGGGGAGAGCTTGCCTACCTCAGAGGCTTGTGGTGAGGATTACGGGGAAAAGTCCATGTAAAGTGCTCCCCCCTGGTTTCTGGCACAGAACAAATGAATGAAATTCAGATCCATCATTTATGTCAGAGGTCCCCAAGACCACCCCCAGGTTCCTTGATCCCCAAGTCCTAGGAAGTCCTAGAGTCCCCAAGGCCACCCCCAGTTTCCTTGATCCCCAAGGAGGACTCATGGTTAAGATTTATTACGGTGAAAATATACAAAATGAAATCAGCAAAGGGCAAAGGCCTGTGAGCGAAGTCCGGAGGAAATCAGTTACAAGATTTCCACAATCCCCTCCCAATGCAGTCACACAGGATGTGCTTAACTCCCCCAAGCAACATATGGTGACACCGTGTGTGAAATGGTTTCTACGAGGGAAGCTCACTGGAGGCTCAGTGCCCGAGTTTTTACTGGGAGCTCATCGAGCTGGTCACGTAGACAGCCTCTGCCTGATACATAGCAACATTCCTGACTCCCGGAAGAAAAGCAAGAGTTCAGCATAAACCGAATAGTTCATACAAACATGAGGCACTTGGAGCCACTCTTACCAGTTATGGGCATGGGAATACTCTCCAAACCCAAGTTCCCAGATGCCAGCCAAGGGCCAGCCTTTCAGGCAGGCCTTTCCAACATTGCAGTCTGCAATCTGCTTCGTAACTCTTTTCTGCCCAGGACTAGAGGTCATAAGGCCCCTACTAACTCTCTGGCTTCATCCCCAGTACTACCTGTTAACCAACCTGACATTCCTCCCATCACCCCGCAGATCCTGGCCCCAAAGCCTTACCTTGGTGCTAGCAGCTGCCTCTGTTTTGAAAGCTCTTCCCCTGAGTTCTCCATGACCAAGTCCTCACCCTTTTCATTGCAGATGCTTGCGTGTTCCCATCACTGAGTTCTAATTTCTCTAATGGAAGTATCATTCTAAAGTTATCCTTTGTCCTTCTTTTATTCTTGTTCATGGGTATCTCCACTAGAAGGAGGATATATTTTTCTGGCAGAAGAACATGCCCGTCCTATTTATTGTGTTATCACTAGTGTCCACTATAGGGATGGACAGGTGGTAGGTGTTCAATATTTGCCTCATGGATATTGGGAATTACTATATTTATTGTTCTGTGTCCCAAAGAACAAATGAAGCCCCCACACCCTTCCTGTTTATTGACTTAAAGTATTGTCTTTGAATGTTGAAAAAAGTTTTTAGAAAATGCTGAACTTACAGGGAAATTCACCAAAGTAATAGTAATATCATGAAGATGCTCATTGCTTCTGGGCTTTCCAAATCTCATCTTTCCTCAATTGTGCCTTCTCTGCATGAGCCTAATTTGAAAAAAACCTGGTTCACAGAGGGCTGCTTAAGAAGTTGATGGTTTTGTTTATACTCAAAGTCATTGTGGGGACCTCTATTTTCACCTTTTTTGGCCTAGGTTGTCCCAGTACTTCTCTCATTCTGTGATTGATGTCATACGTGACAAGTGTGATGGGTCACTTCACTGGCCTCTCCAGGCGGTTTATTCTTTAGCTGACTTCACCTTGCTCTGGCCTTATGTAAAGGTCCCTGCCCTCTGGCTTTTAGTGGGTTCAACCCACAAGTCTGCAAACTTTCTCAAAGAGCCAGATAATAAATTTTCAGACATTGCAGGCCATCCAGTCTCTGGGCAGCTACACTACTCTACTCTGCCATTGTAGCATGAAAGCAGACATACACAATAGGTAAACCAATGAGCATGGTTGTGTTCCAATAAAACTTTATTTACAAAAACTGACAATAGGCTAAGATGTGGCCCGTGGGCTTTGGTTTGCCAATCAATGGTTTAGCCAGTGGAGGATTGGGACAAGAACTCAGAGGGAGAGAGGAGAATAAATCTTTGCAGGCTGCTCTGTCCTTCCATTGGGGGTTACAGTTCTTCTCAGGGAGCCCCCTCCATGTGGCCGCGTCTTTTGGGTCTGGAAATTGTTTCCTCCCCTGGCCCTCTAGGCTTAGATGTGGGAAAGGTGCCCCATTATTACTGGCATGTTGCTTTATGCTGTGGGCCCCTTTTCCTTGACTCTGACTGTACTTTTGCTGGTTCCTGCGTCCATCTCTTGTCACATAGCTCAATTTGCGTGTGCCATCAATTTCCTGCTGGGATTAAGATACCTGGCAGTGCAGGGTTTCCTGGGATATGGGACCTCTAAAACCGAAACCTAGACAGTCCCAGTAAATCAGGAGGATTAATCTCCCTAACTGGAACCCAGCCCTGTCTCCTCCCTTGGCCCTGCTCCAATTACCTTCATTCTGGCCCTCAGTACCCCCAACTTGGATAACGGCTTTGCTGGCCAGTGACTAAATACAGTGGCCAGATGGGGTCTGTGGCCATCGCCATGTGCACCTCTCTGCTAGGGCTTATTTGCCCTTGGAACAAAGTCTGTAGCTGATGTTTGACAAGCCAAGGAGACTCTAGTGTAGTCCCCCAGCCTACTGTAGAGGCTCTTCACATTATCATATTTTATACTGCATAATTTTTGAAGATGATCCCTTTTCTTCCAAATTGTAGTACAGGAGAGGTATGCTATTTTTCCATAAGAAAAATCAGACTTACTTTGAAAGAGCAGTAGGATTAGCAGACACTTTGAAATATTACATTAATCCAGCTTGGGTTGAAAATATCCAAAGGACTGACTCATGAAATTTCAAGTAATTGAACTTCTGGACTCAAACAGACATGAGAAGAAAAAGTTATGTTCCTTCAAACTATTTCAGCTCAGATGATTTTTTCCTTTTTAGTTCAAAACCTGACAAAGGTTTGCTTGATGAGGAGAAGAGACCACCTTCCCCACAATGAAAGTTAACGCTATAATGATAATAGGAGGGCTTATGACTGAATCTGTATTCAGATACACCGATTTTGTTTGCTTTTAGTGGCAAGCAGGTTTAGCAGGTTAGAGAAGAGGGTAATGTTTTGATACTGTGGTGAAGCTGAGGAGGGCGATGTCCTTAGTCTGAGGAGACCAGCATGAAGCCACCTTTATTGCCCTAAAATGTCTCTGCCTTCAAACAAGTGGGCTAAAGAGGGAGGGCCTGATGCTCTGAAAAGGAAAAAAAAAAAAAAACTTGGCCGGGTGCAGTGGCTCACACCTGTAATCCCAGCACTTTGGGAGGCCCAGGTGGACAGATCATTTGAGGTCAGGACTTTGAGACCAGCCTGACCAACATGGTGAAACCTCGTCTCTACTAAAAACACGAAAGAAACAGCCAGGTATGGTGGCACGTGCCTGTAACCCCAGCTACTTGGGTGGCTGAGGCAGGAGAATCGCTTAAACTAGGGAGGCGGAGGTTGCAGTGAGCTGAGACCACCCCACTGCACTGCAGCCTGGGTGATGGAGTGAGAATCCATCTCAAAAAAAAAAAAAAAAAAGAAAAAAACTTGCATAATGGAGCAGGCTAATTCAGGTTCCCAGGATCTAGATGACAGTAAATATGGAAGCTGCTTTAAGGAGATACTGGAGACATTTTAATGGTGTTGGCCGTTTCATTGTAACACAAATGACTTCTCTGCAGCTGTTCAAGGAAGACTCTTTTCCTATGAGTGTTGGTAGATGAAGAGTGGAAACTCAGGTGCTTGGCAAGGTCAGAAAGTTAGTGTCAATGAGTGAGGAGGCTTGGGTAGAAGAAAAGTCTGTATGAAGACATAAGTACAAACCAAAAATCACTTTTAGTTGACTATGAGGCAAACAGCAGTGCAACTGTGATGACAGAAGGCAAATGGTACTTGCTGGGGACACATGGGATGCATGGCCTGTGGACATCTAGAAATGAGGCCTGTCCATCAGGAGGTCAACCTTACCATCCACGGAGTGTTGCCCTGTTTGACTCCAAGCTCAAAGCTGTCCCAAATCCAGATGCTCGGTGAAAATCCCTGATATTTGAATGGCAGCCTCTGCAAGCTAAAGGCCATCTAGCAGATACAGTGGCCATATGGGACGTGCCAGCCATGATTTTTTGCAGCCTCTCTGTTAGTGCTTGCTTGCCCTTGGAACAAAGCCTGTGGCTGGTGTTTAACTATCATGGGAGATACTAGTGTGGCTGAAAAGTCTGTGTTCTGAACAGTACTATGGCACTATAGACAAACTTTCAAGGTCAAATTGATTATCCTGTAGTTTAGCAAAGCAGCAGCTCCCTAATTATGTCAGGAGGCAGGATTATCTCTGATCATTTGAGCTAGGACTCCAGATAAAACATCAAAAGCAATATTTAAATAACACACAGCCATGGTTAAGGATTCATTGCATTTTCTCTTACTATAAAACCAAAATTGTGGTGGCCCATTTTGTTCCATTACTGGAAGGGTTTTCCAGGCTGTTTTAACTCATACATAGTGTAACCCTTTCCCTTATTACAAAATTTCACTCTGGGAAAGAGCAAAGCTGTACTTTGTGGTACAGTGTTATGATGGTTTATGTTCATGAAGGTCCTACAAAAATTCAGAAACATTCTTAATCCAAATGATCTAGAAATAGGAACTGGAATACCTACTGTGCTGGAGCTGCTTAACCCATGAAAGACAGTTGTACACAGCTCTTCACAACTCCGTATTCAGTGATTTCACATTAGTAGCTTGAAATTAGCCATGATGGGAGCATTTATGCCCTGGACATTGTCAAAACTCAGAAATCAAGTCATTTATTTCTTGGGGAGCTGGTCATTAAACACTCACTAGGATGCCCTTGGGTACCCCTCACTGCTAGAAGAATTCCCTCCCTCCCTGTATTTCTCCCTTGAAATCTGAGCCAGTCTTGCATTCTACATATATATATATATATATATGTATATATATATATATATATATATATACACATATATATATATATATATATATACACACACACACATATATATACACATATATGTATACACACACATTCCTATCTTCTCAAAAATTCTTGCCTTTTAAAAAGTTGTTATCAAAGACAAGGAATTTTTTAATCATCAGGGTAGCTCAGTCTTGAGACATCTGAGTCCTTCTGAGTAGTAACCAGTAGCTGCACCGAAGAGACAGTTCAAGGACTACAAATGATGGTAGTCCTTGAATTTCAAGTCCTTGGGAGTTCAAGGCCTATCCTCATTTGTAGTTCTTCACACTGTACCACTCTTTATTTGTTTAAAATATAAGAGTGCACAGGCAAAAATCAGCTAAATGGGAGTTGTCCAGAACAGTGCTTTCTCCAGTGACCTTACTCACCCCTCCATGAGGACTCAGTTAATTCTAATCTCTATTTTGCTGTTTCTATGAGGTCAGAAGTCCCCAACTTTTTGGCACTAGGACTGGTTTCATGGAAGACAATTTTCCCATGTACCAGGGACATGGGGGAGGGGAGGATTTGGGGATGATTCAAGCACATTACATTTATCGTACACTTAATTTCTATTATTATTACCTTATATAATGAAATAGTTATACAACTCACCAGAGTGTAGAATCAGTGGGAGCCCTGAACTTGTTTTCCTGCAACTAGACAGTCTCATCTAGGGTGATGGGAGACAGTGACAGATCATCAGGCATTAGATTTTCTGAAGGAGCATGCAACCTAGATCCGTTACATGTGTGGTTCACAAAGCACCTATAAGACTCTAATGTTATTGCTGGTCTAACAGAGGTGGAGCTCAGGTGGTAATGCAAGTGCTGGGGAGCAGCTATAAATACAGACGCAGCTCCACTCATGGGCCCGCCACTCACCTCTTGCTATGTGGTCCGGTTCCTAAAAGGCTGCAGATGGATACCCATCCATGGCCTGGGGATTGGGCATCCTTGTATTAGATTACTAACTCCACCCTTAAACTTTTTAAGTTGTGTTTTCAAAGAAGGTATCAGCATGTCAGTCTTTCCTATAATGTTCTGTGTTTCTTGAAGATAGGGACCTTGCCTTTTTGTGTATATTGACAATTAGTGTATATTGTCTTGGCACTGACACACAGTAGGCAGTCAGTAGATGTTACTTGCATCAATGCATGAGTCCTTCAGAATACATCCAATTGGCATTCAGTGAGCAGTTGTTCAAATTCCTTTTAATTCAGGATGGTCAAATGTTTGTATGAACATTTGGGGAAACATCTTAACTGTCTACCAGGCAGTTAGATTTTAAAGAAAAGACATGTATTCATATACTCCGACCCAGGGGAAGATATGTGGCATTCTGCTTAACATAATCAGTTCCTTGCTTTCCACACCAATTTGTGCTTGATTTGTTTCTTTTCTTCTAGAACTTTTCAGAGTGAGAACCTTTAGCAGAAAAAAAAAGCTTAACAAGATAGACATTTTAGTTCAATAGAAGAATTTTTCTGGTGTGAAAAAGTAAATTACAAAAAGGACTTTGGTTCTGAAAGATAATTAATAAAAACCTTCCCATGTGATGACAAATCTGACATCTTGTCTAATGTCTGGCAGAGAAGAAAGTGTTGAGAGCTGCACAGTTGGAATAAAATGTTCCACTTTACAGCAAGGCCGGGTAGGATCTGATAATTATTTCTAGGCAACAAAAGTTCATAGTCTAATTGTTCAATTGACACAACACCAGGCCTGGCTCTGTGACTATGCACCATCAGTGAGGTCTTCGTTTAGGCTTTCCTGATTTCACAGGTAAATATTGCCAGGAATGTGGGTGATCATGGAATGACTCCCTCGTGGATATTTTGGACTACAGCTGTACTTATAGAACTTTCCTTTCCCTCTTGTAAGCTTCTCATGGGCTGTGGTAGGCTGAGTAATGGTCCCGTAATAAGTCTACATCCTCATTTTCAGAATGTGTCAAGGTTACCTGTATGACCCAGATGAGTATGATGTAATCACAAGCTTACAGAAGGGAAGTAGGAGGAGCCAGAGTTAGAAACAGAAGACGATGTGATGAAGGAAGAGAGACAGAGAAAAACAGGTGAGAAGAGGCCATGCTGCTGGCTTGAATGAAGAAGGAGGCTGTGAACTAAAGGATGTAGATGACCTAGCTGGAGAAAACACATTCTCCTGAAGGAGTTCAGCCCTGTGGCTTCAGACTTTAGAACTATAAGGTAATAAAACTCTGGGAGGCTGAGGCAGGCGGATCACAAGGTCAGGAGGTCAAGACCATCCTGGCTAACATGGTTAAACCGCCTCTCTACTAAAAATACAAAAAATTAGCCGGGCGTGGTGGCGGGCGCCTGTAGTCCCAGCTACTCGGGAGGCTGAGGCAGGAGAATGGCGTGAACCCGGGAGGCGGAGTTTGCAGTGAGCCGAGATCGCGCCACTGCACTCCAGCCTGGGCGACAGTGTGACACTCTGTCTCGGAAAAAGAAAAAAAAAAGAACTATAAGGTAATAAAGTATTTTTTTTTTTTTTTTTTGAGACAGAGTCTCGCTCTGTCACCCAGGCTGGAGTGCGGTGATGCTATCTCGGCTCACTGTAAGCTCCGCCTCCCGGGTTCACGCTATTCTCCTGCCTCAGCCTCCTGAGTATCTGGGACTACAGGCGCCCGCCACCAAGCCCTGCTAATTTTTATTTTTATTTTTTTTTTGTATCTTTAGTGGAGATGGAATTTCACCGCGTTAGCCAGAATGGTCTTGATCTCCTGACTTTGTGATCCGCCTGCCTCAGTCCCCCAAAGTGCTGGGATTACAGGCGTGAGGCACCGCACCTGGCCAATAAAGTATTTTTAAGCCTCTCAGATTTTAGAACTTTGTTACAGCAGCATTATGAAATTGATACACGCGGGCATGTTTTCCTGAAATCAGAGCCTGAGAGGAGAACCAGGTACAGGTAGTTTTCTTTGGGAGGTGATCCAGGAAGCAGGAGTAAGGAAGGATGAGAAGGCAGGAAAGGAGAGAGAACCAATATATTAAGGAATCCTTGAGCTCACTGCTGTAGACAGCCAGGGGCCAGTGCACAGGGACCTCGAGAGGCACAGGGAATGACTCTCAGACGTGTCTGTCTGCAAGAAGGCAGGTGGGAGCATTCAGCCAGCTGTCATTTCCAATGCACTGAGGGCTGTCCATAGGAGCATTAACTCCCCCTCCTTTCCCATCTCTGCTTTCCCTCACATTAGCCAAGCTCCTGCAGTGTAGGAGAAAGAGCCAAAGCAGAATGCAAAGAGACTGAGGGCACTCTAAGGGGCAAGCCTGACTTCTTTAGAAACTCATCGCAGCAGCAACTGAGATCAGAGGTTGGCTGAGGTATTGGCTGCAGCCACCAGCATCATCCTCTATTGGGCTGACCCCTCAGATGACAGACCTATTCATTTACTGTTTCCCATCTTTTGTCTCTGTGGATTCAAGGTTTCTTGGTGTAGACCAGACAAGGTTCCCAGTGCCTGCCACATGGTAGGCATTCATTATTTTCTCATTTGAACTCCCTGAGGCTACTAAGGCCCACCCAAGAGTACCTCATATAGGGGCTCCTTTGTTTGACTTAAGGGAAACAGGTATTATATGGCATTCGACATCACTAATTTAATTACAAAAAATTCATAAATAGATGCAAATACCACCAACCCTGAGCAGGCACATCCTCTGGTTTCTCCTAAGGGCCAGCCAGCAAGCCAGGCATTCCCAGTGTAGTAACTTAAATTCTTACAAAACTGTATTTTTCCTTTTAAGTTTTCCAAGTGAGCCCAGTGGCTTAATCCTGGAATCTTAATAGTAAAGAGTTAATTCCATTTAGACAAAAATTGTGATTTCACTGAGTGAATTGTTCTTGGCTCTGTTTTATCCAAACTGAAGGAGGGCATGCATGAGTCCTATTTTGAGACAAAACACCTTCAAATAATCTGGAAAACAACCCAGAGTTTATTTCTGCCAAATGGCTCCCTGTTTCTTGAACTGGCATGCTATGGTGTTTGCATTGACCAAACTTCTGCGTGGAGCCTTTGTTCTTAGAGGTTGTCATGTGAAAAGTTTCAATCATCTTTCTAATATGTCCTTGTCTGTGACATGGTCCCAGTCCTTATTTTCATCCAAAGAGCATGTTGTTCCTTCTTCTTTATTTCCACAATACTTTATACATACCCTCTATATTAATATAACTATAATATTAATGTATACTTATTATATAAGAAATATATATCAGCTATCAATATAAATAATAACTAGCACATAACACCTACTGTGAGCCAGTTTCTGTCCTGAAACATTTGATTTGTGTTTACTCATTGACTCATACAACCAATGGGAGTAGACACAATTATTAGTTGTGTTTTGCAGATGAGGAAACTAAGGCAAAGAGAATTTAAGTAACTTGCTCAGGGTCACATAGAAACTAACTGGAAAAATTGAGATTTCGACCCAGTTAGTCTAGCCTGCGAATCTTTACTCTGAGCTACTTTTTAACTGATTCTCAATGTATAGTCACATAGGTTGTAGTTTATTATATGTCCATGTGTCTGTCTTTCCTTCTAGATAATAAGTTTTTTAAGGGTTTTATTCATTTTTCCATCTCTAGTATCTAGGCCAGAGCCTGGCAGATAATAGAAATGTTAAATTTTCACTAAGAAAATCAATTTTAAAATGAACCTGATGATGCTGTCATAATGGCAGATCAAAATGTCCCATAATTTGAAAGAGGCAATTACTAAAACAATAGCAAAAAATAAAATAAAACAAAATAAAATAAAAAATGAGAGACAATGCTTATTTATGCCAAGGAGAGGAGCACTTAGGACACTCATTGCCACATCCTGACTCTGACAGCCTTGTCAAAGCATTCCAAAGCCATGACCTTCCCTTATTCTCCCTTCCTTCCCCACCTCGCCTTCAAATTCCCTCTCCTATTCCTTTCTAACTCCTCTATTTTGCCCTCTTCATTGGTTTTCCCAAATTATATTTACATGTTAAAATACCAAGTAAAGGGAACCCATATTTTCTGAGTGTCTATTGTGGGGCCAGGCTATAGTAGACTGCATTAGTTCCCAATGGCTGCTGTAACAAATGACCACAAATTTAGCAATTTAAAACGAACATAGTATTGTACAGTTTTGAATGTCAGAAGTTCAAAATGGGCTTCACTGGACTAAAATCAAGGTGTTGGCAGCGATGCATTCTTTTCTGGAGTCTCATGGGGAGAATTCCCTTTATGCCATCTCCAGTTTCTAGGGGCCACCCACATTCCTTGACTCCTGGCCCCTTCCTCCATCTTCAAAGTCAGCAATGTGGGGCTGAGTTCATCTCATAACATATCACTCTGCCCTCACCTTCATCATCACATCTCTTTCTCTTATCCTTTCTTCCATTTTCAAAGATACCTGTGATTACATTGGGTTTACGTGATTACATAATCCAGGATAAGCATGCTGTTTTAATGTTAGCTGATTCCCAACCTTAATTACCCTTTGCCATGTAATCTAACATATTCACAGGTCCTGGGGAGTAGGGTGAGGACATCTTTAGGGGACTACTGTCTATTCTGTTTGCGTTATCTCATTAAAGCTTCCCAGTGACCGTTTCTCTAGCAAAGAGCATGTGAAGGCCATTCACTCTGAATTAATTTACCAAAAGCCAGAGAAATCACCACACAGCCAGAATTTGGACTTAGGTTAGTTTTGGCTTTTTGCCCCATGCTTTTCCTTGTTTTATTGTTTTCTTGTGCTTCACTTTTTTTTTTTTTTGTACTTCACAGATACTGTATGTTTTACAAATTGAAGATTTGTGGTGTTGAAGTCAAAATAAAAATGTAGAGATGAATCTCTAAATTTAGCATTTCATTTGGGAAGAAAGACTTGCAATTTGGGGCATTTATGCAGATTAAATAGTCTTTGGTATGTTCAAAGAACAAAGAGAAAGTTGGAGGTTTTGTAACAATGAAAAATGTTATGTATTGCTCTTTGAGAAAGTTCATTGACACTAGTAAGGTTCTGGGAAGCTGGCAAGCTTCAGCTGGTGAGTGGCATCAGTGAGAAAATTAGTCCTGGAGTTGCAGCAAATTATCTTGAAGCTATAGATAAAACTGGGTTCAGGTTACAGCAGCCAGGCTTGCAGAGAATTACATTGTTGGAGCAATGCTTTGTGTCCCTAGTGTGTTTTTGCCTGGCTTCTTGACTTTGCTTTAGTTGGGTATGACAAGAATAACCCAATTTGTAGGATCAGCTTTCACCTTGACAACTCTGCACTGAGCAAGTTTATGGGTGCTGTTTTTCCAACAGTATGTGATCACTTTGTGTCTCTGTCTCATGTTTTGATAATTCTCCCGGTTTCTTTCCTTTTTTTAAATTATTACTTTGTCTATTTTGGTGATGTCTGATCAGTGACCTTTGATGTTACTATTGTGATTTTTTTTTTTTTGGGTGGGGGGAGGCACCACAAACTGTGCCCATATAAGATGCCAAACTTAATTGATAAGTGCGTGTTCTGACTGTTCCACCAACTGGCCCTTTACTCATCTGTCTCCTTCTCCTCCAAACATCCTATTTCCTGAAACACAGCAATATTGAAGTTAGGCCAATGAATAAGCCTACAATAAAGTACTTTCTTTGCCTCTAAGTGTTCAAGAGAAAGGAGGAGTTGCATGTCTCTCTCTTTAAATCAAACCTAGAAATGATTAAGCTAAGTGAGGAAGGCATGTCAAAAGCTGAGGTAGGCTGAAAGCTAGGTTTCTTGTGCCAAAGAGTAAAGTTGTGAATGCAAAGGAAGAGTTCCTGAAGGAAACTAAAGGTGCTACTCCACTGAACATATGAATGATAAGAAAGTAAGACAGCCTTATTGCTGACATGGAGAAAGTTTTAGTGGTCTGAATAGATGATCAAACCAGCCGCAACGTTCCCTCAAACCAAAGCCTAATCCTGAGCAAGGCCTTAACTCTATTCAATTTTCTGAAGGCTGAGAGGTGAAGAAGCTGCAGGAGAAAAGTTGGAAGCTAGCAGAGGTTAGTGTGTGACATTTAAGTAAAGAAACGATCCCTATAACATAAAAGTGTCAGGTGAAAGCCAAGCACAGTGGCTCACACCTGTGATTCCAGCACTTTCGGAGACCAAAGCAGGTGGATCACGAGGTCAGGAGAGCAACACCATCCTGGTCAACATGGTGAAGCCCTGTCTCTACTAAAACTACAAAAATTAGCTGGGTGTGGTGGCACGTACCTGTAATACCAGCTACTCGGGAGGCCAAGGCAGGAGAATCGGTTGAACCAGGGAGTAGGAGGTTTCAGTGAGCTGAGATCACACCACTGCACTCCAGCCTGGTGACAGAGTGAGACTCCGTCTCAAAAAAATAAATAAATAAAATAAAGTGTGAGGTGAAGCAGGAAGTGCTGATATAGAAGCTGCAGCAAGTCATCCAGAAGATCTAGCTAAGATCATTGATGAAGGCGGATACATTAAATAATACATTTTCTACATGGTTAAAACATTCTTATACTGGATGAAGATCCCATCTAGGACTTTCATAGCTAGAGAGAAGAAGTAAAGGACAAGCAAACTCTTTTGTCTGGGACTAATGCAACTGATGACTTTAAGTTGAAGCCAATGCTTATTCACCATTGCAAACATCTTAGGGCCCTTAAGAATTGTGCTGAATCTACTCTGCGTGTGCTCTACAAAAGGAACAACAAAGCCTGGATGACAGTACATCTGTTTACAACATGATTTATTCAATATTTTAAGCCCACTATTGAGAACTGCTGCTCAGAAAACTATATTCCCTTCAAATCTTACTGTTCATTGACAATGTACCTGGACATCCAAAAGTTTTAATGGAGGTATATAAGGAGATTAGTGTTGTTTTCACACCTGCTAATATAATTTCCATTTTTCAGCCCGTGAATCCAGAAGAAATATTGACTTTCAAGTCTTACTATCAAAGAAATACATTTTGTAAGGCTACAGCTTCTAAAGATTGTGATTCCTCTGATGGATCAGGACAAAATGAGTCAAAAACCTGCTGAAAAGGATTCACCATTCTAGATGCCCACTAAGAACATTTGTGATTCATGGGGGGTGGTTAAAATGTCAAAAATAACAGGAGTTTAGAAGATGTTGATTTCAATCCTCATGGATGATTTTGAGAGGTTCAAGACTTCAGTGGAGGAAGGAAGTGCAGAAGTGGTCGAAATAGCAAGAGAACTAGAATTAGAAGCAGAGCTTGAATATGTGTGTGAATTGCTGCAAGCTCATGATAAAAATGTGAATGGATGAGGAGCTGCTTCTTATGGATGAGCTAAGAAAGTGGTTTCTTGAGATGGAATCTAATCCTGGTGAAGATGCTGTAAACATTGTTGAAAAGACAATAAAGGATTTAGAATCGTACCTAAACTTAGTTGATAAAGCAGCAGCAGGGTTTGAGAGGACTGCTTTCTATTTTGAAAAAAAAGTTCTCCTGTGGGTTAGATGCTACCAAATAGCATCACATGCTATAGAGAAATCATTCGTGAAAGGAAGAGTCGATAGATTGGCAAACCTCGTTGTTTTCTTATTTTAAGAAATTGCCACAGCCTCCCCAACCTTCACAACCGCCACCCTCATCACTCAGCAGCCACCAAAATGGAGGCAAGACCCTCACCAGCAAAAAGACAACCACTTGTTGAAGGCTCAGAGATCATTAGCATTTTTTAGTAAAAACGTATTTTTAAATTAAGGTATGTACATTGTTTTTAGAAATAATGCTATTGCATACTTAATAGGCTACATTATAGTATAAACATAACTTTTATATGCACTGGGAAGCCAAAAAGTTCATGTGACTCACTTTATTGTAATATTTGTTTTATTGCTATGGTCTGGAACCGAACCTGCAGTATCTCCGAGGGATGCCTGTACATGCAGCTTCCCTGTTTACAGTTTGAGGAGAATATGTTGGGTAGCATCTTTTAGAAATAAAGTCTAGGATGTTGGTTCAAATTTTGTGTGAAAGCAACAATAGGGCCAGGTACGGTGGCTCATGCCTGTAATCCTAGCCCTTTGGGAGGCTGAGGCGGGCGAATCGCAAGGTCAGGAGTTCGAGACCAGCCTGGCCAACATGGTGAAACCCCGTCACTACTAAAAATACAAAAAATTAGCTGGGCATAGTGGCGGATGCCTGTAATCCCAGCTACTCGGGAGACTGAGTCTGGAGAATTGCTTGAACCCTGGAGGCGGAGGGTGCAGTGAGCCAAGATTGCACCTCTGCACTCCAGCCTGGGTGACAGAGTGAGATTTCGTCTCAAAAAAAAAATAAAAAGAAAAAGAAAAAGAAAAAAGAAAGCAACAATGGGACCGACGAAACTAAAAGCAGTCTCCCCTTTTACCTCCCCAAGAACTGTAAAACCATTTGTAAGTGTCTGTGACCTTAATGACCAGAAACGTGTCAGGTTTTCTGTGTTCCTGGGGCTGTAAAACACCAGGAACATTTTAAGGAGGTCAGACTCAGCAGGGGCGTGGACATGAGTACATGCACATGTGTGTACGTGTGTGTGTGTGTGTGTGTGTGTGCATGCACATGTCCTGGAATGCTCCATTCCTCCATGCTTTCCCTGTAGGCAGTATGCCTTTGTAAACCCTTCCAGGACTCTGGGTTTGTGCTCCCTGGGAGGATAAAGAATTAATCAAAATACACTGCTGCGATATTTTTACATCCTGCAAGTCAGAGGCAGTATCCTTTCTTCCTCACAAATCTAAGACCCTCCAAATTGATCTCAATACACTGACTTTAACAAGAGTAAACCAGAGATGTTTTATGGCAGGGATAAAGTAACTATCAACCAACACTAATGACAAGAAAGCAAAAAGAGTTGGAGAGAGGAAAGCATAAAGGATCCCAGAGACACTGGGGTGTTGGTTTGGAAAATACCTTCTTGGAGCTGGTTTAAGAGGGGATGGAACCTGAGAGTGTTCTCAACCTCGTGAGATTAATTATTTGTGGCAGGAAGTTTCTCTCTTTATTTGTGGCTGCTTTGGAGACAGTTGTGTCATGTTTTTCTTCAGTCCTGATATTTTTCACTGGCCTCTGGGATATATCTGTGATGTCAGTGGTATCAAAGACTTTTCTGCCCTTGTTCCATGGATGTTTAGTGTACAATCAGCTGCTGCAACAAACAACACCAAATCTCAGTGACTTTGCACAGCGTTCCGTGGATGTGTCTTGTGGGGCGGTTCTCCCGAGTAACTGTCTTCTGTGCAATGACTGATTCTGGGCTCTTTCTATTGGATGACTCTGCCACCTTGGGAGTCCTTCCTTCCTATTTCCATGGATAGGAGAAGAGAAGATATCATGCAGGACATTCAGGGGCCATGTCTAGAAGACGTGAGAATCCTTCCACCCTTATTCTGTTGGCCAGTGCTTAGTCACATGTCTAAAATTGTAATGGAGCAGCAGCACCATGTCCTATTGTGAGAAGTAGCCAGAGACTAATCTCAATGACAGTTCTTATAGCTTGAAAAGGTATTTGCAAAATCTAAAGCAAAAGTTGCCAACTCGAATGCCTAGATGTCCAAGCAAGTGTTTAACTGAATTGAGTGAGCAGAAACAAGAACCAGGGAGTGGTGCTGAGAAGGAAAGCTTGGAGAGGGGCACTCTACATAACATGACAATTTAACTTGATGACAGACTTCTCTGGCTAAACTAACCACATCTGCTGGCCACATCCATCCCTTATGCTGCCAGTTGGCAACCTACAGTATGGGAGAGAAAAAGAAAAAATCCTTTCTCTGGAAGCAAACTCCAAAGTTGGGTATATTCTTGAATCAGTACCTGTCAGGATAAAAAAAAACCCTTTCTTTTTAAGAAAGAACGAAAGTTCTGTACTACAGCAAATAAATGGAAGCTAAAAAGAAAACCTGGTATAAAGAGTGTGATTTAAGAATTTGCTTTCTGTGCATACATTTAGGGTAGTGGCTCTTGCATGGAAGAGAGATCTCTGAGCTGCTACTTTAAAGGATGCTTGGTGTCCTACAGAGGTAACACAACTCAATCATATCAGGCACTGATGTTCTGATGGTGCAGCTGATCCTGAGATGCAAACACCCCATGATCTTCTGCTGTCTGATTCCCTGCTATGTCCCTGTATGTAGTCTAAACAGTCTATTCACTGAACAGTTTTTTAGTAACAACAAAAGTAATAATATGTTGGTAATAGTTTGTCAATGTCTACCCTGGAGAATATCAGTGAATCATGAATATGGATTTAAATATAATACATAGAAATAATAATAGCAAGCATTTATTGAGCAAGTACTATGTACCAGGAACTACTTAAGGCTCTTTACAATAATTAACTCACTTAATCCTCATAACGGGTGAGATACCATTACTCCTGCTTTTCAGCTTAGAAAACTGAGACACAGAAGGTTACTTGCCCAAGGATAGCCCGCTGGTAAACGAGATTCACACTGAACCAACGTGGCTTAAACCTGTGCTTATAGTCCGTCTGAAACGTGAATCTTTGTAGCAGGCTGATGGTAATTTTTAGATAATAGAAATCTTTTGTTAATCATAGAATTTGATTATTGCTGTGCTTTCAAAGGTGTCTTGGTTACCTCTCATTTCTTAGGTACTCACTGATGCATAAATGGACAAACATGTCATAGAGTAAGACTATGATTGCCGTGGCATTAAAGATAAATTTGGAATGATGCTCAGAGCATATATTCTAGAAAATTTACAGAGGATTTGGGGAAAACTATGTCCAGGTAGTATTTTTATGCATGTGACATCTCATAATATTGGAGAAAGGGCTTGCCTGGTTTTGGAGTAATGTCCAAGTTCTAATTCTTACAGCAATGAGGGGTGCTGCTTTACTGCTTTCCATCCCCTTACCAAAGTTACTGTGAATGAAATTGAAGAGCGGATATCGGTGGCAAGTTCAAGCATAGATACTGTTTTGAATTCTCTTAAGAAATTAAAGGGCAAGGCTGGGCTTGGTGGCTTATGCCTGTAATCCTAGAACTTTGGGAGGCCGAGGCAGGCGGATCACGAGGTCAGGATATCGAGACCACCCTGGCCAACATGTTGAAACTCTGTATCTACTAAAAAAATACAGAAAATTAGCTAGGCGTGGTGGCTGGCACCTGCAGTCACAGCTACTTGGGAGGCTGAGGCAGGAGAATGGCATGAAACCAGGAGGCGGGGCTTGCAGTGAGCCAAGATCGTGCCACTGCACTCCAACCTGGGTGACAGAGCAAGGCTCTGTCTCAAAAAAAAAAAAAAAAACAGTAAAAAGAAATCAGAAGACAATAGCAGTAACTAGAACATTCTACTATTATTGACTAGTAAGATATTTAGCTTTTGGGGAAGTCCTAAATTAGCCTGGAATCATTTTTAAATGCAGTTTTGTAATTTCAGTGATGTGTTACATGAAACTCAAAGAGCCACAAAATAATTCACGTGTAAGCGAAGAGTGTGCTGGTTTAAAAGATGAGTCTGCATTCTTCTCCCTTTATGCAGATAATTCGTAATCATCTTTGAGATCCCAGCAGAAATGTCTCTTTTGTGGTTTTGCTTTCCTTGATGCTCTAGATGAAGTTAGACTTCCCTATACCCCAACTTTTACATGCTCCCAGAGAGATCTATATTTTCCTTTCCAGTTAAATTTTAATCTTGGTGAATCACTTAAATTATGATTTGTTAATGCCTCTTTTCTTTTTGAGACCATAATTATATTTAACAATTATTGACTCCTTATCCTGTGTGGCACCTTTCTCATTGCTTTGGACAATGTGTAGCAAAGTCCTCACTGAATCCCAGGAGTCTAATAGGTATTTGTGAATGAGGAGTGAGTGAATGAATGAATGATTTGACTAATTCTTACCTCACTAAGTCACCCATGGCCCAGGAGGGTACTGTGTACCTTTATGTTACAAATCATTTAACTTTAATTTTGACTGGTAGGTGAAGTGTCCCAAGAATTTGTAAAGATAAAACTGTGCCTTTGGGGCTTCTCCTACTGCTCCCCTCTTCCCTAAGAGTCAGCAGCTGGAAAAGGTTTATTTATTTTTTTTATTTTGTAACTGTAGAGGAATCCTGAATGGGCCCTGCAAAGTAATCTCAGAGATTGAGCCACACATAGACAAAGATGGAGAACACAGCTCACCTGCAGAGTGCTGTTTCTCATCACTAACTGTGGTTTCTCTCAGTCCTGACTTTTTATGCTGAGGATTCTGGGAGAAATTTCACCTTCTTTACTTCCTACAGGATATCCAGTTTCCTGGTCTGGGAGCTGAGAGCAGAATTAGCCAATTGGAAGGTTAACGCATAATTGTAGGCACTGGGTGTATGGAGGAGACCCTTGACCATTTGCTATTTAACTGAATTAATGTTGGCCAGTTATAGATTTTCTGTTTGCAAAATTGCCAGCAGATTTTTCTGACTCCTGGATCTGCATCCTGTGTATGTGCCACTTGGGATGCCAGCATTTTGATTGCTTCCAGAGCGATCTAACCAGAGCCTGCTCTCAAGACAAGGGAATCCATGATTCACAAGCGGAACCGTACAGATGCCAGACCACAGCGTTCTTTTCACTTTGATTTGAGGGAGATGATGTTGGTCAGGGTGATGACTCCCCCATTTCAATTTCTCTGATGTTGTTCAGGCCAGCCACACGGTGAACCTCCTGAGATTGATTCTTGCTCCCTTCTTTGGGGTTCAGTGCATTTCAGAGGGCTGGTATTTAGAGAGAAGCCCTGGTTCCACAGCTTCCAACCTTTTGACACTGCTTTGAGTTCTCTGGTGGGGATGATAATGAATTTTCTTCAACTGTCTGTGTGCAGTGGTTAGGATTTTGAGGTCTGATATTGAAGTTTTGTTTTCTAAGAAACACACAGAGTCGAGGATTTGAGTGCAAGTAATTTGAGTGATGGCAGAAATTGGTTTAAGAAAAATACTAGCTGGGGCCGGGCACGGTGGCTCACACCTGTAATCCCAGCACTTTGGGAGGCCGAGGTGGGTGGATCACGAGGTCAGCAGATCGAGACCATCCTGGCGAACACTGTGAAACCCCGTCTCTACTAAAAATAGAAAAAATTAGCCGGGTATGGTGGCGGGCGCCTGTAGTCCCACTTACTCGGGAGGCTGAGGCGGGAGAATGGCGTCAAGCTGGGGGCGGAGCTTGCAGTGAGCAGAGATCATGCCACTGCACTCCAGCCTGGGCAACAGAGAGAGACTCCATCTCAAAAAAAAAAAAAAAGAAAAGAAAAGAAAAGAAAAGAAAAATACTAGCTGGGTGCAGTGGCTCACGCCTGTAGTCTTGGCACTTTGGGAAGTCGAGGTGGGTGGATCACTTAAGCTCAGGAGTTTGAGAGCAGCCTGTGCAACATAGTGAAACCTCCTCAGTACAAAAAATAGAAAAATTAGCTGGGCTTGGTGACGAGTGCCTGTAGTCTCAGCTACTTGGGAGGCTGAGGTGGGAGGATCGCTTGAGCCCAGGAGGTTGGGTCTGCAGTGAGCCACAGTTGCACTCCAGCCTGGGCAACATGGCAAGACTCGGTCTCAAAAAAAAAAAAAAAAAAAAAAAAAAAAGGAAACTTTAAAAGTCAAAAAAAATAGAAAAAATACCAATAGGGAATGAGGAAATAAGTCAGGGAAGAGAAGGCAGGTAATGAATGTGAGTTATCAAGCTAGATTCTCTGGTGGACTTTGGCACTCAATCCCAGGTGGAAACTGGGAGACAAAATGCGTATCTCCAAGTGATCTCACCAGAGGGGTGAGGGAATTGGGATATTTACATACCATTCCCCATCAGTTATTGGTTAAGGACCACTCCCAGGATGTTAATTTCCAAACACTCTCTTCTGGCACTATGCTCAGATAAAATACCCTTCCACAAGTTTTAGAGACATATCTCGTACAAAGAAGAAAAAATGCAAAGTCCTGCACGTTGACACAGAAGGTCTGAGGGGAATGGGTAGGACTCTGACAGAGTTCCTTTGAGGACACTTGAACCTAGATTCAGATGCTGGCTTCACCCATTCCAACTGTATGATCTTGGGCAAGCTTGTTAACCTTTCTAGAATTTCGAGTTCGTCTTCTATAAAATATACCTTATAACATTACACATTTCATAGGCCTGCTGTGGAGATGATGCATATGGTGAGTTTAGCACATTAATGGCCAAATACTAAGGGCTCAAAAATGGTAGCTTTCATTTGTTAAGTGTTACGGAGCCTCTTCTCTGTCCCAGTATGTGTGGTAGGTGCTCAGTAGAACCAGTGGTTGGTTGTTGGGGGGAGGTAATACCTGTTTTTATGGCCTTATAGCCTTTGCGTACTAAACCTTAAGACCATTTCTTATTTCACTAAGTCACACCTTGCCCAGGAGAGAATCGTATACATCTCATACATTATGTTCCAAATCACGTAACCTAAATTTTTGACCGCTGGATGAAGTGTCTTAAGCATCTGCAAAGACAGAACTGTGCCTTTGAAAGCAATTGTAAATTTTAAGTTTTATAGTAGCCAAGTTTGCAAAAGGAATAAGAAACTGGTGAAATTAATTTTAATAACATATATTTAATTTCATATGTAAAATATTGTCATTTCAACATGTAATTAATATGAAATTATTGACTATTTTACATTCTTTTCCTTATTTAGACATTGAAATCCAGTGTGTATTTTATACTTACAACATGTCAGTTTCAGACCTATGACTGTTAAAGTACTCAGTAGCCACCGGTGGTTCATGGTCACCATATTGGGCCACAGTGAAGGCTTAACAGGTCCTGGATTCCTTTTAGAAGTAAATTCCAACAGAATAGTTCCATTTTCTCTTTCCTCCTCTTCATAGATGACAATGCTTCTTTGCTTGTATAAAAATGAAGTTGGTTTTAGCTTAGGCATCATGGAAAATTGACAGTTTCTGTAATAAAATTTCACACATGGAAACCATGGTGAGAATCTTAGCAGGTGTAAAAATCTGACGAAGTTATTTCTTTAACTGCAATTTAATGGAAACTGCAGCAGCTGTTCCATTTGCGTATTCTCCAAATCTCAGTGCCAAAAAGAATTGTTGGCAGCCACTGGAGAAGTTTCAACTTACCTCTTCATTTGGGAAATGAAATCAAAACCTCAGCTTGTTTCTAAAAGTTGCGGATTTGGCGAAAGTTAGCAGGGCAAACACATAAGCCGCTATTAAAATATTGATGGCTTTGGTTTTCTCAGGTGCTGCTGCTAACATCTGCAGAAGATTTGGACTGCACTCCTGGATTTCAGCAGAAAGTGTTCCATATCAATCAGCCAGCTGAATTCATTGAGGACCAGTCAATTCTAAACTGTAAGCAATGTCACTCAAAGATGCTTTTAGACTCTTCTCATATTTGAATTTACTAATGTTTATGACTGTGTCTCAGGATGTGGTATTTCCTAAACTAAGTGTTTTCTGATTATTTTTCTTATGTCACTGCTTGACCCAAAGTGGAAATTCTTGAATGAGGGCCTGGCCAACTTAGAGGTTAATAGAGTGATATGCATCTCTTTTTAGTATTTTATCATCAGTGGGTATCTCCATACTGCTGTCAGAAAAGGGGGCTGTCAGCCTCCAATGAGAGTTGTACACTGTGCAAAGGAAATGAAATTCATTTCCCCTGGGCAGATCCCCAAAATCAAAATCATTGCCTTCTCGCAGATTGCTGTTCTACCTGTAGTTTCTCATACATAGCATTAGATCAAAATAATGGTGAGAGTATGACATTGGCTTCTGGGAATTTTTAGACACAGACATCAAAAACTCTTATTCTTAAGGCTAATAAGATGGGTTTTAGAAAGATTCAAAACCTCTACTGATTATTCTATGGATTAAGCTCAACTCATCCTGAATTCCAATTGATTTATTTAAAATATGCATCTTTCATATCTGTGGTGATGATCTCTTTTTGTTTTTAATGTCAATATTATATTGCTTTATCTTTAAGAAGTGTTAGGGTACATTGCTAAATGCATAACAAGTACAGTTTTAGTGCAATAGAATTTAAAATTGGTGGTAGACAAATAGCTATTTCATTGTAGGCTCTTGAGTACCTTGCTTAACAACTGGAAATGAAGAATATGGAAACAACTGATCTAAACTGATCAGATGCAGTCGGGTGTGATGGCTCATGCCTGTAATCTCACCACTTTGGGAGGCCGAGGAGGATGGATGGCTTGAGGCCAGAAGTTCAAGACCAGTCTGGGCAACCTGGTGAAACCCCATCTCTACTAAAGTTACAAAACTTAGCTGGGCATGGTGGCATATGCCTATAGTCCCAGCTACGCGGGAGGCTGCGGCAGAAGAATCGCTTTAACCCAGGAGGTGGAGGCTGCAGTGAGCCGAGATCATACCATTGCACTCCAACCTGGGTGACAGAGCGAGACTGTGTCTCAAAAAAGAAAAAAAAAAAAGAAGAAGAAGAAAATTAAAATAAGCTGATCATACGCTCCAAGGTCTTTTCAAGGAAGGTGATTCCACATTGGCTCTTATGGTCTCAGGTTTACGTTCCACGCTAGCTAAGTTCCTTTAGTCCTATGCTATGTGGCTGACAAGTTTAAAGGAAAGACAAGAAAAAAAAAAAAAAGCACACTTGACTGGATTATTCTGTGAGGCTGGGACACACTCTAAGAGTCGAAAGGAACACAATAATGAAGATGCACTGTTGAGCATCAAGGGAGCTGTCCAAGGTGAAGCCCGTGCACCTCCCGATGAAATGACGCCAATGAAATCATTTCAATAATTAGTCTGTAATGACAAGGTGCAGGGCTGGCACAATAAGTGAATTCCAATATGTGATTTCCTGCTCATTTGATCTCTGAGTGTGACTCCTGGGTCAGGCCATTAGGAACCCTCCTTTGTCTTTTCATTTTTGTATTTATCAGAATCAATATATTTCAAACAGAACTTGATTTGTGAGAACCATTTTTCTGGCTCTCCTCTCCTCTCTTCCTCTGTCTTCCTTTTATTTTTTTTCCAAGTGATTATCCCAAATGGCATCTATGTTAACATGCTTGGAAATGCGAAGCGACCCTGAGTATGGAAATTAATAGAGTTGGTATGCAAAGTAGACCTATAAATGTGATTGCTTCTGTAATCTTCACGATAGCAAACAGTTTTTAATTCGCTGCTGAGAAGCTGGAAACAATCATACTTTGGGGGGATCTTTTTAATTTAAAGTAAGCCATACTGTACATTGCAGTATCACAGTTGTGTGTGTGTGTGTGGGGGGGGGGGCGGCGGTGTGCGTGTGTGCTTTAATCCCCTAAGTAATTAAGTGGGTTATGGTTGTTGCTTCTGGGTAAGCTAGTAAATGCTAAATGGGACTAGGTTCATTATCAATGATAACACATTCAGAAAAAGTCAGTGATATGAGAATTGAGGACACTTAAATTTTTATGCTTGTATATGAGTTGTTGGGTCAGCAAAATTTGATTAGCCCCTCTTGGTGAAACCGTATGTCCATGTATATTACTAAGGTAAAAAAAAAAAATCCAAAGCAGATCTGGTTAGGTACTTTCAAGTTCATCTCAAAGCAATGAACATATTATGAGTATAGAGCCTGCAGATAAGGTTAATGGTGCCTAAATGAGGAAGAAAATTGTCATAGACTTGAGAATGCCTATTGAAAATAGTTTAGGAAACTCTGGATTTCTAGAAGTAGTAGCAGTGCTTTGCTTTATTCCACTTGCAAGTAGCGGTTCAATTGAATAAACTTTTATACCTAACCAACCAATATTTTAAGCCAGTCTCACTCTCCCCTCTCTCTCATTCTCAGTTTATTTTGCGTATTTCTTATAATGCAAAACAAAAACCTTCTGTCTCTGAAAAACGTGATTAATCAAGAAACCAATGAGTGAAGTGTGCTATCAAATTGAAGACTCTACTGGCACAAGGCTAAATCTGAATGAAAAACGAAAAGAACCAAACAGAACCAGAAAATGTTAAATGCATAGATTCCATTTCCTGAATCATTGTATACCAAAGATCCAGGAAATGGTTAGGGATGTTTTAGTCTCATATAAATATAGGTCAGTGTTGTACACAGTGAGAAAACTAGATTAGTAGCATCATCTTGTGCCCTACTCATGACATTTGCACTTCATATTTTTCCTTTATCTTTGCAATATTTAAGAGCTTTGGTTACCAATCATTGTGAACTTTTGTGTTGCAGGGGGTGTAAACACAGCATAATCAATCAATTGATGTCTACACTCTTCACTTTTCTTTAAAGTTGTCTGAAAGTGCTGTCTCTTTGCCTGACAGACATAGTATATCTACCCCTACCCTAGACTTGTGTTCATCCAATTGTGTGTTCAGCTTTTAGCAGGTTATGGGGAATGTTTATTCTGTGGATGGCTTCCTGCTATCTTTGTTCAGACAGTAATATTTCCTTTTATCCTTTTTCATCTTCCTCCTCAATTTTCAATGACTTATCTTTTTCTACTTTAACTGTTACTAATGGTCACCTCCACTCCTTTTATTTCCCTAATATTTTATTCACTGTTATCTCTGATACATCTTTCTCTCAGTTGTTCTGAAGCCTTTTATTTGCTTCACATCTGAATCACTCTTTATTCTACTCTCCTTTCCACTAACTGGACTTGCTTTTGTCTTAAAAACGCCATTTTTCAACAATATGCTGGGACCAAAACATAGCATTCAGCTATTTCTTCTAACGTAACCAGTGGGCTCTTCACTGCATCTTTCAGAGAGTGATGCAAAGCTCCCAACTCAGGGAAACTTGGGTAAAACTTCCTTGGCTTCATCTCAGTCTTGAAAGTTTATCTGGGAAAATGTGATTCTTCCCATTTGTCAATGAAAAATACAAGAAGAAAGGAGAAGTCAGCTTAGAAGGCAACCACTCAGAAAGGAGGCATCCATTTAAGGTCTTTGAATTCTGAAAGGAATCTGTGAAAAGTTTGTGGGAGGTGTTTTCTGGAGGCCTGGCACCCATATCTCCCTCAAATTGCCCAGCATGGTAGATCTTGCTTTTCCCCAAACACGACAATTGTGTGATCTGGGAGCTGACATCTTAGTACCACCAGAATTGGACAGCAACCCTGGTTACATCATGACACCCAGAACAGAAGATCCCCAGTCTTAGAAGAATAGCTGTCTTGGGCAACTGACCAGCCACCCAGCTGGGATGGGAAGATCCCAAGTGATAAAATCTGACTATCCTATGTTCTGCAAAATTATAAAACAGGATAGTCTGCTTTGATACCATCAGCTCAGACAGATTTTTTCCAGCAAATGGAAAAATGTGTGGTCATTGAGCTCATTAGGAGAAACCATACCCTTGACCTCCAGCCTCTATTAGCAGGGGATGAGTGCAGTCTTTGGTGTCCAGAAAGAAGATCCTCATTGGCCACATAGCCACCATTAGAACTGTACTTTTTTTTCTTACCCTTGTTCATTCTTTATGGGTCATTCCTCTTAGGCCACCCACATGCAAACATAGACACATAGGTAGAGACAGAAATCACAGCATCTGAATTTACCTACAATACAACTTGCATCACATGTTTAGGAAAGAACCTGCATTAACAAGAGCAGGCTAGGCTAGGCCATGGTGTCAAACAACTCTAGTGACTTAACACAGTGAAAGTTTATTTCTCACTCAGATCATGCAGATGCAGTCGGGCTGCTCTCCTGGGTAACTCTCCTCCCAGTGGTTGCCCTCCATGCAAGAACCTGATGGCCGAGGCTACTTCCAACTTGGTCCTACCATCTTGTAGCTTCCAGCTTTTATCACTGAGCTGGCAGACAGGGGAATAAGAAAGACTATGAGGAGGTCACTGCAGGTGCTTAAATACCTCAGCCCCAAAGTGGCATGTATCATTTCTGCTCATATTCTAAGATCTAATCATGTCGCCAACCTAACTGCAAAGGAGTCTGGCAAACGTAGAAGAACACATGGGTATCGATGCAGGATCACAGTCTCTACAAAGATCCTAACAAAATGATGTCGCCTATATCAGAAAGAGACATAAATAGAGACAGAAATGGACCACAAAGGAGCCAGCTGTCTTGGAGTAACCAAGGCCTACATAGGATGAAGTTAGTCAGTTTAAGCAGGAGAGCAAGGTCGTGCACCTGCGACTATGTCCTGCTTTCCTTAGTAGAGAAATATTCCCACTGAACAGAATTAGCTTCTTAGAAACACTATAAGCTCCTCTCCCTGTGCCATCTTAGAAACACTAGGGGAGGGACAGCACCTACTCATGGACTCCAGTTGCTTCCTCCAATTGGTTACAATACTGTGGTTAAGATCACACAGTTTTAAACTCATATCGACTAGAATTCAAATGTGCACACAGTCATCTATTAGCTCTGTGGCCATGAGTGAGTTATTCACATCCTCCAAGTTTGAATTATCTCATCTCCAAAAGAAGATTAATGGTAGTCCCTGCTTCTAGAGCTAATGCCTCAACTGATGGGAAACATGCTTAGAACATAGTCACAAATAAATGGAAGCTGCTATTATTATTATTATTGTCCTTATAATTTCTGCTGTTACTATTATTATCATTACTTTCATTCATAGACCTCAGCTAGATCCACTTTTCTTATAATGGCCATCTGAAATTGGCTTTAAGAAGAAAAATCATGTTGGCCATTAAAAATACAAACAGGTGAAGAAGCGACTAAAGCAGTGATTGTAGGGCATTTGAACTTCATGGACCAGTAATTTTTTTAAATCCTAGATTGATGAGAGTGTATTTTAAAAAATTGGTAAGACTTGGTATGAATTTTTTAAAAGTAAGTAAATGAAGGGAGGGGAAAACACTACCGCCATTTACTTTTGCCAGGCTTTCCTTTTAAAAGGTCACTTGGCATCAAAAATAAACATAAAAGAAGTAAAGACTAGTTACAGAAGAAAAGTCAGTTCTTTGAGTAAATTTTGCTTTGTGAAAAATGCACCAAATATTCTTATTTACTTCGCTTTTGTGGAAACCATTGATCTAAGGGATTAGGTTGATGTCACCCTTTTTGCTCTTCACTTTTCTGATACTTTTCTGAAGTTTTAATATGTCGTTGTTTCTGAAGAGGCAGGGGTATTTCTTAGGAGACATTTTCATGAAGGGACTCCTGTCCATGTTGACAAAAGAGAGTGAGTGTTTCTAGATAATGTGACAATCATATGCATGTTAGGAGGTGTATTAGCCTATTTTCATACTTCTATAAAGAACTACCTGAGATGGGGTAATTTATACAGAAAAGAGGTTTAATTGACTCACAATTCAGCATGGCTGAGGGGTGGCCTCGGGAAGCTTACAATCATGGCAGAAGGTGAAGAGGAAGCAAGGCACCTTCTTCAGAAGGTGGCAGGAAGGAGAAGTGCTGAGATAAGGGGAGGAGCCCCTTATAAAACCATCATTTCTCACGAGAACTCACTCACTATAATGAGAACAGCATAGAGAAAACTGCCCCCGTAATTCAGTTACCTCCAGCTGGTCACCCCCTTGAAACGTGAGGATTATGGGAATCATGGGGATTACAATTCAAGATGAGATCTGAGTTGTGACACAGAGCCAGACCATGTTATTCCGCCCCTGGTTCCTCCCAAATCTCATGTCCCTTTCACATTTGAAAACTAATCACACATTCTCAACAGTTCCCGAAAGTCTTAATTCATTCTGGCATTAACCCAAAGGTCCAAGTCCAAAGTCTCAACTGAGACAAGGCAAGTCCCTTCCACCTAGAGGCCTGTAAAATCAAGTTAGCTGCTTCCTGGATACAATGGAGGTACGGGCATTGGGTAAATACACTCACTCCAAATGGGAAAAATTGGCCAAAACGAAGGGTCTACAGGCCCCACGCAAGTCCAAAATCCAGCAGGGCAGATAAATCTTAAAGCTCTGAAATGATCTTCTTTGACTCTGTGTCTCACATACAGGTCACCCTGATGCAAGAGGTGGGTTCTCACAGTCTTGGGCAGTTCCACCCCCATGGCTTTGTGGGGTACAGCCCCACTCCCAGCTGCTTTCACAGGCTGGCGTTGAGTGTCTGTAGCTTTTCCGGGAGGACAGTGCAAGCTGTCAATGGATCTACCATTCTGGGGTCTGGAGGGTGGTGGCTGTCTCTCACAGCTTCACTAGGCTGTGCCCCAGTGGGGACTCTGTGTGGGGATTTCAACCCCACATTTCCCTTCTGCACTGCCTTAGCAGAAATTCTCCATGAGGGCTCTGCCTCTGCAACAAACTTTTGCGTGGACATCCAGGTGTTTCCATTAAGCCTCTGAAATCTAGGCAGAAGTTCCCACACCTCAATTCTTGACTTCCGTGCACCTGCAGGCCCAACACCACGTGTAATATGCCTAGGCTTGGGGCTTGCACCCTCTGAAACAATAGCCTGAACTGTATTTTGGCCCCTTTTAGCCATGGCCAAAATGCAGGGCTCCAAGTCCTGAGACGGCACAAAGCAGCAAGGCCCTGGGTCTGGCCCATGAGACCATTTTTTCCTCCTAGGCCTCAGGGCCTGTGATGGGAAGGGCTGCCTTGAAGACCTCTGAGATGCCCTGGAGACATCTCCCTCTTACCCACCAGCCCTGTTACACCATTGACTTGGCGATTAACATTTGGCTCCTTTTTATTTCTGCAAATTTCTGTAGCTGGCTTGAATTTCTCCCCAGAAAATGTTTTTTTCTTTTCTATTTCATCTTCAGGCTGCAAATTTTCCAAACTTTTATGCTGTGCTTCCCTTTTAAATAAAAATTCCAGTTTCAAATCTTCTCTTTGTGAATACGTAAAGCTGAATGCTTTTAAGAGCACCCATGTCATGCTTGAACACTTTGCTGCTTAGAAATTTCTTCTGCCAGATACCCTAAATCACCTCTCTCAAGTTCAAAATTCTGCAGATCACTAGGGCAGGGGCAAAATGCCGCCAGTCTCTTTGCTAAAGTACAGCAGGAATTACCTTTATTCCAGTTCCCAGCAAGTTCCTCATCACCCTCTGAGACCACATCAGCCTGGACTTCATCGTACATATTACTATCAGCATTTTGGTCAAAGCCATTTTACAAGTCTCTGGGAAGTTCCAAACTTTCCCACATCTTCCTGTCTTCCTCTGAGCCCTCTAAACTGTTCCAGCCCCTGCCTGTTACACATTTCCAAATTTGCTTCCTCATTTTTGGGTATCCTTATAGCAGCACCCCACTCTACTGGTACCAATTTACTGTATTAGTCTGTTTTCTTTTCTTTTTCTTCTTCTTTTTTTTTTTTTTTTTTTTTTTTTTTTTGAGATGGAGTCTCACTTTGTCGCCCAGGCTGGAGTGCAGTGGCACGATCTCAGCTCACTGCAACCTCTGCCTCCCGGGTTCAAGCGATTCTCCTGCCTCAGCTTCCTGAGTAGCTGGGACTACAGGCATGAGCCACCATGCCTGGCTAATTTTTTGTAGTTTTAGTACAAAGAGGGTTTAACCATGCTGGCCAGACTGGTCTCGTATTAGTCTGTTTTCATACTGCTGTAAAGAACTGCCTGAGACTGGGTAGTTTATAAAGATAAGAGGTTCAATTGACTCACAGTTCAGCATGCCTGGGGAGGCCTTAGAAAACTTACAATCATGGTGGAAGGCAGAGAGAAAGCAAGGCACCTTCTTCACAAGGAGGCAGGAAGGAGAAGTGCCGAGATAAGGGGGAAGAGCCCTTTATAAAACCATCAGTTCTCGTGAGAACTCACTATCACGAGAGCAGCATAGAGGAAACCACCTCCATGATTCAATGACCTCCCCCGATCTCTCCCTTGACATGTGGGGATTATGGGTATGACAGTTCAAGATGAGATTTGGGTGGGGCCACAAAGCCTAACCATATTAGGAACATATGTTGGCATGCAAGCTTCTGTGAGTGTGGACAAGTATGGCCTCCCTGGCCTTGATAACTGACAGTTACTGTGTGCTCCCTAGTGTGTTGAGGGCCACCTCGAACCTCACAACAGCTCTTAGGGGAAAGGTACTCTCATCTGCCCATTTTACAGGTGAGGACATTTAAGGCTGAGCTAGGTGAAACAATGAACCTGAGATCATACTGCTTATAATTGGTGGTGTCAAAATTTGAACCCAGGATTTTAGGGCCCTGGTTTTCATCCATAGTTCTGTGGCCTAGTGTCTCTTAGTTTTTTTGATGTTGGTGGTGATACATCAAGGAAATTTGCCGGTGTGTTTTCCCATCACTTTTATCAACCAGGGTGAGATAGAGAGAACTGCTGCTGCTGCGTATTTGTTGCTTTTCATAGCCAAGCTCATCCTGTCTCTGTATTATAGAAGAATTAGCTTTTTCTATTCTGGATGGACCCAGGGCCAGATTGTCCATGACCCTTAACTCTCAGCTTTCCACCCTCTCTGTTAGTTTCTTTCACCAAGACGTTACTTGGTCATGCCACCATGACACTGACCTTGGTTAGCAGCCAGGTCCTCCATGGAGTGTGTGGAATCACATTAATCATATTTGTACTTAACATACATGAGTCATGGCTTTTGAGGGTGCTTTTAATTGACTATAAATCAAGCAAGGAACTTGAAAAATGAAGGCAATTAATGAAAAAGCATGTGAGAGGTGTTTTGCATCCTAAGGGAGGAAATACACTGTCAGTGAATTTAATGTCACAACAAAGGCTCTTTTGACCCTGCTGAAAAGATTTCATGTGGATAGTAATAAATGGATGAACTTTGCAGCCTCACAGGTGGAGAATTGCCTGTTTCCTGAGTTCAAGCTGACTTAGGCTTTTATCTGTCTACATTCTCTATCTTGAGAACTTCCTAGATTCTTTTACTTTTGCTTTCATTTCTTGTGATTTTTAAAAATAACAATGATAATTCTTTTCCCATTTTCTGGTCATTCTTCACACATCCTTTACATATTTTATACAAGCTTGTATTTACTTTCAGGTTGGGAGACTGATTAATTGATTAGTGAGGTTATGTAACGTCCCCTGAACTGCAGTCTGGACAGAGCTGGACAAGGTTGGGGTTTCAAGTAGTATATTTGTTTTAATCTGTTGCGATGTGCCAAGGAAAATTATTCTGGTATTGCCTAATTCACTCTATCATTATGAAGTTGACGATACATCGGGTCAGAATGTGGACTCCTATTTACATTAATAAGAGTTTTTCCTATATTTAAACAGAGCTCAGTAGAAATGTTATGCTTTCACAGGTTTTCCCTTCCCTCCTACCAATCCATTTGTAACAATCTAGTAGTAAGTCAATTAATAATGATTAGAAACCTCATAAATGCATTATCCTACCTAACAAATGTGAAATACTATAATAAAATGACGTAAGATAAGAAATGAACATATGTACACATCAAAGACAGATGTAACAAAATGTTTAGAGATCCTTCCATTGGACTTGGGTCCTAACTTGTTCTTTAAAGAATGGGAAACACAAGAAGTAACAGAGTGAGAAGGACTTCTCAGACGAGGAACATGAACACAGGTGGAGTTCCCTTGGCCTAAGTTTTCTTATCAGTAGAATGGAAGAGATAAATAGACCAGAGGTATCACACTGTCAGCCTTTGGGCTAAATTTGCCTCACAGATACGTCCTGTTTGGCTGCTTAGTGTGAGAATTTGAGGTGTTTGATAAAAGGAATTTGTCATTAACATTTAGAATTTCACCTTTAGAAATTCCCAATTTCTGGGTAGTGTTGCGTCTTCAGAGCAGACAGAGATGCCACAGTTCAGCTGCCTGGGTTCAAATCTAAGGCCGATCCTTTACCAACTAAGTAACTTTGGCAAGTTGGGAAAAACAAAACAAAAAAACTCACTGTGGTTTTATTTTCTCATCTGGAAAATTAATATTATAATGGCAGCAATCTCAACAGTCTGTTTTGAGGGCTAAATATTAATCTATGTGTGATAACTGCTACATTGTGTAATTATTATCATTATTATTTGAGATGGAGTCTCTCCCTGTTACCCAGGCTGGAGTGCAGTGGCGCAATCTCAACTCACTGCAACCTCTGCCTCCTGGGTTCAAGCTATTCTCATGCCTCAGCCTTCCGAGTAGCTGGGACTACAGAAGTGCACCACCACGCCTGGCTAATTTTTGTAATTTTAATAGAGCAAAGTTTTGCCATGTTGGCCAGGCTGGTCTTGAACTCCTGGCCTCAAACGATCGTCCTGATTCGACCTCCCAAAGGACTGGGTTAGGTGTGAACCACTGCGCTCAGCGGGAATTTTTTTTTTTTTTCTTTTTAAACACAAGTCAAGTGTAGTAGTGAGAAGTGCGGAAGGGGTAGAACAAGGAGTTTGATATGTAACTTTATCCTTATTAAAATACCAATGAAATTATTTACAGAAAAAGAAAAAAAATTCTAAAATTTATACAGAACCCCAAAAGACCCAGAACAGCAGAAGCCATCTTGAGCAAAAAGAACAAAATTAGAGTTATCACGTTATCTGACTTACAGTTGTACTACAAAGCTATAGTAACTAAAACAGTGTGATACTGGCATAAAAACAGATGCATAGACCAATGGGACAGAATAGCTAACCCAGAAATCTATGCATTTACAGTGAACTCATTTTTGACAAAGGTGCCAAGAACATACCTTGGGGAAAGGACAGTCTTTTCAATAAATGCTGCTGGGAAAACTGGATATCCATATGCAGAAGAATGATAATAGAGCCCTATCTCTTGCCATATACAAAAAGCAAATCAAAATGAATTAAAGACTTAAATCTAAGAACTGAAACTCTGAAACGACTACATGAAAACATTGGGGGAAATACTCCAGGACATTGGTCTTGGCAAAGATTTCTTAAGACCTGAGAAGCATGGGAAACTGAAACAAAAATGGACAAATGGGATCGTACCAAGTTAAAAACTTCCTGCATAGCAAAGGAAACAATCAAAATCAAGAGACAACCCACAGAATGGGAGAAAATATTTGAGAACCACCCGTTTAATGAGGGATTAATAGCCAGAATATATAAGGAAGTCAAACAACTCAATAGAAAAAAAAATCTCATTAAAAATGGGCGAAAGATATGAATTGACGTTTCTCAAAGGAAGACAAATGGGTAACAGGTATATGAAAAAATGTCCAACCTCACTAATCATCAGAGAAATGCAAAAAAATGTATATATAAACATATTCTCTCCCTGCAGTTAAAATGGCTTTTATCCAAAAGACGGGCAATCATGAGTGCTGGTGAGGGGGTGGAGAAAAGGAAACCCTCATACACTGTTGGTGGGAATGTAAATTATTACAGCCACTATGCAGAACACTATGGATGGTCCCCAAAAAACTAAAAATAGAACTACTATATGGCCCAACAGTCCCACTGCTGGATATATATCTAAAAGAAAGGGCTGGAAGGGTCCTGGGGAGGGAGAATAAAGTGGGGTTGGTTAATGGGTACACAAATACAGCTAGAATGAATAAAATCTAGTATTTTGTAGCGTAATAGGGTAACAAAAATTAATAATTTATTATATATTTTACATACCCAATAAGATGAAATTGGAATGTCCCTAACACAAAGAAATGATAAAGGTCTGAAGTGATGAATACTCAATTACTCTGATTTGATTATTACACATAGTATATCTGTATCAAAACATCATAGGTCCCCTCTAAAAATATACAACTATTATGTACCCATAAAAATTTAAATTACTTTTTAAAATATTAATCTATGTAAAGGGTTTTGAATAGTAGCTGACCTATAATGGTCCCTGAAATATTAGCTGTCAGAAACAGCATAGGGATGATTGTAGCTGAAAGCTTGCTATGGCCCTCCAATATTTATCTTTCTGATATCCAGTAGGCTTCCTAGTTAACTCTGCCTGTCCCACATGGGCATCTAAATTCACCTTCAGGAAGTCACTATTACTCCTAAGACTGTTCATGGAGTCAAATGATGTTCCATAGAAGACAAAACCATCTTGAAGTTTTTGATGCTGTCTTGTTTCTGTCATATCAGTAACACTATTGACAATACCTGCTATTCACTATCAAGGAAGCAGAATACAGTGCTAAGGGGTGAGAGGACATGGGCTGGCTGGTGTTGATCAAAGACTTTGAAATCTGTTTTCAGTGTTTTGAATTGTTGATACAGGTAATGTATGAAAAGGGAACCATGTGGTCAGACAGGGTGGCTGGCTTTCTGGAAGTTCAGAATAGGAGGAAGGTGAAAAGGATGAGTGGGCATGGCTCAGGCTGCCATGGAGCCATTTCAGAAGTCCTGAGATGGGGACAGTTTGTATGTATATCAGAGGAGAGATCAACAAGGGAGATAGGAGTGTTATTGGGGAGCACTTGAACATGAAATAAGTGAAAGGAGAGCCCCAGGGAGATCCAAGGGTTGACACTAACAGGCATCTAAAAGAGGTTTTCCGAAAGAGAAGCAGAATCACTGGAGTCTAATCCCAGCTCTAACTTTGACTTGCATGACAGTTTTCCTCCCTGGACCTTTGTTTTTCTCATTTGTATAATGAGAGCTTGTGAGTTGGGCTGTTTTGACTGTAATCAACAGTAACACAACTCCAACTAGCCTCAGCAAAAACATATAAAATTATCAGCTCACATGATTGAAAATTTCACAGTGTGAGTTGGCTTTGGAAACACTTGGATCTAGATGCATTAATGATATCCTCAATATCACCCTTCATCCCCCAGCTTTGCTTTCTATAATATTGATCTCAATCTTCACTCTCAGAGGGTTTCCCTCCAAGATGGCCACCAGCAATTCCAGTCTTTTATTCTTCTAGCTAAAAGAGCCAGAGCATCTGTTTTCCCAGTGTTCCAGCAAATATCTCAAGGCTGACCGTCCTTGGACCAACTTGGTTTACGTGCTTATCCCTAAGCCAGTTATTATATCCAAGAAAATTCTGTACTTCTCTTAGCCAGGCCTGGGGAAATGGAGATGAAATTCCCTCAAGGAAGGAAATGATGCTGGGCTGGCAAAAGTCAGACAGTCCGTTCTAAGGGTATTGTGCTCTGTTGCTAAGGTCCCATTAAGTACTAACGTCTTATGACCGCAGACTGTGCCCCAAGCCTGAGAATTTTTAGAACCCAGCATACACACAAATGGAAATGTTTTTTAGGTGGCAGGGGATAAGGACAGCCATCACACCAGGTTTCTTGCTGGTGATGCTGGTGAGCAGATTGCTTAATTAAGACTATCAAATTCTAAGTGCTGCCATATGGCCTCACTCTTCAACCTGTTGAGTGTCTTCACTCACTTGGTTCTGGAGCTGGTATAAATCTGTTTCATTTCTGTTTTTCTTTAAGGAATTAAGAATACAGGAACATACGGATGTTACAGGAGCATCTCCTAATTTAAGGTATTAGAACTACATAAACTGGGCTGCTTTAATAAGTAAGGCATCAAAATATAAATTGGGAAAGATTAAGCATAGCTTTAAATAGGCTGAGAAAGCAGAAGTTCTTATTATTCTGTTACAGATCAAATCTACACACATTCTAGTAATAGAGGTGCCCTCTATTTGTTCTTTTCACCTTAATGTTGATGGAAATTTTTTTGGCTTGAGAGCAAAAGGGCAAGAGGTACAAATGCTTGCCAGTCAAAATATCCCCAAGGACTTCTGCATTTGACAAAATTCATTCTCCTTCTGGAGATAGAAATAGGGAATGGAAAAGGAAAAGATGTATATTGAGTCCCTACCACTCATTTAGCCAACTATAGAAGAAACACTGAATGATCACCTAGTTTTTGCCAGACCCTGTGCTAAGTATAAGGGATAAAGCTTTGAATCAGATAAAAAATGTGCCTCCTGCTGTGGAGCTTTGATGATATCAGAGAGAGAAAAAGGCAAACATGATATAATAAACCCTTGAGAACACAGGAAAACGGCACATGACAAGACGATGGTTAAGTATCATGAAGGAAATAAGGCAAGGTCATATGATAGAGATTTCTGCATGGCTGCTGAAGAATGGGTGGTCAAAGAAGATTTTTCTAAGAAGCCAAGTCCTAAACTATGAGAAGAATCCAGTGAGGTAAAAATCAATGGTATAAACACTTAGGCTGAGGGAGTAACTCATGTCAAAGCCCTAAAATGAGAGTGGGTTCTTCAGTTTGAGATACTGTGATCCAGGAGGAGGGCTGTCATTTGATACATTTAATCATCTCAAATGTCTTGCAAATAGGATTATAAACTCTATGTTATAGATAGGGGTATAAAGATTGACTAAAGAGCCCAAGATCTCACTAAAAAGTGTCAGTGGTGTTACAATCCTCTGACTCCAAACCCCATTATCTTTCCATATGGAATGCTGTAGCTGGTGTTGGAGTCTTCTTTCACAGTAAAGTGCTCCTGTCATTGCCTCTGAGAACAGACTGGGGTGTCCTTGATAGTTTCACAGGACAGTGGTGTGGGCTCCTAGGTTATATTGCCTGTCTCTGTCACTCACAATGGGTGGTGTTTTTAAGCTACCCAAACTTCCAGCTCCTAATTTTTCTCATCTGTGAAATGGAGATAGTATTTCAAGGATTAAACAAGATAGCACATACAAAGGAGTGACAGCAGTGCCTGCTACATGCAATATTTTTATTTTAAAAAGTTGGTTGGTTTTATCCTTTAAAAGAATAAGGCTGGGGTGGGAAATCTCTGTGGGATGATGCTGTTTGAATGGGTAGTGCTGGATGCCCACCAAAGATGACCCACGAAATTTTCAATATAGCTTGGCTCCTCTGAAAGAGAGCATATTTTCTTCCTACTTCTTCTGAGACTCTCTTTTAAGTATTTTCATGTTCTAGGGATACTTGTTCTCCCCCACCCCTGACCACTTCTCACTCATGCTTGGTCTCTTTGAGCTAAATGTTAAAAACATACTCTATGAAAAATATTTGAGAAATTAGTACTCCCAATTTTAGGTCCAGATGTGTTCTGGAATTTAGAAAGATAATAAGATGCACACATTGTATTACACGATTCTACGAGCGGGGTCTCGGGCAGCTCCCTGTATTAAAACAGGTTGGCATTTCAATAGTAAAACATATGAATGTTTACCCTCAGTAGGATAAATAAGGACCACAAATAACATCATGTCAGTTCAGGTTGGGTTTTGCTGCCAAATGAGTTATAAAAACATGTTTGGTATGCTGAGTCTCTTGGATTTCAGAATTGCAGATTGCAGTCCTTAGAACATTCCCGTGAAAAGTTGCAAACCTTAGTCGTGCTAAGATGTTGAGTTGGCGTCTTCACATCCCGGCCACTTCTGGGAGCAGCAGAGTGTGGTGGCTCAGCCCACCCCTCAACCCCTCTACTACTTGTGAACACCTTGGTAAATGATGTCTTGGCAGGCCACCCCCGAGAAGTGGCCAAGTGCTGCACCAGCTTTTTTCTTTTCCATTTGAAGCCAAAACGATTGTCAGCGATCCAGGCTTCTCTTAACTGTGCCTGTCAGCTGATTCTGAAGACCTCCCAGAGGATCTATTTTTAGCTAAAACTGGTTTTAAATTTTCATATGTATACATTAAATTCCATAGAGGAAGGGGGGATTCCAAATGAGGAAACATTGATTCTGAATAACATAAAAGAAATAAGCAGTGCTTGAAAAACAGTTCAAAATATGAGTCAAAACCTCCCAGGAATATGGTTAGCACTGCATTTTTCCATGGAAGGAAGTCTGTTGAATTGAAAACAGAATGAGAGTAAGTGGGGATAAATTATACTAAGAAAGAGACTCAGCATGAAATTCTAGGTACTGAAGAGGGGAAGGAGAATAAGAATAGGGAGGACTGAACTTAGAGGGCAGTTGGGATTGCCAGATGGATACTCATGGGGATGTGTGGCCAGGTAATCAAATCGCATTGTCCAAAAGGGACATGGAGGCCATGGGCTAGGACCAGGCTTTTGGCCATACTCAAGAGGGAGAGAGAAGATACACCTCCCAAATAAAGGCCTGGAGTCTGCACATGACAGCTTTGATTATGCTTCCAAGGTTTTGTTCATTTTTGGGGCATGACCAAGGTAGTTCTAGAATGAGTGAGGCCAAAGCTGAAAGTGTCACAAAGTTTTTGCGTATGACAAAAGTTGCCTGCTTTGCTTTTGGATGCTCAACTCAGACTTCTTGTTTTCATGATGTGCAGTTTTGATCAGGACATTTTAGTGATAGGTATAGCCTACTTCTGTACCAAAGGAGAGGTTGGATTATCTGTTGAAAAGCGTTTTGTTGGCTATAATTACAATATGATGACTTAGTTAGGATTCTGATAAATCCTGACTAACTCAAGACTTTAAAGAAAGATACTTAATTAAAATAGAAGGAAGTTGCATAGTCACAGGTTCATCCAAAGACCTGAATGACAAGGTCTCAGAAAGGACAGAAACTAGAGAAGTTCCATGGGCTTAAGCAATGGGAACTCATAGAATTAGGACAGTGCTTTTCAAACTTTTACAGTGAATGACGATATTTGTTTCATTTTGTTTTGTTTTAATGTGTCACAGTAACATACTTTTGTTAAAGAAAAATGTCAAATATAGTTTTCAAAAAGTTTAAAACATGACTCACATTCATATCTAAAGTGAACACATCAAAGATTTTATCTATCTCAACAATGCAAAAGGGGACCAATAAAATGATAAGTATGATTCAAAGAGCATTCGAGAAACTAGCTATTTGCATGCAATTTAATAGTAAAGGAGTGTTAGAATAAGTTTGCTAGGTTACATACGAAGCTGGTTAATGTCCTGTATTAGTCTGTTTTCACACTGCTGATACAGACATACCCGAGACTGGGCAATTTACAAAAGAAAGGTTTATTGGACTTACAGTTCCACATGAGTGGGGAGGCCTCACAATCATGGTGGAAGGTAAAAAGCATGGAGGAGCAAGTTACGTCTTACATGGATGGTGGCAAAAAGAGAATTTGTGCAGGGGAACTCCTCTTTTTAAAATCATCAGCTCTCATGAGACTCATTCACTATCACGAGAACAGTACAGGAAAGACCCATCTCCATAATTCAGTCACTTCCTACCGGTCCCTCCCATGACATGTAAATAGTGGGAGTTACAATTCAAGATGAGATTTGGGTGGGGAGACAGCTAAACCATATCATGTCCTACAGGACAAAAAACTGTAACCTCTGTGGTTATCTTTTCTACCCATCATTACTTGTATCTCTGCCAGACAGAAATCTGTGAATTAACATGTAATGTTGTTAAGCCTGAAACCATCATTGAGTAGTGAATAGTACATTTTCCTAGATAATTAAATAATCTTTGAATTGACAAGTTAATGCCTGTATACGACATTGAAAGAACATGCAACCCACATTTTTGTCTTATTTTCAAGTTTTGAACCTTTTTTCTTAGTAATATAATGAAAATCAAGTTTTGTAAAATTAAATAAATCCAAAGACATAAAAGGTAAGCTTTTAAAAAAATAGATGGAACAGGTATAACATTACTATGTCACATTGCTTTCAACTTCTGTACTCGTCATGGGCCCCTAACAAGAGGTTGGGCATTGGTCTGTGGACCACACATTTAGTGTTAAGATAGGAATAACTTAACTCCAAATACCTTCCAGTTTGGGATGTCTTTATTCAAATTCCTGGTAGAGAAGCTGATTGGCCTGGCATTGGGTCAAGAGCCCACTTTGTGGTCTAGCAGACAGGTATCATGTTTGGAAGCCCATTCCCTAAACTAGGGACTGTAAACAAACAAAAATCAGAAGCATCCATACAGTTACTGAGTTTGGAGAGGTAGCCCAAACAAGGGGAGGACTTGGGCAGTGCTGAGCTCTGACCATAGAAAAAAAGTATCTGGGAACTATCTCAAGCGTCATTTAGGCTCCCCCATTTCAAGCATGCACCCAAACAGCTCATATACTATACAGTAAATACAACTTCTCAAAGTAGAAGATAACTGGTGTTAAAACAAGACTACATTTATGAGAACTCACTTCCATAAGGGCAAATACTACCTTAACAGAATCTCAGCAACATTCCAGAAGATGGAAGTCAGAATAGATATTTATAGGGCTTGTAGGGAGGGTATAGCCTCAAGCAATTTAAGATAGGAAGATGATTGGTATTGGGTAAATTCATGACATCTTGATTTAAGATTGTTAGACATAGCAAGATGAGTTTACTGAAATAAGTCTGACAAGTAGGTTATTGTTTGATAGATGAGCTATTTATCTAGCTAAGGAGACTGTTGTCCCAGATAAATTGATATGCATGGATTGTCCAAATGAAGCAGTGAAATTGTTCCTGGTTTAGAGCCTTATGTTTCGTGGACAAAGGTTTCTGTGAACAATTAAGTCAGGTTGACGAAGGTGATCTCAGTTGTTGGTCTTAAGCACTACGCCATGTTGATTTAGGTGGTCTGAATTCTCAGGACATGGTAGTTCACATTTGTTCCATGTTAGCATTTCCCAAACTTCTGTCTGTGGAACACTATTCTGCAGAGTGGTAACAGCAATGCAATGGGGGGAAACATATTTTGAAGTTAAGTAAGTTTGGGAAATTCTGTTTTGTTTTTTAATTTAAACTGTAGGCCCTCTCAAGTCTTTATGATGTGAAAATGCACAGTAAATATTCCAGAAAGCATGCAAAAATACCCCAGAATCTAACTCCTTTCCAGTCTGAAGAGCTCCTCAAATCTCTCCTAAAGTTACTTGCTTTACACACAGCCACCTCTATTCATTTTTTTTTTTTTAAATTTCCAGTAGCCAGTGTAACCTGGGGGCCAGGGAAGACCTGAACCTCTAGGACTCAAACCCTGTCATGATTCTTGAGGAGAGAGGAAGGTGGAAATACATACATACACATAGACACACACACACACACACACACACACACACACACACATATACACACACACACACTCTATATATGTATATATATTCTCATTCTGCTAAACTAATCGAAAGTAAGATATAGTAAAATGTTTGAAAATACATATGTGCAGCTTTGAAATGTCTTCCCATATCATAATGGCTGTGGAATCAGCCTCAGAAGCCAGATTGTCTGAGCCCCAAGGAAACGTCAAACCCCTCTCCCTCTCCAGTAGCATTCCCCAGTCTGTGTCACTTAGACGAAAAGGATCTCAGGGTGGGTGGCAATGCTCCTTCACTGAAATCTGCAGTTATCTCTACCCAAGGCTTACAGTAAATTTTTTGCAAATTAGAAAGCCCTTTGCTCTCTCAGTAAACCCTGGCTTTCAAGATTTTTGTTTTAGTAAAGTCTTTAGACTAAATGTTGAATCTTTCACTCTCTTTGCTCCTAATCATCTCTAAGACAGCAAATGCCTCTAGCAAAAAAGAGGAGACGTCAACTGGGAAAATTTGAAGAGAAAGTCACACAGATACATTTCAGTAAGGTTGTCTCTGTTACTTGAGGCTTACAAGAAGGAAAGAATTCCCTCTCTAAACACACTCTAAACACACAGGAGTTGAGAACGGGGAGATTTATTCCAGAACCCCTTCTGTGCGTTGGGGCTTCTGGTAGCTTGCCTTTCTTGGTAACGATTTTCTCAGAGACTGGGTAGATTCGAGTGGAGCCTGGGGCATGGTTGTTGGTCCAATGGCGGGGGTTGGGGAGACACAAGCAGTTGGCAGGGAACTTACAAATCTCCAGGAGGTTATTGAGAATAAAAATTCAGATATTGCCATCTTTTCCATTTCAAAGCACCAAGAGTCTGTCATCAGCAATTGTGCCTTTCTAGGTGTCACCTGAATATCTAACATTGAGGCATTGAAAGATAGATCAGGACTGATTTTACTGAGCATTTTCAAAGGCAGCAGGCAGGCTTTTCAATGCTGCATGAGATCCTCACCTTCTCTGAGGTGACAGGGGCTTCTGTTTTCTTGAGTTTCCCTGTTTGCTGATGTCATCCCCTCCTACCCCATGACCATGACACCAACTACATCCATGATGTATATTTCCAATGTGTTTCAACTTATGGTCAGCTCCCACCAGCTCCATATTCTGGTGGGATAAGCAAGCCTTGCCTTGAGCTTTGCAGGCTGGGCCCATGGTTGTGGACATCACAGCTCTGGTCCTCATAGTATTGGTGGCAGGCAGATGCCCAGCTCTGGCACCTGAATGCTTGGATTTGGATGCCAGCTCTAATACTTACTAGCTCTGTAACCTAGAAAAAGCTCCTTAGCTTCTCTGCACTTTAGGTTTCTTTTTTAAGGAACACTGAAGGAAAATCTGAGGCTGGTACAGTCTCTGCTTGGCAAATGGTGGTTATTTCTATCCATTAATGTCATCTGATCATGGCCCCTCAAACCTCACTTTGAGCCTTGTGAGCAAATGATACATACTGTTTATATATATATTTTCCTATATATGTAGAAAAATATATATTAAATAAATATAAAATATATAATTTAATTAAATATATTTAATATATATTTATAGTATATTAATATTTAATATATACTATATAATATATACATATATTGTATATTTTATATACAATATTATATATTATATTTATATGTAATTGTATATTTATACATAATATAAAATATCTATTATATGTTACATATATTTAGATATAATATATTTTACATAAATTATAATATATAATAATATAACCAGTATGTTTCATTATATATAATATATAGATACATACTGATTATATATGAGTATATAACATATTTACATGATATATAATATATAAGTATATAAAATATGAATATATATTATATAATTTATAAATATATATAAATTATGCAAATTATATTTGTGAATATATAATAGATTTATCTAAATATATGTTATATTTAGCTATAGAAATATATATTATATATTTAGATATTATAGAAATATATAATATATATTATAACATCAGTATGTATCATTATATATAGATCCATACAGATTATATATTAATATATAATAGATTATATTAATAGATCATATATAATCATATAATGGATTAATAGATTATATATACTATTTATGTAATCAGTATGTATATATATTATTTCAAACCTCACTTTGAGCCATGTGAGCAAATGATACATACTGATCATACCTACTGATCAGTGTATATTTCAGTCTCTTTGTATCGCCCTATATATTTTCCACTTTGCAATGAGAGGCCTTTGCTTCTCAAGTGCAGCGTCCTCATGCTTCTCCCACCTGAACAAATTATTAACCCTGTAAACCGGCTTTCAGCAAGCTACGTGGATGAGGGGTCTGAAGGTTTTTAGTTTCTTATTAGACTGTCTCTCGTTTCACTTACATGGTACCCGCTGGGTTGATTGCTTCATATATCGGTGGTACTAATGTGGATATTGAATGTTTCACCTGCCGAGGGCCTTCATCTAATTCATACTGAGCACATAGAAAGGTGATTTGAATGGGGGCATTTGCTCTGTTATTTTGGTGATGGATTTAGGGAAATGGAAAGTAGCAAATTGCTTTGTTTTTGGACCTTTGCCAGGTCCATCCTGGTTATGGATAATACTTGCTTGGTTGATTGAAGAAGGCCAGCTGCTACTCTAATAGCCCAAGTCAATGGCCAACGGTGCCTGATTAGCAAGCCTGCTATGCTTACTGTAGTGAAAAACATCTTATAATTATAAATTAATACCCTTTCTATTATACATCAATATGCTGGTATATTTCATAAGTTGGCCAGCCCTTCATGACTAATATTGATATTAAGGTCAACTCTAGTTTTATGATACCAAGGCAAAGAACATCTTTAAGAAAATTTAGATACAACTCCTGACTTTGAATGAGGGAATTCATACTGAGAACCTCAGTGTTACCATTTGTAAATCAGATTAAATAATGCCCAACATCTGGGGCTTTGAAAACCAATGGGATAAACTTTGTGAGAACAATTTTTAAAGCCTTTAGACATTACCCCGTGGTGTCTAGTGTCTCTTCATATTTTCCTCTGGGTTTATCTTGACCCTTTCAAATGGAATGCGTGGATGCCATTAGTATTTATAACATTCATTTTCAGTGCTTTAGTATTGTTTTTTTCTTTATTGTTGTGTAATATGTATGGAAAAGGCATATAGCAAAGGGTGATCAATGGCTGGGCTTATCCTAATCTTTGTGCATGTGCTTGGGTGTGTAGAGGCTTCCGTTCGTGTCTCTGGGCCATCTTGCATAGGGGTTCAAGCTCCCATTTGGATGCCATGGGTTGAAGTCTCCGGAAAGCTGACCTCAGATGAGGATTGGTGTGTAGGAAGTTTATTAGGGAGTATTCTGGGGGTCATCTGCTGTGGGAGGGAGGGGAAGAAAGCTGGAGTCTGACAGTCTTATCAAAGGCTCAGTCAATATCACAGGGACTCTGAAGCCAGGATGGCTGTTCACAATGGTCCTGAGTTGGGGCAAGGGAGCCAAGCCTGTATAACTCCATTACAATCTGTTTTTGGATGTGGGCTGTGGGAAGGAGCCATGACCTTAGAGGAAAAGACTGTCTTTAGCCAAGGTAACCCATAGAGGACTGACAGGTGAAGGCTGTCTGCAGAACCTGGGAAACATAGTCCTTCCGTCCTGAAAAGGAATACAACAGGCACATTACAGAATTCACTACAGTCATCTAGAAAACAAAGCCATCTGGTATCCATGGAGACAGCTTCCATAGTCACTATTGCCCTTGGAGACAGACACCCACATTCCTAGTGTGGTTGCCTGACAGTGGTGAGGAGGAGGGGGCTGACTATCTGAGTGTCCCCCTGCGATACGATAGCATGTCACCTGGTTCATGACCCCCACACCCAGGTCTCTTTCCAGAGCTCACCCCTTTTTGAGGCTGGCACCACCCTGGACCCACCACCAGCTTCTGTGGCAGTGCTTACTCTGCTGTTTAACCTGCAGTACTAATTCCTGTCTTTCAAGAACTCTGTCTTTCAAGTTCCCCATTATTAACTTTAATGTATGATTATTTATGTGTATCTATTCATGCATCTATGTTTTTATTAATTTAGGTATGAGTGAGTCCTCAGCTCAGTCTGATTCACATCAGAGCTTTTTTAAAAAAATAAATATCAGGAATTTTTAGAGCATGTAAATTATGATTCAATTCACACTTGTCTTTTTATGAGTTACTGCCATGGTGTGAATAAAGCACACAAGTGTCACAAAGATATTAACATAATAATAAGCATTAATCTCCACTAGTAGAGTGTTACTAGGCAGGGTTCCTTCCAGCTGCCATATCAGGAATCCTTCCAGCCTGGGTACTAATGTCATCTTCCTTTGGAGACCAGGCATGAAGAGTCACTCACTTCCTGAAGTCACTGGGACTGAAATCCAGGCAGTCTGGCTCTAGTCTCCAACTCCGCTGCCAATGACCACCAGCATTGCAAACCCGTACACATGCGTATCAGGCAGACCTGGCCGCTGGCAGGCAAGCTAACCAGCTGTGAACCATGGTCACCGCTGCAGGGTAGGGCTCGATGATCAGAATGTGTTCCTTCATTTCTTAACCATGCTGGAAAAAGTATGTAGAGGGACTAAGGGTGTTTTTATTTTCTTTGGCTTTTTTCCTTCCTTCCCTCCCTTCCTATCACCCTTCCTTCTTTCCGTTCTCCCTTTTTCCCTCTCTCTCTCCCTTTCTTCCTTCCTTTTAGAAAAAACAAACCTAACAGTATGTATGTCTAATACATACAAAATCTGGTATTTAATTTTAAAAATTTATTCATACGCTTGGTAAGATTTTTACCAAGCCATTTGGTTTTTTATTCACTCTCTCTGATGTGGATCATGCCTATTCTCCTTCTTGGGATATTAGGAGAAAAAAAGGATACTATGATTTTCTTAAAATGGAGCTGTTTAAATGAAGGAAGCATGTATAAGCCTACCCCTTTAATGGGAGGGTTCAATAAATCCTAGAATTTGCCTGTAATGTGTAGAGGTCTAAAGAGATTTGTCCTATGAGAAAGTTCACTAATTTCAATTATCTGGGTTTTATTATCACCTTCTAAGGGTTAGAGAGACAGGATTTTATAGAATGCCATCACCTGAGGCTGTGACAATGGGGTTTCACACCATTAAATTCAGAAAGCATAAGAGAAGAGATAAGAAATGAGAGGGCTTGAAGTGCATGCCAGTTCCGTTGTGGAAAATATGACCTACTAAGCAGCTATGAGAAATGAAAGCAGGCAGTGTCATCTCATGATCTATTGCTATTGTATGTGAAATGCTTTCTATATTAGCTGTTGTTAATTACCATCATCCCCACCATCACATCATTGTATTTAATAGCAGGAGAAAGGAAGCAGCTGTTGTAGGCAAAGCTCTCACACTTGAGTGTCTATCAGAGTCACCTGGGGGAACGTGTGCAAATGCAGATTGCCAGGCCCTTTGCCTAGTGGTTCACAATGAGTATGATCAGGCTGGAACACAGGAATCTGCATGTTTTCCATCGACTATCTCAGCTGATTCTGATTCAGGTGGTATGAGGATTACACTGAAATAGCAAACCCATGCTTTGTCTCCTGTTAGTCTAGACAGTAGGCATCTTTCTGTTACCTCTTGGGTGTAATGTTTAGTTTAAATTTCAGTTCCTCATCTCTACGAGGGAGTCATAAATTTGCATCTTGCTCACAGAGCTGCTGTGAGGATTAGCTGAGCTCGTGCCCAGAATGGAGCAGCCTCTAATATTTGCTGTGCTGTCTCTAGAGAGCAACAGGGAGGCATTTCATGGTCTTCCCCATCTTGGTCCTCACTGTATCTTTCTGTCCTTACTCTGTGCCTGGGACAGCTTTAGGGCTTAATGAACATAACAGAATGCTGAAGAGCTCAGCCACTGGAGCCCAGCTGCTTGGATGCAAATCTTGGCTCTCCAACTTAATGCCTGTTCATGAGCAAGTTATTTAACCTCCTAGTACCTCAGTTTCCTCCTCTGTAAAATGGGCTTGATTATCATACCCCCATCATAGGTGTTTTTTTTTGGGTGTATGAGATGAATTATTATGACTACAACACTTAAAACCAATAATGAAGTGCCATGTAGATGTTCATTAGGTGAATAAATACAAATATTGTTGATTGAATGCATGTCTGCATGCACGCTGTTTCTTTCCTTATGCTGTTTCTTTCCAACATAATACAGATGTATTCTACTAGCTGACAGACTTTTAAAGTAGAGGCCACTTTTAAAAGCCTGGGCTCCCATGAGAAGGAAATCTGCAGGTATAAGATGGGTTTGTCAGTCAGCAGAGGCATGCTATTGAGAAAAGGAGGCAACCTGGGGAGGGGGTGTTAGAAGAGAGCTTGGGATTCAGTTCTTCTAACCAGGAGAGCTGACAAGTAACAAAATGAGACTCCTTCTGTTGTCTGTTGCAGTAGACAAAGCAAGATGCTTAGTTAACAGCAGCAACCCAGTGCCTGTAATTTTCAAGTCCTTGGAGGCACACCATGTCACCCAAGGTAAGCCAGGGGACACAGGAGGGAAGCAAGAGAAGCCAGGGAGAATCTATTTCCTGTGTCCCCTGTAGGTGTTTGACTCACCTAAAGTTAACACTAATAGAACATTTGCTCAGAAATGTCATCGCTGAAATAAACGTGTTAAATTTAAACTTGACTGCCCCAATTCATCTGTTATGCAATTGAACTGGAAACAGCTCAGACTTAAAAGGCATCTCCAAGTTTTTCTCAGCCAACAAGACTTAGGCCACTTTGTTTTCTCAGATTTTTCAGCCTTGTCCAATTTTTGGATAAAAATCCTTTTTGAAAACTTCAGCAGCCATATTATTTTCTTCTCCAGTCATCAACTTATAACGTAAAGACAAAGCTGTGGGGAAAATCTAAAGTTGCGTCAAATTTTTATTTTCTAGCCAGCTACAGCTCTAGTCTAAAGCTCTTTCTTTTGGGGAGAAAATCCCATTTGCACATTTCCTCTTAGTTGGGTGGACTTACCCATATATACTTGGGTGACATTCAGGAGGCTACTTTGTGTTTTGGCTGTGTATTCTAATTTTTCTTCCGGTACTATATACAGCAAGAGAAGGGGATGTTGTTCAGCTCTTGTTCTACCTAGAACCCAACTGCACTTTTGCAAGAGATGGATACAAAGATGGATGCATAATGCATGATAGTATATTATGAGCACTACTCTTATGGCTTTGCATTGTAAGTAATTTTAATGTAAAACATATTTCTATAGTCTGGTTACAAAAACAAAACATTTTAGAAAATTTGGTCATTCTCCTGAAAACAGCAAAAAGAAGAAAAAAAATCATAAAAGATCTGCTGAAAAATAATCAGTTTTATGTTTTTTCTTTCATGACAGCTTCATCCATCTATCCACCTATCCATTCTTGTAGCTCTCCATCCACCCACCCATCTATATACACCTCCCACCCCCCCACCCACTCATTCATTCATCCACCTACCCATCCATCCATCCACCCATCCATCCATCCATCCACCCATCCATCTATCCATTCATCCATCCATCCATCCATCCATCCAGCCATCCATCCATTCACTTATCCTGCCTTGCATCCTACCTTCTATCCATCTGTCCTTCTACCTTTTCTTCTATCTATCTGTATATTCTTTAATCTATCCATCCATTCATCCTGGGAAGAAATAATAGTATCTTTAAAATGTAGTGCATTGGTTACAAGCACAAGATCTTCAGTGAATCATTTTGTGCATTCAAATTCTGTCTGTATGTATCATGCACTTTCTATGTAACCTTGGGCACGTTTTTATGCTTCTATGGCCTTTTCAGTCTTTAAAAAATGGGGTTAATAATAGTGCCTACCTCATAGGGTTATGTCAGGATTTAATGATATAATCCATATAAGATACTTGACAAAGTGCCTGGCATAGAGGAAGTTCTCAGTAAATATTAGCTGTCTTTATCATTATTATCCTCTTGCTAACTTAACAGAGTTTTCAAGATCTGGTGAGAAAACATGTAAAAGATACATAATATAATGTCTATTAAAATTATAATTATAAATGCAGTCATAAATATACACATGTATATTTCATTTATGTTACTGATATCCATCTGTTTCATCAGCTCATTTTAAAGGTTTCTTTAATAGCTGAAAAATATTCTGTAGTACAAATATTTATAATCAAACTGTTATAGCTATTCATTTAGACTATATCAAATTTCTGTTGTTATTAATAATGCTGCAGTGAACATCCTTATTCAGTTATTTCCTTAGATTAAGTTTTCAGAAGTGAAATTGGTGGTTACAGAGTGTACACATTGCAAAGCTGAATCATATTGCCACAGTGCCTGGTGTTTGCATTTCCATATGGTTTTGATGGCCAGGTTTTCTGCACTATTGCCAGTGTATGTGTTATCACTGCAAACGTTTGCCATTTCGGTAGACAAACATGGGATGTTATTGCTATTTTATTAACTTGTTTTTATTTGATCACCAGCAAAGTTAAACTTTGCCATGTGTTTTTTGACCATATTCATTTCTGTTTCTTAAAATTATCAACTTAGAATATTTGTGCAATTTTTTTTTTTTACATGTGGAGCTTGTTCTTAATGATTCTGCCAGGGCTTAAAATTTTTACTTTCTAATGAGAAAGTTTTGGAATTTACTCTTTTCCAATTTATGAAAATTGGACACCGGCTCCATGCACTGTTCTAAGCCTTTTTCTGTGTTCTCTGTGATTCCTTAGAGCTTACTAACTGTGACCCTCCAGTCAAAACCATGTTTAACCAAGTGCTGATGGGCTTGAGTCCATTCCCAAGTGACTCGGAAGTTGCTTACTTCCCTACCTTTGAGTGGGTCTCATTTTATCTCCGTGATGTTTTCCTTGTCCTTCTAAGTCATATTCACTCTGCTCATTGAAGAAAAATGGTTGGTAATTGTAGTGGATAACTACTCCATTCTGTATGCCTTCTATGTCTTTTCTTGATGTGTGCACCTCTTTCTTTATCCTTATTTTTAAACTTGTGCTTATTAGATAGGTTTCTGTACAACCATATCTGTGTAGGTTTCTCACCCTAGAAGCCTCCTTTTAAATAGGGCAAAGAAGCTACCTAAAGATTTCTCTTTAATATAGGGAGGAAACCACTTTCGAACTTGTGCCCAAAGATTTATCTTCACCAATGGTCTAGGACAGAGGTCGGAAAACTTTTACTGTAAAGGGCCAAATAATACATACTTTCAGCTTTGCAGGCCAGCTGGCCTGTGTTGTGACTACTACACAAAAGTAGTAAGAGTCTAATTTGGCCCAGGAGTTTGCTGATTCCTGGTCTAAATGAGAGTAAAGAATGGGAAAGGGAATGGTGTGGGAGGAATAGGCATTTTCATTCATTGTTGTTAATGAGAAAGAGTCTTCAAACACCAGCATGCCCCTGTGGGTTGGATTAGGTTAGAAAATCCTTGGAGGACTGCCTTTTCCACCCCAGAGTCCTGGAGAGAAGAATGCAGCCTGACAGGAAGGATCTGGGTAGGTGACATGTGGGGAGAGGATTAAAAGAAAGGAGGGCCAGTGGCTCACGCCTGTAATCCCAGCGCTTTGGGAGGCCAAGGTGGGCAGATCACGTGAGGTCAGGAGTTCGAGACGAGTCTGGCCAACGTGGTGAAACCTCATCTCTATTAAAAATACAAAAATTAGCTGGGCGTGGTGGTGCACACCTGTAGTCCCAGCTACTCTGGAGTCTGAGGCAGGAGAATTGCTTGAACCCTGCGGATGAGAGGTTGCAGTGATCTGAGCTCGCACCACTGCACTCTAGCCTGGGTAACAGAGTGAGACTCCGTCTCAGAAAAAAAAAGAAAGGAGAAGAGTGTCTCAAGGGTTTTTTTTTCCAGCAGGTGAACCCAGCCTCCCTAGCAACCCAAGGTTAAGAACGTGTTGAAAACAGCATGGAAGCCCATTCTGGAAAGCAGTGGTGATTGTGATTCTGAACTTAAACAGCTTCCCTTAAACACACTGTTACTTCAGAAAAGTACGGTTTTGGCCAAAGGGCTGTATGTCAGGTATTTACTTGCTCATCTTGGTGGGTTTTGTTTGTTTTTGTCTTTTTGGTTAGCCATCTAAGACATTATTTTTCTGAGATCCAAGTTCCAAAAAGCACCGAACAACCTTTTGGGAAGAAAACATACATAGTGTGTAGGTGCTACCGATTTGTATCCTCTATGACCTTGCCATAGAAAGGCAAATCAGACGGGCGCTCCCATTGCCTCATTGCAGGCTGCCATTTTCATATAAGCTTCATGAAATCTGGGAGAATAAAGGCAAAAGGTTTGATCTGGCTGTGACAGGGAATATTGTGAAGCTGCTGGACTGGGCCTGTGGGTTGCCTGTGACTGTCATCAAGTTCTTCTTCTCTGGAGGCTTCAAATTCCTCCTCTGTCAAATGAAGGGACTGGACTAGAAACAGAATGGCAAGTACAGGGCAAATGCCCCAGTGCTCTCTGTCCCTGCTGCCTCTGGCAGCCACTTCTGCTCCCCCACAGCATCTCCTGGTCGCCTGGACAGAAAGCCTCCTCCATGCAGCACTGCTCCAGGAACTGTTCTCAGCCATTAAAGCAGGGTTCAGAAAAGCTTGGAGGAAGATGGCCTTGTAGACCTCCCCTAGCACTGAAGTTCTGTGATGCTTAGCATATGTGAAACTCAAGTTTCTTCTGTTCCTGAATGGGGATTATTTATTGCCTTGGACAGCAGCCCTGAAACTTGATCCATTTAGCTGCCCCTAAGTGTAGTTAAGCCCCGTGAAATGTAAACTTCGCAAGTAAATGGACCATTGCCATTTGCCTCTGTCTTCTAGATGCAATTGTTTTCTATAGTCTGTCTTGTGGCCGGTTATAAAATGTCTGTCTTGAGCAAGCTGGGGAGGAGGGTGGATAGCTTTCGATTTGCCCAAGTTTGTTAATGTTTCATTGCTTGGGGTGTTTTAAGATCCTGTGCCTTTAATAGATTTCCTGAACTAACAGTTTGCCTTATTTACTTCCCTGGGCTATAATCATTATTGTGGCTGACCATGTTGATAAGCTACTCTGTGAAGCCTTCTCTAATGAATGAGAGTCACTCTTCAAGTGGTTATTCCCCTTAACCTTATTTTCAATCACAGAAAATCATTCTCACAGAAAGTATTCTTTCCTTTTGTTCAAAAAATACCCCCTTGAATGTTTTAAATGTCACTGTTTTTTCAGTTCTAAATAATTTTTAATTGGTTTTTACATGAAGTTAACTGTAGCACTCTTGATTCAGGAAAATTGTGCTTGTCTGTCTCTCTATTATCTCTCTCTCTCTCTCTCTCTCTACCTACCTACCTATCTACCAACCAACCAACCTATCTAAAATCTATCTATAATCTATTAGTTTTTCTTGCTTCACAAATGACTTAAGGCAACTCGCTTTCGGGTTGATGGAAGAAAAAATACAAGTAGCAAACTTGGATGAAGTTGGAAGAAACTTGGCACCCACTGTGTCTGGCATGTGCAGATATGAGTGATGGTCTATAAATTTAGGATCTTATTAACAGCCAAAGCAAAGAGTACAATTTTTCCATGTATCTGGTTTATAGTATCCACAGGATACAAGCATGCTGGTTGATCAAATGTTGCATCTATATCTTTGTGATTAACACCTGACAGATATTTCTATGATGCGTTCTGACAGGGTTACACATGACAGAGTTGGCTCTGTCTATGTTGTACTTAATATTATTGTAGAAAGAAAAATTGAGTATATCTTGTGAAAAATAGTTCCATTTGAAAGTCCATTTCTTTCAAATTCAAAGAAAGAAAACAACTAAAATACGTAAGTCTAAAGGGCATGGTTGATTTAGGATTTTCGAGTGGGAAGACTATTAAAAGAGATGCTTGCTCAAGAGAGTATAGACTCTTCTTTGGAAATTGGCATGGGCCACAGACCTCCATAGGTAATACATTTAAAACACAAATGCTTTTTGGGGTACTGTCTCCCAGTACTTTGTTTTTGAAGATTTGTGACTACATGGTTTCAGTGCTATATCTAATAAAACTGGCTTCAAAACGCAGAGCACTAGCATTTTCATATGTTTCAGTAAGTCTCCCAGCCTTCGTGATTCTAGAGACACCAATCAGTTGATGCTAGCTGCAGTTGCTAGAGATTCCTTCCTGGAATTTTGATGTAGGCTTGTAAGGAGGGACCATACTTAACATGGAAAATTAATGACCTGAGAGCCTGTCCCAAAAGAAATGCTCCAGGCAGGAGATCTTCAACAATAGCCATCTAGAGTTTCAGTTATCTAGGATAGAACAGTGTATAGGCTGGAAAGACCCAGCCCTTTCAGTAAGGCATGTGAGTTTGATCACTCACCACCATCTCCAGCCTCAGCCTTCTTGGAAGGCCCCAGACTTAATGGTCATTTCCAACCCTCTTTAAAAACGATTCCTTTGCTAGAGTCGGAATAAATAATTGAGGCAGGCTTCTCCAGAATCTCATTGGTGTCAGCTATGGAGTCATCAACAGATGAAATTATTCCATCAGGATAGTAAATTAAATGGCAGTCTTAGAGTGGAGTTTTCAAGGTCTTCTTACATTTGTAACATTTGTTGTCCTACATAGTCTTCATACAAACTATAAATTGAGCATGAGAGACATTCTTTTTTTTTTTTTTTTTCCAAGACTAACTTTTGCTCTGTAGCCCAGGCTAGAGTGCAATGGCATGATCTTGGCTCACTGCAACCTCCGCCTCCCAGGTTCAAGCAATTATCCTGCCTCAGCCTCCCGAATAGCTGAGATTATATGCATGCACCACCACGCCCAGCTAATTTTTGTATCTTTAGTGGAGACAGCATTTTACCGTGTTGGCCAGGCTGGTCTTGAACTCCTGACCTCCAGTGATCTGCCCACCGCAGCCTCCCAAAGTGCTGGGATTACAGGCGTGAGCCACTGTGCCTGGCCGGCAGCAATTCTTTTATATACTTGGAGGGTAGGCACTTGAAGCCCAGAAAGGCTAAAAGACTAGGACATTAAGTCATAGAGGAGGGTTTTTTTTTTTTTTTTTAAGTTTTGTTGTTGGTCGTGATGGTGTTATTCAATTCTTTTATTATCTCAGAACTCATGTCATACTGCCCCAGCCTCTGTATCAGCATTATGTAGCAATGATGTTACTGAGCCTGATCTCTGTAAGAGGCTCTGAATAAAATGAGTTCCATGCTGGAACTTATGTGGAGAATCTATGTTCTGTATCTCTCCCTTGGGGACTCTTAATTTCCTGGGTAGTGAAGAGGTCCTCTAAGAAAGAAGCAGATTTCGTGGAACCCAGGATTTCCCATCCTCTTTTTATCTGCACTGCATTTTAGGAGCTTTTAAATTTCTGTTCTGGAGTTGGGCATCTCTTCAAGGTTAAGACTCAAGGGCTGTTTGTATTCCTCTTGGATTTGCCTACATTTAGCAAAGCAGAAACTCAACACATTGTTGAAAATACTGAATTTCACTGGGCATATATTTTGGGTTGTCTGGAAGATCCCACCTATTGAGTACACTGCACCATCACCCCTCCAACTGCTCATGCACTTATCGGACATATGTTGTTATTTTTGGATCAGAAAATACCATCCCAGTAGAAGTAGGAGTGATCAGTGTGACAGAGAGCTGTCTGTATTGCGGCTGTAAATGCCAGTGACCATGGCATTGAGCAGACCATAGGTTATACTTACTGTCGTGGTTCTCACCTAAAGTACACATCACACTTTGGGTTTCCATAGGACCAGGCAACATAATGACCCACCTGAAGATGAAATGATTTTGAAATACCAGGCCCTTATCATGGGCTAGGGACAGTGTGGACATTCATATATGTGAATGCTCCTTAAAGCTTCCCTATAACCTTGGATACTGCTGGTCACGTGTCCCTTAAATATAGATGAGGAAATTACAGCTCTGAGACAATTGTTGTTGGTCAGTATCCTTTTGATCCTTTGTTTGTAAATCTTGCCCAGTTGGGGCTGCATGAGGTTGAAAGCTCAGACTGCTTCACTTCCAACCTCAGCTCGTCCCTTTATGAAGGGAGGCAGCTCAACTGCCTCCCTTCCAACCTCAGCTCATCCCTTTATGAGCTCATAGCCTTGGGCAAATTACTTAACCTGTTGGTGTTCAGTTTCCTCATATGTGAAATGAAAATGATGGTATCATTTCCTCCTAATGCTGACTTGAGGATTAAATGAGTTAACACACATAACGCTTAGGATGGTGGTGGACGTACAAAACACTCAATAAGAATTTGCTTTTGTTATTATTACTTGTTCACATCTATGCAGCATTTGTGCCTGCATGCTCACACACTCTAGTCTTACGCAGCTTATTCACCAACATTGGTTCGGGATGACATTTGACTGTTTTCAAAAGTCAAATCCACTTTTCATGGACAAAGATTTTCCTTCATAAGTGTTATTCAAAAGATTGTGCTGTCTGCCCTGAAAACAGTTCTTATGGAGGAGACCAAAAGTATTTTTGGTAAATGACAGTCTGTGTAGAGTGAGTCATGTCACTAGATGTGTACTTGGAAGGGCAAAACAGTTATTTCAATGTACAAATTATTGCCTCATTACTTTATCACATACCAGAAGAGAGTTTGGGATGGATCTAAGAAGTATAACAAAACCACTGCAAGTTGTTCTGTCATTTAGCATTTAATTAAAAATAACTAGAGAAACAACTATTTGAAATGCTCAGTGTTTTTCTTCTTTTTTTTTCATGTAACAATATGTTTAGTGAATTTTTCAAATTACTAAAAGCATTCAGGCAGTTCTAGAAATTTGCATCTTGTAACCCTTTAGTTGTTTTTATTTAGAATGTTGGCATTTTACAGTAGTGTCAAGTATGGTAATTATTTTTCATAGATATTGAATTTAAAAGAGTAATCCCTAAACACATTTTGACATTTGGCTCTCCAAGACAAAGTTTGTAAAAAAATTGTGACCTGTGAACGGTAACTTTACTATATACTTGTTTGACCATTATCTAAGAAATATGCCTTTAATGAATAAGAGGGAAAAAGATGAGGTCAGACATCAAAGTCCCTGTAATTCTAATGTGAACAACCATGATTCCTGAATTCCATGTAAATTAGCACTACAGAATGAAAGCAAACAAACAAGCAAACCTCAAACAGAGAAACCTCAAAATTACTAGAGCCAATTAGATATTCAAAGGAAAAGTCTCAGTTTTTAATACCTTATAAAATCACACAAATACATACACATATGTGTTGGCATCAGCAGTTTTGATAGACATGGCTTAAAATAGGAGAAATCCAAAAATAGATAAAGGCACTTTTAATATGGCCTAAGCCATAGCAGGAAGTATTAATAACATGCCGATTTTTTACTCCAAAAAGAACTGAGTGTGCAAAGCAAACCAAGAAAGAAATGTGGACTGGGCCAACTAATGGGTTTCTAATCATTGTTAATCTACAAGTGTGATCAGTTTATTATAAAGTGTTAATTTTTCCTGTGGGTAATACTTGGAGAAATACAGTATACCACTCATTTCCAAAGTGATGAAATGGCTTTCTGTTTGGCATGCAGGAAAGTGAACCTCTTTAGTTTAGAATATGGGTTGGATATGCTTGCCAGGTCTGGGCTATTCCCTGCTGCCTCTGAGCGAAAGCTCAGGAAGCCAGAACCTGAATCTCTTCGAGGAAGTTCTACAGCTGACTTTTAATCATTGGGCCATAGCACAACACCTATTAGCTCGCTTACGTCTAGGTCAGTAGAACCTCCTCTGGACCTCAGCTACTCTTCCCACTCTGCATCTCGAGACACTTGCCTTCTTTCCATGTGACTTATCGCTAAGCTCCTGACTGCATGAACCTCCTTCCTTCCACTGGTCCAAGTGACATCATTCCCCCGTCCTCACTCCCAATACCACCACTTCAGTAACCTCCCACATGTTTTCCTGCTCTACTTTAATCCAGTCTACACAGAGAGAGCAGCCAGCCACTATCCTGTTTTATTTATTTATTTTTTTACTTCCTTAACAGACGTTTACTGGATATGTCCTGAATCCCAGTCACTGTGTTAGGAAGTAGCTCAATCCGTTGTCTGTACACCTCCATGCATCCGTTCCTTCATTCAATGATGAGTACATAGGACAGGCCAGTTTTGTTCTCCAGGCTGGTCTCGAACTCCTGGGCTCAAGCAATCCACCTGTCTTGGCCTTCCAAAGAGATGAGATTACAGGTGTGAGCCACTCTGCCCAGCTCCAGGGCAGGATTAAAGGATTGTTCTCCCATGTTGGAAGAAAACAGAGTTCAGGCCCCAAGGCAACTGACATTTTACTGGGCCAGACAGTGCCTTAACAATAATAGGGCAGGCGTGGTGGCTCAAGCCTGTAATCCCAGCACTTTGAGAGGCTGAGGCGAGTGGATCACCTGAAGTCAAGAGTTCGAGACCAGCCTGGCCAAAATGGTGAAACGTCATCTCTACTAATAATACAAAAATTAGCCAGGCATGGTGGCGTGCACCTGTAACCCCAGCTACTTGGGAGGCTGAGGCAAGAGAATCGCTTGAACCCAGGAGACAGAGGTTGCAGTGAGCCAAGATTGTGCCACTGCACTCCAGCCTGGGCAACACAGCAAAACCTCCATCTCAAAAAAAGAGAAAAAGAAAACAATAATATAATTCAGGTAGTGAAAACATCCCAGAAAAAAATAAAATAAAATAGAGACGATGGGAAGTAATGGGAAGGCTGTAGCTAGCATGGCCACGGCAGGCCTTCCCAGCAGGGCATTTGAGGGAGACAGAAATAAAATGAGAGGCAAGTGACGTGAATATGTGTGAGTGTGCTCTAACCAGAGAGGAAGACTATGGCGAAGGCCTTGGTGAGTCTGAGAAATGCCAAGAAGGAAGGCCAGGCTAGGGAGTCGTGAGCAAGGTGGCGGATGGGAAAGGTGGGGACACAGAGGTAGGGAAGGGGGATGATCTTGTGGGGCCTTTTATGCCACGGTAAGGAGGTTGGATTGTATCAGCCATGATGTTTTCCTTCTTCCTGTCAAGGTGAAATTTATATGACGTAGAATCACTCATTTTAAGGTGAACAATTCAGTGGCATTTAGCGTATTTGCAGTGCTTTGCAATCACCACCTCTACCTAGTTCAAAACATTTTCATCACCCCAAAAGGAGAGCTCATACTCATTAAGCAGCCGTTCTGCATTCCTCTACCTCCAGCCCTTGACATCCACCAATACTACTTTCTGTCTCTAAAAATTTACCTTTTTTGATATTAAGAAGAAAAGACACCCACACATATACTCAATTGTGTCCTTCCCTGGCTTGTTACCCTCCCTCCTTCATCACACTTAGGCTCAAACACAAATTTGCCACCATCCCCTCATCATCTGGTCCTTTTCCATTTCTTTAGTCTAACTTCCTGCTAGTCTTTTCTTCACTCTTTAAGAGTAAAGGCCCAGACTCACTGGTTCTCCTCAAGTGGTGTGTTTGTTACAATTGATGAACCCACATTGACACACAATTACCAACCAAAGATGCCATGCTTTATATCAGGGTTCACTCTTAATATTATGCGCTGTATGGGTTGGGATAAATGACATGCATTCACCATCATAGAAACTTTGAATTATGTGAGGTAGTAGATGATGAAACAAACATTACATACTAGGAAAGGGACGCCTCTCCCTTTTTTTTTTTTTAAAGAGGGGTGTTTTCTGCTTGGTTTTGTCCATTATAAACTGTTAGATTAACCATTTGTACAGCCAATGAAATAGCTTTAAGGGAGGCACTCAGGAGCTTGAACACGTCCACAGAAATTCCAAGGTCTCTCCAGTATCAACTTGCAGTACGTCAAGCCAGTACACATGGGAGAGCCTTGAAGGGGTACAAGATCAGCCTCCCCTCTGCTCTTTGAACACACTGAGCTTGTGGCTGCCTCAAAGCCTTCGCAGGCATTATCCCTCTTGCAAATTTTTTCATGGGTAGTGCTTCCTGTCATTCAGTTCTCAGATCAAACACTACCTCTTTAAGAGCTCTTCACTGCCTACTTTAAGGCATCACCCTGTTTTATGTTGTTTATATAATATTTCACAACCTGACATTCTCTCATTCATTCATTCGTATCTTACCTGTTTCCCTGTAGAAGTATAGGCTTCATGGTGAGCAATAGCCTTATTTTCCTTGTTAACGGGTGTATTTCCAGCACTTCTTACAACACTGCCAGGCATATTGCAGATTGAGATAGTCTGAGTCTTCTGAGAACTAGGATTAGGATTTTTTTTTTTTTTTTTTTTTTTTTTTTTTTTTGAAACAAGGTCTTCCTCTGTCTCCCAGGCTGGAGTGCAGTGGCGCTATCACAGCTTATTGCAGTCTTGGCCTCCTGGACTCAAGTAATCCTCCCACCTCTCATCCTCCTGAGAAGCTGGGACTACAGGGGTTCCCCACTATGCCTGGGTAATTTTTGTATTTTTTTTTTAGAGATTGGGTTTTGCCATGTTGTTCAGGCTGGTCTCAAACTCCTGGGCTCAAGCAATCCGCCTGCCTTGGCCTTCCAAAGAGATGGGATTACAGGTGTGAGCCAAGGTGCCCAGCTCCAGGACAGGATTAAAGTGTGAAAAAATTATTAGGGGATATACCTGGGAGATCAAATGAGGTGGGAGTTGGGAGACTGGAAGAGCTGTCAGACCAGATGCAGGTCTGACTCTCAGTGAATAAGAGACGAAAGAAAGAAAGATTGAGTGGAATTATTTTAGACTGCTGTGCAATTCTTTTTTTTTTTTTTTTTTTTTTTTTTTTGAGACGGAGTCTCACTTTGTCACCCAGGCTGGAGTGTAGTGGTGCAGTCTCGGCTCACTGCAAGCTCCGCCTCCCAGGTTCACAGCATTCTCCTGCCTCAGCCTCCCCAGTCGCTGGGACTACAGGTGCCCGCCATCACGCCCAGCTAATTTTTTTGTATTTTTAGTAGAGATGGGGTTTCATCATGTTAGCCAGGATGGTCTCAGTATCCTGACCTCGTGATTTCCTGCCTCGGCCTCCCAAAGTGCTGGGATTACAGGCATGAGCCACCGTGCCCTGCCACACTGCTGTGCAATTCTAAAGAATTCTGGGAGTGCTGTCAGAGAGTACTTGAGCCAAAGTTGCCCATCAAAAAAGTTTTAAATTCACAGGAGTGGGTTTGCCTTAGCATAGCTTTTGAACTAAGTAACTGGCCAGCAGCAGCATGTGGAAGCATGACCTTGGCAAGAAATGTGGCCACAGATATCAGCACACAGCAGCTGGGGTAGCTGATCAATGTACTTCCTTCAATGAGAGATCTGTGAGGTGCATTTCCATGGCCACCACAGAGATGTATAAGAAATATTAGTTCAATGAATGAATAATGAATAAATGAATGAATGAAAGAATTACTCCTTCATGTTATGTTTATAACTGGCTCTTCCTCCAGGTTTTCTGCCTCACTTTTGGCTCTCTCAGCTACTTTATTACTGAGAATTTATCTGTACTGTCTAGTTTTACAGCAACGCTGGGAGCTGCTATTATCCATCCCCATTTTATAGATGAGGAAAATAAGCCTCCAGATAGGTTATGCAACTTACTCAACCAAGCTCAACAACTAATAAATGACTCAGCTCTGTCTTCTGAAGTTGACACTTAAAGCCCATACCCTTAGCTATTAATGCTGTACATTGCCAATGCAAGGTGGATAAAGACGTGGAGAAATACTCTGCCCTGCTGAGTAGAGTCCTGAAACTGCAAGGGGTGGGGAAATAGCAATGAATCCTAGGCTTAGGCCAGGTAACTAAGATGTGCCTTTATGAGTTTATCTTGATCATTTCTTTATTCATTCATTTATCATTGGCCATTTATTCATTGTTCACTAGTCGGCAAACATTTATCAAACTCCTTTGCATGCCAGTCCATGGACTAAGTGTTAATCTTTATGCCTCTGATGCTTATCATCTGCACCGTCCAATACAGTAAGCCACGTGGAGCTATTGAGCACTTGAAATACAGTTGGCCTCAATTGAGATGTGTTGTGAATATAAAACATATACAGTTCTCAAAGAGTGAATAAAGAAAAAATTATTTTTAAAATCTCATGAATAGTTTTTATACTGATTACATATTAAAATGATAGTTTTTGGTCATATAATGTTAAACGAAACATATTGTTAAAATTAATTCCACCCATTTCTTTTTATAATTATTAAGGTGACATTAGACAATTAAAAATGAACATGGCCGGGCGTGGTGGCTCATTCCAGTAATCTCAGCATTTTGGGAGGCCAAGGTGGGTGGATCACCCGAGATCAGGAGTCTGAGACCAGCCTGGCCAACATCGTGAAACCCCGTCTCTACTAAAAATACAAAAGTTAGCCGGGCATGCTGGCATGTGCCTGTAATTCCGGCTACTCAGGAGGTGGAGACAGGAGAATTACTTGAACCTGGGAGGCAGAGGTTGCAGTGAGCCAAGATCTCGCCACTGCCCTACAGCTTGGGAGACAGATTGAGACTCCATCTCAAAAAAATGAACATATGGTTCCTATTATAATTCTCTTGAATTATAGCACTGGTCTCATGGATGATATAGATAGTGGTCTAAAAGTCCAGAGGTTTCTGAGGTCACAGAGCCCGGAGCAAATGTCTGTGGGGAATGTTTACAGAGGTGGGAGATTTCACCTGGGCCTTGATGAGAGCACTAGATTTTACCTGATGGATGAAGCAGGGAATGGTCTTCCCAGTGAATGATGGAAGGGTGGAGTAGTGGAGAGAAAAGCTTCATCCAGTTATTTGGGGCTGGAATTCTAAGTGAAGTTGTCTCAAGTTGGGTTTTCTAGGAAACAGAGTCTGAGCTGCAGTTTAGCATTTTTATTTATTAAAGTGCTTGTTTATTAAAGAGTATGCTTAACTTCACTCAGTATGTAGATATGGGCTTCCCTGGAAGGGGCAAAACCTTGGATGAGGCAGCTCTCTGCAGCTGAGGTAATTCCCAAGAGGACCAGCATTCAGACTGTCCCCCAAGATCACACTCATCAACTAGGATGACAAGTCCTTTTTGAAGGACCATCTGAAGGGTCCATCACAGTGTCCACTTCAGTTGTCTAGAGAAATAGAGGGCACAGTGTGCCTTCCTTTACTGCAAGCTCAGTCCACAGGGTCTCACATTAGCTGAGTGTGTGGGAGGAAGACCAAGTGTCTGTGATGTCAGGTGGGTATTTCGGAGTGTATATAAATTACAGTAAGGGCAGTGTCAAATGAGTATGTGTAATGCATCTACCCATGGTCCCTAGAGTCCACTAGAAGACAATTTCTTGGTGTTTAAGAGATTATTCTTTTAATAATTCATTGATCTTAACAATACAATACATCAATGGTTTACGCAAAAGCCATGTTTTATCTGCAATGCACTTCTAAATTGAAAGGTATCATAAAATGGCACTTAACTTTCAGAATCCTTATGTTATCTAAAGCTCAGTTTCAGATTTGTTTGATGATAACGAATATCCTGTCTATTTTATTATCTAGTACAAGCCCTAGTTTCGGAACTCAGAAATAAATGAGGCAATGCCTGCAGGTGGGTGGCACGTGTAGGTGCCTGTGTGTGTGTGTGTGTTTGCGTGTTTTGGAGTATGCATGGATTTGGCCTTATAGTTTATTGAGAGCATTTTTGCACTGGTTTATAGTCATGCAGTGAAGCACCTCTGCATTTCTCACCTGGCCCATTTAGTGTGGACACATTCCTTTGTCAACAAGGACATAAAGCCACAATCTCCTCCTCCAAACAAAACAAAGTGAATCGCTATGTGTTCGGTATAATGGGATTGAGAAGTAGAGTTCTCTTTGCTGTTATTTCTCCATAATAGGCCCATGATTTCCTGGCCCCTGGCATTCAGGATAGTGAGCATGTGCAAGTGATTACGAGGGCAGAGCAGTTGCCAGTTTTCCCTGTAGCTTTCAGAATGTCATCAGAAATCTACACGTATGGGCAGTGAGGTCTGGCTCTCCCATGTCTCCCCTGCCCCATCTTGATTGCTCTCTCTCTCTCTTGCTTTCTATTTCCCAGAAACATGAACTTACTTTGACTTTTCCAAATATACCATGTTCCTTACCACCCAGTGTCCTTGCAGCTGCCATTCCCTCTGCCAAGAGTGATTCTTGCTGGGCCCCTTTTAGATCACATCTTTATTCCTGGTGGACAGAAAGAACCAGGACAACAAGCCCATGCCTGTCCCAAGTATAGCTGAGTGCTTGACACTTAGAGAATGTGAATAAGTGAATGAGCACAGCATAAATGAAATACCACAAACAGGCCAAGCCAAATAAACTCTGAAGTTGAGTTTTACTTGGTTATTAATGATCTTTGGCACAAGAGTTTCAGTGACTTGATAAGGCCACAAGCCAAGTGTGGCCTGGTTCAAGAAGTACAGGGATGATACAGACAAGACAGAAAGGAAATAAATTCTATCAAAAAGCTCAGCTGTCTTGAAAAAGCAAGAGATAAGAAATAACTTCAGAGGTGGGTAGAATTGAGAAAAGGATTTCTATTTTGTTATTTTCCCCGAATAAATAAGCCTTAAACATGTTTGTAAGCTGCTGTGAAGTAACCAGCAGAGAGGAAGTGATTGAAGATGAGAGAGAGAAACAGAGTAATTGATGAACCAACGTCCCCGAGGAGACGGGAGGGATGAAATCAAGAGTATAGGTCAAGAGGCGAGCCTGGGAGAGGCCAGTGCTAAGGCAGGTGATATTTCTGCCCGGCCGTTAGCTTTTGTGCAGAATAGTGAAGGAAGAATCAATCACTTCCTTTCTGGCTGGGTAAATGCCAAGAAATTCTATGGCAGAAACTTCCCCAGGCAGGAGACTCAGAATTAATTGTTAGGATTAAGCATAAACCAAAACGAGCAGGGAAATCCCAAGCACTAAATCCCAGGAATGGGGCCTTCATGGATAAAGGAACTTCATCTGTGAATGATCCAGGAGCCCAGAATGCCAAGGGAAGTTTCTAGGTTCTTGGAGATCAAGTTAATGCCCCTCATAAGGTTGTTTCACATGAGCCAAAATGTATATTGATTTTTTTTTTTTTTTTGCCTTTATTACACTTCCAGAAAGAGAGCATGATCTCCTGGAATCTGTTTAGGGAATAAAAATGTCCGTACAGAAGAAAAAGGTTGTTTTTTGACCTTCTGCTGACACTGTCTTCTTGCTCTCATCACAGCTTATTTTCTAGCAATATGAGGCCCACAAATTAGGAATCTCCTTGCAGGCCTTCAAATATGATTTACCTGATTAATAAAATCTTAGTGGAATAGATAGTATTCTCCTGTGTGTGTGTGTGTGTGTGTGTGTGTGTGTGTGTGTGTGTGTCTGATGATTGGGGTTCTTGGATACTTAGGGTGCAGGGATGAGGGCAAGCTGACCTTGTTTTTCATCTAGGAGACCTGACAAAGATGGTGGGCTGAGATAGCCGTGTAAAGCTAAAACAGAAATACTTAGTGAACAAGCAAGTGTGTGAGTGAATAGATCAAAGAATGAATGAAACTACCCTCTGCACTCTAGGTTCTAGAAGGCACCCTGAAAAAGGCATGTTGCTTGGGGTATAATAATTGCTCAATATATTTTTCAGTAAGGAATAAAAGAACCAACAAATATTGATTGGATTAAATGGATTAATAACTGATAAACACTTACAGGGCTGCGGCATGTGCTAGGTATAATGTATTACATAGATAAAATGGATACGAACCATATACCAGGCCCTGTGCCAATTGCCTGCATGTAACTCAAAACAAAAGACAAAGGTCTTGCCCTCATGGAGCCTGAAGTCCAGTGAGGGTTTCGTTAAACTTGTAGGACACCATTTCCATGCCTTCCATCAGTAGAGCAGATTCTCTGTGCAGATACTTTTCACACAAACAATGCCTAACCATCCCAGAAAATCTGAGCGGTGTTAGCAACCTCACTTTCTCTGAGATAAAGCTGAGATTTCTTTTAGTGACTTGTCCAAGGTCACATAGCTATTACGTGGCAGAGTCAAGACTCAAACACAAGTCTGTCTCATTTCAAAACTTGGGCTGTTTGCCTATATCAAACTGCCTTTAATTTGCCCATTTTAAAGCAGGAAAGAACTAAAAGGCTTGCTTTGATGGATGTGAGGTGATTTGTTAAAAGCTTAAGAGACTGCCATTTTTCATGATATGCGTAAATGTGCCCTAACCTCCTGAAGCAATATAAAGTGGTTCTTTATGTTCTTAGGGTATTCCCCATCTAAGGTAAAAATTATCAAAACTACTGGGGAGAAAGCTTCTCTGGAGATTTGCCTTATAAAATAAACAGAAATCAATTTTGACTTGTTTTCTAATCATGATAAATGAAGCCAGGTTAGGAGAAAAAAAAAAAAAAGTCCCAGCATTAGTTGAGGATCATTTTGCCAGGATACATTGGTCTTTGACAAGCAATTAAGAAGTCCTGTGATTGTGCCTGGCAGTGCCACAGCTCAGCACACTCCTGATTAATTCTCATTTTCTTTCTTTCCTCGGGATTTATTTACTCGTTTCACTTGGAATGTGTTTAGCTTCTTAACCTCCCCCACCCCTCTTTTCTCACGTGCTTCTTTGCTTGGCCCCCTACAACTCTACCTATACATTAATCAGTGTCATATTCATTACTGCTGGTGAAATGCCATACAACATTGGCATTCATTCATTTTTGTCTCTTCTGTTGAGCCATTCATGGTAGATTTCCCCAACGAAACCTACCATGTTTGTTTTCTGTATTTCCCACCAGATGTTCTTTTAAAAGCCAGAAGATGTCTGCCTTGGTCTGGTTGGTATAAAGAGGGTTCATCCAATATAAACTGCCAACAGTAGGTTGGAAATACTCATCAGTATGGAAAGGGCGAAGTCTGGGCAAATTGGATGGGTCTTGGAGAAGCTCTAAGAGTTGGAATCTACATCATCATCTTTGTCTTCATGGCTAGCAACTGTTGACTCCTTTCTCTAGTTCAGGCATTCTGTCTGACTCTTACATTATTTCTTTGAATCCTTACAACAACTCTATAAAGATGGTAATGGAAAAAGACAAGATGACCAAGATTCAGAGACTTTAAAGCACATGAGCAGTAAGTGGTGAAACCACCTCAGGCCTCTGCCTGTTGACTTATTCATAGGATAACCCACAGAAACACTAATTCAAACATGGTGTCAGAAACAGCAGCAGTAATGAATGCCTCAATGAAAAACATTTGGCCCAGCACCTTGGTTAGGTTGAGTTTGCATGGCAACCCTATTGAATCATGGGTTTCTCAGAGCTGGGAGCTGCACCATGCCATCTACCTGCACCTGTCCTCTTTGGAGGCTGGGTTGGTGTTTGACCCTGTGAAGAGCTTTGGATTGCTTTGCCTACCCGCAGTGGACTTGCTCACACATAAGTGGGAGCCCTAGCTCATGGTCTCCAAATTTTTATCCTCATCGTTTCTTCCCACCTAGTTTTTTCCTAATTCTGGCCCTTCCTGGCCACCCACCCTGCCATTATCTTTCTCTGACGCTTAGGACTTGAACCCTTTTTTCATCCTTTTTGTTTTATTCTGGTGTTTTAGTCGTGAGCTAACTGGAAAATGCTTCTCACAGTTTAATTGCCGTGGAAACTTTCTACTTGGAATCAGACCCTAACGGGTTTTTTCCCTTTCCTTAGGGGGCTGTGCATATAGGAAAAGGGAACATATATGTTATCCCTCATGTGTTAGGGGCTGTATAGTAACAAGCCTGGAATAACCCTTAGAGCACCTTCATAGGGAAGGTAGGGTTTATTATCCATGTTTCGTAAATAAGAGCACTGAGGTTGAGAGAGGTGATGCAGATTGCTGAAGTGCCTATAGCTAGGAAGTGGCAAGTCACAATGGGGCCCCAGTTCTGTCTGCTCTAAAGCCCAGTCTGTCTGTCTGCTTCTCTGTATGTCTCTCTTTTTCTCTCTCCCTATTCTTCTGGAAGTCATAGAATCCTGTGATTCTCTTCCAAACTGCTTTTTTTTCTATTAAAATTATAACCCGTTATTAAAATATTTAAGCACACAAATTAACTGGTGCTAATTATGATATTTTGAATGGTAATAAGCAATTAGAGTGAGATTTAAAGAAGAAAAAAACACCTGTATATAACTTGGCATCTTTTGTAATAAATACAAACACCTAAATATAACTTGGCATCTTTTGTAATAAATACAAACTTTTGTCAATCATGACTTGATCTAACCGATATGCCTCAGGTCTGCACAGAACGGAAATGTTTTTTGGAAATCCTAGTACTTCAGAAGGCTTTGGCATCCAAATCCATTGCAAGTAGCTTTCTATTTAGTCTCTCATTTTCTCTCTAAAGAGAGATTGATATGATGATTTTTAGCTTAATTTGAGAGATGTTGAGTTTTCTCCAAGACACCCTCGTTGGTTCACCTTGCTCTGAATCCTTTGTCTTCTCACCCTTTGTGGCAAATTGAGACGGGGGAAAACTATTAGGTTGGGGCGAAAGTAATTTCTGTTTCTGCCATTACTTTTGCCCCAACCTAATACCTCCCAGCAAAATGCAGGGGTTGCGGAGAGAAAGGGAGTGATGTATGGAGAGTCAGTCATAGTACATGTGCAATTCAAGATACCTGGGTGGGCATAGTAGTCTTTCCCCTGGAGTTCTATGTCATTGCAGCCTCCTCTCCCATCACAGCATAATTTAAGTGAAGCAGGTTTAACGGGTGGTCAGTATTTACCAGAGCCAGCCTTCTGCTTCTGGCCAGCTGGGTGACTTGACTAGCAGACCATTACTCCATGTGGGCCACCGTTTCCCATGAATAGAGTGCGACATTTGAACTAAATGAACCTAGGTTTGTCCCATGGAGTGCAGTTTCTCCCTAAATGAACCTAGGTTTCTCCCATGGAGTGCAGTTTCTCCCTAAATGAACCCAGGTTTCTCCCATGGAGTGCAGTTTCTCCCTAAATGAACCCAGGTTTCTTCAAAATTCTAGAGGCTCTGACTCTAGCAGCTGCAATTGGACTCTTCCCTAGAAGCATCTCGCTGAGTCTGAGAAAGGCACGTCAATGATTCTTCAAGGGAAGTAGGGGGAAGCAGAGGCAGTGCCATTCACAATGAGCCACGGCTGCTGACAGCAGTTCTGTAACCATCCGGTGTGTTTAGACGGGAGAAAGAGCTTGAGAATCGCGATTATATGGATCATCTCTCTCTAGATGGACTTCTTTTATGGGAGATAATACTGAGGTTAAGAGGTTAAGCAACTTGCTCAGGTCACGCAGCAATTTATAATATAACAAGATATTTATGAGTAAAACATATATGAACTAATTATATATCTGATAGTCGTTTTTAAGGAGGAAGAAGTTACCATAAGAAAAAGAAAAACAGGACTTGGGTGTTATACCATGAATCACACGTGTGTGTGTGTGTGTGTGTGTGTGTGTGTGTGTGTAAGATAATTTTTTCAGCAAATTAAAAACAAAGCCTAAGAAAAATGAGAACTTCCTGAACAAAAATATTCAAAATGATGACTAACTAGAAAGTATCAGAAACCACATTTTCCTTAACCAGTACTGTCTCATACAAATATAACATAAGTCACACAAGTAAGTTTAAATTTTCTAGTAGGTGCATCAAAAAAGCAAAAAGAACCAGGTAAAATTAATTTTAATAATGTACTTTAACCCATATCTAAAATGTGACTTCATTGTGTAATCAATATGATAAATTATTCACATATTTGACCTTTTTGTACTAAGTTGTTAGAATCCAGTGTGTATTTATTTTGCACTTGTGGCATGTCTCGATTAGGACGAGCCACATTTCAAATGCTTAGTAACCACACATGGCTACTGGCTACAGCATTGTACAGTGTGGCAAAAGTTTCTCTCCTTTTTCTCTTTTCCCAGGCTCTGTTGAAATTTTTCTTTCAGAAAAATATTTAAATAGGATATACTCTGACTTTGAAAAAATACACATATGTGTATGTTTATATAAGTATATGAATATATACATGCATATTTCTATCTATCTACCTGTCTAATATCTGTCATCGATCTATCTACCTACCTACCTACCTGTACATCTATCTCTCTAGAGATCTTCTCCACAAAAGCAAGGAAAGAGAATCTCTGACACTATATTTTCTTAATGAAGATGGAGAAGTTTTTGCAGTTCTCATTATTTCATTTCAGGCTTTCAGATGTTCAGGAGCCCTTTACTAGAAGGTTGATAGATTAATAATCTCCCCACTAAGCTTATAGCTTAGCAGACCTCCATGGTGGCCATGATGAGGATTCCTTTAACACATGATTGGCCCTTAGTCCCCATTTCTCTGGTGTGAGTTTTCAGCTTTTGTTACCACATCAAAGCTCCGGCAATTTGTGCAGGAAACCCCTTGAAGCAATCATGAACCCACTTGTACTGTAAGAGTTCTTACTTCCATGTCCTAAAAGAATAATAACCACAAAAGGATATTTCCTTGCTAATGGACTGGGGAGAATGGACTGTGACAAAGGCTGGTTTCTCATTGCCAGGATTTTAATGAGGGGACTCACCTGAAAATGTCTAGTGCACATTAGGCTCTTCTAATAGTTTCCGAGAGCTGGAGTAACAGATTACCACTAACTCAAATGGCTTAAAACAACAGAAATGTGTTTTCTCACAGTTCTAGTGGTTAGAATTCCATATTCATGGTTTCGGCAGGGCTGTACTCCCTCCGAAGGCTCCAGGGGAGGATCCTTCCCCACCCCTTCCTAGATGCTGGTGGCTCCTGGCAGTCCTTGGCATTCCCTGCAGGTGCATCTTGCCAACCTCTGCTTCCATTGTCTCATGACCTCCTCTTCTGCCTCTCTGTCTGTGTGTCCTCATGTGTTTTTGTAAGGACACCAGTCTTTGAGTTTAGAGCCTACCCTAATCTAAAATGACCGTAACTTTGTCACATCTGCAAAGGCCTTATTTCCAAATAAGGTTGCATTCTGAGGTTCTGGATGAACATGGATTTTGGGGAGGCATCATTTAACCCAGAGCAACTGTCACTAAAATTTTCCTACCAAGATCCCTTACTCTAGTTTAATTGGCCTCTTATTCAAGGCCTACTCCATAAGTTATTTTGGAATATAGAATTTCAGAACAGAAATGGGATCTGATGATTGCCTAGTTCAGTGGAACCCTTTCTTTAAATGGAAATTTAGTCACAGTAAAGGACAGAAAAGAACGCGAACCAAAGCTTAGGTGATATGTTTGCAGGAGGAAGGGGTGGCCCACAGTGACCCCCGCTGCCCCCTCCTCTTTACCCCTCACTAGGCTCCCGGAAGACTTCCAGAGCATCCCAAGGGCTCCACAAACCCCTGTTTAATCATAATCCCTTTACTGTAGGGATTAAAAACTACTGTTTAGGGAGATATAGTGAATTTTCCCAAGTCACACTGCAACTTGAATCTGAGGCTTGACCCATCTATGAAATATCCAAACTGTCGGTCCATTCATTTCTGCATTACCAACAATGGTCAGTTATATATTTTTCTTTGAGAAGAGAAAAGCAAAACAGTCCATGCTTGCAATTCTTTTCTTCCTTTTTGTAAACTATGACAGAAAATTCATGGTGAGGCCAAAGCCATGACAACACCTGTGTTGCCTCACATTGATTTTCTGTTTCCAACTGGAGGAAGAGGTTCCCGGAACAGCCACTTTTGAGTCAAGTGTGTGAGGAAGGAGTCTCTCTTGCCAAGGACTGCTGTAGATGATTCCTGCATAGCCAGCGCTGTGCAGGGCCTCCACTTGAGTGAGCACTCTGTTCCCATTCTATTTCTCACTAGTATTTTGAGTATGTTCCCCCCAAAGTAGAGATAGTATGTCTTTGAATGCAAACCATGGGCTGAGCCCTCCAAATTACTTTTAAAAAATTAGCTTCTTCAAAAAATTTTTTTCCACTTCCCTACTGTCTTAAATATACTGGTGCTTCTGCCCTAAGACCTTTCAGGAAAGGTACATGTTCTACCTGATTTACAACAATAGGTTATTCTGGGTAAATAATATATCTGTTGGATTTATTGTGCTTATTATTTTATTGGACCACACTATCCTTAACCTAGAGAAGAAGCTTGAGGAAAGGAGCTAGGGTCAGGCAGAAGACAGGTATGTTTTGAAATAAGAAAGGAAAAGGAAAACGTCTGGAACCTTGACATTCCACAGGATATTGTCCCATGAATACAAAAGGTGATGGGTAGCTAGAACCTGAGGGAGGAGGTGCCTTCTTTTGGAATTAAAATTCCAGAATGTTCTGGAAAGTGCCAGATGCAAGACCAAGTAGGACCAGCTAGTAATGGAAATTCCTCCCATATTGACAAGGTTGATGAACACATGGTGGGTGCAGCTCATGGAACACTGGGAGGTCAAAAGCGGTCTCAGTTACCTTTGTACAATGGACATGGCACCCCAGGTTAACACAGGGGCCACCTGCCCAGCAGGCATGGGCATCAGATGAAGGCATTTTTTAAACACCTTATTTAACAATTCAGAGTCTAGATACGAGTACATTCTCATTTTAAATAGTTCAGAAAAACAGATATTCCCTTTTCCTCCTTCCAAACATATTCTTCCCTTAGAGGCAACCAACATTATTAGTTTAATGAATCACTTTCCAGACCTTTCTCTCACATTTAGGTACATACAATCACCCCTCGGTATCTGTGGGGGCCAAAATCCAGAAACCTCTGTGAATACCAAAATCTGCAGATACTCAAGTCTCTTTTATAATATAGTGTAATGTTTGCGTAAAACCTAGGCACATTCTCCCTATACGGTTGACCCTTGAACTACATGGGTTTGAACTGAATGGCTCCACTTATCCACATGTTTTTACCAAATGGCAAATTGAAAATACAGTATTCATAAGATATAAAACCTGCATATAAGGAGGGTCACTTTTTCATACACAAGGGTTCCACGGGGCTGACTGTGGGGCTTGAGTATGCATGGGTCAGGGTATATATGTGGGGGTCCTGAAACCAATCTTCTCCATATACAGAGGGACAACTATACTTTAAATCATCTCTAGATTACTTATGATATGTAATACAATGTAAATACTTTGTAAATAGTTGTACTGTATTTTAAAATTTGTATTATGTTTTATAGTTGCATTGTTATTTTTATTGTTTTAAACAATATTTTCAATCCATGATTGGTCAAATTCACAGATGTGGAACCCACAGAAACTGAGGACTGACTGTATATGTGTGTGTGTGTGTGTGTGTGTGTGTGTGTGTGTGTGTGTAGACACGTAGAATTTTGTGATCTAGAAGTGTTAAATATAAGAGGTAATTATGTGAGGTAAATAAAATGTGTGCGTTAAATATAACAGGAATACTACTATATGAATTTTTCTGAAATTTGTGTTTTAACATTTTAAGTTGTTTTTAACTATTCTTTGGTACGGACATTGTATTAGTCTGTTCTCATGCTGCTGATAAAGCCATACCCGAGACTGGGTAATTTATAAAGAAAATAGTTTTAACTGACTAACAGTTCCACATGGCTGGGGAGACCTCACAGTCATGGCGGAAGGCAAATGAGGAGCAACGTCACATCTTTTGTGGTGGCAGGCAAGAGAGCTCATGCATGGGAACTCCCATTTGTAAAACCACCGGATCTCATGAGATGAGGGGAACAGCATGAGAAAGACCCAACCCCATGATTCAATTACCTCCCACCGGGTTCCTCCCACAACACATGAGAATTATGGGAGATCTCATCTTATTCAAGATGAGATCTGGGTGGGGACACAGCCAAACGATATCAGATGTACTTCGCATATCATGTATAGATGAGAAAACAGGCATTTCTTCCCAATTTTTGCCCATACACATGTGGTGGACATTTTTCATGTGCACCAATATCTGGTCCTTTTCTGCTTCCTGGTTACAAGAGGTTTTATTAATACCTTCCCTCCCTGCCTTCTTGGAGTTAGCTGTGGCCATGCCACTGGATCTGACCACTGAAATGTACTTGGAAGTAGTGGCATGCGACCCTTCTCAGCCAAAGTATACAATTGCCGGTGTTCAATTCTCCACCCCTCTTTACGCATCCCATCAAATGCCGATGTCTGAGTCATCTGTGTCCCTGGGTGTCTATGCTCATCAGAATCCTGCTGCTGACCTGCATGCAGCATGTGGCACAGGCAAGAATTAAACCCTTGTTGTTTGACATCATGCAGACTTTGGAACTACTTGTCATCACTACATAATCCAGCCTATTCTGGCCGATACTCATAGCTATGAGCAGCCTTGTACATGCTTCTCTCTGCACCTGTGATGACATTTCTCCAGTAATGAATGTCTATTGAAAAGTTAAAACATTAAATTGCTTTTAAAGTACCTTCTTATCCCTCCAGCCCCTACCTTTTGTCCCTAGGCTCCTCTGCATCTGTTGACTTTAGATTTTTTTTGTATTATTTATTCATGTTTTATTAGATAAATATCTTCCCCAGACAAACCTTGAACTCCCTGGAGTCAACCGATTCCCTTGCCCAAGCCTCTGGTGTTAGTGATTGTTTCATTAAACTCTAGTCTCAAGGCTAATCCTTGTTGGAAAATTCGTTCTGTCCTATAAGAAGGCTCCCAGGCTCCTAGTCTCAAACCACTAAACAGGCCGCACAGGTGTTTAGTGGTACTTATTGGTGGCCATGTGACATTGTTATTTCTCTTTGCATATTTCTCATATGATTCACAGTGTTTAAAAGGATTACCTTTTTGGTTTTGGAGGTGCAGATTTAGAGAATGGGATTTCCAAAGCCATATTGTCCCTTTCAGAGCACAGTGAGGGTGTTCTTTCTTACCCAGAGGGTCAACAGTGCCACAGGCTTGCCAGTGGATGAGTTTAATCAACTCTGACTGTGTGGCCAGTGAGCAAAGAACATGACAGGGGTTTCTTTGAGGTGAGCAATGCCCTCCGCCAGAACCTAGAAGTAGGGTAATGATGCTGAGGTTGGTGTACACTCAGAACTCAGTACTGCCGCAGAGTAAGGCAGACCCATCCCACCTGGGCTGTAGCTCCCACGATGGTGAGTCCCTAGATCGTAAGTTGATGGGAAGCATAAGAAGGTCAGAACCAAACCAGAGCTTTGAGCGTTCTCTCACTGCATTCCATAGTTTCCCCGAGCGCTGAAATTCTTTGCAACTTCCATTCATTTGCACATCTCATCTGGCTGTAAGGCATAATGTGGTCTGTGTGAAAAAGAAACTTCTGCAAAAGAGTCAGATTCAGAGTTTATGGCAACATCAAGGAATAGTTTATCAGTTCAGCTGAGTATAACCACTTGATTTAGCACTTCCTTTTCATCATGCCTCTCCCCTCATCACAAAACTGCAAAGGCTCCCTGTGACATCCAAAGCCTCTTTGTCTTTCCCTGTTTAGGAAAAAGTGACCTAGAGGGAACTCTGCAGGGGCTACATACGGAATCTTGATGTTGCCTCCTGCCTGCTGTACTGTCCTGGTTAAATCCTTCCTCTTCTCTAACTCTGTGTCTCCATCTGTAAAATGGGGATGGTAATAGAGCCTATCCTGCAGGATAATTGTCAGGATTAAAAGAGTTAACCCAAAACAGATAATAAGGGGTTCTGAAGATCCACCAGGAGCCTCACTCAGACACCTTGATGCAGACAGCACCTGGTAAACATGGGTGTTCAGAAGTATGGTCCTTCCCTTACGGCCCCTTACTCAATGGCCATCCATTGTCTGCTGAGCCTAGGTCCCTCACACCTATGCCCCAGGCTCCTGTCCTGGAATCCTGGCTTTTACCACCAAATTCCCCAAAAGCCCCGTGAGTGGCTGTTTTGAGCTGAGGGCACCTGCTCCTACTGGCTTCCTGGAGCCTTAGACGCACCCAGTGCTCTGGACCTCCCACACCTTGTTGAACCACCCGGCACTTGCTGACTCCTCTCCTGAACCTCATGTGCTTGTGACCCACGATTCAGCCACTGTCTAACCAGCTCTTCCGTGTGCAGCCCTCAGAGCCCCAGCTCCCACGGCTCTAATTCCACGGCCGCCCCTGCCGTCTCTTCAGCCATCCCATCCCGCCATCACCATGGAAACCTGTGGGAACAGCAGCTTTTCCTCATCCTCTTCTCCCCTTAATCTCCAGCCCACTCCTCCTCCCTCTTCTTGTCTGTGTCCTTCCCCTGAGACATGTTCAAATGTTGTTTCTGCATGTTAATATTTTCTTAACTATTTAGTGAATTCATCATGGCGGAGGGAGTGAGCACGAATGGACTCTGTCATACTTCACAGAAATTAAACCTGAGCCAGCTAAATATCCTTTCCTGCTCCATTCTAAACCTTTATGGGTCTCCACAATAACCAGTAACTCCATGGTTGTAGAGTTCAGATAATCATGACATAAATGTAGGAATGAAGGCAAACAGGCCGGCCCTTCCCCCAGATGACTGGGGTCTTCCCAGCTGGTGTAAAACCCTCTTCTAGGTCAAAACATTTCTTAAAGTAAATGAGTGATGACTATGACAGGTGGGAAAGTACATAAAATAATGTGATTGAAATACTCTTAGTTGGTTCTGCTCCATTGACCCTAGGGAGGAAGAAACAACTAATTTGTGCTTTCTGTTATTGCATTGAAAGAGAGTGGTGACTCGCCGGGCGCGGTGGCTCACGCCTGTAATCCCAGCACTTTGGGAGGCCGAGGTGGGCGGATCACGAGGTCAGGAGATCGAAACCATCCTGGCTAATACGGTGAAACCCCGTCTCTACTAAAAATACAAAATATTAGCTGGGCGTGGTGGCGGGCACCTGTAGTCCCAGCTACTTGGGAGGCTGAGGCAGGAGAATGGCGTGAACCCGGGAGGCGGAGCTTGCAGTGAGCCGAGATCACGCCACTGCACTCCAGCCTGGGTGACAGAGCGAGACTGTGACTAAAAAAAAAAAAAAAAGAGTGGTGCTTCAAAATTGTGTCTTTTTCAACGTTTGTTGTCTCTACATGGTAAAATCTGAATTTAGGCCTAATTCAAAATCCATGAGATTGGGAATGGGATTGGGAATCTCATTATTTGCATTAATGTATGAGACTCTCTGAGTAAGTGTTGGTTTAAGTAAATTTTTTTCTTAAAAAACTCAGTAGAAATGGAACTCAGATTTTAAAATGGACTTTAAAATGGTCTAAAAAGTGTTTCTAGGTACAAAATGAATTGGAGTTTACCTATTTTTTCCAAAGGGCAGGTAGCAGGTCTGAAGTGAGAGAGGGAAACGTTCGATGCTGCGTTGTTCTGGGAGATGTGAGCCGCCGGCTCATTCAGAATGTGCAGGGATGTCCATTCCCACAGGAGCATGTGTCGTTCAGCCAGGTGCATGTTTTACCTTGATCTACTGTGCTTGGAGCCTTTTCTTTCCCAGATCTAGGTCTGATACCTGCCCCTCCTCCTTACCCTGGACTGTAATTAAAGGGAATATGTGGAAATCCAGGCCACAACTATTTTACTTTCTGTGAATAAGGCCATCAAGTTGATGGCTTGTTACTGTGGGTCGATGGGTCAAACATGAGGCAATTTGGGGAAACAGCCTAAGGTGGCTATACCACAGAGGCCAGCAGAGCAGGTAACCAGGCACAAGATGCGATCGCTGACGAGAGAGCTGCTGTGACAGAGTAAGGAGTGCATGGGGAGGAGGGACCACTGAGGTTTGTCTGCGTGTGGGTACCCCATGCGCAGATCCTCAACAGCCGTTCCAAGGAAGTAGTCATTTGGGAGATGAAGGGGGTGCAGGTAGAGGAGTGGGGGATTGAGACAGGGAGGGGAAGCCACCTAGCTAGTGAGGTTTGTGTAGCAAGAAGGTAACCACTCGGAGCACCTGGAGTTTAATCCTTAAGGAGACTGCTGAGAAACAGAGTGGTGCACACTTAGGGTTATTTTACTGAGAGGCAGGAGATGTAGACAGCGCTGGGGGATGTAGACACCACTTGTTAAAATCTGGCAGAAGAGAATTTAGAGAAGAAAGGTATTGCTGTGTGGTAAGAGCAATGACTTGGTCAGGATGAGGGTGGGCATGGAGCTCTGAGGAAGGGACGTACAGAAACCAGGACAGAACTCTAGCCATTATCTCCTTTCTTCTAGCGATCTGACAAGGTCCTGCTAGATCCTTCACTAGACTCTAGGGCAGGCTTCTACTTAGTACAACTGATACCACCGCCATGCAGCCATCATGGCCCCTCCCAGGGCCCATTTGTTAGTAATAATAATAATAATGCTTAAGAAGCATTGAGTCCTAACTGTGTGTCCTATAAACTATCATAACCCGTATAGTCTTCATAAAGATGCCTTCAAGGAGACACTCTTATTATCCCCATTTTACAGGGAGAAAAAAATGAGCCTACGTTCAGCAATTTTAAGCAAATTTTCTATTGTCTCATGACTAGTAAATAGTGGAATAGGCCAGTTTTGTTTTTTCACCTTGACTGACTGCAAATGTCTCAGTCATGATTCCTGACCATCTTCTAACCCTCTAAGGACCCAGACACTCCTAAGTAGTTAAAGAGTCTGACGTTATCAATCAATGGAAATATTTTCAAAAGGTAAAGAGAAAAGAAATTAAAGTTATGATGATCTTTTAAGGCAAATCCTGCTTTCTTGAAGCTTGGTCAGCCCTGGCACAGGCAAAAGTGCATGTCATTTCAAGGCATGGGGCAGGTGAAATGGAACACGGCTGTCCTGGCGTCCACAACTCACAGGAGAGTGGAGAATGTGGAAGTTACATGCTCCATTTAGACATCAGTGTTCTCTACTACAAAATCGTTTCTGCAGTTCATTAATCAGACTCTCCAAATTTGTTTAACTCATTATTTATAACAGCATTAAATCCAGTGACACCAAACGGTGTCACCATGAGTATCAGGAAGTCTGATTTTAATCCTCAGAAAATGTGTTCAATGTCTTTCCCTCCCTCCTCCACACTTAACAGGGACAGTGAATGGAAGCCAGTGTTAAATTTGCACGATGTGCAGTGGTCTAAACTTTCACTGAATCCTAATCAACTTAATATCCTGTTGCCTTTTTGAAATCCAGTGATGAAATGTAACCCTGAGACAGCTTAAACAGAACTCAAGCCTGGATGCTCTCTGCAAAATGGTCTAATTTGGTGGTTATAGCGCTAGTATTGTATGTACAATGATCAAATCCTGTGTTTTCAATTGTCCTTTTTATGGTCAATCAAGGCGGTCTTAGGATATAGATTTAATATCGCAAGAGTCTAATGTAACAGGCTAATGCATGCCCTCCAGTTACAGGGAGAATGTCTTTTTGTGACAGTGGTTCTCTGGGTACGTCTTACAGGCTTCTATTTTTGAACTTGACTCCAAGGGCCAAAGCAGCACATTTTGGAAATGGTTTTGTAAACTGTAACGAAGGTATCTTTCTTCAGCAGCTTCCTGCCCAAAGACGCCAGAGTGCTTTACAAACTTATCAAAGTGATATACAGGGATCGTTTTAGCCTCTGCTGAAATACAGGGGCCCAGGGGGGAAATTACAGTCATTGTTGAAAAATCTTAGATTGTCAGGTCGACAGGAGGAGGGAGAGTGTACAGCACCTAAAATATCCTCCCAAACTGGATGGCATGTCCCAAGGGCTGTGGTCTTATCTACTGCCTGCTGCAGGTGACGTTTGTGAAAGGGGTCCTGTGAGTTTTGATGATTGTCTCTCTTAGACATGCTGGTAATACAGCTCCTTGTAAAGCTGATTCTTCCCTTGGATTTGCTCATCTCATATCAGAGACTTTAAGGTACCCTCTGACATACACCCTCTACAAAATAGGCATGTTGCATTTTTTGGCATACTAGACCATCAGAAGGGGAACTGCTATATCACAGCCTCTGGAATCCTGGCTAACTACAGGGAAGAGATGTCTGAATTATAGCAGAACATGAAAGAAGGCAGCTTGTGCTTTAAAGGAGGTGTTCAAAGCATGTCTGAGCAGAGACTTTTGGGCTCTGTTTTAATTAATACTTTAAAATAATTCATATTTAAAATATCAGATGTTTCCATAAAGAGGAGGATGTTTAAATGCCTCCAGACTACATTCCTTTTTATTCTTGATTTTACCTGGGAGTCCAAAGTTCAATTCCATAAAGCAAGCGTTTATTTGTCACTTTCAATATACATCGATTGCCATGCTTAAGATGCAATATGGGCTGCGGAAATAGGTTAACCCACAGGCTCCCAGGGCCCAGTGTAGAAGGTGAGAGATTCGTGTAAAATGATTCAAATAAAAGGAAGACCCTGGCCGGGTGCCGTAGCTCACGCCTGTAATCCCAGCACTTTGGGAGGCCGAAGCGAGTGGATGACGAGGTTAGGAGTTGGAGACCAGCCTGGCCAACATCGTGAAACCCCGTCTCTACTAAAAATACAAAAATTAGCCGGGCATGGTGGCAGGCACCTGTAATCCTAGCTAGTTGGGAGGCTGAGGCAGGAGAATCGTTTGAATCTGGGAGTTGGAGGTTGCAGTGAGCTGAGATCGCGCCACAGCACTCCAGCCTGGGTGACAGGGTGAGACTCTGTCTCAAAAAAAAAATAAATAAATAAAGTAAAAATAAAAAGGAAGACCTTGATAAATGCCATGATAGATACATTCTCATAAAGCCCAGTAGCATATTCGGGAGGTTTATGAGAACATATCAATAATTTTTATGTTTGTTAAAATATTTTAAACAATATTTTTATGTTTGTTAAAATATTTAGTTGTAGTTTATCTTAATTTTAATTTTGAAGTAACAGAGCAGGAGACCTAAAAAATATTCCCTACTAGGAGATAGTTGTGGAATATATAGCATTTGTATTTCTACATTTTTATGTGACACATTTAGGTGTTCCTTAAATAAAATGAAATTGACCAAAGTTCTGGTTAGTATGTAGCAAACTAAAATTATGTGAAAATATCCAAAGCCTTAACAGAGCTAGGATATTCCCGCATCCACACTCACACAGCTACTCACTGTAAAAGTGATCGTTGACAAACATAAGGAGGCAAATAAAAGGGCATAGCCTTTGTCTTTTAAACCACTGTGACAGGAAAAGTTATGGGGAGTGGGTCAGTGAGGAAGGAAGTCTGAACATTGCTGCATTCAACAGAGAAAGTAAATGAAAGGAAGACGCTTACAAATAAGAGAGAAGAAAGGACCGCATTAACTCTAAAGAAGGGGCTAGCAGGTCCTGTGGAGCCGATGGGGCAGTGCAAAAGCCTGACCATGCTGATCTCCATTGGGTGGGTCCAATGGAAGAACGCTCAGGGTTACGTCAGGAAGGTGCCCTAGTTTTGGGGAAAGAACATTTCAACTCAGGTTCAGAGGAAAATTTAGATATGTTAAAACTTTAGATAAGTTAATAGACAGGGCAGAAATGAAAGAAAGAAAGATTCTTCACAGGGAAGTCCTGGCTATCTAACTGTGAAAACCTGAAAGATAGTTGAGAAAGGCAAGAGAGGCAAGAAGGAGTGGAAATGAGGGGGATTCAGTGAGACATACGCAAAGAAAGGGAGAGAATAAAATGATACATTCAAAGAAGCGTATTGTGACAAAATGTGAACTTCTCTAATAAACTCAGTTTAAAAGAGAACATATAGGCCAGGTACCATGGCTCACGCCTGTAATCCCAGCACTTTGGGAGGCTGAGGCAGGCGGATCATTTGAGGTCAGGAGTTTAAGACCAGCCTGACCAACATGGTGAAACCTCGGCTCTACTAAAAACACCCAAAAAATTAGCCAGGCTTGGTGGCTGGCGCCTGTTATCTCAGATACTTGGGAGGCTGAGGCGGGAGAATTGCTTGAACCCAGGACGCAGAGGTTGCAGTGAGCCGAGATCTCACTACTGCACTCCAGCCTGGGCAACAGAGAGAGACTCCATGTCAAAAAAAAAAAAAAAAAAGGCATGTAAAGTAAATGGATGCACATGTGAGGAGCAGCATCCATGACCCATCACAAGTGTATGGGATCCTAAAGCTTCCTGACAATTGCAAATGTTAAATAAGCCAAAGATCACAAAAAGAGGTTTGTTTTGGCAGTTGTGCACAAACCTGCTGCGAGGCAGCTGGTGCCCTGGTAAAAGGTGGCAGAGCAAATGCAGAACCACACAGGTGCCGGGTACCTCCTTTCTGTGGTCAAAGAAAATAATCATCACCCTGCAAAAGGGTTGGACAAATATAAATAGGAGAAAATTGAAATCCAAGATAGTTGAGAAGATTATAAGTGTATCCTACTGATTTAAACGAGTTCACACCTATGAAACTAGATGAATTATTTCTCACAGAAGACACGGAGAAAATGGTGATTAGAATCTCTGCACCAGTTTCTGTGATTTTTTTGAGACATCCTGAAGATGAGAGGTGAGTAGACAGCAGATGGGCAGGGCCAGCATGGTTTTTGTCTGGTTATTTATTTCTGTGGAATAAGTTCCTAGAAATAGGATGTCTCTCTGGGTCAAAAGGTATGTACACTTTCACTTTTTTTTTTTTTTTTTTTTGAGACATAGTGTCACTCTGTCACCCAGGCTGGAGTGCAATGGCACTATCTCCGATCCCTGGAACTTCTGCCTCCCAGGTTCAAGCGCTCCTCCTGCCTCAGCTTCCCCAGTAGCTGGGATTACAGGTACCCACTGCCACGCCTGGCTAATTTTTGTATTTTTAGTAGAGACAGGGTTTCAACGTGTTGGCCAGGCTGGTCTTGAATTCCTGACCTCAGGTGATCTGCCTACCTCAACCCCCCGACAAAATGCTGCTATTATGGGTGTGAGCCCCTACGCCTGGCCCACACTGTAACTTTTGATACATATTGACTAATTGCTCCTCTCCAGAGTTTGTACCCAAATTATAAAGCCACCCAGAGTATATTAGAGGACCATTTATTATACCTGTTTGATAAAACTATGCATTTTTATCAACCAAATTTTTAAAAATTAATGTGGCTTTATTGCTCATAAGGTTTAACTTTTTTCATGTATTTATTGGCCATTTACATTTCTTTAGTAAAATACAAGTAATGTTCCTTAGTACATTTTTCTGTTTGGCTTTTTGTTTTATAGTACTCATAGTAATTGATATGACAAGAATATCAATTTTTTGTTGGCCTATATATTCCAAATGTGTTTTTTAAATGTTATATTTCAATCTTACTTTTTACATCTTTGTCATATGGCATCTTTACTTTTTAAACTGTTATTTTAGATTCAGGAGAATATATGCAGGTTAGTTATATAGGTAAACTCATGTCATAGAGATTTGTTGTACAGATTATGTGATCAGCCTCGTACTAAGCCTAGTATCCAATAGTTATTTTTTTCTGATCCTCTTTCTCCTCCCACCCTCCACCCTCAAATAGGTCCCAGTGTCTGTTGTTTCCCCTTTGTGTCCATGTATTCTCATCATTTAGCTCCAACTTATAAGTGAGAACTTGTGGTATTTGGTTTTCTGTTCTTGTGTTAGCTTGCTAAGGATGATGGCCTCCAGCTCCATCTGTGTTCCTGAAAAGGTCATGATCTTGTTCTTTTCTATGGCTGCATAATACTCCACAGTGTACTTGTACCACATTTTCTTTATCCAGCTCACCATTGATGGGCATTTAGTTTGATTCCATGTTTATTGTGAATAGTGCTATAGTGAACATATGTGTGCATGTGGCCAACATTTTAAAAGAAATGGAGAAGGTAAGTTCTGGAAACTGGTAGCAGAACTTAAGCCGCGGTATAATTCTGAACAGGTCCATCTGTTCGTCATCATTCATCTACTCTAAATCCATGCATCTCTGTTCATTCAGCAAATATTGATTATGTGCAGTGTGCTAGGCATTAGGAAATATGCTAGAAAACAAACAGAAATAATAGTCCTTGCCTTATTGAAACTTAGAGTCAAATGAGGGGAATTATTAAACACGTTTTGTGAATTTTAAGAGGGCAATAGTGAGATTTGTTTGATAGAAAGAGTAATATCGAGATCAAAATGTGTGTGGGTGGGGTCACGATCTTTGTGTTAGTCAGGGCCTTTGCTACTGCAAGTGCCAGAAACTTAAATCAAAGTGGCTGAAGCAAAAGAACACTGCATGCCTCATGTATGCGAGAAGTCCATGAATAGGGCTGGCTTCAGGCCTGGCTGGGTGTATAAATTCAGATGGCACCCTCCACCAGGACTTCGTCTTCATCTCTTTGCTTGGCTTTTGTCTGTGTTGGCTCCATTCCCCATGCGTCACCCCTTCCCAAACCTCTTACATGTTTTTATTTTCCCATAAGTTCTCCCCTCATAATGCAAAGGTAGTTGCCAGCAGCTCCAGGCTCACATCCATCCTTCAGAGAAACTCCAATGGAAAGAGTCTAACACAGTTCAAACCAAAGCACAGGATGAAGTTCACTTAAATGAATATGGGTCCTGTGCTCGTCCATGAATCAGTGATGTGGCCAACAAAGACAACATACACTGGTGATCATGACCTGGGTCAAAGTCAAATGCCCCTCCTACAACTAGGAATGGAGTCACCCCATCTGTAAACAGACTGAGAGTCTGTGGGAACAAGGCAGTTTCCTATGGAAAAGAAAAGAATGCTGTCTGGTGAGGCTGTCTCCACTGCAGGCCCCACTGTGGATGGTGCTGGTCAGAGACTATCAGGGGTATTAGGATCCATTTTTTAATCTTATATTCTCTCTCACACACTCTCTTTTTTCCCCCTCTCTTGGCTTGATTTCACTAGTTAGAGCCTTCTTTACAAAATCAGACAGAAGGGTTAAGAATGGACATCATTGCCTTGTTTCTGATGTTAAGTGGAAAGTATTTCATCTATTAAACATTTATACCACTAAGTATGATGCTCCCTGAAGGCTTTTCAGATGTGCTCTTTATCATATTGAGTGAGCCCCATTCAATTTCAAATTTGTTAAAAATCTTTTATCATGAATAAGTGTTAGATTTTATCAAATTTTTTTTCTGCATCTTTTGAGATGATTGTTGTTTTTGTCCTCTAGTCTATTAATTAAGCTTATTGTATTAATTGATTCTTGAATATTAAACCAACCTTGCATACCTTTAATAAAGCCTAGTTGGTTATTTTCCTTGAGGTGTACAATCCTTTTGATAAGTTGTATTAGTTTTCTGTGGCTGCTGTAACAGATTACCATAAATTTGGTGGCTTAAAACAAGAAATTTATTTTCTTACAGTTCTGGAGCCCAGAAGTCCAAAATCGGCATCAGTGGGTGGAATTAAGTGCTGGCAGAGCTACACTCTCTCCAGAAGCTCTCGGGGAGCTTCATTTCTTGCTTCTTCCAGCTTCTGGTGGCAGCTGGCATTCCTTTGCTTGTAGTCACATCACTTTGATCCTCAAGGCCACTATCTTCAAGTATCCCTTTTCTCTGGTGTCACATTGCCTTCTCTATCTCTCATAGAATCTCCTTCTCAATTCCATTTATAAGAAAACAGTGCTGGCATTTAGGGACCACCTGAATAACCTAGGATCATCTCCCCATCCTAAAATATTTAATTCAATCACATATGCACAGACATTTTTTTCCAATTCAGGTAGTATTTACAGGTTGCAGGGCTCAGGATCTGACATCTTTGGGACCCATTATCAGTCTACTAACTATGTTATTAAATATAGCTTGCAAATATGTTGTCGAGGATTTTGTTTTTATATTCCTGAGAGATATTGGTCTTTTTTTCTTTAGATATCTTTAAATGGCTTTGGTAGTAATGTAATAATGTAATAGTGGCCTCATAGAATGAGTTGGGAAGTGTTCTCTCCTCCTATATTTTTTGGGAGAGTTTGTAAAATACTGGTATTATTTCCTCTTTAAATGCTTGATAAAACTTACCTGTAAATCTATCTGGGTCTGAGCTTTTCTTTGCAGAAATATTCTAAATTACTGATTCAATTTATTATTATTATTATTTGTTTTTAACTGTTTTCTGCTATTAAGATTTTTAATTTCTTCTTGAACCAGTTTGGTAATTTGTGTCATTCTAGAAATGTTTTCTATTTCATCTAAATAGTCTAACTGTTGGCATAAAATTATTCATAGCATTTCCTTATAATCATTTAAATTTCTGTAAGATCAGTGGTGGTATGCCCTTTGTTATTTATTAATTTGGTGATCTGTGTCTTCTCTCTTTTATCTTGGTTAGTTTAGGTAAGATTTGTCAATTTTGTTGACATTTTCAAAGAGCAAATTTTTGGTCTTATTGATTTTCTCTGATGCATTTGTACCTTTTTTGTGTACTTCAAAGAAGCCATTGGCAAATTAAATATGACTGGACAACTTTTCACATAAGTAACTAGGAAAGGTAAGGAAAGACACAGAATATAATTCAAGTCCCTGAAGGCCTGTATTACAGAAGAAGACATAGGCAGATTCTTTCACATGCCAGGGAGTAGAACTCAGATTAGTGTATAGAAGTTTCGAAGAAGCAAACATGAGTGTTGTTGCCCCCATCCTAGAACACAGACTCTAGAATCAATCAGATTTAGACCCTAATTCTGGCCTTGCCCCTCTTCTTGTTGTATGTATTAATTAAGGTAATGTATGCTGCTATAACAGGTATGCCTTCAAAACTCAGGATCTTAACAAGTTGGTACTTATTTCCTGCTCTGGAGAGAAAAGCTCACAGAGAAGAATTTTATGACCCATGCCTGAAAGTGAGAATTCTACTTATGTGCACATTCTGTTGACTAGACCTAAGGGAGGCTAGAAAATTAGTCAAATCATGTGCCCGAGAGGAAAATAAAATCTCTTTGGTGAGCCACTAGCTAGTCTGTGCCACACTGTATAACCTGGGGTTTAACTACTTTTTGAGCTTCTGATTCCTTAAATGTGAGAAGGGTATACAGGCCTACCTTGTTGATATTGAGGATTTGATTCCAGACAACGGCAATCAAGGAAATATTGCAATAAAGCAAGTCACACATATTTTTTGTATCCCAGTGAATATGAGTCATATTTATACTGTAGTCTCTTAAGTGTGCAATAGCATCATGTATTTTAGAAAGTATATACCTTAAAGAACATTTTATTGCAAAAAAAATGTTGACATAGAGACTCAAAGAACACATGTTTTAGGAAAAATGGCGCCAATAGACTTGCTCAATGCAGGGTTGCCACGAAGCTGCAATTTGTAAAAACTGCAATATCTGTGAAATGCAATAAAGGGAAGCATAATAAAAGGAAGTATGCCTGTAATAATTTCTGTCACATGGGTGTGTCCATACTGCTCAGTATCTGGCACAAGGTGGGAATTTGATGAACATTTGTTCCATGAGTGAAGTGAGTTTAAGGACTGGTGTGCATGGTATGCTCAGAACTACATTTGGTTTATAGTAAGGGTTCAGTACATAAGCATATTTACTGCTGTTATTGTTCTTAAGACTTTAGAGAGGAATAAAGCCAGACAAGAACATTTTAAGCTGAAGTTTGAAGAGTGAAGTTTCCATCTCTAAAAGTTTTCAGGCAAAGGCCAACTCTTAGGGAGGTCACAGAGTCCTACTTTTGTACTCTGAGGCTATGGAATCTAGTGGGGCATCAGACAAACCATAGTTTCATTTACTATCTTGTAACTTCAAGGAAGCCACTTTACTTTCCTGAGTCTGTTTCCTTGGATCCAAAAACCTACTTAGTAGGATAGCCATGAAAATTCAGTGAGATAAATCATATGAAACCAGAACACAGCTGATACATGCAGTGAAGCGGCTCTTAAATATGTGCTTCTTTCCTCTTACTTCGCTTCCTCTTTATTTTTTCCTGGTCTATGATACAGAAAATCGTCTGAATTAATTGCATTTGAAACGAACATTGGTTGTAATTTAAGATAAAGAGAAAATTCCTAGGTTGGGAATTGGGATCCTGGTTCTGCATTTTCCCAGCCCTTCCTCTCTGCAAATGATCACAGAATTACATAGTCTGGACCCCAAAAGCAATATCTTCTGTTACTTAGGATTCAAGGCACACATGTTTGTAACAATTGGCTTCTCAAAACTTGTAAGAACTACTGATGGGTAAACAAGTCATGAATCAGTTTTTTATATTCAATCAAAGTTGATGGAGATTACCCAATTAAATAACTGGTATATAACTAGTTTCCCTATTTCCTTTTCCCTGTTTCATAGAAAAACTAGTTATACATTGCTTTTCTGTAAGAAGGTGGTAAATGTAAATTGAGAAGCTCGAGGTTAGCAAAACAGAAGATAATGATCAAAGGACTCCATGTCTATGTGGTTGCTTTATGATAATGCTGAATAGCAGCCTTGTTCATGCAGAGACAATATAAAAGCCTTTCCCCAACTTCTCCCCCTCCTCCAATTCGTAAAAGTCAACATAATGTTAAAACAAAACAAGAAGTTTAGAATTAGGATGAAACCCATCTAGTAATACAGTAATGTCAGGAGGACAATATCAAAACAAATATTTATTTACTCAGGTGGTGGTTGCGGTTTTCGGGCTTTTTCTCAGCTGCGGTGCATTTGTGGCTTTTATTTCTGCACTGCCGCTTGTTACTTGGAGCCATTACTTCCTATCTGTGTTGTCAATCGTGTCTTGAGGTTATTCTAGCACCTTACGAAAAGCCACCATCCACCTAATTTTAGAGCTTTTAAGATAAAGCCCGGGAGCACTAGGAAGGTGAGTGAGTTACCGTTATCAATCTGGAATGTGAGGTTTCCAGTGCAGTAGCACCACCTCTTCTAGGTCACCATGGCCAGCCCTTCTCAGAATACAGAATGATGTAATAAATAATGCCTGTGTGAAGTGAAAGCTTTGAGCAATGGAACCAGCTAACATCTAGAATTTTATTAGGCACAAACTTTCTCAGATGTTCTCAGTGCTATTATTACCCCCTCGTTAAAGCTGGTAATTCTTGTTTTTAAAGCACTTTGGAGACACTCATTGATACATGCCTGAAAAAAAAATAGATGTTTATTTTTTCCTTAAAAACTTCGCATGAGACTTTAGAACCGTATACGAATAATACTCTGATTACTGAAGTGGGTGGATTTTCCAGTCTTTATTTTTCTTCCATTAATCATCTTAAGAGATCCAAACTTTCCCTGCCATGAAATGCCAGACTTCATGCTGCAAGATTCCCCTAGTTGAGGGGAAGGGCAGAGCCAACCAGAGCCCCTGGCCCTCTGTCAGGGGCTGCCTCCTTTAGCTCTCAGTAATACCATCAGCTCCTGGCCTCCTTATCAAAGAGGGAGGAGGTGACATAAAATTAGAGAAATGGCCCAGAGAGGTGGCCCCTCAGAGCACCCCTAGCTGGTGTTTAAAGGGGAGCAGTTATGACGTTGTTACTGCAGATAATTGCCAGTTGAGTGTGGAGGCCCTGTGTTGCCAGTCCCACCCACTGATCAGGAAAAGCTGGTAATCAGCCATGGCATTTGTATGCTGGGAAGGAAGAACAATGGGCTACACCAGCTTTATGTCAATCAGCATTGCCCTGACATCCCCTATCAGACTTCTGCTTAAATCTTTTTGGCTAGAACAGGTCATGCACTAGCTGCAGAGGAGGTTGACAAAGTGAGTATTCGTGTCCCCAGCCATTGTGGCAGATGAAGATCAGGGGAAGGTTTTTAGGAATGGGTATGGCATGGCCAACCTGAACACTGCCTACCAACATGTAGACATGATATTGGCTGGGTATTAAAGGAAACAAACATGTCAGACAGCCAGAAATGGCCCACAGCCCATGAATTTAAAACCTCTACCTAAGAGCAGCCCATTGCTAGCTCTCGCACCCTCTCTGCCCTTGACCTCAATAATATACCATATCTTGATTCACTGGCTCCAGGTCTCCTACCACCGAGGACTTGCCTTACTTTTTTTTTGTTGTTTTCTCCATGGAGTCCATCTGTTGGAACATTCTGTCTACAAACTCCTTTTGTTAGGTAATAATGAGTTTTCCCATTTTAAAAAATTCAGCAAAGACTAGCAGAGCTGCCAACCAGAGCCTCTGATCAACACAGGATAACCAGCAGGAGAGTTGGTGGAATTCCAGACAGTGGTAAGAAAAAAAATAAAAATAAAAAAGACATTTTAATTAGTCTGTGCAGCTTTATCTTGCATAAATGGATACATTCCACTAGGCCAGGGATTCCTAACTTTTTCTATAAAGGTCCAGGTAGTAAACATTTTAGACTTTACAGGCCACAGGGTCTTTGTTGCAACTATTACTTCTTGCCATTAGTGTGCAAAAGCACCCTAGACAATATTTAAAATGAATGGACATGACAGTGTTCCAGTAAAACGTTATTTCCAAAAAAAAAAAAGAAAAAAAAAGGCCAGAAGACCATTGTTTTGCAGATCTCTTGCATGAGGCTTTTAAAGGTATTAAAACATTTTCGCACCCCTGTGCCTGTTTTCCTGAAAGTTTAGAGATCCTGAGTTGGAACACTGATTTGCATTATAAACCTTGCCCTGAACAATTCTCAGCCTGTCCAGATTGCTAAGTTCTGCATGACATTCTTAGTAATGATGTCCCCACTTTCTTCCCTCTGCTCTGAAGCTCATTCTTGTTGAGCTTGATGGCATTTTAGGCTTGACTTTCTCTAGAAGTCTTCACTAGATTCCTAGAAGAGGGAGGCACAGAAGCTCACAAGCTCTAGGTACAAAAGCCTTGAAGCTTTCGAGAAGACAGATAAGCCAGGAAGTGATTCTAGCTCTGCTGTATATCTGTGTAACCATAGTTATTCACCCAACCTCTGAGCAGTGTGAGGCATGGACAGGAGGACTTCAACCAAACTGGGGTTTTCATCTCAGCCATGTTCATCCAGGGGTATCATTGGTCCATTAGTGATGAAGATGTTGTATTAATACTTTACTATGTGTTTTATTCCAGTGTCCGGTTATAATTGTATAAGAAACCATCATAAACTTACCATCTTAAAGCAATAACAATCATTTGTTTTACTCACAAATGTGTCATTTGTGAGGGCTCAATGGGGACTATTCATCTCTGTTTTTCACGGTGTCAGTTAGGGTAGCTTGAAGGCTGGGGTAACTCAATAGCTGGAGGTTGGGCTCCTTTATTCATTCCTTAATGTGCTTGGTGGTTGATTCTGGCTGTTGGCCACAGTATCCACACATGGCCTCTCCACGTGGCTGCTTGGGCTTCCTCACAGGATGGTAGGTGGTGCCAAGAGTGAGCATCCCAAGGGAACAAGGTAGAAATGAGTGATATTTTATGACTGAGGCTTGACTTTACCATATTTTATAGCAGTTGGGGCAGTCATAGATTCCCCTGAGGTCAAGGAGACAGAAAATAAACTCCTACTCACGGAGAGTCATGTCACCATTACCTTGCATCGTGAGCATGAGAGATGTAATATGATGGCTATTTTGGGAAAATTCAGTCTCCCATACAGAATATAACTTGAGCTATTTTCAGCCCATGTTTTACCATCTTCATAATGCCTTATAGTTGAAGTAATATAAGGATACCTCACGTGAGTAGAGGCTGCGGGTATTTAGAAGACCCAAAACAGATGTTAAATGTTCATATGTGCCATTTTCTCTTCCTATAACTATTTTTCTTCTTCTTTCTCTGGGAAACTCCAGCTTACATTTTACTTTTCGGCCTAGAAACTGTTCCTCAAGAACTCTTCCCTAGTAAGTGATCCCATAGAACGCCATGTTTCCCCATCATATTCCTCATCACACTGTATTGTCATTGCCAGCTTATGACTTTGGTCGTGAGTGATAACAGGTAAGGAACCATGCCTGTGTTACTCACCGCTCAGTCCTCAGCCCAGGCACCCTGCCTAACACACAGCCGATCATCAACAATGTACTTATTGAGTGAATGAGTGACCAGTGCTAATGAGTTACTGAATATTGAGAGAATTGGTTGGTACTTCATAAACAATTCTTGAACCCTTCTTAAATAGCAGTCATTGTATTAGATATTGGGGCTATAAGACATGGTCTAGTTGGGGAGATATATGGTTCTAATAATAATTTACATTTAGTAGCTATGTTTTTGCTGTGTATCTCTCATGCTTTTCATGCATTGTGATGGGGATGGTGACATGCCTCTCAGCGAGAGTAGCAGATTGTTTTATTTCAGAACTATGATCATACCATTTGTACTATTTGGTCATTTTTCTCCATTCAATAATATAAAGTAGGCAGTCGTGTATGTGTGTGTGTGTGTGTGTGTGTGTATGCGTGTGTAATCCACATAAGGCTTTTTGATGACTGCATATTATTTCTCATCATTGCTGTCTTCTAATTCATTTGACCAGTCCTGTAATTGATGGGCATCCAGGTTGCCTCTAGGTTTTCACTTCTTATAAGCATTGCATAAATGATATTTCTTCATGTGGACCCATTGCATGTGGCATTGAATTATAGAAATGATACTGTTGAATTGAAGATAGGCCCAATTAAAATTTTGACACAGACCATTAACTGTCACACAGATTTATATTGCCACCAGGAGCATTTGAAAGTGTTCTATTCAATTCCACACACCAGGGATACTATCATCCTTACTCAATATCTGCCAATCCTTTGGGCAACATAGAATATTCTACTGTTGTTTTCATTTGCATTTCTCTTAAGACCTTATCTGGAGAATTATGTTTTTTCAACATAAATAAATAAGAATTGTCCAAGGTAAGAGTTGTGTAGGCTCTGTAAAAACTCCCCAAGTTTCAGTAATTTACAGATTTGAATGGATAAACATCCTTATTGTTCTTAAATACTAAAGTAAGAGCAGATGTAAGAAGAGCTTACACTTTTTATTATATCTGACATTCAATGGGAAACCACTGGAAAGGTTGGAGATTGGGGTGACCAGTGTTTCTGAGATGAACTGAAAACACTTAGCCTCTTTTCTTCTTATGTCCATTCTTCTGTGTATTGATAAAGCCTCCATTTTTCTGACATTGGAATGGGAAGAGATGTTTCAGTCTCAGTCTAGGTTCAATATTACCAAAGTGCATAACATTATATTCAATTTTTGCCTGGCACTTTCTAAGAGATCTCTGATTTGTAGTTGTAGTGATGACTTTCATAATCTATTTTTGGAACCATTGTTTGTATTTTTTAAATGATTAGATCACCTTTAAAAAATATGCTATCATTCCAATCAGGTTGATACCATTTGTTTTTAATTGTTCACTAAAGTATAGCATATATCATAGAAGGAATGTTTGTGCTCCCCAGAATTCATATTTTGAAACCTAGCTTCCAATGTGATGGTGTCTGGAGGTAGGGCTTTCATGAGGTGGTAAAATCATTAGGACTTTACTCTCAGGATATTATGAGATTAGTGTCTTTATAAAAGAGACCCCAGTGAACTCGCTCGTCCTTTTCTACTACATGAGGACACAATGAAAAGACAGCCATTGCCTGTAATCCCAGCACTTTGGGAGGCTGAGGCGGGGTGGATCACAAGGTCAGGAGATCGAGACCATCCTGGCTAGATGGTCTAGCCAGGTGAAACCCCGTCTCTACTAAAAATACAAAAAAATTAGCTGGGCATGGTAGTGGGCGCCTGTAGTCCCAGCGACTCGGGAGGCTGAAGCAGGAGAATGGCATGAACTCGGGAGGCGGAGCTTGCAGTGAGCAAACGTCACGCCACTGCACTCCAGCTTGGGGGACAGAGTGAGACTCCATCTCAAAAAAAAAAAAAAAAAAAAAAAAAAAAAAAAGAAGACAGCCGTTGATGAACCTGAAAAGAAGCCCTCACAGACACCAAACTTGCTGGTGCCTTGATCTTGTACTTCCACCTCCAGAGCTATAAGAAATAAATTTCTGCTGTTAAAAAGCCACCCAGTCAATCATATCCTGTTACAGCATCCCGAAGAGACCAAGAAACATACCTGTAGAAAGGAGTAGTCATAACAAATCTATAGATTGATTAGTTTTCACAAACCAAACACATACACATAACAACACTCAGAGAAACAGAGTTATGACTGGCCACCGGAAGCCCCATGCCCTCTCAGTCATATTCCACAAGGGAAATCACTATCATGACTTCTAATAAAATGCATTAGTTTGTCTCTTTTTTTTTTTTTTTTTTTTTTTGAGATAGAGTCTTACTCTGTTGCCCAGGCTGGAGTGTATTGGTGCAATCTCAGCTCACTACAACCTCTGCCTCCCAATATAACCTTTGTATTTTTAAGAGAGATGGCATTTTGCCAGTTGGCTAGGCTGGTCTCGAACTCCTGGCCTTAAGAGATTCACCTGCCTCTGCCTCCCAAACTGCTGGGATTACAAGCATGAGCCGCTACGTCCGGCCTGTTCTTTATGTAAATGGAATCATAGAGAGTGTACTCTTGTGTGTCTGTATGGGACTCTCTCTTTTTGAATACTGTAATAGATCAACAGCTAACATTTAACAGAGATGCACCAGGTACTTTTCTAAGCACTTTATATATGTTATATTAAACATAGGTGTCTTAACTATGGATTATATGGGAATGTTTTAACTTTTTCTTGAAGTAACTTTATGGTTTGTATACGGATGCCAAATATAGATACATATCTAATTTATCTATTTTATTTTTTTAGAAATAATTTCTTAGAATTAGGAACCTCTTCAGAGCCATAATTGCAAAAAGAGCTCCCCGTCAGCTCTCTTTGCAGTCGAGGTTTGTAATTATTCTTAAAAAGAAAACATATTAAGATGTTCTTAGGACTCTGAGTAGTTATGCCCTCAGATAAATGATATTAAACTAAGCACTTAAAATTAAAGCTATAAAGCATTGGTGATGCCCAGATATATCAGTACTCCAGTTCACCCTAGGTGAGAAGGGCAGTGGGGATTAATAGCCCCCTCTGTCCATTTCCTTTTTAGGAAATGATGACCTATCAGAGAGGACATAAATCACTCCTCTTCCCAAATTAGATTAAAATCCTGAGCTTTAAAACTTGCTTTTACCTGCAGACTCTAATGTTCGACTTGTGGCTTTGTCATTTCCCCACAGGGGCAGCTTCCGCTGGTTTTACAGGACAGAAAAGTTCTGTTTCTATTACTGAAGAGGTTGAACCCTCTGCTGAAGCTAATTCCAAACAAAGTAGGCACCATATCTTCTTTCAAAAGATCCCTTAGGGAATAATTGCAAAGAGATGCTGTGATTAGGTAATTACATGTGTGACTCTGCCCAAGAAACCTGCTTTCTACCTAATTTATACTTTGATTTCCCTCTCTCGTGTCAAAAAGCATATCTAGCCTTATTTATCTGACTACCCTGCACAGAATTTTCTCATCATGTAATTGAAGGTCACTAGAAAATAATACTTTTTTGAAAGCGTGTCTGATAACAAACAAACAAAAAATGGTTAGAATCACTGCTAAATATGAATAATTCTATTTTCCAATGCTAAAAATGCACATCTGTTCCAGAAAGACTTGGACTCACATCCTACTTTTCAAAATGCTTCAGCCATTCAACCCTTGATGCTATGGGCATAAATGAAGTTTAGAAGTTCTATAAGCAGTGGGGAAGCTAGAATTGGACCTTGAGGTCCCCCCCTTTTTTTTTTTTTTGATGTTTGTTAGGAATTAAGATGGCCTTAGGTATTAGTCTGTTTTCATGCTGCTGATAAAGACATACCTGAGACTGGGTAATTTATAAAGAAAAAGAAGTTTAATGGACTCACAGTTCCATGTGGCTGGGGAGGCCTCACAATCATGGCAGAAGGCAAAGGCATGACTTACATGGCAGCAGACAAGAGAGAAAATGAGAGCCAAATGAAAGGAGGAACCCCTTATAGAAACATCAGATCTCATGAGACTTATTTACTACCAAGAGAACAGTATGGAGGAAACCATCCCCATGATTCATTATTTCCCACATGGTCCCACCTACAACATGTGGGAATTATGGGAGCTACAATTCAAGATGAGATTTGGGTGAGGACACAGCCAAACCATATCACCTTACAAGTTCCATGTCTAGTACAGAGCTTGACCCTAAGTGGATGTTCAGAAAGCATCTTCAGAATGAAAAGGGGGGCACAGTTAAGACCTCTGGTAAATTGTACGATAGCTTGTGGGGGGAAAATCACTGTAGTTAGTGGGAAGAATGTGGCTTCTTTGCTTAGGACAGTTGTGGATTTACTGGCTGAAGGAATCACTCACAGAAGTCATTCTACATTAGTGGTCAAAAGCATATGCTTTTGAGTCATATAGATGTAGGCAAATCATTTTAAAGATTGTTGCTATATTTTTAGTATAAGTGTGTCCTGCCCAACATTGACACACACTTATTCTAAAAAATTGTTTATCTGAGATTCAAATGTAGCTGGGCACCTTATTATTGTATTTGTTTGTTTGCTTTGAAATCCTAACTCAGTCCCACTAGTCCCATTTTTGTAATGTTTAGCTTTCAGGCAACAACCGCTGAAGAGGTAAAGAGATTATTTTTGAAGAGTCATGTGATTTTGGCTGCTCCTAGCTGACCTACTAGAGAAAAATCTTAACATTTTCCACAAACTTTTCCATTAAAATAGAGGATAGGTCATTGCTAAAGAACTGGCAGAGCTTCCCAAGACAAAACTTGTGGATAGAGTGGAAACTATGATCTAGCCCGTCCAGTGAGGTAGACTCAAGATCAGGTACATAAACTTTACTGAAAAAATGTGTTTTTTCTCATGGGACGTATTTACTTGAGGAAGTATTTAATCCCTTAGCATAGACCTTTAGGTTTTCAATGAAAATATGATGAGTTGAAACATTTGATATGCTGATGGCATTCTGACTGATACTTTTCATAACAAATTCAGAAGTGAAAAATAATTTGGTATGCTGAAATGGTGGCCTAAAGTGTGAACGATTAACTTAATAGGAACAAATGTAAGATTCCGTACTTGATTCTAAACAATGAACTTTACTAGTAGAGAAGTTGACTAGTAGAGAATGAAGTTTACTAGTAGAGAAATTGGGAAGCCATGATTTAGTAGAGGCATAAATGAAAGCAAGGGTTAGCATTTTAATTTAATTTTAATATCAGTATATTGACTTACCAATTTCATATTTTTTTATATTTTTATGACATATCTTTGAGAAAGGGGTTTGCATGAATCTTTAGGAAGGCTGAATCAAATGATTCAGGGTTGGGGGAGTGATATTGGCAGTTACATGTTGTATTAGTCCATTCTCATGCAGCCATGAAGACATACTTCAGACTGGGTCATTTATAAAGAAAAGAGGTTTTAATTGATTCATGGTTTTGCATGGCTGGTGAGGCCTCAGGAAAGTTACAGTATGGCCGAAGGGGAAGCAAATATGTCCTTCACATGGCAGCAGGAGAGAGAAGTGCAGAGCAAAGGGGAGAAAAGCCCCCTATAAAACTATCAGATTTTGGGAGAACTCATTCACTATCATGAGAACAGCATGGGGAGACTGCCCTCATGATCCAATCACCACTCATGAGGTCCCTCCCCCAACACGTGGGGATTACAATTCAGATTACCATTCAAGATGAGATTTGGGTGGGGACACAGAACCAGACCATAGCATTCTGCCACTTGCCCCTCTCAAATCTCATGTTTCTCACATTTCAAAACAAAATTATGCCTTCCCAACAGTTTCCCAAAGTCGTAACTCATTTTGGCATTAACCCAAAAGTCCAAGTCCATAGTCTGATTTGAGACAAGGCAAGTCCCTTCCACCTATGAGCCTGTAAAATCAAAAGCAAGTTAGGTACTTCCTAGATACAATGGAGATACAGGCATTGGGTAAATATGCTCATTCCAAATGGGAAAAACTGGCCAAAACATAGGGGCTACAGGATCCGGGCAAGTCTGAAATCCAACAAGGCAGTAATTAACTCTTAAAGCTCCAAAATAATCTCCTTTGACTCTGTGTCTCACATCCAGGTCACATTGATGCAGGAAGTGTGTTCCCATGGCCTTGGGCAGCTTTGTCCCTGTGGCTTTGCAGGGTACAGCCCTCCTCCTGGCTGCTTTCATGGGCTGGCAGCGTCTATGACTTTTCCAGGTGCTCTGTGCAAGCTGTCCATGGATCTACCATCCTGGGGTCTGGAGGACAGTGGCCCTTTTCTCACAGCTCAACTAGGCAGTGCCCCAGTGGGGACTATGTGTGGTGGCTCTGATCCCACATTCCCCTTCTGCACTTCCCTAGCAGAGGTTCTGCATGAGGGCTCTGCCCCTGCAGCAGACTTCTGCCTGGACATCCAGGCATTTCCATACATCTTCTGAAGTCTAGGCAGATGTTCCCAAACTCCAATTCTTGATTTCTGTGCATCTGCAGGCTCAACACCACATGGAAGCTGCCAAGGCTCGAGGCTTGCACCCTCTGAAGCCACAGTCTGAGCTGTACCTTGGCCCCTTTTATCCATGGCTGGAGAAGCTGGGACACAGAGCACTAAGTCCTTAGGCTGCACACAGCTGGGGGGCCCTGGCTCCAGCCCACAAAACCATTTTTTCCATCTAGGCCTCAGGGCCTGTGATGGCAGGGGCTACCATGAAGATCTGTGACATGCCCTGCAATTTCCCCATTGTCTTGGTGATTAACATTTAGCTCCTTGTTACTTATGCAAATTTCTGCAGCAGGCTTGAATTTCTCCCCAGAACATGGGTTTTTCTTTTCTATTGCATTGTCAGGTTGCAAATTTTCCAAACTTATATGCTCTGCTTCCTCTTGCAAGCTTTGCTGCTTAGAAATTTCTTCCACCAGATACCCTACATCATCTCTCTCAGGTTTAAGTTCCACAGATCTCTAGGGCAAGGGCAAGGGCAAAATGCCATCAGTCTCTTTGCTAAAGCATAGCAAGAGTGACCTTTGCTTCAGTTCTCAACAAGTTCCTCATCTCTGTCTGAGATCACCTCAGCCTGGACTTCATTGTCCATATCACCATCAGCATTTTGGTCAAAGCCATTCAACAAGTATCTAGTAAGTTCCAAACTTTACCACATTTTCCTGTGTTCTTCTGAGTCCTCCAAACTGTTCCAACCTCTGCCTGTTACACAGTTCCAAAGTCACTTCCACATTTTTGGGTATCCTTACGGCAGCACCCCGCTCCCTCGGTACCAATTTGCTTTATTAGTCTATTCTCACACTGCTACAAAGACATACCTGAGACTGGGTGATTTATAAAGTAAAGTGGTTTAATTGACTCACAGTTTTGCAGGGTTGGGGAGGCCTCATGAACTTACAATGATGGTGGATGGGGAAGCAAATACGTTCATCTTCACATGGCAGCAAGATGGAGAAGTGCAGAGTGAAGGGAGAGACAGCTCCTTATAAAGCCATTAGATCCCATGAGAACTCACTCACTATCATGAGAACAGCATGAGGGGAAGGCTCCCATGACCTAATCACCTCCCATGAGGTCCCTCCCCCAACACGTGGGGATTATGATTTGGATTACAATTCAAGATGAGATTTGGGTGGGGACATAAAGCCAGACCGTATGACATGGTGAAATAGTTACAACTGTTTTCATGAAGCTTTTTTGGTCTCAAGATCTGTGTGCTATTTGAATAAATGAGATGCAGCTGGTTTCCAACGTGTTTTCCTAGCATTGGGGTTTAAAGAAAAAAGTAAAAAGGACCTACCTTGGAAATCATTTCAGAAAACTGATTCTTAAGCAGTGATTCTCGAACTTGAGTGTATATCAGAATCACGTATAGCAGGGGTCCCCAACCTCTGGGCTATGGACCACAGCAGGAGAGTCAGCAATAACCCCCTGAGCTCCACCTCCTGTCAGATTGGTAGTGTCATTAGAGTCTCATAGAAAGTGGCTATGTTGCCTGGGGTATATACCCTGGGGTTTCTTGTTGTGTACCAGGAAAATTTAGGTCATGGACACACACGAGGAGTTTAGGAGTGGAGGTTTAACACGTAGAAGAGAAGAGAAAGAGAAACAGCTTCCTCTATAGAGGAAGTGGTCTTGGAGCAGAAAAAGACCAGCGGGTGGCAGCTGTGCTGAATTTTATAGTCAGGTTTAAAGAGGCAGTGTCTGATTTGCATAGTGCTCACCCATTGGTTCTGTCAGGTATGATGTTTACACAGGGCATGGGCAAGGCTGGTCACCCCACCCTAATCTTATGCAAATGGGCTTTCCAGTTGATTGGCACCATCTTGTCTGCTTCTTACTGTACATGTGGCTGGCAGAGAAAGGAAGACGGAGCTGCCATCTTGAACATGTCTAGTCCTTAGTTCCTGCCAGCATTCACCTGTGCAAGTCTCCAGCTTGCTTGTCTATGTCTGCAGCTCAACTTTACATTTTCTTTGTTAGAAAATTATTTGGGGTTGCTTTTTATTAAAAAGAAAAGCCTTACCAAGGATTCCCATGCCCTTACCATCTGCCTGTGTAATTTCTTCTTAACTCCTGTATCATCAGGAACGTGAACCCTATTGTGAATTGTACATGCCAGGGATCTAGATTGTGTGCTCCTTATGAGAATGTAATGCCTGATGATCTGAGGTAGAACAGTTTCAACCCGAATCCACCCCACCCACCAACTTTCCCCATCCCATGAAAAAATTAGCTTCCACAAAACTGGTCCTTGGTGCTGAAAAGGTTGGAAGACTGCTGATCTATAGGGTTTATTAAAACAGTAGGCCCCCCACCTTCAGCATTTTTAACTCAGAAGTTCAGGGATGAGGACTGAGAATTTGCATTTCTAACTAGTCCCCCGAGTGGTGATGCTACTTTAGATCGTAACGTTCATATTGAAACATTTGTCCTACCTACGGATGCCAATGACCAAGGCATATGTTGGACGAGCACTGTGAGAATAGGTAGAATCAACTCTACTTGAGTGCATTGCCCACACAACTGCTTAGTCTTGTGTGCGTTTAGGGAAAGAACAGGTGGGGAGTGGGGGAGGTACACTTCGCCCAACCATTTGCTTGTAGATCTTCATGGACTCCTCCCAGAGTTCACCTTTGAAGACTAAGGTATGGTAGTGCCAAGAGTGGAGATACTCCTTTATCAGGGCCTCTGGGGTCATGGTCCTGGGCTGTGACCTCAGCACGACATCAGCACAACCAAAACAAACCACAGGCTGGTGTTTAGGTTCTTGTCAAGACCTCATGCATCATTAAACAGAGGGCAACTGCAGAGCTCTCCATTCTGTTTTAAGAAAATAGAAATAGTAACTAGCATTAAACTAAACCCACAAACGCCTGTTCCCTCTTGATAGGGTGGTCACGCTACTGCTGCATTGTTTTGCTTTTTCTTTTTTTTCTGATGCAGCTATAGTACAAGCCGTGACTCATGCTAGGTGCTAGCCTCACAGATATACATAAACATTCACAATCAGGTTTCCAAAGCTGTTTCCTTACTTCCCTTTGTTGCTATTTTACTTTTCATTGGAGGTTGGGCGAGGCAATCTTTAAATGAAGCTATTTTTTCTTTGTCTCTCTGTCCCTCTGTGTCTCTCTCTGTGTCTCACACACATACACATGCACACACACACACACACAGACACACACACACACACACACACAGTCTAGCTGAATCACGAATTCCGTGAGAACAGAGTCAGCATTTGTATATTTTCTCAGAGATCTATTCCTAACCTTAATGCCATACCTAGCACATAGCAGACACACAAAATTTGTGACTGACTGAATGAATAAACATGTATATTATTGCAAGCCAGTTGCAAACAGATATATTGTTGCAAACAGAAGGTTACCTGTTGATCCTTCCTATGTTATCTCTGAACTGCAGGAACTTCATTTTTTCTATGAACCAAATGTAGGTCATCATGAATCAAGCGTCCATAATATCTGTTTGTCCACATATAACCTATTTTATAGCAGAGCTTATATTCTGATGATTTGTAGATTTAATGTTGTTTATTCATCATATCTATCACATTTGTTTTTTAAATATTTCTAAACAGCTGATTAAAGTACAATTGGATGGAGGTAAAAATATTTTTAAAGACGTATAATATAAAAGGACAGTAATTGGATATAGTTATTCAAATGTAACACTTAATTTACTTTGAGTTTTTACTTAACCCTGTAACAATGGAATTGTGTTAGCTTACATAATTTTCATTGTTTAATTGAAAGAAGAAGAAAAAGAAAAAGCAGCTGCAACAGCGGTAGCAACAACACGCCAAAAAACGGAAAGATAATACTTTTTCCACTTGGCATTTATTTCTGGGAAGAATGTATCTTAAGAGCCTTTACTGAAAAGGGCATTGAGTTACACAGGCAATAGCTTTTTCAACAGCTATTTTTCCAGAGGTGTAAAAACAGCCTTTGCCTGGTTACATTGTATATCTTACCTCAGTAAAGACATGAAAAGGAATCGTGATAAGGTGAATGCACTCCTACAGAGCGCTAAGCTTCCTGGCGATTTGACTTGATTCGGGAATAGAACTCAGTAAACTGAGCAGATTAAATGATCAATGTTTCTTTTAGATTAGCCCTCTCAAATATCAATGGTCTCTGCCAGCCTTAGATGAGATAATGAGGTAATTTCAATACTGAGCTTTTGACAGAGTGTCTGAAGTGTAAAGAGTCTGTGGTATTAGAAACATGTCTCAGCATGGCACTGCCCAGCATCAGCAGGGGCCTTCTGAGAGGCCACCGTTGTCCAGAGTCTAAGACACTGGTCCAGTGGGGACACATGAGATGACATGGGTTTGTGTGTGTCTTAATTGCAGTCCTCGAGAAGAGACAAGGATGTGAGTGTGTATAGTTTATTTAAAAGGTGCAGGAAGCATCAGTACTGCACACAAGACAAGGAAAAAGAAAGGAGAGTCAACGTAGGGTGCAGTATTAAGCTATGGTAGGCAACTAAAGTTTAATCCTGTAAGAAAACTCTGGAAGTAATGTAGAAGACACACTTCAGAGTTATCCATCCTGAGGAGGGAGGGAGTTCCCTTCAGCTGGAGGTACTTATTTCAGTGCTCTTGGTTGAGGACTACTCCCAGAAAAAGGGTGTTGATTTGGGAACACTTCCAACCAGAGGGGCATCACACCTGCCACATACACAGGAAGATTCATCTTCTGTGGTTCTGGGAAAAGCCTTCAGGCACAGAACTGCACATCCTGCAATGGGAGGTTGTCTGGAGCACAGTGAAGTGGGGTGCAGTCTGAGGAATTTGGCAAGACACTGACAGCATCTCCTCTGGTGTGGAAAATGGCATTAGAAAGCAGTGGTCACAAGGCTGGGTGCAGTGGCTCACGCCTGCAATCCCAGACATTTCAGAGGCTGAGGCAGATGGATCACCTGAGCTCAGGGGTTTGAGATCAGCCTGGGCAACATGGTGAAACCCTGTTCTACTAGAAATACAAAAATTAGCCAGGTGTGCTGGTGTGCACCTGTAGTTCCAGCTACTCAATAGGCTGAGACAGAAGGAATGCTTGAGCCAGGGAGACGGAGGTTGCAGTGAGCTGAGATGGCACCATTGCACTCCAGCCTGGGTGACAGAGTAAGACCTTAGCTCAAAAAAAATTAAATAAAAGGGAGCAAGGGAGAGGGAGGGAGAGGGAGAGAGGGAGGGAGGGAGGGAGGGAAGGAGGGAGGCCTGTTGACAGAACAATGAATAATTACGCACATACCTAAAGCGAATACTCAGGTGAGATCCCCAAGTACACTCTTTCAAGTATGGGTTAGATATTCTAACTGAAGCAAATGTAAAAATTGAATGTTAACAGTGGGTCTCTTCTATTAGTGTGGTTGTTTGCTGTCTTCTCCAGAATGGATGTTTTTAAGAAGTCCTTTCTCCTCACCGGTTCCCACTAGCTGCAAAGGTTACCCTTACATCCTTGAATCTCTGGATTTTTTAAACCCATTTCTCTAATGCTGCTTATAATATTGTTGATAATATTTGTCACCCCTTGGCTTGTTCAAATATATTTCATTCCACTATAGGTATATTCGCACGTTTTCACGCTGCTGATAAAGACATGCCCTCGACTGGGTAATAAGGAAAAAGAGGTTTGATGGACTCACAGCCCTCACAATCATGGTGGAAGGTGAAGAGGAGCAAAATCGTGTCTCATGTGGCAGCAGACAGGAGAGAATGAGAACCAAATGAAAGGGGTTTCCCCTTATAAAACCATCAGATTTCATGAGACTTATTCACTACCATGAGAACAGTATGGGGGAAAGTGCCCCCATGATTCAATTATTTCCCACCAGGTCCCTCCCACAACGTGTGGGAATTATTAATTCAAGATGAGATTTGGGTTGGGGACGCAGCCAAACCATATCAGTAGGTCAAATGCAAAGCCTGAAATATGGAGAGGAAGACATCAGTATAAATCCTGGTTCCGTCACTTGAATACGTTGCCTTGAGCAAATTATTCCCTTGCAGAATCTCAGTTTTTCCACCTGTAAAATGGAGACGGCAAAAATTAACAGTCACCTCGGGGAGTAATTATGACACCAGAATGAGCTAATAAACATCACTGTTTTGCTCGGTGGTGAGGTTGAGTCCAAACCTTAGCAGTTATGATTGTGGTTGTTGCTGTTGTCCTTACTAATTACTCCATAGATTGATTTGAGTTTTGCAATCAGTTTGATGCCTTGTTCCATAGTTTCTTTTTTACTTCCAGATTTGGTTCAGGTAAAGTTGGCAAAGCAAGGAGAGCTGGATTCTTCTTACCTGCTTCACCTTAGCTGGTTCCTGCTTCATACATCTTTCAAGATGTTTGTAGAAAACTAATCAGCGTCTACGTTTGTTTTCTAATTTTCTTTTGCTCACACATACTGTGGCCACTTGATTACCAATCAGTGCTGTGTTGGCAGGCACATACAGGCCCTATTCCTACTAATCAGAGATGTGGGAAGCAAATGCTGGTGTTTAAAGGGAACCCTTATTTGAGCTCTTGTCCCATGACTCCTAATTGTTGTATTTCTCAAACTCAACCCAGCTGCAAGCTTTATTAGGGAAACATTTATTCAGATAAAAGCCTCAGTTATGAAAGAGGGGTAATTATTTTGCAAATGTGTTTGAATCACTGTATGCTGTAGTGCAACTCATCCCCAAATGGAGAAGGTGCACATTTGGGCTGAAATGTTGCTTTGTAGATGGACAATACAACAAGCATATGACGGGGAACTTCTGGCAAACGATAGGAAAATGGTCAAATGAAAAGACACCAGTAAAATGAGAGATTGGATGAAAAGTGATCAGGAAGCTCTGAAAGCTGACCAGAGTGAACAAAATGCCTAAATTCCGTTCATCCACATTCATTTATTTATTCATTCATTAACCATTGAATATTTTGGGGCTCCTATACATAGTTTGCTCTCAAAGAATTTTAGGTTTTAGTTGGGAGAGAGCAATGAAAATATGTTAACTGCATGCCAACTGGGATCTCCCATTCAGTGAAATCTAGATAGCGTTGGACCAAAACCCTGTTCTGTGCCTTGAGAATGCTCAGTGATATCCATGACATTTCTGGAATTTCACGGGGGTGGGTGCTCACCTACCAAAGGTCCCCTCCTAGCTCTAAGATCAGCTTCTGCTTATTTCGTTGTTTTGCTTCATCATCTTTACATTGCACAATCCACGTGTAGAAAATAGCCCTTCCCTTTCCTTTGTGCGCCAAAATTTACATAAAGCATTGTGTGGATAGCACACTTTATTGAAATTCTAGAAAGTTGTATTTGGAGATTGTATCAACTCCCAGTGGAATATTAAACACGGCTATTCTTAAATGTCCTCCAGGCACCAGGCACATTTTCTTTTGTTGCTTGTACCGAGCTCTCTATCTCTAACCACCTCCGAGTTTTCTTTTTCCATCCCTGTTCCCATCTCTCCTTCTCTTAATGTTCTGCCCAGTATATGGGGGCTATCACATGGCATGATTATTCTATATTCTTGCTCCCTCATTGAGTTCCAGTCTCAAGCACTTATATTCATACCCAGGAAGTTGTTCTCCAGAATATAACAGTTCTCTTCCATTTAAAAGAAACTTCCCTCAGTGGTAATTCAAGGAGTTCTTCATATATCCTGAATATAAGTCTGTCAGATGCATGAATTACAAGTCTCTTCCCTTTGTGTCTTGTCTTTCACTTTCTTAATGGTGTCGTTTGATAAACAGATGTTCTGTATTTTAATGAAGGCTAATTATTTATTTTTCCTATCAGGCTTATTGCTTCTTGTGTCCTGTTTAAGAAATATTTGCATACCCCAAGGTCACAGACATTCTCCACTAGGTTTTCTAAAAGCTTGCTTTTCGTAGGTTTCATGATTAATTTTCATCTTAAGTTAATTTTGTGTATGGTGTGAGGTAGAGGTCAAGATGTATGATTTTTCCAGTTGCTGCCGCAAAATGTATTGAGAAGATCACCCTTTCCGTCACTGAATTGCAGCCATAAATCAAATAACCAATATGTGTGATCTATTTCCGCACTGTCTTTCCCTGGTCTTTATATTTAACCTTGTGCCAATATGAGGGTGGTAAATTTTAATCATCTTCCTTTTTATGTAGGCATTTAAAACTATCCTGTTATAAGTGCTCTGGTAATAGAAATACAGACTATAACACACGCCAGAGGATTTGACCTAAGGGAAGAGGGTCAGAGTTGGCTTTCTGAGCGGATGTGCCATTTAGGTGGAGAAGTACTTTGTGCGTCTGCATTCTAGGGCATGCCCTGCTTGGCAGTTTTCTCATTTTATGATGGGTCCTGTGATGTGGCCAATGTGAACCATGCTGTATGTGCACTGGCCTGGAATAGATAACAACAATAAAAGAAGGAAGATGCCCAAGAAGAAGTCAAATAACCTCATTGTAAAGATGTGAAATTGAGGTTTAAAGAGAACATGTGATATGCCCAAGGTCACAGAGTTGATGAGTTACAATGCTGGGATTGGAACTCAGGTTTCCCAATAGATCCACCCTCTTCCCATGACCCTGCATTGCCTGTAGGTACAAATGCTCAAAGTTGCTGAGCTATAATGTGGTGATGCTTGGACTCGTACTCAGTTCTGTTTAACTTCAGAGTCTGTGCTCTACCCCGTATCCTTGATTACCTCCTTGGAAAAGCTGAATTTATTTGTATGCCTAACTAAGAATGAGCTAATTGATTCCCATTTTAATATGACAGCTCTGCCTTAGCACTATCAATATGTGTCCAAAAAATCTTATGGTGCATGACTAATTGCACTTTGGAATCGTATACATTTAATTATATATTTGATTTGAGAGTTTAGCATTTACAATTATTGTCATCTCCCACTTACTGAGCTTCCATTCTTCCATTCTGATTGTCTCTGTTACAGACTTTTTTTCTCATGCATAGAGAAGAAATAAAGGCACAATTTCCTTTTTCCATATTTATGTGTTATATATTCCTTTAGCATCATGAGCCACATATGATAGTATTGCTAGATCAGTTCTCATAATGTACCCTTTGCAGGATAGACTGTGAAAATCTAATTTTGGCAAAATGACTGAAATCCCAGTGAATGATTTTTTCTTTTCTTATATAAACCTAAGCATCCAATAGTGAAAGTTTATATGACTCAAATGGAAGAAGAATTCATGACAAAAGGTGTGATTATTCGCATAAGACCCTGAAATTCCTTTCTGGGTGAAATAGGCCCTTTCTTCCTTCCATAAGAGGCTCTGACTGATGAGTTGGCTTTTATTAGGCAATGTATGTCTGATGCAATATCTGTGGATAAAACCACCAGCCCCTATCAAGTCAATCAAATATTTACTGAGCACTTATTATGTCCAAGACACTTTGGAGAACAAAGAAATATAACCTGGCCTTGCCCTTCAGGCTGTATCAATTGAGATAGAATTTGGACTGCTGCAATCAATTACACAGATGTCTCTCAAGGTAGTGTCTTGATGCTTGAGGGAAACAAGACAAAATGCTATTAATAATGACTTAGTTTTCTTTGTCAAGCAATCGGCTTGCCACATCATTGAGGTAACTTCACATTTTCTTGCATCTTTTACAATTAGCAGCTTCAGCTGACTCTGCAACCTGTTGAGAAAGAGGGCCCAGGCAATGTTGTCCTTGGCATCTTATTCAGGTCTGGCTTCCACTGCAGTGAATGCACTCAGATAGCCCTTTATCAGCTGAGTCCCCTTGAGATTAAGTATTTAATGTCTCTTGATCTCCAGCCTTAGGAAATAACCCAATTCATTACTCAGCCATTATGTAATTCATTACTGTCATTAGAGATCAGGAGAATCGTCTTAGGAGAACTGAGAATACAAGGCAAACCACACCTTTCTTTGTCCAGCATGATTAACGGACTGTGGAAGGGCCCTAATTTGGAGTTCCATTCATGGGATTTGGTTTTATGACATCCTCCAGTCCCAGGCTTCTGGTATGACTTGCAGAGGCATTGGTTAACCTGGTGGAAAATGGATTACTACTCAACGTGTTTACCGATACTGTGTGTCTGTAGTGGGCTTTGGTGGACTCCTTTATGGGATTGTTGATCTCTCAACAGAACAGAGAAGTTGGTCAGGAAGGTTATTAAGGGAGAATGCATAAGGGAGCTGCTTTTTCTAGACTGGAGTGAGGGTCATGGATTGCTTCCCAGGGAACATTTGGCAATGTCTGGAGATAATTTTTTGTTGTGACAGTGTGGACCAGGAGTGGGAGGAGAACATGACTAGCATCTAGTGGGTGAAGGCCAGGGGTGGTGTTAACATCCTACAATATACAGGACTGCCTATCATAGCAGAATTATCTGGCCCAAAATTTCAGCAGTACCACTGTTGAGAAACCCTGGGTACCTGCCCATTACTGCTCCCTTCTAAAACAACACATATTTCTTCATAGGCCCTTGTGAATTTATTTGTTTTATTTGATGAGAGAGAGAAAGAGAGAGAGAGAGACAGACAGAGACTGATACATTTGTACCTATCTATCTATTTACAACTTCTCCATTCCCTACTTCATTTCACAAGGTATTAGGTAAAGCAGGTATATAAATAACACTCAATAAAGTAGTTAAGAGAAATTTTAAAAAAATACACAGGGGGAAATACAAATTAAAGTAGGCAGTAGCAACTGTAGAAAATATATTATACTGGTAATCTGACAGTCTGACTTATAATTGCTGTCATTTTCTTTGAGCTTCCTGAGAGCCAAAACAAAAATAGAAACAGTCATTATACTTTTTGTTATCCATGAGGAGAAAACAGTGTAGAGAAAGCTTTTAATAACACAAAGACATTTCTCAAGTAGAACTTAATGTAAATAAGTGTTGGCAAAGGACAAGATAGTAAATATTTTCAACTTTGTGGGCCATGAAGTTTCTGTGGCAGTCACTCAACTGTGCCCGTGTAGTCCCCAAAGTGTCCACAGACAATATGGAAACAAATGGGTGTGACTGTGTTCTAATAAAACTTAATACAAAAAAACAAAGGGTCAGATTTGGCTCTTGGACCATAGTTGGTCAAGCCTCAGTGTAGGTCTTCAGAAACACTCCTGGATCAAGTACGAAATGGATATTAAGATGATGTTTCCTAGGCCACTGACTGAAACCGAGAGCTTTCCCTTACAGGGTGCTAAACGACTTTCTGCACCATCGGTAGTTTCTACGAGGATGGAAGAACAATAACAATAATAACAAAATATCTTCTTAGGGCATTTACTGTGGTGCATATCAAGGATTTTGTGTTTTTTTTCTTCGCGGTTGTTTAGTTTTGCTTTGGGTGACACCCCTTCTCATTTGCTGTGAAGATACCGCAGGATGATAAACTCCCTCTTCTATACTAAGTCCCATCTGCAAGGAAAGGAAACTTCACTCTGCTCCTTCCATCTTGCTGAATATTTAAAGGGTATTGACACAAGGCGTTTTGATAGGCCAAAAGTATTATTATCCTAAAAAATATTTCCTGTGATTTAGGCACATGGAGAGGCACCGTGTTAGAGAGTCAAGATAAAATACCTACCTAAAGACTCTTCCTCTGAGTCATTTCCTAGGGACACTCTCAGTTCCTTTGGTGGCCACAGTTTGGCTGTCATTTCCTCTGTGAATTCTTCTACGACTCTTTGGAGGAAGGATGTGGTCTTCACCTTTGTCCTTCCGTATGTTTTGTAATTCTGAATTTTATAGCACTTCTCCTGGCGTCTTATAACTTTATATTTCTCTTTCCCCTGATCAACTGAGCTTCTTGAGGGGACAGTATAAGTCTTTCTGATCTTTTGCCCTCCCCTGTGTCTTTTGCAACATGTAGAACATACTAGATTTCCATAACTATTTGTTGATTAAATTAATGACTAGATGGATGGATGGATGGATGGATACATGGATGAATGGAGGGAGGGAGGGAGGAAGAGAGGGATGGATAAATGGATGTGGGAGGGAAGGGTGGAAGGATGGAATAATGGAAAGAAGAACATCAGCAGCTTCTCAAAAATGTAAGTTCTAACATAAGTAGTAATATTACTTATGAAATATTTTATTGATAGTCAAGCACCCTGATTAAACTTGTCCTATTTCATCATATAAAATTAAGCTTAATCTTCATTTAGGCCAGGTGTGGTGGCTGATGCCTGTAATCCCAGCACTTTGTGAGGCCAAGGCAGGCAGATCACTTGAGGCCAGGGAGTTCAAGACCAGCCTGGCCAAGATGGCAAAACCTCATCTCTACTAAAAGTACAAAAATTAGCCTGGCGTGGTGGCCTGTGCCTGTAATCCCAGCTGCTTAGGAGGCTGAGGCGTGAAAATTGCTTGAAACCAGGAGGTGGAGGTTGCAGTGAGCCAAGATCACACCACTGCACTCCAGCGTGGGTGACAGAATGAAACTCTGTCTCAAAAAAAAGAAAGAAAAAACATACTCATTCAGTAACAAAACAAAATCTCAAGGCAACATATCTGATTTATGGTTCACTAACATAAATACATATGCCTAGAAATTCACTGAACGTCAAAATGATTTATACATACAATCACTAGAGTGAAGTTGAAAGTGTTTTAAGCAGAATCTGCATTTAAAATGCATATATATTTATTAGAAAGGATGCCATAACAGATTGGATACATACAATCAAATTGTTGCTAATAACACTAGGCCAAAGTCTTTATAAGTGCGCACGCCTGTGTGTGTGTGTGTGTGTGTGTGTGTGTGTGTGTGTGTGTGTGATGTTGTAAGAAAGTTTAAGGCTATCTCCCTTCCTTATTCCTCTCTCTGATTACTGTCAATGCTAGCTAGTTGATGTCAGTAATGACAAGTTTGTATTTTAATTTTTAAGCTTGAGTGATCCATCACACCTCAACCAGAGTAGGTGGTTATTCCTACTACCTGCTTGGATGTCAAATGCATCAGTTGGCAATTTGTATTTCTTCAGCTTTCTCTCCCTCCTATTTTCTGTGTTTATTCTGTCTATCTACTTATTTCTTACACAAGAGTGACCAAGAGTGTGTACCCAGGAGGTGACGGTCAAGAGTATAACGTTTCAGAATTAAAAAATATTATAGTTGCAAACTGGATATTTTGGATAATACTGGAAAAACGGAAATATTAGATCATGAAATCAGATATTATCCATACTTCTGTGTTAACTACGATAATTATCTTAATTTGATGTTTCGGTTTTTCCATTTGCTTATTGTATGTAATTTTGACACATCTGCCTTAATTAATAAGAATGGTACAAAATTAAGTAAATTTTACAAAAAGACATTTTAAAAGAACTCTTTATTCAAGGAGGAAACTTAACAAATTTAATTTTCTTTGATATAAAATATCAAAAGCCATAACTAGATATTTTATTCAAATATTAAGCTTGCAAGTTTGGGAGTAGGGGTGGGAATCCCACTACAGTCAAATTATTTTGATGTTACTTTCCAGGCTTAGAGTTTATCTTCCATATTTCCAATGAGAATCAGTTCCTCAAGTGGAATTTTATGATAAACTGCTGAAAGTAGTATTTAAAATGGAAACCCTGACAAGAATGAGTGTCACAGGGAGTAATGAATTCATGATGGAACTAGTTGGGAGTGTGTGACATTTTAAGTGCCTCATCACTCTGAATTCACTGGGCATTTATTGTAATAGAAAGGACCATATTGAATTCATTTGGCATTCATGTGGACTTCACATGTATTTATGGAGATGTAACATGGTAATTTAATATTTATTCTACTAAGCATTCTTTAATGGACATTGAAAGATATTGTCATACAATGCTTAGTAAAGCCGGTAACTCTAACGTTATTCTTCTATCAAAACAAAGAAATGAAACACCATTTTGATTCCCAAAGCACCCGAGTAAGTTATTTGGATAAGCCAACATTATGTATTTACTCCCCCAAATCTGCTTTCTAAATTTTTAAGCCACAAGGTTGACTCTAGGACCAAGACAATAAAGCAGAAGTTCAGTTTAGGATTCTTTATATTCTAAAATTGTCTGCAAATACATTAATCTCAGTCTAAAAATATTAGGGGAAGATTTTCTTGGAACATCAGCAGTAAATTTAACACATGGCATGCCTTCAATAGATTTCTCTTCTTCCCCCTTTAGAGTTCAGTTTGCTGTCTTCATCACAGTCCCAAAAAATACATTTGTGTTTCTTCCTTGAAGAAGAATTATTTTTAGAACAAACACATCATTATTTGGGAACAATCAAAAGATCAAAGGCATAAGAATCTTTGCTGGAAAGTGAAGGAAGAGTTCTTCAACCAACCAAAATGACAATCTTTTATTTTTATTCTAAGAACAGAGTTGTTCCAGGACACAGCCTAATGCAAACTCTGCTACTAGTCACTTTCAAAATGTTGTCTAGAATGCCTTGTTTTTAAATTTTCTCTCAGTTGCCTTCTTTACACCACTCAAAAGCAGAACCTTTATTACAAACACACCAAAAGGTACCATATAACTAATCTTCCTGGTTTGAATGTAACCAATGTTCAAATATGATTGTAGAGTATTAATTATTTTGACATCAATTTACTGAACACATTTTAATGAGGACCAGAAGGAAAGACAAAGTTTACTTACTTTCGTGATATATATCTGGTCCAGACCTTGTAAGTAATAGCACTTTCAAACTTACTATAGAAAATTCAGTGACTGTAAACATCTTTCAACTCTACATTGTGAGAGAGTTTTCAAATCTTTGGCAAATTACCCTGTGTAAACCTCCTTATGACCCAAAGAGATATTTTGAATGAGGGGATGTATTAGTTTCTTAGGGCTGACATGAAAAAGTACTGGGTGACTTAAAACAGAAACTACTTGTCTCATAGCTCTGGAAGCTAGAAGTCTGAAATCAAAGTGCTGTCAAGGGCCACACTACTTTCAGAGTGTCTAGGGGAGGATTCGGCCTCACCTTTTTTAGGTTCTGGCAGCCCCAGGTGTTCCTTGGCTTGTAGCTGAATCACTGCAATCTCTGCTTTGTTCCTCACACAGTGTTCTCCCTGCGTCTCTGTCTTCACATGGCATTTTCTTATATGGACCCCACGCATACTGGAATAGGTCCACTCTAACGGCTTCCTCTTAACTCGATGACATGTGCACAGATTCTATTCCCAAATAAGGTCACTTTTGCAGATTCCAGGGGTTAGGAGTTGGACGTTTCTTTTAGGGGGACACAATTCAACCCCTAAATGGGGATCTCCTGACAGTTCTTAATAGGGTCAATATTTCAATGCGTGCATTTGTTTTTTATAATGATCTTTTCTATGATACTGGGTGAGATAAAAACCAACTTATTTGCCTTTAAGAGCTTCTTTGTTTTCTGCCATTTGTGCTAGCAACAGTCAGAGAAAACTTTTTTTTTATAGCAAATTGTTTTTCTCAACACATTCTGTCTGGAAAAGAATGTTCTCTAGTTACCACCTCTTTGGTCTAAGGGCATCTCCTTGGTTTCTGTGTTACAGCCTCTTTGTGTTAATTATAAGTTGCTTTGCTTTACAGACTCAAAATGAATGTTACAGTGACTGATAAAAGCCAGGATCCTGAGTTCAAGATCCTGACCAATTGGGTGCTTCATTTGAAATCAGAATCTGTGTTCACTGTGGTTTACTTGGGGTATGTGTTAGATTTCTCTTGGTTGCAAGCAAAAGGAATTCACAATGGTTAGTATCAAGCAGGTAAGAAAAGGGAAGAAAGAAGATTGTTGAGGTGTGTCTTAGTTCACTAGGGCTCCTATAACAAAGTGCCACAAACTGGGTGGCTTAAACAAAATAAATTTCCTGTCAATCTCTTCTAGAGGCTGGAAGTCTAAGGTCAAGGTGTAGGTAGGGCTGGTTTCTTCTGAGGGCTGTGAGGGGAATCTGTTCATGCCTCTCTCAGCTTCTGGAGGTTTGCTAGAAACCTTTGGCATTCCTTAGCTTATAGCCGCATCATCCCAATCTCAACCTTCCCTTTGCATGCCAGTCTCCCTGTGTCTATGTCTGCCTCTGAGTCCAAATCTCCCATTTTTTTTGGTAAGGACGTGGTATGGTTTGGCTGTGTCCCCACCCAAATCTCATCTTGAATTGTAGCTCCCATAATTCCCACGTGTTATGGGAGGGACTGGGTGGGAGATAATTGAATCATGGGGGTGGTTTCTACCATACTGTTCTTGTGGTAGTGAGTAAGTCTCAGGAGATCTGATGGTTTTAGAAGTGGTCTCCCTATTCGCTTGGTTCTCATTCTCTTTTTCACTTGCTGCTGATGTAAGATGTGCCTTTCGCCTTTCACCATGATTGTGAGGCCTCTCCAGCCACGTGTAACTGTGAGTCCATTAAACATCTTTTTCTTTATAAACATGTCTTTATCAGCATTGTGAAAATGGACTAATACAGGATACCAGTGATACTGGATTAAGGTCTACCCATGACTTTATTTTAACTTGATTACCTCTGTAAAGACCCTATCTCCAAATAAAGTCACTGAGAGTTAGAACTCCCACATCTTTTTTTTTTTTTTTTTTGGTGGTGGTTGGCGAGGACAGTGAAACCCACAGCAGTGAGAGAGTTGTATGCACATGGACACAAAAGAGCATCTGATCATAAAGAGAAGGAAACCAAACCTGTCTGGGCACTGCAATGTGTGAATCTAGAACTCTCCAACTGCTATGCTTCAGCTTAGATGTTGCGCATCACCATATTTCTGTGTCCTGAATTTCACATCTTCGAGAAGAATTTTATTGGTCCAGTTGAGCCCAGATACCTTCCCTTGGCTCAATCTTCAATGGCCAGGGAGTGAGGGCACAGGTCACAATGGCCATGTTTTGAGGGATGTGCAAGTTTGTGTGTGTGCTTGTGTACATGTGTGAGGATTTTGTCCTCTACAAAAGTCAGTGGAATCATTGTGAGACTGTGAGCTGGCAAGAGGATATCTCCTTCCCCCACATCCCTCACCCCATCCCAATCTCTGGAGAGGAAAGACTGCCTGTGCTCTCAAAGAAGAAGTGGCTTTTCATTGATTCAGAAAGAAATGTCAGTTGATATCTGCTTCCTATAAGGTGTTCTGTCCTGAGCTGGAGGTATAGATACAAGAAATGGGTCCTGATATTCAGCTATTGGCATGGGTAAGACTGAAGTAGGAAAGGACTTTTCATCTCCTCCCAAGCCGAGGACACAGCTCACCATGAGGTCGTTGGGTACGCTGGCTTCATCTAAAAGAACCACATTTAGGTTCTTATGCGAGACCACGGCATGAGCTCAGTCCATGGCAATGAGTCCTATTTTGTTGAGATGCCCAAGCAGGAGTTTCCTTACTGCCAGCATCTACAGGGCTGCCATGTGCTCCCCACAACTCTCCCAGGCTTGGCTCAAGTGCAGGGAGGCCCAGGTAACTCCAAAGAGAGGGTCCATTCATCATGGACCCAGGCTTTCTCTGATGTCCATAACTGTCTCCCCCTGGGGATTTTGATGAATATTCAAGGACATAAATTCACACACGGGCTCAGCTGTTGTACACCCATGGGAATCAGGAGGCTCAGTATATCTTCCTAAGTGTTCCATTTCTTTCCCAGGAGCCACAGAAGTGCAACAAAGAGATGAGCCCCATAAACCACTGCATGTGTGTGTTTGTCATTTTTCTTTAGTGCAAGGTTTACAAGACTCCCTCCCAACAGGGTCGTCATCTCAACACATGTCACTTGGCTATACGCTTCACTGGAACATTGTGTTGTGCTGGGGCTGAATTAAATGTGCAATTACTGCACATTTTCTCGAAAGGAGTTTTGACAATGATAAATGCATAGACATTTTTCCACACTCAGACAACGTGACTCCTTGCTCATCAAGTGGCTCAGGATTCACTTTGAAGAACTGGTCTCTTGTTAACAGGAGAACGTGGGTGCTGCCCGAGAAGCGCATGGGCCTGAGTTCAAGTGCCACTTCTACCTGTCATGTACCATCTGAGCGTGGGCAGCTTTCTTACTCCTGCTAGCCCGAGTTTTCAATGAGCAATCATTGCACCTCTGATAAACCTCATTGGCTATGGTATTTCTATATGCAAAGCTGAGACAACACTTGGAAAGTAATTACCATAGTCCCTGGTTAATAGTAAGCTTTCAATGAGTGTTGGCTAGCATTCATGCCCGTAAGTTATCCTCTTGCCTAGAGCAGTGATGGCTCTAATGTGAGTTCAGATCCCTACAATAGGAGAAACAGTGCTTGTTGCTTTTCAAAAAGCAGAGAATAACCATAACTTTTCTACAGATCCTTGAATATAATAACAGTAGCTAATATCTGTTTACTTATTACCTGCTAGGCAATGTGATCAATTTTCTGTGGATCAGATGATTCAATTCTCATACAAACCCTGTGAACTTTTTGGTATTTATTTTACATATTAGGAATCCTGGTGGGCCAACTGCAGCCCACTGGCCCCTCCAGGTCCACTGTCCACCATTCTCTACTCTCTGGTGCCACAAGATGCTTATCTGTATGAAGCCTTAGGAAGGAAACCAGAAGAACTGACACCCTGTCTTGTTCTCCCTCCACCTCTGATTCCTCACTAGTGCTTCTAATTTACTGAAGCCAGCTGGAAACCAGAAGACAAGGCTGCCAGGTGCTCTGACAAAGGACGGAGCAGGGTATAGAAGGGAGAGTAAATTCAGAGGACTAAGCAAATGTACTCAGCACATCTGCTTGTGAACATACTGCCAGCAAGTGCCATTTGTTTTAAGCGATAGAGAATTAGATATCCTCTTTGCTGTACTGTTCCAAACTGCTTATTTCTTTCTCCTTCTTTTTCCTCATAGACTATGATCTTTTGATATTATAGCAGGAAACTTGGCGTGGGCTAGCATCTTGGTGTAATCCAACCTCTCTTAGATTTGTGGATATTTCATTGTGAAAAGGTCAAGATAAAAAATACATTACTAAATATCCATTTATCCTTTATTTTCTCATCATATACAGAAAGGTTATTGCCAAATATGGCCATAAAGGTTTTATTGCTCCAATTTTTATAGCAAAAACAGATACACTTCTTAATGAATTTTGGTTTATTAGATCACCAGTGACCAACATGGGGTTTCTAGCTCTTAGGAGACCCTGATGGTGGCAATGAAGGTCTGCAAGCTATTTTAAATATTTCAGAAAATCTAATATAATCTTACTTTTACAAATGATAAAGCTTCACAAACAAAAACATCAAGATGTTTTGCTTTTGACTGAAATGATATTAGCTCTGCATGGTGAACTTAGTAATTTAATTCTGATCAGCAGCTCTGGTTGGCAGTTATATGTGCCTTTGATTAATAAAACATGGGTGAGAAAATAAATTATTACTTAATCTGTGCAGTTTGCTAGATAAAGTCTTTGAAAACCTGGAGTCAATTGGATGGAAAATAATGAACTGGGTGCTCAGTGGTGAAATAATAAGCACAATACCAGCTTGGCATGTCTCACATATGTAGGAAAGCCAAGACAGGCTTCCAGATGGGCCGAGATCTGATAAACAATTCCAGTCAATTATTTGTTTTTAGTAATAACAACGACAATAATAATGATGATAGTAGGTAACAATTATTAAGTGGCCAGACATAGTGCTGAAATGCTCTGCATGTAATATTTTATTTCTTCCTTCCAATAGACCTAGGAGGAATGCACTCTGATTATCCCTTATTTCAGGTTGGTCTCCTTCAGAAGCAGACTCAGACATTTATGGGCTCAGATAGTTTATTTGGGAGGTAATGCCAAGAAGCACTGTAGGGAATGAAGAAAGTCAGCTGGGGAAGGCAAGGAAGGCAACACCAGGATGCACTGAATGGTAGATTGTCTCTGTGGGCACCTGGGATGCCACCCCCCTTGGCACGTCTGGGGACAGTGTAGAACACACCTTTGAGTTGTACCACACAATCAGTGAGGAAGCTGGGTATTGCTCTTCCGACTCCTGTTTGTAATTAGTTCAGAGCTGCTTTCAGGGAAGTCGACTTCCCGGAACTTCCAGTTCACCCTGTGGAAGGGAAGGGGCTGAGCATGTTCTGGTGGCTAGAGAAAGCCCTCAGGTACAGAGATACAGGGGTTTCCAGAAAGCCTCTGGTGACGCACAAGGATGTGAGCACACAAGAACAGTACCTGCTGCACTTCCGTCCTACAAGAGAGGAAGTCAAGAATTCATGAGTTGAAATAACTTATCCAGAGTCACAAAGCGCTTGTGATGGTGTGCTCTTCCAAAGAATTTTTTTGCTCCCTGTGTCTGAAGGCTACCAATGTCCAATAATGTACCAAATGAGCCCTTGTTCTTAGAGTTTTTTTAAACAACAGCTTTATTGAGATATAATTCACATACCATACTATTCACTCTTTTAAAGTGTAGCACTCCATGGTTTTCAGTCTATTCACAGAATTGTGCAACCGTCGCCACAATGAACTTTAGAATATTTTTTAAATCTCCTGGAAAAAAAAAAAAACACTATCCTGAGTCATACCTCATTTTCCACCATTATATCCTCAGCTCCTGGCAGCCACAAAATCTCATTCTGTCTCTGTTTCATTCCCTTTTATGGACATTTTATAGAAACTGAATATAATATCTGATCTTTTGTGCCTGCCTTCTTTCACTTAGGATAGTGTTTTAAATGTTCATCCCTGTTGTAGCGTGTATCAATACTTCAGTCTTTGCATTGCCAAATAATATTCCATTGCCTGGATATATCACATTTGTTTATCCACTTATTGCTCAATGAACATTTTAGTTGTTTCCACTTTGGGGCGATTTTGAATAACGTTGCTGTGAAAATATGCCTATAATCTTTGGTGTGGATATGCACCTACCTAGGATTAGAATTGCTAGGTTATCGGCAACTCTATTTTTAACCTTTTGAGGAACTGCCAGATTCTTTTTCCAAGCAGTCTTAGAGTTTATTGATGATTTTAATTTGCTGTTTAATTAAGCAAGATGCCTGCCTTACACTGTTTGGCAAAGGAGAAAAATCAGCATCAGGCACTTGCAGACATAGATTTCCAGAATTCCTAAAACATTCAAGAAGGATGTTATCGGTACATGATCAGAGTTGAGTAGGTTCTGGATTTTAATGCCTGTACTTGCTTTTTACTTATAAATGATTAATACTTTAGCTTCATAATTATCCATTTAGTTTATGATTATGGGTTGCCTGGTTAACCCTACTGGGTGTAGTGATGCATGCTTTCATCAGAAACATTTTTGGCCTGCAGTTTCTAAGTAGCCAGATTTTAAAGCATATACAGGTGGCAGTTCATTAAACATGCATTCGTTTTTGTTTTTATTTGGCACCTACTGTGAATCAGTCACTGTGTTAGGTGCTGTGAATACAGTGGGGGGACAAAAACAGATACAATTGTGTTAGAGAAAAATAAACTTTGAAGGAAACTGCACTAGAAGATACAGCATTTAGTCATTGCTGGGATTCTCTTCATTGCAAGCAGCTACTGCATTCCGATTATTCACCCTGAATCTAAGGCAAGCTCTGCTCTAAAATGTCACACAAGAAAGAAGTGGAAAACCTCTTCTCCAGGAGGGGTTTGCAATGTAAATAAAGAGACAAAGAATGCCTTAGGTGTTTCCTCTACCTAGCATAATCAAATACTACTATGAAATATGCAAGAGTCTGTGTCATCACTGACATTCAGTCTTGGATTTATTTTTTTTAACTCTGTGTACTAGACACTGCCTCTTGGATGTCCCATAGTTCATTGAACTCTCCAAGTGCAAAGTTAAACTCAATCTCCCCACCAACCTCTAACCTCAACCCAGCCCCAGACTTTTTTTTCCAGTGTATGCTTTCTATTTTAGCAAATCAAGGGTGCTACTCACCGTGCTGTTGCCAAAACCACAAACATGGGCATGATTCTCGGTGTTTCTGTAGGCTTCTCTCACCTACCCTCTAGTCAGGCAGGTCTTCATCATTTAACCTTCTACTTCTCTCTGACAGATTTGCTTCTGTCTATCCTCATCTTCATCCTAGATCTAAACCACCATTATCTCTTGCCTGCAACCTTTTATTCCTAATTCTAGTCTTTAATATCTAATTTCTGCTCCAAATGGCAGCTGAAGGATTATTTTCAAGCTCAGATGTATCCTGCCACACCCTTTGGAACTCCTCATGGATCGTTATTACCCCCAGGTTTAAGTCCATTTTCTTTAACATATCAGAGCCTTGCTCCAAATGGCAGCTGAAGGATTATTTTCAAGCTCAGGTATATCCTGCCACACCCTTTGGAACTCCTCTTGGATCATCATTACCCCCGAGTTTAAGTCCATTTTCTTTAATACAGCAGCGCCTGTCCTTCATGACCCAGCCCCTGATGCCATCTCTGGTTTTATCTTTACCCACTCCCTTAGCAGATGCTTGTGTTGAGCAGAGCCAAACCAAATCTCTTACTATCCCTAGAATGTGCCAGGTTCTTTCACATTGGAAAGTTTGCATAAGATGAGCTTTGAAAAGTACTTTTTCAATAACTTGTGTCTCAGTGGATTTCTATTAATTAGGATATGGGTTTGGATGCCATAGCAAAGATTCAAATGTCAGTGGCTTCAATAAGATAGATGCATATTACTCTCTCAAGTGATGGTTCAGGCAGGAGCAGTTCTAGATTGACATGGTGGCCCCACTGTGTCACTTAGAGACAAAGTGGAGACAGGGGTGGAGAGACATAAATCTATCTGAGAGATGTGTAGGAAGCTGAATCTTTAAAACCTGGCTTCCCTCTTATTTTATGGCATTTGTGGAATGTATCCTGTGTCCTCATGGCCCCAGACAACTCACCACCACATCCACATTCTATCCCAGTCAGTGGGAAAGGGGAAAGGGGAGCCATATCCCTTCTCTTGAAATACACAAGTGGAAAGTTGCATCTACCACCTCTCCTCATATCTTCTTGGCGAGCTGTTGACCATATGACTAAATCTAGCTGCAAGGAAAATCAAGAGCTATTGGTCTTTCTTTGGGGGACAAATAGAAGTTTCTGGTAATTATTTTATGTAAAACTAATCCGAAGAAATAAGTACATTTTCCTTCCAAACATGGCAATCCTGGCAGGGTTGTGGGCACTGGAATCACACCATTTTTTGCTAACTAAACAAATTTCCAAGTCAACAATGTCAGATATTGGAAGTTCAAGATAGATAAAGGCCACTAGTATGTTGGCAATAGCATGCCCTCTTTACAAATGATAAAATTTAGAGAAGTCAGGTGCCTCCCAAGTACCCATAACATGTACACGCCCCCCTGCTATCTTCTGAATCCACCCTCTGTGCTGAACAAACATGCAGGGCAGTATACTTTAGTGATTAAGAACACCAGCTTTGGACTCAGAAAGGTCTGGATGCATAATCACTTATTATTGTGATATTTACAAATTCCCTAAGTTTTCTGAGCTTTATTTTCCCACAAGGATGTTATATGCATTAAATGGGATAATATCTAGAAATTACCTAGGAAATATCTGGCCAATGATTAGCACTTAAGAAATGATCTCTAGTATAACTATAATGAATATCTCTTAAACTTTTTCTGCTATGACCAGTTATTGCTTCTTTTGGAGACATGATAGCTGGAAAATGTGCACTCATAATTTTGCCAGTGTTTATTTCTTCATAAGGCAAGACAAAAGGAGTCCTGTGGAAGACGCCTCTTCACTTTCTTCTTAATGTACTTGGTCTAAGGTATCCACACTTGTCTGAGAGATGGCAGAGGTGGGTGAGGCACCACAGCTCTGTCTTTCTCTTAGTAAACTCACAGATTCCTAACTAAGTACTCAGAGTCTGCTGTGTGCCATACCTAACCTAAAATCCCAATTCTACCCATTCCTGGCTGTCAGATCTTGGAAAAGATTCTTGACCTCTCTTAGCACCAACCTCTGCTTCTAAAAATGAGAATAACTTGAATACCTACTTAACAATTGTCCTCGGAGGAATAGCTGAGACGCTTCACCTAGAAGTGCTTAAAACTGTGTCTGATATATCGTTCATGCTTGATAAATATGAGCTGACTTAAATTCCCCCATTTAAGCATGAATTTCAGCAGAGGCAGTAGGGGTAAAAAGGAGAGGATGCGGTGAAGAAAAATTTAGAAGGCATAATGGAAAGGACCCAGTGATGGTCCAGTGTCAGGGAGATGGCCCAGATAGAAATGTAGCAAAATTATCCTGAAAAATTTGATTATTTGATAGAATGGTTCACCAAGATGGAAAACACAGTCGGGGAGGAGAGGGCTTGAGAGGAAGACAATGAGTAAAACGTTAGGCATGGTCAATTTGAGTGGTCAAGGGATTCACCATGGAGATATTAAACAGGCATTAGATAGCCAGGTCTGAAGCTCTGTAGAGAAGTGTAAGTTCAAAACATTCATTTAGGAGTCACTTGACCCAGGAGGCACCAGCCGCAGGTCACAGGCTCCATTGTCTTCAGGGACCAGTAGCAGTCATGTGAAAAGCAGGAAAGAGAGACGGTTAACTTGGGGTCAACAATGCGATGCACGCCCTGCCCAAAGGCCTTCAAGTGCATTCACCTGGGTGAGTACTCAGCCTGAGGTCTGAATGGAACCTTCCACCTGGGAAGATGTTAAAGTGGTTATGAACGAATGAAATCTACCCCCAAGGTTTTCCTGGTGCAGAAAGAGAAGACTGAAGATCAAATTTACAACGTGCTTAGACTTCTACAGTGTTGCTGAAATCTACATCAGACAGTATTTTGGCGAGGAGCAAGGCTTCCCCAGCAGTGTTCATGATCTGACAGCTGTAACCAATACCTGACATTTCCCTTTTGGATATAAATAATTATCTTTCACAGTTATGGCACATACACAACAAGTAAATTTCCCCTTTTATTTGGAAAGCCTCTACTTTACAATTCATGTTTACCTTCCTGAATCTTTTCTACATTTCAAATTCATGTTTTGTTTAAAAAGATGACAGACACAGGAAAGCGTTGGTTATGGCAATATAATTAAAGGACATTCATTTCACTCAAACCTGCATGGTGATTTTTGGCAGGGGAGGGGGCTGGCAAATGATGTTTTGCCTCCTGTATTAGTTTTCTATTTCTTCTGTAAAAATTTATGACAAAATTTGTGGCTTAAAGCAACCCATGGATGTCTGAATGGCTTTGGTTCCTTTCTGGAGGCCCAAGGGCAGAATCCACTTTCTTCCCTCTCCCAGTTTCTAGAGGCTCACAGCCCCTTCCTTCATTTTCAAAGCCACAAAAGTTGGATCTCTCCAGCCATTTTCTGAGTAGTTACATCTCCTTTGCACTCTTTTCGACCTCCATCTCTAATTTTCAGGACCCTTGTGATTGCATTGGGTTCACCTGGGTAAGTGAGAAGACTCTTTTTAAGGTCAGCTGATTAACAACCCAAATTCCACCTGCATAGGTTCTGTTTGCCATATAAGTTTATAAGTTCCTTTATATCTCCGAGTAGTACTGCGTGGCATGGATGTACCACACGGTTGTTGTTGTTTTTAACCCTCTACCTGCTGAAAGACATCTGGTTTGCTTCCAGTTTTAGCATTTATGAGTACGGCAGCTATGCACAATTGTGTACAGATTTTTCTTTTAATGGAGGTTTTCATTCTCTGAGATGAATTCGCCCAAAAGTGCAATGTCTGGGTTATATAATTGCATGTGTTGTTTTATTTTTTAAAAAAACATTGCTAAACTGTTTTCCAGAGCGGCTATACCATTTTACATTCTATTGAAGAGTTTTGAGCAGTAAGGTGATGCAATCCTATTCATGTTTTAAAAACATTCTCTGGATGATGGATCAAGAATGCCAGTAGGGAGGGCAAATGCAGAAGCAGGGAGATCAGAAGGGAGCCTCTGCAGTGGTTCAGGTGAGAGGTGAGAGAGAGAGTCAAAGCATGGGTGGGTGTGGCTGAGATGATGAGAAGCAGTAGGATAAGGGACATATATTGATGATATAATTGACAGTTGCTGCAGAATTGTTTGTGGAAATTGGGAGAAAAGATTCAAGGAGGATTTCTGTGCTTTGGGCTTGAGGATGGTGGTTCATGATGGACCTATTTGTCTTGATAATGGGAGGACAGGGGTGGGAGCTGACATGGGAAAGAGATGAGTGCCTGTTAAATTCTACAGTGGAAATCTTGAGTGGGTGGTTAGAAATAAGAGTCTGGAGCCAAGGGGAGATGTGGGAAGCTGGAGAGAAAGTGGAAAAGGACTATGTCTATAAATATGCCCGATGCAAAGCGTGGCATAGTCACAGGCAAAAGCTATCCACTTGATCTCAAGAACAATCTTTTTTCACCTTCTGGGCTTCACAAACAAAATAGCACCTTCAGTTTCCATTTCGGTATAGCAGGTACGGTAACCACAAGAACGTGCAAAGCAGAAACAAAGAGCACTTGGCACCCAAGTCTTATAGAGGCTCATTTCTGATATCTTCTAGGGAACTTCTTTGTATAAGGACGTCATAGAGAAGGTTTGTCTTTCATTTGTCTGTAGCAAGGTCGTAATTTTTTTTAATCTTTAAAAAAAATTATTGTTAATACAAATAAGTCTATTGTGATTTTTAATTCTAGGAAGAATGCCATACAAATCTTTTTTAGTACACGTTTCTGTTTTATACTGTGATTTGGAGGGGTAAAAAGGGTAATACAAAATATGGATAGTTTTTTCATTGCTGGAATGTTCCACATTGGGTTCTGCCTTGGCAACGTCTCCTGTGAGCTACAGTTGAGGGCCAAAGCAGATGCTCCGTTTTTATGCATCTGTCGATAGCCACATGACTCTGCAACTGCCACTGCCTCCCCACACCCCCTGAGCTGGCGCCAGCACGGAGCAGCTGAATCCGACTCAGGCTTCATCCCAGCTCACATTCCACCTTCCCGACAAGGACACTGAGGCCCAGAGATGAAGTGGGACTTCCCACCACAAGTCAATGAGGAGATGGGGTAGCCAGGCCTAAAACCCCGGCCTTTGGCTTACAGCCGCCCGTCATTTTCCCAGGTGCCCACCTCAGAGGCCATCCTTGGAAAAGGAAACGTCACTAACCTATGGTTCTGGGGAAATGGAGACGAGAGAGGAAGTAATATGTTGTTCTTCTTTTCTTTAGGCTTCTTTCCACTGGGTAAATCTTCTCCATACATAATAAAATGAAGGCCCCAGATGATTTGTGAAAGAGTTGAAATGAACTTCCTGCAATTGAACAAACTATTATGAAGCCCCTACTGTCTTTATCAGCAATTCACAGTCTTTTGTCCATAAGAATAAGCAGGGGACTTAAAAAAAAAAAAAAAAAAAAAAAACTACTGGTACTTGGGCCTTACCCCAGACTAACTAAATTAGACCCTCTAGGGTGGACTTTGCTCTCAGTATTTTTCAAAGTTACCCATGCTATTCCAACGTACAGCCAGGAATGAGAACAAACTGGTCTATGGTACTGTGCTAATTGATCCTGTCTTTGGTTCTCAAGTTGGGGTGATTTGGCCTCTGCAGAGGATAAAAGGAAATGTCTGGAGACTTTTGGTTGTCACCGTTGGGATGGGGGCTGCCGTTGGCTTCTAGTGGGTAGAGGTCAGTGATGCTTTTTAACCTCCTACAATGCACTAGACAACCTCCACCACAAAGAATTATCTGGCCCCAAACATCGATAGTGCCAAGGTGGAGAAACCCTAGGCTTATGGATGCCATGGGAAACACCAGTTACCTGGATGTAAATCCATGGTAAAATAACATAGATGCTATGACATGTGGCCCACTGGAAGACACCCATGTCAAATCCCAGGAGCCAGTGAATGTGAGCTTATTTGGCAAAAGAGTCTTTGCAGAGGTAATTAAGTTGGGGGTCTTGAGATCAAATAATCCTGAATTATCTGAGCGTATCCTAAATTGAATTTCAAGTGGCCTTGTAAGAGTCATAGAGGAAAACAGATACACAGGGGAGAGGGTGATATAACCATAGAGGCAGAAATTACAGCAATATGGCCCCAAGCCAAGGATTCCCAGAGCCACCAGGAGGTGGATGAAGCAAGGAAGGATCCTTTTTTAGAGACTTCCAAAAAAGCGTGGCCCTGCTGACACCTTGATTTAGGTCTTCTGGCCTCCAGAGGTATGAGAGAATAAATCCCTATTGTTTTTTTGCCACAAGGTTTGTAGTAATTTGGTATGGCAGCAATAGGAAACCGATCAGATGCCTGTGCCTTTGTTTGCAAAATTCAACAAAGCACATTAGGAGAGATGGGGTCCATGAGAAGGGATAGGATGCATGCAACTCATAAGGCTGAAGACAGACGGGAGTGGGAGTAGGAAGGTCTAGAAGAGAATCTGACAAAGATGCGGGTGAAACTCTGAACCCCTGGCCAGGGCAGGGAAGTCATGAAGGCCAAGCAACACATCCAGTGATGATTCTTCTGTCGACATTTCATTTCTGAAAACTGGTTGTTTCATTAAATTTTTTGGTTTTTCAGATCTCAAGGTGTCAGTATCTTGTAACAGTAATGAGCTTGATTCGCTGTGAAAAGCAAGACGTGTGAAATAGAAACAAACTTAAACTTTTAATAATTTCATTTACTAATGGTCACTAATGACCTAGAACCCAAGACACATATCTTTAAAAAAATTAGATTAGGGAAATGATATATAAGCAAAATAATAATTTAGTAAAAGGTGTAATTATTTTTCTTCCTTTTGTAAAAGTTATTTGTAATTAACAAATGATCATTTGTATATTTTTCTAGTAACACCTAAAACTTCCTGATCTTTATCCGTTTAACCAACATGTATGGTGTTAAAGAAACAGGCCAGGTGTGGTGGCTCACACCTGTAATCCCAGCAGTTTGGGAGGCTGAGGCGGGCAGATCACCTGAGGTCAGGAGTTGAAGACCAGCCTGGCCAACATGGTGAAACCCCATCTCTACTAAAAATACAAAAAAAAAAAAAATTGCCAGGTGTGGTGGTGGGCACCTGTAATCCCAGCTACTAGGGAGGCTGAGGCAGAAGAATCGCTTGAACCTGAGAGGCAGAAGTTGTGGTGGACCAAGAATGCACCATTGCACTCCAGCCTGGGCAACAAGAGTGAAACTCTGTCTCAAAGAAAAGAAAAGAAATAACTGGAAAGAAAGTACCAGCAAGGAACGTCCTTTCTCAATACCTCTTACATGATCCCTGTCCCCTACGTCCTATGGTTTCACCGTATCACATCCTCACACACTCCCCTCTAACTCCACTTTTTAAGTGACTCTGTTTCCTCTTACATTTTCCCATAGTCTGTCTTCCCCTTATATAACTGTCATTATATAACTCATTCTGTAATGATTTACTTAAACCTGACTTCCCCATTAGGAAGTATGCTCCATGGGGAGAGAGCGCATATCTGCTTCGTATTTCCCCCCTAAATCCTCAACACCTGTTACAATTCCCAGTGTACAGTAAGCAGTCCATAAAGCTGGATGATTACTCTGCATGTGTTAGTGACATGCATGAAGTACCCATTTCCCCTTGGCACGGGAAGCCCAGGGGAACAGCATTTTCCTGCCTGACTTCTGAAGCCCTCATACTCATGATCCTACGGGAGCAATGGCAAGGGCACCGGAAAGCCAGGTCGGAGAATAGAGACCCCCAGCCTGCTCTCACAGTTGGACTCAGCAGTGCAACATCAGTGACTCCTTTGTGGGAGTCCCACACACCGCTGTTCACACAGGGAACACCAGTGCCCGGTGGAGCTGCGGGCTTTTGAGACCTCCCGAGTCGCTTTGTGTGCACAATGCCGTGACTCTGGATTTGTACAGTATGACCCTCAGACGCTGGAACAGGAGCACACGCCAAAGAGAAAAAGGAGTGGAGATCACTGAGATCTCATAAATCCATAATGGGCCTGCTCTGTATTAATAAAACAATCTCAATGGTGGAGCTCCATAAAAGAGAGGCATAGGCTGATGTAATTTCCTTGAAGTCCCCTGTAAAGCATTTTACTCTGTAATACAGCTACATTTATGAAGTGGTTTTATCTTGAAAGATCCCAAAGGGCTTACTAGACTGAAAAGGAAAATATCAAGTACACGACATCTCAAAACACCACCAATGTACTTCGGTGATAACAGTTGGGGATTCTGTGACAGCAGGTAGCCCTCTTAAAAAGCAGACAGCGGCTTAGCCCATTAAACCTCCAGGGAGAAGTAAAGAGAAAGAGGAGATAATTGTCCACATTGGATAAGGGCCACACAGGTTTTCTTTATTAATAAAGGCCATGGCTTGTTTCCATCCGCCACGTGGATTTAAGTGGGTGAGCTTTATCAACATCATTCTCCTTATTTGAAATAAAAGAAAGAAACCAACTTATAACACTTCTTCATAAAGGGACTGAGAAAATATATGTAAAGCTTCCAGTGGTTAATAGAGGTCAGGTGTAGCCAGTGTAATTTAGAAGCTGTGCATTTTAAAAAGTAAAATATAACCTACAGTTATAAAATATATCCGACAGGAAAAATATCTTTTCCCAGCCAAATTTTACTGAATCCAGTCCTGTCGAAATGACTGATCCTGGGTTTTTTTCTTCCTTGTTGCTGTCCTGGTTAGGACATGGTGGCACTAACTTTTAGTGAATTAGCCGAGGATATAGGGGAATGGTTGGCAGGGGCCAGAAGTCCTTCTTGATTATCCTCCAAGAATATCACCCCACTGGGAGCTAAGAAGGAAGGTGGAAGCACCAGGTGATGTAAGTTTAGCAATCGCTGAGTACTGTCAAAGAAAGCAGTCTGAGACTTCAAAGTAAATAAAAAGTAGCTCCCCTTTCTTCAAAAATGTTAAAACTGATCCACTCTCTAACCAGGAATACTGTTGTCTCACATTCCCTCTGCAGTTTCTCTCATCCCACTTCTGCTTCCAGCCCAAACCCCTCACCCGTCTCGTTTTCCCACCAGAAAGTACTCCTTGTCTTTTTACTAATACTTTGCTTCTTCCCTCCCCACACGATCTCTCCAAAGCCTGGGAACTGAGCTAGCAAAGAGAATGCTCTTCTGAGCTTGGAGCTGAACAAGGAGCCCCTATGGAGGAGACAAAGATGCAAAATTTTTAGTTTGGTTTTATTCTCATTTAAGTTTTCTATGGAGTATTTTTCTTGTGATTTAATCTTTGGATGAGACTATCAATGTACGTTTCTTCTAATTTTATTTTTCAAATATTCCATTGCAAACTTATTTAGCATTTATAATTGAATACTGATAAGTGAATTTATTTATTCATTTATTTATTCATTTATTTTGAGATGCAGTCTCACTCTGCCACCCAAGCTGGAGTACAGTGGTGTGATCTTGGCTCACTGCAACCTCTACTTCCAGGTTCAAGGGATTCTCCTGCCATGGCCAGTATTATTTTTTAAATTTTTAGTAGTGACGGGGTTTCACCGTGTTGGCCAGGCTGGTCTCAAACTACTGACCTCAAGTGATCTGCCAGCCTCAGTCTCCCAAAGTGCTGGGATTACAGGCATGAGCCACTGCTCCCGGCCAGTAAACTTTATTTTATTTTAAAAACCTGTTTTGGAGTATTAGCCCACTGGTTTACATTGTCTTCCTTACATACATCACACCCATATGGAGGAGTACTTTAAAGACAAAGTTGCAATCTGGTAGCATAGCTGCCCAGTGGAGAAAAAGTGCACATGTAAAGCCTGAGTAATTCAGGGCATGAAAATATCCCTGTCAGCCAATCAGTCAACGAGTTGACCAAGCGTCTTGGCTAGCCTCAGAGGTACCTTGGCAGGCAGGCTCAGGCATTGTGCAGCCCTGTGTAAAATTTTCCTCATAGTAACTACGTTGTCTTTACATCAACCTGAGAAGTAGATACTATTTTTCCTATTTTTGTTTGTTTGTTTGTTTGTTTGAGACAAAGACTCGGTCTGTCGCCCAGGCTGGAGTGCAGTGGTGCGATCTCGGCCCATGGCAACCTCCGCCTCCCGGGTTGACGCCATTCTCCTGCCTCAGCCTCCCGAGTAGCTGGGACTACAGGCGCCCGCCACCACGCCCAGCTAATTTTTTTGTATTTTTAGTAGAGATGGGGTTTCACTGTTGGCTAGGATGGTCTCGATTTCCTGACCTCGTGATCCGCCCACCTCCGCCTCCCAAAGTGTTGGGATTACAGGCGTGAGCCAGCGCGCCTGGCCTATTTTTCCTATTTTATTAATGAGAAAACTGAGGCTCAGAGATGCTAAATAACATATCTGAGTTCATCACTGCCAGTCAATCTGGGCTCAAACATTCCGATCCAGATTGCTCTGATTCTAGAGCCTTTGTTCTGGAAATCTGTCTTTTATAATACACAGGGATTTTATTTTTAACCTTTTATTTTGAAATGAATTCAGACTTACAGGAAAGTTGCAAAAAGAATGTAGGTAATTCCTTTATATTTTTAGTTCAAATTTTTCAAATGTTAACATATTATCACATTTACTTAATGATTCCTCCCTCCCCCAACTATTGAAGAGAAAATTGCAGACTCGATGCCCCTTTTCCCCTCATCTTCAGTGTGATATTTCCCAAAAACAAGGATGTTTTTTCTCTCTCATAGAATCACAGAACAATGATCAAATCAGCAAATTAACGCTATTAAAAATTATCTAATCAACACACTTAATTTGGATTTATCCAATTACCGCACTAATGTTTTTTTATTGCAAAAGAAAATATTTTGGCCCAGGATCTAATCCAGGATTTAATATTGCCTCAGATCTCATGTCTCTTTAGGTTCCTTTAATCTGGAAAAGTTCTTCATCTTTGTTCTGTCTTTCGTGACCATGACATAGTTGAAGATTATAGGTTGGTTAGTTTGTTCGGTGTCTCCCATGATTAGATCCAGGTTAAAGAAACAGCTGGAAAGAAAGTACAAGCAAGGAACTTCCTATGTCAACACCTAAATAATCTCTGCCACCCCCACCCCCATGGCTTTACCCCATCACATCCTCACAAACTCCCCTCTACCTCCACATTTTAGGTGATTCTCTTTCCTCTTACATTTTCTCATAGTCTGCCCTCCCTTTATAGCTCTAATCACAACTTGAATTGTATAACAAATTCTATAATGATTTTTTTAAAACTGACTTCCCCATTAGGGTGTATGCTCCCTGGGGACTGAGCTCATACCTGGTTCGTATTTGCGCCCGCTGAATCCTCAACACCTAGTACAATTCTCAGTAAGCAGTCCCTAAAGCTAAGTGATTACTCTGTATGTGTTAGTGAAATGCATTAAGTGCCCATTTCCCCTTGGCGTGGGAAGCCCACAGGAACAGCATTTTCCTGCCTTACTTCTGAAGTCCTTGAACTCACGCTCCTACTGGAGTGATGGCAAGGCCACTGGAAAGCCAGGTCGGAGAACAGAGACCCCCCCAGCCTGCTTTCACAGTTGGTTCCGGCAGTTGTTGCATTTGTGGCAAGAACCTCATGGCAGTATTGTGTCCTTCACAGTGCTTTGTATCAGGCAGCATGTAGCAGGCTTTTGTGTCCTTACTGGTGACATTAACTTGGACCACTTACAGAGGGTGGTGTCTGCCAGGTTTCTCCTATATAAACTTAATTTTTCCTCCTTTGTAACTAACAAGGGTCTTGGAAGGAGATATTTCCAGACTACACAAATACCTTGTTTCTTTTCATATTTTCACCCACTGATTCTAGGCTTCTTTGATAATTTTTGCCCTCCTGCCCCACCAAAAAATATTTTACCATTATGGTTACCAAATGGCGATTCTCTAATGGCATGAGTCCTTCTACATTTATTTGTTGGCATTCTATTTTAAGGAAAAGCTCCCCCCAACTTAAGAATTTATTTCCAATTTTAAAAGTTTCATTACTATGGTTTTATGGGTTCTTTTTTTATTCTGTAGGGTAACAATCTGTTGCTACCCTTATTTATTCTTGTGCGCCAATTGTCCACCGTTTGTCCAGTGGGAAGCCTAACATGCAGTTTTTATATTCAAGTATCCTAGCACGTCAACTTTTATTGCTTCACTTAAAATCTGCCACCTTCCACCTTCATGTCCTGAATCCTTTATCTAGAAAATGTGTAATTTTCCAAGAAGGCCTCAGACCTAGTGGTCCAGTTACTGTCTGTTTTTGCTGACTAACTCTTGAAATAAGAATTTTTTTAAAAGCTGGTAGTAGGGATGAAGGGGGTTAAGTGACAGTTCTCCTAAGAAGCATACTCATGGCCCTGCCAGCGGCTTGGAGACATAAGGGAGGTAAACTGAAATCTTTCCTGAACACTTCATGCTTTTTGGTTTCTCTCCACTTTTTAACACACTGCAGTGTAATTCCCTCCACTATCCTGAAAACATGGATTTAGATTCCAAGACCCATCTCTCCTTCTGTGAAGCCATCCTCCCTGCCCCACCCAGGCAGGATGAATTATTCTCTTCTTGGCAGCTCTAGAAGCCCTGGTATAGGCTTTTGTTCTAGCATCAGTCATATGGTGTTATAACTATTTTTGACACTCCGTTCCCCTCAATAGGCTGTGAGCCTTTCACAAATGGGTTTTTACATATATCTGTGTTAAGTAATAATAAGGCTGGGTGTAGTGGCTCACGCCTGTAATCCCAGCAGTTTGGGAGGCTGAGTGGGGATGATTGCTTGAGCTCAAGAGTTCAAGACAAGCCTGGACAACATGGAAAAACCCCATCTCTACAAAATATACAAAAATTAGTTGGGCATGGTAATCCCAGCTGCTCAGGAGGCTGAGGCAGGAGAATCGCTTGAACCCTGGAGGCAGAAGTTGCAGTAAGCCAAGATCGCATCACTGCACTCCAGCCTGGGCAACAGAATGAGACTCTCTCTCAAACGAAAAAGAAATAATAAACATTTTTAATTATTTAAAAATGTGTTAGAATCGATATCTAGGTCATTGTGTAAACCAAAGGCCAGCAAACTTTCCTGCAAAGGGCCAGGTAGGCTTTGTAGGTGATATAGTTTCTCTTATAACTAGTAAACTCTGCTACTGTATATCTAATGGCCCTATACACGATACATAAAAGAATGAATGTGGCTGTGTTTCAATAGAACTTTATTCATATAAATAGACGTGGGGCTGAATTTTACCCTAGGGCTATAATTTCCTGACCCCTGATCTCTCCCACCTCAAGGTCTTCCTATTAGCTGAATACCTGCCTTAGGAAATCCCTCATTTTCTCTGGCTATTTTCTGCATATTCTTTTTTTTTTTTTTTTTTTAAGCAGCTTTCTAGCTTCTCTCTGGAAGAGTGGAAAGATGATGGGGCTAGCCCATAGTTTCTCAACCTGGGCAATATTGACAATTTGAACTAGGTAATCTTTTGTTGTGAGGGAGTACATTATAGAATGTTAGCAGCATGCCTGGCCTCTACACACTGGATACCACTAGCAGCACTGCAGTCATGACAATCAAAATGTCTCCGGACATCGTAAAATTACCCCTGGTTGAGGAGAATCAGGCTAGTCCGTGCACAATATATTTTTAAATTTTTCTTTAGTTCTTCAAGAGCCTTCCAGGTGAAGGAATGGACTGCCACAGCCAAAAACAAGATGGCTAGCAAACTCTTCTCTCCAGGAAACGTCTTCCTAATAAGGCATATTTTATTATTTTGTCAGAAAGTCCATTTCTACACCTTTCTTAATCCTCCATTTAGTATTTCTCTTTTTTTTTTTATTATACTTTAAGTTCTGGGGTACGTGTGCAGAACTTGTAGGTTTCTTACGTAGGTATACACGTGCTATGGTGGTTTGCTGCATCTGTCAATCCGTCATCTACATTAGGTATTTCTCCTAATGCTATCCCTCCCCTAGACCCCTACCCATCGACAGTGTGGTGTTTCCCTCCCTGTTTCCTTGTGTTCTTATCGTTCACCTCCCACTCAGGAATGAGAACATGTGGTATTTGGTTTTCTGTTCTTGTGTTAGTTTGCTGAGAATGTTGGTTTCCAGCTACATCCGTGATCCTGCAAAAGACAGGAACTCATCCTTTTTTATGGCTGCATAGTATTCCCTGGTATATATGTGCCACATTTTCTTTATCCAGTCTATCATTGATGGGCATTTGGGTTGGTTTCAAGTCTTTGCTATTGTGAACAGTGCATATTCTTTTTTTTTTTTTTTTTTTTTTTTTTTTGAGACGGAGTCTCGCTCTGTCGCCCAGGCCGGACTGCGGACTGCAGTGGCGCAATCTCGGCTCACTGCAAGCTCCACTTCCCGGGTTCACGCCATTCTCCTGCCTCAGCCTCCCGAGTAGCTGGGACTACAGGCGCCCGCCACCGCGCCCGGCTAATTTTTTGTATTTTTAGTAGAGACGGGGTTTCACCTTGTTAGCCAGGATGGTCTCAATCTCCTGACCTCATGATCCACCCGCCTCGGCCTCCCAAAGTGCCAGTGCATATTCTTAAGGGCTCAGCTTAAACCTTACCTGTTTGAGTGTAAGGCAGAGCTCCTTGATCTGCATAATAGATTAAGTTCCAGTGCTGTATTTACCAAAGTCCCCTCTATTATTTCCCTATTAGAGCATTCATTAGTATTAACTATAATGACTATAATGACTTGTTTTACCTTTGAAATTTTATTAAAATTATTGCAAGAGCACTTTTTTACCTTCCAATGCCCAGTGCTTCAGTACTTACTCAGAGTGCAGGCACATTTAAAATATTTGTTGAATGTACAAATAAATGTTTAAAAGGTTTCACATAGACTAGGTTGCAAAATCCATAGCAGACACTGTAGGTGCTCCACCTATATCCTTTCCTTTTACCATTCTGGGGCATACTGGCCTAATTTACTTGCAGAAGAACAAACACATTCTGAGAACAGCCAGGCCTCAACCAAAGACCAGCAGGAGCAGGTGCATAAATACCCCAACTCCCTCACCCTTCGAATGCGATGACTCTAAGGCTTATGTTTTAAACTGGCTTCCATAACTCACCAGCAGGATTCAGTTCTAGTTATCCACATTGACAGCTGATTTGATAACAGCCGTTTTGTTGGCTGCTTTCCCTGCCTTATCTCATTTCCTATTCTCACTGTCACTCTCATTCCTGTTCTCTTATTCTCATGTAGTGCTCCCATCACCTTCCACATCAACCCCGCACACTTGAATCCTTGTTGCAAGGTCTGTTCCTAGGACAGCAAAGCATAAGGTTTCCAACAACCCTGTGAGATGTGTATCATCACCTGTATTTTAAAAGTAAGAAGTGCAGGGCAGAGAGATTATGGCCATCTACCAAGTGCATCGAAGAATAGGCATCTAACCCAGACCTCTGGCTACAAACTCTGGACATCATCCAGTTCACCATGTTGTTTCTATAAGGTGTTCAACTAGTGTGCGTTAAATGACAAGATGGCTGGGTGTAGTTCTGATATAAACTCTTCCCAAATTCAACCTTGAATTCAAATGGTTTCTTTCTAGTCGTAGTATGGTACCAAATAGATAAGTCTGTTTAGGTAAGAATTAAATGTAAAAAAACACAAACATTTAAGTTCATTGGATTGTTTCCCCTTAACTGCCTGTGCCCCTTAAATGCTACCTTTTCCTGATCCTATTTGAGGGGGGAAGTATCTTTTGAATCCCAGACTTGCAGGGACGGATTCTGCATGGCCTGTACCCTTGTTTGCAGCGATTACTCTGCTCAGAGGAGGATGACCTGTGTGGGGAGCCTCTTCAGCTACTTGAGGCACTAACCCTCTAGCCCAGGAAGTCCCATTATTGCTGGGCCCTGCCATAAGCTTATTTGTATTTCACAGCGACTTGCACAGATGTGCCAGATATGTACAGATGGATTTTTATCAGAAGAGAGTCTACCCAAGTGAAGCAGTGTAGGGTGAGGCTAAATCCCAAAATTGAAATTTGGGGACACTGATTAGGCACAGAGCAGGACCAGGGGTTAAAACCATGTGGGAAACAGATCAATAGAATGGAGGAAAACAGTCCCTGAGGAGGACCCTATGACAGAAATCTACTATAGAGAAACGGCCTGGGCAGACCAAGCATAATATTCAGTGGAGAGTCTGGGTGTGAGAGCTGTGTTTGGGTGAGAAGCAGGGAATGATTGAAAGGTAAGACAAGAGAAAACATTTCCTTTTGTTCATTCCATTTCTGCAGAGGCTCTTGTATTTCTGAGTCCCATTTTGAAAGTCACACAGCCCAGCATCTCATCTCTTCTTTAGCCGAAAAACATACTGCATTAGCTGAGTCTCCAGAGCAAGTTGTTGCTAGCCTTGGGACCTGGGGAGGTTATTTCAGCTGTGAGTACCTCACTTCCCTCACATGCAAAGTGCAGTAGTAACAGCACTTCCATCCTATGGTAGCTGGGACGGAAAATGCATAACTCCATGTGAATTGCCAAGGATAGTGCCTGTCACGTGGTAAGCATTTAACACATAGTAGCTGTTTTTAATATTATGTGTGGTAGATTGGCACCATTCCATGAATCCAAGCCATTTGGGTATGATAACTGAACTGGTTGTCAAAGCAAGAATCAGCCTTGTGTTTACAACCACTGAGAAAGAGCTTGTCAAGCTCTTAGCTGAAATCTGTACAAAATATCTGCTGCAGGTCTCTACCTTTTTACCATTTAAGGTCCATGAAGGAAACCAGGTCACTCAGGCACAACCTGATTTTAATGAACCCTCGTAGGCGTCTAAAGAATCACCACTTTATTTTTTTAAAGTGTTCAAAACCATTACTTTAATGATTTGTTCTGGAGTCTCGACCCAGAACAATGTCAGTCTCGTTACAGAATCTCAGAATTTACTGCCACTTTTTGAAATAGTTGGAGATACTTTCTATCCTCTGTCTCAGCATTTCTGCCACTCTTCTGGATTGGATTTATTTAGAACAATTAAATGCTGTCTTACAATCTCTTTCCCCAACTTGGGGTTTCTCTTCCCTTCTACCAACGTTCACTCTGCATTTTCATTCTGATGCTCATTTTTCTTGGCATTTTGTCTGGAGAAGTTTGAAGCAGAGCAGATGCTCAGACGGTCTGCATCCCTCCTCTTTGCCGTCCTTCTCCTTTGCTCACCTGCAAGAATCAGGCTTTACGATTCAACTTTCTGTTCCAAACATAGCTTTAAAGCCTGTTTGGGTGTCCTTAGAAATTTTTCTAAGTGTCAGCTCATATGAGACACCCGCTCCAGATGTCTTGTTTTCCCACTGTTCACTGTTCAATTTAACAAAACACATATTAGGCACCTACTGTGAGGCAGGCATTGTGCTGCTCTTGAAAGATACAAAGGAAAACAAGGTGTAGTCCCTACTTTCAAGGCGCTCACGGTAAAGCTAGAAATGTAAACAAACCAACACAAGACAGTGTGCAAGAATCCTGTTAAAGACCTGCCCTCACTGAACTGTGCCCCTCCACCTGGAGGCTGCAGCGGGTCAAGGATGGCTTCACTGAAGGGATGATATTTGAACAAGACTTATTTTTATTTCTTTTTATTCTTCTATCCCATGACATTTCCTTTTCTAGTCTCCTAGGCAGCCATCAACAAGGTGCACAAATATGTCTTTTTGCTTATACAGTAGTCATACAAAATGCATGTTGCAGTTTTGTACTCAGCTGTTTCATTGATGTAAATGATCCTGTGTCACATACTCACACACCTTATTTTTTGCTTTCCCTCTCTAAGCATTTTTGGTTTTTGGTTTTTTTTGAAACAGAGTTACCCACTGTTGTCCAGGCTGGAGTGCAGTGGTGTGATAGCTCACTGCAACCTCTGCCTCCCCGGTTCTAGCGATTCTCCTGCCTCAGCCTCCCAAGTAATCCCTGGGATTACGGGCACCCACTACCATGCCCAGCCAACTGTTTTGTTTGTTTGTTTTTGTATTTTCAGTAGAGACAGGGTTTCAGCACGTTGGCCAGGCTGATTTTGAACTCCTGACCTCAAGTGATGCTCCCACCTCGGCCTCACAAAGTGCTAGGATTACAGGCGTGAGCCACCATGCCCGGCCTAAGCTTTCTTTGTAAGATGCATTCATGTCAGGGTGCAAACATCCAGGCTGTTATTTCCATTCACTGTGTGTCCTTGCATCTTCCACATCCTTCACTTTTCCATTGTCTCCATGTAGAATGCCCACATTGTCTCTGGTTCCCAACACCCTGAATAACTGCAGCAATACCCTTTACGATTCACATGCAGATGGGTGTAAAAGGTTCCTTGGCTTATATTTGCCCAGAAATGGAATTTCTGGATCACAGGTATGACAGGCAGAATAATGACCCCAATGATATCCACATTCTAATACCTAGAAACTGCAAATATGTGACCTTGGGTGGCAAAAGGGACTTTGCAGATGTAATTAGATTAAAATTTTTGAGATTGAGAGATCATGTTGGACGATGTAAGTGGGCCCAGTATAATCACAAGGGTCCTTATCAGAAAAAGGAGGAGGCAGAAGATCCAGAGTTGGAGAGAGATTTAAAGATGCTCTATTGCTGTCTTTGAAGATAGAGGAAGGGGCCAGGAGTCAAGGAAAGTGGGCAGCATGTAGAACATGTAAAAGAAAAGGAAGCAGATTTGTCCCTAGAGCCTTCAAGAGTCTCCATGTCAGACTTTTGACCTCAAGGACTATAAAATAATACATTTGTGTTGCTTTAAGCCATTAAGTTCCTGGGGATTTGTTACAGCGGCCGCAGGATGCCCACACATAAACTACGCCCAGACTGACTTTGACTGTAATGGCGCTGGGTCAGTCTCAGAATGGCTGTCCAGGCCCACATTTCTGATAGCCGCACATGAAGTCCTCACGTCTGCACACCCTCGGCATCACTTGGCCCAACTCGTCTTTCTGATTTCTTTCAGTCCGATGGGTATAAAGCATAAACAAGTCTTGAATAAAGAGTCAGAATTCCTTCCAATAAAGTAGGGTGGTTGAGGTGAGATGGGGGATGGCCTTGGGGCCCTGGCTGCTGTGGTTGGATGGTCTGGTCTTTGGGAGAGGATGCACAAATCATTAGGAAAGCAGAGATAAGGCTCCCAAGGGGCTACATGGAGAGTAAGTGGAGACAAAACCCGTGCGCCTTGTGAGGACACAGGGCTGTGTGGACTCCATGGAAGAGAGGGCCCCAGACAGTGGCAGGCAGTGTGGGGTCACAGTCGTAGTCAGGCCTGGGTGTCAGTCACAGTTCTGCAGCTGCCGTGTGACCCTAGGCATGCTCTTAACCTCTCTGATCCTTGGCATCCTTCTCCCTGTGACAGGGATAATAATACTATCTGCTCATAGGACTGCCATGTGGCTTACATGAGATCATGCATGCAAAGCCCCTAATACAGTGAATGGTATAGAGTTGGCACCCAACAAATAATCATCGTAATGATACTATTTTCATTAGCACAATAATTGTAATAATAATTACAGTTTCTTACATTCCTCAACTCCAAGAAAATTGGATTTTTCTTGTAATCTGCAGGATCCATTGCTGACCTTGCTCTTCTATCTGGAGAATAATGTATTGCAATCAGTTTCCACATATTTATATGCAAAGGCCTTTATATATTATTTTCAAGGAGATCTTCCCCTCCTTAACCATTGCCCTTGTCTATACCCCCATCCCTGAAAAATGGGGGTTTCCTTTTAGGGCTTTTAACAGCATAATGCAGTTGAATACAACTTATTTTACTGACATCTCTCCTCCAAGCGCTCTCCCCCAGCACTTTCCAGGACTAAATAATGCATGAAGGGAGAGAATAACAGGGATTGCATAAACGACGGAAAACAGCACGGTAAGGATTCTGTGTTGTGAAGAGATGAAAGCCCCTGGTCAGAAGGCCAGTAACAAAGCAAAGAAGAAATGCAAAGGCATTGACGAGGGAGACAAGAAAAGTATTTTTCAAGATAAGATTTGTGGAGAGTTAAAAAGGAGATGACTCAGGAGACAGTCAAAGACTCTTCATTAGACAGGAACTCCAGAGTGGGTACACCAGGGGGCCTGGGCTTTTGAAGGGCTGGGGCTCTGAAGAAGTTAACAAACACCAGCTCCACTTCCTGGGCCTCTGAAGCCTTCTTTGACGTGCCCAGGTGGGGGCCGATTCTTCTTGCTTGGTGTCCTATGCCTCCCTCTTCCTACCTTTATTAGAGAATGTATCTCACTCAACTGTAACGGTGGATTCCTATGTCCTTTTTCTTCACTGTGCTGGAGCTCCAGGCGCTTTTCCAGTTATCCTCATGCTTTTCCATCTTAGATGCTTTTCCAGTTATCCTCATCATAGATTAAAATAATAATTGTTGGTCATTTAGTCTGTCCCTGTGCTAAGTGCTCCATGTGCATTAGATAAATTATGCCTCAAGACAGCCCCAGATACCCATTTTACAACTGTAGAAACTGAGGCAGGAGGAGATTGAGACTTGCTTGCAGATGTGCAAATGGTGGAGAATGTAGGTGAGATTGGCACTGAGGGGTTCAGACTCCCAAATAGGGCTGTTGAGTTTCTTTTACTCCCAAAACCAAGCACAGTGCTGAGCACGAAAATGCACTAAGCAAGAGTTTGATTTGTGAACACATTATTCTGCCTGGAACTCAGCTAGCTAGCCAGGTGGTACTCGGAGTTGGCATTTCTGTTGCTCAGGCCGGGCTGCATTTGGTGAGTTGCGGGAAGGGGATGATGACATCTTCTCCAGTTGACAAAAGACAATGGCTTGTTCTGAGGAGAGGGCCTGGAACTCTTGGTCCATCAGTCTGGCTTTGTCCTGTCTATTATACACAGTCTAATCACCCCCAACAAATGGTGCTAGGAAAACGAAAACAAAAGCTATATATTTCCTCTTATAGAATTTTTAAAACAACTAAATATACCTCTGGAATACACTTTACAAATTTATGCTAAAGGCTTCCACACCAATGTGGCTCCTAAGTTCCCAAAATTGAGCTCCATTTTGAATTGCCCTTGGCCCTGCTCTCTCTGGGATTGCTAGAGAGTTCCAGCATGGACCCAGTGTCCTTTGTGGGCTGCAGAGCTGGACAACACTGGGATGAGTAAGGCAGCCAACCCTCAGCCCTGGGAGGCACAGTGAGGGCCAGGGTATTAACCAGAAGCTTAGTAGTCATTTTACCATCAGCATTAAGTCACCCACATGCACACTGATATGGTTTGGCTGTGTCCCCACCCAAATCTCATCTTGAATTGTAGTTCCCATAATCCCCACGTGTAATGGGAGGAACCTAGTGGGAGGTAATTTAATTATGAGTGAGTTCTCACGAGATGTGATGGTTTTATATGGGGCTTTTCCCCCTTTTGCTTGGCACTTCCCCTTGCTGCCACCATGTGAAGAAGGACATGTTTGTTTCCCCATCCACCATGATTGTAAATTTCCTGAGAACTCCCAGACCTGCAGAACCGTGAGTCAATTGAACCTCTTTCCTTTATAAATTACCCAGTCTCAGGTATGTCTTTATTAGCAGCATAAAAATGGACTAATACAGCAAATTGGTTCTGAGGGAGCAGGGTGCTGCTCTAAAGATACCCAAAAATGTGGAAGTGACTTTGGAACTGGGTAACAGGCAGAGGTAGGAACAGTTTGGAGGGCTCAGAAGAAGACAGGAAAATGTGGGCAATTTTGGAACTTCCTAGAGACCTGGAAGGCTCAGAAGACAGGAAGATGTGGGAGTTTAGAACTTCCTAGAGATTTGTTGAATGTCTTTGACCAAAATGCTGATAGTGATATGGACAATGAAGTCCAAGTTGGGGTGGTCTCAAATGAAGATGAGGAACTTGTTGGAAACTGGAGCAAAGGTGACTCTCGTTATGTTTTAGCACAGGGACTGGTGGCATTTTCCCCTGCCCTAGAGATCTCTGGCACTTTGAACTGGAGAGAGATGATTTAGGGTATCTGGCAGAATAAATCTCCAAGCAGCAGAGCCTTCAAGAGGTGGCTTGGGTGCTGTTAAAAGTATTCAGTTTTATGTATTCATAAAGACATGGTTTGGAATTGGAACTTATGTTTAAAAGGGAAGCAGAACATAAAAGTTCAGAAAATTTGTAGCCTGACAATGCAATAGAAAAGAAAAACCTATTTTATGGGGAGAAATTCAAGGCTGTTGCAGAAATTTGCATCAGTAATGAGGAGCAAAATATTAATCACCAAGACAACAGGGAAAATGTCTCCAGGGCATGTCAGGGGTCTTCATGGCAGCCCCTCCCATTGCAGGCCTGGAGGCCTTGGAGGAAAAAATGGCTTTGTGGGCCAGGCCCAAGTCTCCCCTGCTTTGTGCAGCATGGGAACTTGGTGCCCTGTGTCCCAGCCACTACAGCCATAGCTAAAAGAGGCCAAGGTACAGCTCAGGTTGTGGCTTCGGTGGGTGCAAGCCCCAAGCCTTGGCAGCTTCCACATAGTGTTGAGCCTGCAGGTACACAGAAGTCAGTAATTGAGGTTTGGGAACCTCTGTCTAGATTTCAGAGGATGTGTGGAAACACGTGATGTCCAGGCAGAAGTTTGCTGCAGGGACAGAACACTCATGGAGAACCTCTGCTAGAGCAGTGCAGAAGGGAAATATGGGGTTGGAGCCCCCACACAGAGTCCCCACTGGGGCACTGCTTAGTGGAGCTGTGAGAAGAGGGTCACCATCCTCCATACCCCAAAATGGTAGCTCCACCGACAGCTTGCACCACCATGCACCTGGAAAAGCCACAGACACTCAAAGCTAGCCATGAAAGCAGCCGGGAGGGGGGTTGTACCCTGCAAAGCCACAGGGGTGGAGCTGCCCAAGATCATGGGAGCCCACCTCTAGCATCATCATGCCCTAGATGTGAGACATGAAGTCAAAGGGGATTATTTTTGAACTTTAAGGTTTAATGACTGCCCTATTGGATTCTAGACTTGCATGGGGCCTGTAGCTCCTTTGTTTTGGCCAGTTACTCCCATTTGGAACAGATGTATTTATCCAATGCCTGTACCCCCATTGTGTCTGGGAAGTATCTAACTGGCTTTGGATTTTACAGGCTTGTAGGCCTCGTCTCAGATGAGACTATGGACTTGGAGTTTTCAGTTAATGCTGGACTGAGTTATGACTTTTGGGGACTGTTGGGAGGGCAGAATTGTCTTTTGAAATGTGAGTACACGGGATTTTGGAGAGTAGGGGCAGAGTGATATGATTTGGCTGTGTCCTCATCCAAATTTCATCTTGAATTATAGTTCCTGTAATCCCTACATGTGGTGGGAGGGACGTGGGGGGAGACGACTGGATCATGGGGGTGGTTACCCTCATGCTGTTTTCATGATTGTGAATTCTCATGGGATCTGATGGTTTTATAAAGGGCGTTTCCCCCTTTTGCTCAGCACTTCTCCTGGATGCTGCCATGTGAAAAAGGATGTGTTTGCTTCCTCTTCCACCATGATCATAGTTTCCTGAGGCTTCCCAAGCCGTGCAGAATTGTGAGTCAATTAAACCTCTTTCCTTTATAAATTACCCAGTCTTAGGTATGTCTCTATTAGCAGGATGAGAACAGACAAATGCACAGACCAACAAGGAGTATGTGGTGAGCTTTTTCCTGCCTTGCTTTTTTGAAAGAGGAAAACAATAAGATCAGAACAGATTATCACTAAAATTGGCAGGGGGAAAGTGTGGCACAGTCATTAGAAAAAACTGGACTTTGGAGACCATTTTAGGAAATCTTGGAATACTAGCATTGTTTGGGGCCACTTCCTTGGGTCATGTTTAAGTAAGATTTGCAGCAGCCCATAGATGACTCACTGAAATTTAATCATTAATGGAATATTTTATAAAGGGGCAGTTTATAAATGCATAGTTGAAGTACAGGGAAACCACAAGGGATGGCACCACCCCCAGGGGCTAGTGATGGCAGGGACAGTTATCTGCCCTGGTCTGAAGGGTTAAGAGGAGAGGAGGGAGCCCTCTCTGAAGTGGAGACAGTGAGGTGTGTGTGCAGAAGGCCACCTGACGTGTCTGAGACCTTCCTTTGAGAGATACAGCCAGCCCTCAGTGACCCAGCAGGGAAGAAGCAAGGATAAACACCTGATTCCTTTTCTCCCTGCCTTCCCTCTGTAATGAGTTTTGTCTGTTGGTCAAAACTAGAGACTCACAGAGTGCTTTGGCTGGGTCCGTAAAGACCAATCTCCAGGGACCAAAGAAAGGTGGTGAAGGGAGGAGCTGGGTAAACAGAAGCTATCCAGCCTGGTTTTCATCTATCCAGAGCTGTACACAAGATGGTGGATTGAAGATGATTAAACACAACACAGTATTATAAGTTTTAGAGGACCAAATAATGTACTTTAAAACTAATGCAAATGTGATTTTTTTGAAGGCTCATTTCATGGTAACACTGTGCGGAGCTCTTAAGTCAAACATCTCTTTCAATCCTCCCAACAATCTAGGAAGATAAGTTATGGTCTCCGTGTTCTCTAGTAGAAGAAACAGACTTTAAAGATTTTGGTGACATTTTCAAGCAAACTACCATATACAGAGTCAGAGCCCTCAAACTGTGAACTGTATCCTTTTGGGGTTGCCTTTGTCCCCAAGAACCTCCTTGTCTTCTCTGGTCCTCATTTTTCAACACAGTCAAGAAAATATCTGTTTGTTTCATGACTGAGCATTCATGAGAGCCAAAAGGAAACAATGATTTATTAAAGTGTCTATGTCAGGAAGTTCTTATTGGCTGCTCCCGTTGTTAATTGAGTGTCTTGAAACCCTTCTGGTGCTTTGTAATTAGTGCTCCAGGACAAAACATGCTGCTGCTTTTTTCTCATCCCCTAAATTTTGCCATTTCAGCACAAAGGGAGCTCAGGTGCATCAGGAGCCCCAGCCTCCTGCGACTGGACTGCATACATACAAATACCCATTCTAGGTGGTTTCCAAAAGGACTCCATTTCTATGGGAATATTTTCCATTGAGCTGTTTATGAACTTTCACTTAGTGATTAAAAAATTATTCAAAAGGAGGGCAATAGTAATAAACTTCCACTTTCCGTTTCACCAGCATATCTCAAAACTAAATTAATTATCAGCCTGTGTGAATAAAGTTTGTGTCCTGATAAATGTATTCCCTCAAGAATGCTCAATTCACCTTTCCCCAGGTCTCCAGCTCACACACTGCAGTCCAATTTCAAATTCTTCCGTCTCACCATGAATCTCCAGTCTTGAAGCCCTCTCCTTGACCCCCTCCTTGGAGGGTGATGTGGTAAATCAAGTCAGCTCTCTGTGAATGTCTCATCATTCTCCACCTGCCACAGCAATTTTGCCCCCTCTGCTCTCCTCCTGGGGTAAAGAGTCTTTCCTTGTTAGGGCTTAACCCTTTAAACTAGTCTTCCCCTGCTGGTCCAGGCAAGGAGCCTGTTCCAGCATTTGGTTCTTTCTTCTCCATCTTCTTCAGGTGTTCTCCTTCCTTCTTTAGGTCAGAAAAGAAATTCATGAAAAACACCATAAAATAAAATTTTAAAAAATCCATTTTCTACCTTTCTTGCAAGTGCTTTTATGTTTCTATGCATCTCCTCACATGGGATGCTCACATTCAGCCTTTGCTGCAACATTGTGCCTTCCTTTTTGAATGTTCTACCCAATTTTCTCCCGTAAGCCCTTCAACAGCTACCAGTGGCTTCCTAATGACCATTCACAGTGTATGCTTCTCAATCTCTGCAGCTTCGAACACTGTTGACTTTCTTCCTTTCCTACCCCAGCCTTGAAATAGGTATCCATGGCAAAACATTCAGTCCCTACTCTTAACCTTGCTGTCTGAATGCTGTTGCTTGCCATTGGACTATTCTGGAACAGGAAGTATAGCATTCTAACAGCATGGTATATGAAGCCATATTTCCCTGAATCAACTTCTAGTTTTAGCACTTATTAGCTAATAAGTGTATGATCTTAGGCAATTTATTAGGAAAAAAATTAATCTCAGTTTACCCAACTATAAAATGGAGATAATAATGCTTTGTAGGAAGGTATATGAATTAATTCATATAAACCAATTTCACAAGCTCTGTAAAATAAGAATTTCTTCTTATTTTATAAATAATACTTATCTTATAAATAATAAGATGTTATTTATGCCAATAATATCTACAAGTTGACATTTTCCAATATTCTGCTTTTAGAACTGTATTAGGTTCCTATTGTTGTATTAAAAAATTACCCCAAACTTAGTGACTTAAAATACCACAAATTTATTATCATACATTTCTGGAGCTCCGAAGTCCTAAAAAATCTAAAGTGTCGGCAGAGCCATAGCGGAGAATCTGCTTTTTTGCCTTTTTCCTGTATCCCTTGGCTTAGGGACTATTCCTCCATGTTCAAAGCTGCATTTGCATGGCTTCAACTATCAGTTCTATGTGGAAGATTTTTTCTGATTTTCAGGCCAGTCTCATATCCCCAGAGAAATGCATTCTTATCCCCCCAACTATTTGCCATTGAAAGTAATGGCAAAAACCACCATTAGTTTTGCACCAACCTAGTAGTTGCAGGTCGTCTCCCTGTGGCTGCACTCCACACAAATACAAGTAAACGCATCACAATCCTATAACTAATTCTGTTCCTTGTCCTGATGAGCTTCCTTCTACAAATGGCCCTAATATTCCCTCCATTTCCCAGTATTTATTGAGGGATGAAGAGTCTTTCTGTCAACTTTCAGTGAGAAGAAGTAAATAAAACAGCTTTGATGGATACCCCCATGAACCGGAGTGAAAGGGATACTCCTTTAAATCATAGTTATTTCGTTTGCTAAGCATGGTGGCCCTGAGAATATGCCTCCCAGAGCCTCCACCACAGGGAACACGACTGACATGTGACCCCAGATGCTGTACTCTGAAGCCCATGACAGTATTTGGGCTGACGCTATGGTTTTTATTATCTTTCCTCACCAAAGACTTCAGCAAGGGAGGGATACTAAGGCAAATCTGTTTCTGGGAATCTTCAAACTCATTCAACAGCTGATCTTGGCTCCAGGGCTTCCATATGGCCTTGCAGGACCTTTCTTAGACTGCAGAGAAGTCCAGAACACTTTTTACTTAGCCTTCCTTTCCTCTCTCCTTCACTCAAGGTCAGATTTTCATCTCAGTTTGATAGCTCTCCCCGCTCCTCCCAGCTTCGTCCCCATTTTTTCTCACCCGGCTGTTTCCCCTAATATAATAATTGGTCTTCAATTTTAACTTGCATTTGCTCCTCAGGAGATCTGAACTTATATGTCATAGTCTGAGTTTGGAGGGTTGAAGGGTCAAGACCTGATGGTGAAGCCCACTTCCTTTGAGTTCCCTGGATTCCAGGAAGACAGAATTTACAACTGCCAGTAAGGGAGCAACCAGACGATGCAAACTCCTTGGCACCAAGAAGAGAATGTGGGAGGAAAATGAGATGTTTTAGAAACAACAGAGGAATCTGTGAGACAGGGCTGCTGTGAGATGATGTCACACTTGACATAAATTGACAGTTAATTGCCTGGAGATTTGGGAACAGTTCAGGGGTGTGTGTATGAGAGAGATTGTGCATACCATGAACAATGGACACAAATATATATGCCTGCTTCTGTGTTGTGTGTCTCTCTGAATTAGTGTTCCCTGGTCCACTTCATAGGATATTTCACCAGCACCTGGGACTGACTGTAAGGGGGAAATGGATTTGCTCATGGACCTTTCAGCAGAGGGAAAAATGGGTAGAAGCTTCTAGGAAGCGGGAATAATTTCATGTAAAGAGGGCTTTTCCTGAAGACACCTGACAGAGTGGGTAGCTGGAGGCATATCTGCCATAGATACAAGGACTTTCTGCCGTGGGTGGGAAGCTGGACTGGGAAGCCCACAAGACCTTCCACCTCAGACAGTTGTAGAAATTCAAAAGTCCCAGCAGTTTTCTAAACCTGGCAGGTCACTTGAATCACATGGGAGGCCATTAAACACACCCCAAATATTCTAAATTTGGATTTCAAGGGAAGGGCTTGAAAGGAAGAGCAAGGAACCTGGATAAAACTCTAAAACCTTCTTTCCCTTGCAATTGAATTAGCCAGCCTAATTTGAAAACCACACTGCTTTGTTGAACAGAATTCCCGGAACCACCCCAGACTTGAAGTATCATTCAGCTATGTCTTCACATGGGAAATGTGTTGTGCTATCAGAAGTTGAATTGCTTGTTTCAATGTGTTTAAGACAATGTACCTCCGAATCTGGCAGGAATGAGTTTAAATTCTGACTCTGCTACTTATCATCTGAGTGATCTTGAATAAGATATTCAACTTCTCAGAACCTCAGATTTCTTCGCTGTAAAATAAGGATGGTAATGACACCTTTTTCCTAAATTTACTGAAATTATCAAGTGGGATAATGATAACAGTTAACATTCATTTTCAACTTGCTCTGTGCCAGTCACTATTTCAACTCATGTATTAGCTCATTTGTTTGTAGCAACTGTCTGAAGAAGGTTCAGCTATGATTCCCGCTTTACAGATGGAAAGATTGAGGCATCAAGAGGTCACATAACTTGCTAAGGTTTGCACAACTAAACGGGATACAGCTGATATTTAAACCTAGGCAATTCAGTCAAAATCTACTTTTCAGGATAGTATGCTTTATACACACATACTATGCTATGTGTGTATAAAGCACTTAACCCAGAGCTTGGAACACACTATGTGCTCCATAACTATTAGCTAATGTTATAATCACTGCTTTTACCCTGGGACTTACAGTGAATTGTCACAACTCTCCAGCATCTGCAATATTCCTACTTAGCTGCTTGCAAAGCCAGAACACCTGTGTCTTCATGCCCTCTCCTTTTTGTGCCCAGCCCCTGTCTCAGTGATGAGCAGGACAGCATGCATGGATCATTAACTTACTGAGACTGAGAATGTCAAATTCAAGACCTGTTGAATAAGGTCAGTAAGTAATAGTAGTTGCTGTATTTCTCATAAGTGTTGAAAAGGAATCCTTACAGAAATACATTACTTTAATCCTAATGTATTTTGACTTCTTCAGGATGCACAGGTGTCCAGGGAACTGTAGTGTCAGTATCTCTGAGACCTTAGGAGAACTTCTTTTGAATCTAAAGGAGGGGGAGTTGAAAGGCATCTCTATTATAGCAAAAAGAAATTAGAGGGCTGATTCATCCTATTCTGTAGGGAAAGCAGAACTCTGCTCAGAGATCTTGAAGTAAGTAAAACATGGTAGTTACTTTTGGAGGAAAATAAAGTACCATCGAATGTAGAATCTGATGGTTTCAGTGAAGGTAATAAATGGTGCTTTGATGACAACTGTATTCATTAGACATATTTGTGGCTTTCCTCCTCCTTTCTCTTGCAGATAAATTCTCACTCAGGCCCTACAGAGATAGGTGCGTGGTTTTAGAGATCATCAGATGTGGGTTTAAGATCACTTTTGCCACTTCCCATATGCGAGATCTTGGGCAGGACCCTCACCCTCTCTGAACCTTGGCCTCTTCTTTCTGAAATGTTGGTAATTGATATGGTTTGGATATTTGTCCCCATCCAAATTTCATGTTGAATTGCAATCCCCAGCATTGGAGGTGGGACCTGGTGGGAGGTGACTGGAGCATGGGGACAGATTTCTCCTAAATGGTTTACTACCATCTTGGTACTGTTCTCATGATAGTGAGTGAGTTCTTATGAGATCTGGTCGTTTAAAAGCACATAGCACCTCCCTCTTTGCTCTGTCTTGCACCTGCTCTGGCCATGTGTTGTGCCTGCCTCCCTTTCACCTTCCACCATGACTGGAAGCTTCCCGAAGCCTCCCCACAAGCAGAGCAGACATTGGCATCATGCTTCCTGTAAAGCCTACAGAACCATGAGCCAATTACACCTTTCTTCTTTTTAAACTACCCTGTCTCACGTACTTCTATATAGTGACGTAAGAATGGACTAATACAGTAATACTCTTACACTTATTGTAGAGATGTTGTGGGACAACATAAGACAATTGTAAACACAGTCTGTGCCTGCAAGTTCAGCCAGGCACTCTGTAGAGATCAATACTGTCCCTAGGATGCTGTGAATTTTCATATTGGTACGTCTGAGCCTGAGTAACACTTGGCAACCAGAGTGAGCCCCAGAACTGGCTCATGTGGAGGTCAGTGACAAACCTTTGACATTTGATACAATCAAAACCAAGCCGCTTTGTTTAAAATGCTCATCAAATACCTACCATGCACACTGTGTATATAAAAGTCATTGTCACAAAAGCCCTTTTTCAGAATCTCTAGCTTGCCATTTCTCTCAGATTTCTTATTGTCCTCTGGGTCAAAAACACTGCAAAATTTCATTCCTTTACCACAGCAAGCTTTTATTTCTGGTGTACACACCCGAGTGTTATCTGGAATGTGGCTGCTCTAAGCTGGGCCTCTGCTGGATTTAACTCTAGACTATTGGTTGAGCTAAGGTCTTCTTCCTGTGTCTCTTATTTTTCTAGGGATAGCAGAAATGAAAGAGGCAAGTCCAACCACACAAACATATCTCAAGCCTTTGCTTGAACTACATCCAATAGTACCTGCTGGTCAAACCAAGTCACAAGGATAACCCAACTGTAAGACCATGGCAAGGTGATGAATGTCTACAAATACCGCAAATGGGTGAAGAATTGAGACCATATCTCATTCTGTCATACCTGGAACTCCAAATTTCCCAGTTCTTTTAAACTTTTATGAGTTAGGTACTTTCAAGTTGTGTAGGACAGACTCACCTGGTTTGGGTGAGTTAAGTCTATGGAAAGGGAACAGAAAACATGTGAGGAAACACTTATCCCATCTATTCCATCTTATCTTGATGGAATTAGAATTTAGGGATTCACTTTTCAGGGACAAAAAGCATTCAGGAAGGTGCCTCACACAAAATGGCTACTCAGGAAATGTTTATGGAGAGGACATGTGAATCAGTGAGGAGCGGCTGTAGCACTGGTCACCTTGCCGTTTTCCCAGAAGTAGCCTCCATTGCTCCCTCCTCTGTGGTCTTCAATATTCTCATGATTCAACTTCCCTGTCTTCTTTGGTTCTTCCAGTTACTGCTGTATCCCTTAAACTCGCCCAAAAGGAAGGATTGTGTTGCATTAATTAGCTGTCTTTCTATCTACTGGGCAGAGATCTTATGATATGCTGCCTCATTGGCATGAATCAGCCAATTTTTGTTTTGTTTTGTTTTGTTTGTTTGTTTGTTTGTTTTTGAGACTTTGAGATGGAGTCTTGATCTGTCTCCCAGGCTGGAATACAGTGTCACGATCCTGGCTCATTGCAACCTCCTCCTTCTAGGTTCAAGCAATTCTCCTGCCTCAGCCTCCTCTGTAGCTGGTATTACAGGCCCCTAAAACCACGCTCAGCTAATTTTTGGATTCTTAGTAGAGACTGAGTTTCACTATGTTGACCAGGCTGGTCTCAAACTCCTGACCTCAGGTGATCTGCCCGCTTTGGCCTCCCAAAGTGGTAGGATTACAGGCATGAGCCACTGTGCCAGGCCATGAATCAGCCAGTTTTAAAAGGCTTCTTTTTAAGTTGCTGGTCACTGGTTGAATCGCAAAGAGTGTAAGGACCATGCAAGGAATTCCCTATGGCTGCATTCTTCAGCAAGGGTCTGTGGGTTTTGCTATTGCTTAGAGACTCAAGGATTTTGTGTTGGGTTGCCCCATCTCTTGCTTTGTGATTCTGCCTCTTGGGATTTGGAAAGGTAACCTGGATCTAGCACAGAGAGGTCTTTCTCCCTTTGAAGTGTTCATCATGATCTGATGAGTCAACAGTGCCTCGTCTCATTGTTTGCTACACTAGCTGGCTGGAACACTACCCTCCCAGCAGAGCACTCCCTGCCAGAGCATGATACTGCCACTGCCAATTGAAGCACGGCTATGTTTTTACATCTTGTAGCAATAACCCTCCTTCCTCAATCATTGAAGACTGATCAGCTGGGCCAAAACCAAAGCAATATAACCCAGGGTCGTGTGTGTACATGCATATGTGGTGTGTGTATGTGCACATATGCATGTAGTGTATATGTATGCACATGTATGTAAGAGCACGCACACACGTGTTCTTTTTAATATAAAGAAATGCCTTTAGAGAATGAAATGCACTGGGGGCATCCAAGGTGAGGAGACTTGAGGGAATGTTTTTTGTTTTTTTTCTTGGCAAATCAGTGAAAGATGGGCAGATAAGTATGGTGAACCCCTAGTGTGAAGTAGAGAAATTGGAGGCTGGAGTTATAGAGGCAGATGTTGAAGAACGTGGAAGCTTCTAGAAGAGCTGAAAACGTCCATAGACTGAGTAATCGGCCAGGCACAGTGGCTCACACATGTAATCCCAGCAGTTTGGGAGGCTGAGGCGGGCAGATCACCTGAGGTCAGGAGTTCGAGACCTGCCTGGCCAACATGGTGAAACCCCGTCTCTACAAAAATACAAAAATTAGCTGGGCATGTTGGTGGGTGCCTGTAATCCCAGCTACTCTGGAGGCCCGAGACAGGAGAATTGCTTGAACCCGGCTGGCGGAGGTTGCAGTGAGCCAAGATCGCACCACTGCACTCCAGCCTGGGAGACAGAGTGAAACTCCAACTCAAAAAAAAAAAAAAAAATGCGAGTAATGAAGGGCAGATTCAGGACCGGGACTGGATGCTCACTCAGTAGGTTGCTGTGTCCCGCAAGGTAGGAGGTGTTCTGTGGGTGAAAGGCAAAGACAGAGAGGACATCAGGTCAGAACATTCCAAGTGAGACTCTACGTTCCTTGAAGACTCCATTGTCTCATTTCTTTTTATATCTCCAGTGCCAAAGACCTAAGTGAGCCCTCTGGATATTAGATAAATAAATTAACTTATTAAAGGATGAAAGAGTGAACTACTAAGTTAATTTGAAATTGAAATATAGGGTAAGGCCTGCACTTACACAGAGAAAATGAACTTTCAAAAATGTACAAAGCAGACAAAGGGGAGACGGAGAGAGAGAATGAAGACTGAATGGGTATCCAACTGATACCTGGAACATGGCAGTGTGAGTAGCTGAAAAAGGAAAAGACCTCAAGGAATGGGGCTGTCTGTGGGGCCTATATTTATGTTGACATCACTCACAAGTACAAGTCTGCATCCCTGGGTGTCCTCAGACAAGCATATAGTTTGCATATCGTATTACCTTTTGTGTTAGTAATCACTGATTTTGAATCTTAGCTGACTGTGGAGGTGCTGTTCTGCCTTTGACATGGCAGTGTGAGCTGGAGAGGGATGGGGAGATGAAGAAGCCACATGTCCCAGGAATATCAGGATCCTATAAACTTATTCTGGGTAAGGCAGTGGCAAGGGTGACCAGCAAAGTGGTGCCTGAAGGCTGGGAATCCAGTCATGTCAATTTTCTTGTTTGTTTCTCTCTGGCACCTTCTCTAGGCCCAGAGCCTAGATGAGGCTGTGTGGACCAGTGATACAATGGAGACTTTAATTTTCTCGATTAGTGCAGAGGATGAAGAAATCTCAGCAGTCATGCTGTATTCAAGGTGCAGGGTATTGCCTGCTTCTGTTCTCAATGCTGGCTCTCGTAGCTTAACCCACCTATACAGAAGTGACTTGTTTTCATCCCCGTCCTGGCCAGTGACTCTTTAACCAGGCAATGTGATTTACGTTTAGATGTTAGTTTAATCCCTTTGTTTCTTAATGAAGCTGCCCTTGTTAAAATCCCTGGGACCTAATCATAGAAATTCTCTCTAGCCCCACGTCTCCGTTCAACAACTGCTTAGCAAATTTCTCATCAGTCCCATTTTTTTTTTTACCAGCTCCCCTCAATAGCCATTTCTTGTCTCCAAGGTTTTTTGAAGCCCAGAGGCTTTTCTTGTCAGGCAATTCTCTTATTTCAGCCCTGCAGTGAACTATCCATATACTGTATCACATCATGATTTTTTTTTTCTCTGCAACCTCTCCCTTCCCCTTGAAACAACTTACCTTTATCTGTGTTCCAACCCCAATCTGTTGCGTCTAGAAGTCAGAGAGCCAACTGCCAATCATTCTAGAATTCAGCATTTTCAAAGTTCATCTTTGAAATGGATAGCCTCTTGTTCTGCAGAAAAGCAAGGATCCTAGAAAAAACATGCAAACTGCATTTCAAGGAGGATGGCATCATCTTTTTGTTTCTCTTGGAATGACTCAGGAGTGAGGAAACAGGAATACATTACTGTGGTTCCCACTCATCTTGGCCTACCAATCTCTCCCATCTTTCTAGGTACAGCCCATCTTGTGATGGGCTGGGACCTGGGCCCCTCCTGGACTTACGTTCAGGATTTCAAATAACTTGGATGGCAGTCTAGCCAAGGAAGCCAAAAGCTTCCATCTCTTCCTTGTCGTTTGTGTGGGTTTTTTGGTTTGGGTTTTTTTTTTTTTTTTAGAGACAGAGTCTCACTTTATCATCCAGGCTGGAGTGCAGTGGCACAATCACGGCTCACTGCCGCCTTGAACTCCTGGGCTCAAGTGATTCTCCCACCTCAGCCTCCTGAGTAGCTAGAATTACAGGTGCATGCCACCAGGACCAGCTATTTATTTATTTATTGTAGAGGTGGGGTCTTGCTATGTTGCCTAGGCTGATTTTGAACTCCTGGTCTGAAGTGATCCATCTTGGCCTCCAAAGTACTGGGATTACAGGTGTGAGCCACTGTGCCCCACAGTATATCTTTTTAAAATGAAGACTTTCTTATCAGATTTCAGCACCAAGGCTCATACATATGTTGACTCAAGAATTAAAGGGCTTTAGTTTCATGTGCTGGCACTAATCAATGGCTCTGGTTTGAGAACAATTTTGAAACCATACTCGTCTCATTGGAAAAGAGGGCAGTAGTGGTGCCTACCAGAGATAGGGCATGAGGAAGCAGTAGTAGCATCCCTGCCATGCACCTGCCATCCTTGATTTGATAAAGTCCAGAAGCACATCTGATCACACCATCTTGCACAATGGCCTTCTCCCAAGCAACAGTGACAACTTAGATGGCCTGGAAAACTATTTCAAACTAATAGCAACATGTCTACCAAGAGTGCATTATTAATGACACATTCAACTGAAAAATTGATCACACGCTCTTAGGTATTACATGGGTCACATTTGCAATAATTTTGGTTTTTACTGCTGAAAGGCAAATTTAAGGTAAAAATCAAATACTTTAAAAGTATATATCTTAATATGCCTTCCTCTTAACATTCATCTAGTAAGGGGGGAGATGTAGAATTTTGATATAAATTGGCCAGCCTTATGTTGATTTATCTTTAACACAGATTTCAACTCCTTCACTTCAGTTGCCATGAACTGCAAGGCCCTTGTTCAGTCTGGCTTTTCATCTCTTTCCTGCCCAAGTCCAATTTAGCTCTTATAAAACAACCAGACTACTGCAATCCCTCATCTCACGGCAACCTCCAGGACATAATATATAAAACTTACCCTTGACATGTGGGTGGGTCAAATAAGTGATCAAAGGGCAAGTCATGATCTGAAAGCATGGTAATCTCAAGCAACCGCTGATGTGAACATTGCGTGTGGCACAGTGAAACTCAAAGGACTCCTGATTTTGGCAATAAAAACGATTGTGTCTATAAACTGAGAGAATTATAGAAGTTTGAGCACAGCTGATCTTAGCCTTGAACATAGTTGAGGAAGAGGGAAGGAGAAATTTAAAACTTTAATTCTGCCAATTTAACAAAACCGCTTCACATCATTATCTAGGATGAGAGTGATATAAAGAAATTTACCAGAACTTTTTCCATTAATCAAAAAGAAGGTAGTGAATGAGATGGAGGATCAATCATGTCAAAAATTTCAGAAAGGGATGAGGAAATAATTTCTAGCAAATTATATAATAAAAGTATGTTTCCACTGAAAGGAGCATTGAGGAAGAAGAAGAGTATTTCGTAGAAGTGAAACGGCACTGATTAACCTCATTAAGGACATGACTTCCTCATACTTTAATAGGAAGTGGTAAACTTCAGAATGAGACCAGCACTATGTTGAAGTATGTCCTAGTCCAGCCTCTGTTGTGAGCTAGCTGGGAAAGCATGGCCTTATCTGTTTCAGTATCCTTATTTGTGAAATGAAGAGCTTGGCCTGAAATCAGCAGCTCTCAAATTTTCGTGGGCATCAGAATCACCAAGGATGTTTGTAAATGTTTTTAAAAGTCAATTTTCAAGACTCCATTAAATGGAGATTTTGATATATACAATCAGAGTTAAATATGTGTATATATAAAAAATATCTTTAAGCTAGAGTCTCTTATCAGTGAGACTTTGGGCTCTACGTGCAGAGAGACTGGTTTACAACCAGTCAAGGGGCAGGGTGGGGATAGAATTCAGAACTTTAGAGATAATCTAACATTCTCAGAGACTAGAATTCTGCAGTGTTCTGGAACAATACCCCAAGGTCAAAAAGCTTTAACTAAATGTTTGTATGATCAATAAATTGGTCTGATTTAAAATTAGCCTATAAAGACATTTTTTAAAAGCAAATGCTTAACTTCAATACTACATGACAAGAGGGTGATATACAAAAAAAAGTTACTATGTGGTTCTTGGCATCAAGCAGATTAAAGTCTACTTTGAAATAAAGACCATAATAAGTAGTTGACCCCATAAAAATTAAGCAATAATGGGAAGAAGTTCAGAGGAACAGAAAATCAATTCATGCTGAGATGATAATCAAATTATTGGTAAAAATGAAGATGCTGGTTAGGCATGTCCTTGGCTAGAGAAGGGCTCAGGCTTGCAGGTTTAATGACCTTTAGCTGAGACCACCCCACGTGTCCATCTGCCTCAGGATACTCTAAGTCTCGTGGCTGAAGCAAAGTCTTCCTTAAACAGGGCTTCCATTGGGCCATGCCAGCTATTTTGTTTGTTTGTTTCCTCAAGACTTACCAGGCCCTATCTTCTGATTCCACCTTTGATCTTAGGTAGGTTAATTCAGTTAATATATTACTAATAACTGTCTACACTCTTTCTGCCCTCGATATCTGTTTCCTTCTGCTAACATTTTATGACTATTCTTTGTGGGTTAATTTCACATTTTATCTCCCAAAGGCAGCCCAAGTTCCCTCCTTTCCAGATGTCTTGGGCTCTCCCACCGTAGAGCATTGGTGCTGCCTATACTGTTGTTCTTGATTTCAGAGAACGTTCTACATCATACAGATGCTTACGCTTATTAAACTACTGATTTAAGTTGTTGCAGGTTTTGAGTTACCACTGGCTTTTGACTCAGTTGAAAAAAAACAAAGAATGGTCCAGGGTGAGAGAGGTGTGTAAATTGACTCCGTGAGGACTCTAGGAACTGATCTTTGACTTCCTCGCCAGCCTCTTTGCCAAGCCCAAATTCATCATCATTGTGAAGTAGCATTGGGCCATGTTTAAGAAGTTTTCTATAAGAATTTATTTTGGATTAATAGCAAATAATTGCAGCTGAGTCAGCATTAAAGACATGTTATATCAGACTGTGTCTGCTAGTTCAGAGGATGCTGCTTCTCGGATGGGACTTAGCTGAACACGTGTTACACCTCTGGGGAAGTGTCTACAGCATTGTACCAAAAAACACAGAAAACAGGCCACTGAAACAAACACCAGCAGACATAGCATTGGCAGGATCTAACAAGCAGGTTTTCCTGAAACGTCATTTTGACAGGGTTATAGTCAGGTGGAATCTCTTAACTGCAGTGGTCACCTGGTGCTTCGTTCTTTGGTGCACAGAGAGGGGGCTGCAGAGGATTAACATGGAAGAAGCAAGCACTCCCCCTCCGTTGTTACCCCTCCCTGCAAGATCCTGAAGCCCTGATTCTTTCCCCATCATTATATCCCTTTTCAGGAACGGAAATGTCTTCTGCAGAGCCAGCCCATTCCCTCTGGTGCTGGTCTCAGGGGAAGTACAGCATCTGGCTCCCACCCTCCATCTAATTACCCATCTGTTTGTGGGGAGGGAAGGGATGTTCTATTCCCCTTCTCTTCCCAAACATTTTAATGTGCTGATGCATGAAGACGACAGCAGCTGCACCTCAGAACCCATCCTTTGTGCATCACACTCACTGGCTTAGCTTTTCTGTTCAGTTCTTGGATGGGCCTCTTTATAGCTAGAGACCCACGTCTCTAACTCCTCCTCATCCTGACTTAGTACAACCCTGGCCCTTGCATTAGACTGCTCCAGATTCCATGTTGCTCTCTGATTCAGCATCATCAAGCCTCAGCGGGGTGCCTGAGACCCCCTACCTTTAGGGAGGGGCAGGGATTTCCCTGCTCTGCTCTTGGCCTAGGGCTTCTATCAGCTCCAGCAAAGAGACCATGGAGAGCGTAGCCTTTCATCGTAATCTCCCAACCTTTACTCAGCTAATGGCCCCTTTGGTTATTTCTCTCTCACTCTGGAAGCCATGTTTAGAAAGAGCTGATATACTGAACAAATTGCACTTAATAAATATTCACTTATTTTCCCTCTTTTTAAAAATTAATCAAGTTCTTTGTAAGGAAGAAAAACGTATTAGTCTTTGACAAATGAAACTACCAATCTCCATTGATACCTACGTTGATAGTATTCAAGCCCCAAACAAACACTTCTTAGCTGGCTCAGATGATCTGGTTAAGGGGAACTTTGTCAGTTTAGTTCAGCTTTGTGAAATACTGAAGGATTTCAGACCACTATTAATACCTGAGTAAAGTGGTTAAGAGAATAACTTTGGACATAGAGACAGATGGGTTTCATTTGGCCACATACTAGCTACATGACCTCGGGCAAGTTTCTGAACTTGATGCGGCTCCATTTCTTCATGGGTAAAATTGGGGTAATTATACTATTGATCCTGTAGGATTATCCTGAAGATAGAATGCATAATGTTTACAAAGCACTTGGTACAAAGAGGCATAAAGCAAGAAGTGAGTAAATGTTAACTGCTGCTATCTTTATTCCCGTCATTTTAATCATCACTATCAATTATCATCACAACCCAAGTGGCTCAGGGATGGAGAGACCCCAACTAGGACCCTCTCTCCATTCTAGGGGAAACATTTATTCAACTCAACTGTGGCCAGAACTCATAGTGAATCTCGCTATAGTCATCCTCCGTTTTGCAACAGCAGATTTTGCTGGGCTCGTGGTCACTCAGCTAAAGACTACTTTCTCCAGCCACCTTGCATCTAGGTATGACCATGGAACTGGGTGATGGCCACTAAGACATGAGTGAGCGTGATGTTAGCACATTAATCCATGCCTTTGAAAGGCAAGAAGTCTATTTTCCCTTCCTGTTTTTCCCTTCTTCAGCTGAAACGCAAACGTGGTGGTGAATCATCTTGAATTAAGCTGAAAAGGGTAACATGGAAGAGATGGCATGGCAACAGGATGCATCCCCAATACCATCAAGCCACCATTCCAATTCTGGACTGCCAACCTAGACTCTTAAATAAGGGAGAAAAAAAGTCCTTTTTGCTTTAAACTACTGAATCTGATATCACCTATTATAACACCATGGTGTATCGTAAAAACACACCAAACAACTATTTTCAAAATAGATGTGATACTTCTCCCCAGTTATACAACTTCTGGAAGCAGGAAGCCACTGCATTCCCCCACCCAGCTTGTCATGGTTTACTTCTGATTGGATATAACTAGATGATAACAGGGATCACGCTGCATCCATTGAGGAGAAAGATGATTCAACCCTCTCGCGGGCTGCTGGGGAATCGATATCGTTTAATTATGAGAAAGTAAACTGTGTTTACATTTTACACAGTGGCAAGAGGAAGGTCAAATCACAATCCTCATACCCTTTATCAAAACCATGCATCGCTGTTTGTCAAGTGAGATTCAAAATGGGATGAACTTGGAGAGTTGCCATCTTCCTGTTTTCTCCCTTGTTTGTTCATATGGCTGTGCTTTACAAGATTAAAAGGCTTACCGGGCAAAAGCATAGCAGAAGGAAGTAAAACCTTCGGGCAGATGAAATAATTCTTCCATTTTAGGAAAAAAAGGCAATTAGTTATTTGAGGTTTTCTGGGTGGGGCAGTGAGTAGAAGGTCATTATGTTCCTTTCCTGTTGTATATCGAAAATCAGTTGAGAAGTAATGAAAATGGTAAGAAAAAGAAAAAAAAAGAGTAAACCCTCTTCCTCTCCCAGTGGCCTCTACCCCATGACTCATCAGCTTCCTGAACTGGAACAACACTGAGCTTTATGACTACAGAAATGTCAGCTCTGAGCACAGTGCATACTTCTTTGTGTGAAGATCTTAGGCGGTTGTGCAAAAGCCAGCCCAGGACCCAGCATGGTCCTGCTTTATCTCTCTGCCGGGCTAGTCTCCATGTTCATTAGAAATGTGTGATTTCTTGACAAGCACTCTTTGGATTTGCTGCAGAGTCAGGTGATACATTGAAATCAGCAAAAACATTAATGATAGCAACAACAAAAACGACCTTGTTTAAGTTTTACGCCTTATAAGGGGGCAATGTTAGCCTTGTAATAAAAATGAGGTAACTGCAACTTGGAAATATTAGGAAATTTATTTAGGATATCTTAGAAAATCATAATGAGAGTGATGATGATGATGATGGTAGTGATGATGATTATGGTAATGATAACTATAGTGATGGTGATGACGATGGTGATGGTGGGGGTAATGGTGATGGTGATGGTGGTGATGATGATAGTGATGGTGATGGTGGTGATAGTAATGATTACGGTGGTGGTGATGATGATTCTAGTGATGGTGATGCTGATGGCGGTGATGGTGATGTTGATTATTATGGTAATGATAATTACGATGGTGTTGTTGATGATGGTGGTGGTGGTGGTAATGATGATGGTGATGGTGGTGATGATGATGATAGTGATGGTGATGGTGATGATGGTGATGGTGGTGATGATGATGATGATGATAGTGATGGTGATGGTGGTGATGGTAATGACGGTGGTGATGATGGTGATGGTAGTGGTGGTGATGCTGATGGTGGTGATGGTGGTGATGATGGTGATGATGGTGATGATAGTGATGGTGATGATGGTGGTGATGTTGATGGTAGTGATGATGATAATGATGGTAATGGGTGGTAAAGATGATAATGCCTTACTCTAGGCTAGATATTGTGCTAAATATTTCACTGACAAGCAAATGTGTAAACTCACAGTGCTCAGTATTGTGATTGACCCTAATACGTTTTCACTAATTGTTGGCTTCAGGGCTAGGACTAGAGTGAGGTGAATGAGGTACTCTCTTTGGGTCCAAATTTAAAGGGATACGAAAAATCTCAGTAATTAAAGTAAATAATATTTAATGCAATATTTTATAAAAATAAAAATTAGTGCAAAAATCCATGGTAAACAAAATGTCAACATTTTAAATAAAGGTTCTGTACATGCACAATATATTCTATTTACCTTCCCCTAATCCCACCCAGTTGTCTCAGCTAATGGCAATCTTATTTTATACTTGATGAAACAAGCCTGAGCCCAGGTTGTTCTTATCCCTGTTCTATAGGTGAAAATACTGGGCACAAGAGATTTTTCCACAATCACATAGCTAATATATGGAAAAGCTGGGATTTGAGCTCAGCTATATCTAACATAGAAGTTCAGCAGTCTATCTGGCTTCTAAGGTAAGTTTCTGTCACAACATTAAATATTCAGTATCATTTTCTGGGCTATTTTTAAATGGTAGGGAGTCAAAGAGATTAACTACCAGTTGCAGCTCTTATCAGGCCAACAATATCAGCTAAGGTGAATCTGATACTAGTAGAACTCTAAGAATGTGCATTTATTAAGTCACTCATATAAATAATATATTTAACCTACTTAGAAACTCTGTATAGAAGATATCAGTGTTGTATTTCATAAATAGAGAAAGAGAATCTCAGAGTTGAGCACTCACAGTCATGGTCAATTCATGGCAGAGTTGGTGACCAGCTCAAATTTTCTAGGTTGACATAATCCTGTCCTTTCTATGGCTTCAAAGCCATCCACGTTTGTCTCTTGATCCTGGAACTTTTTATATTTCGTCATACAGACCTTCCTAAGATCCTCACTTTGCTTGTATCATTTTCCCTAGAATAACTATTTTCTAAAACGCATTAATGCATTGATTTTAATAACATCTTGTGTCTTATGTAATTTTAAAAATCAGCATATATTGACTGAAGACATTTTGACAAAAGAGAAAGAAAGAACATAGCAAAAAAGCATTTCCAACTTTCATAAATAAGCAAGAGTATCACTTTCGTGAAGTTCTTTTCTATTTTGTTTTGTCCTGTTTTTTTATAGTGACATGTAACTTTTTCTTTTTCTGGACAGCCTGTCCTCTTGGTGATAATAAAGCATGATGATAAAACAAATGAGATCTCACTACTAGACTTTTCTGTCCAGGAAATACTCTTGACTTCATCTGTCCTCACCTCTGCTTGGACCTTGTTTCATCCAATACCTCATGCCACTCTCAGCTTTCCAATTTAGATCCTTCTCTTGGGTCATTCTCCTCTGCTATGAATTAGCAGACATTGATCTTGTCCTCTGACAAGTAGTTATCAGCAGTTATTCATAAATGGATTTAGTATGTTCCATATCCTTAGAATAACATATACATATAAGCAAAAATTAAATATAATCTTAGGGGTTTCACAGGCTCCCCTAAATCTCATTCATGTACGCCTTAAGCCTGACTTAAGAAACGCTGCCATGTAATTTCCCCTTGATCCTTTTTTTTTTTTTTTTTGCAGATACTGCCCCTTCTCATTTTTAACTTTCACCAACACTTTTCTTGTTAAAGAAGCTTTCATTCTCTGCCGCTGTAATTTTCCTTACGCACATGAATATTTATCTTAATCAAGTTTCTCCTCCCAAGAACATCCCTTCAGACACCAAAACGCGTATTCTTCCACGTTCCATCAGCAGAAACTTTCCTTCATTTGATACTTGAAGTCCATCGCTCTGGTGAAAGCATCCCTCTTCTTGTTTTTCATTATGTTACATTCTTTGGACTTGTCCTCTTATCTATGTACCTTGTAACTTCCATTTAGCCCTCTTTTCTCTTTCAACTTCCTTATTGTAGATACTCCTTAATGTTACTAGCATTTAAGTTGTTTTTTTCCCCCCTCCTTTGTCAGTCCCAAAGCTCCTATGGCTCAACTGTTGGTGCACATAACCTTAGGGAGGTGATTTGAAGAAATTTTACCGAAATGTTGTATGACAAACTCCCAATAACAGGATTTAAGAGAATACCACTTGTTCTTACCCCTTCAGTTCTCTTAACAGGGAAGAAATATCATAACCACATAACACATGTTTATATATATAGATATGCCCTTACATCAAAATAAATTCTTGATGATACCAAGATACGTGTTCAAGGCAACCATAAAACACTGGAAAAAAATCAATCAGAGGTGAATTTTTTCTTATCTTATGGTCAGGCAGAGTTTAAGCATGACACCAAAAGTTAAAATAAGCTGAAAATTGATATCATTGGCTACATAAAATTTTAATGCTTCTGTACAATAAAAACTGTATAAGTATTAAACAAATGACATGTTTAAAAACACAGTTTGCACTATATATTCCGAAGGGCAAGGACCCCTCTCCAGCAGCTGTCGTCCAGCACATATTTAACGTTTCCATATATCTCTGTCCTCATCAATAAGATGAGGCTAATGACGCTGCCTCTGCGGTCCTTCTAAGAAGCAGATGGGATAAAAGAGTGTGCACCAGTAGCTCTAAACCCGGGACAATTTCACCCCCTGAGGGCATTTGGCAGTGTCTAATGACATTTTTGGTGGTCATGCTGGGGGATGCTGCTGGCATCTTGTGGGTAGAATTCAGAGATGCTGTTAAACATCTTGCAATGCTTAAGACATCCATGCAGAACAACAACAACAAAAAAATATCCTGCCCAAAATGTCAATAGTGCTGTGGCTGAAAAACCCTGGTCTATACAGGGTGGAGGATGTTGCGGAGCGTTTGGTACCTGGTAAGTGCTCAGTAAATGTCAGTCATTTTTACATCTTATTGGGCAATTCTATGTAAATGCCTTGTCCCTAGGAATATCCACAGGTTTAGCTTATTTTTTTTTTTTTTTTTTTTTTTTTTTTTTTTTTTTTTTTTGAGACAGAGTTTTTCCTCTTGTTGCCCAGACTGTAGTGCAAAGCTGCGATCTCGGCTCGCTGCAACCTCCACCTCCCAGGTTCAAGCAATTGTCTTGCCTCAGCCTCGCGAGTAGCTGGGATTACAGGCGCCCGCCACCACGCCCAGCTAATTTTTTGTATTTGTCGTAGAGACACGGTTTCACCATGTTGGCCAGGTTGGTCTCACTACTGACCTCAGGTGATCCACTCACCTTGGGCTCCCAAAGTGCTAGGATTACAGGTGTGAGCCACCTCACCCGACCCCAAGGTTGTCTCTTTTTTCTTTTCTCTTTTTTTTTTTTTTTTGTTTTGTTTTGTTTTTTGAGAGGGAGTCTCGTTCTGTTGCCCAGGCTAGAGTGCAGTGGCGCAACTGCAAGCTCCGCCTCCTGGGTTCACGCCATTCTCCTGCCTCAGCTTCCCAGGTAGCTGGGATTACAGGTACCCGCCACCATGCCCGGCTAATTTTTTGTATTTTTAGTAGAGACAGGGTTTCACCGTGTTAGCCAAGATGATCTCAATCTCCTGCCCGCATGATCCGCCCGCCTCGGCCTCCCAAGGTTCTGGGATTACCGGCGTGAGCCACCGCGCCTGGCCATTTATCTGTTAAGGACAGAACATGACTTGAGGGACAGCTTACTCATTCTATGCCTATTTGCTTTTCTCTCTTTCCTCAGCGCTTTTCACTCTCAGCTACCCCTTCCAAACCTCAGCTGATTTTACTACCATTCAGATGTATCACTTGTCTCCTGAAAAACACATAGAGCTTCCTTTGTGAATTCTTACTGCTCTACTTACCTGCTTTTAATCTGTTTATGTGAGAATGTTGTCAAGATCTTCTAGTAGATCGTAAGTCCCTTGAAGAAAAAGATGACTTTATATTTATTCCAAAAAACCCCTGTGGTGACCACACAGCATAGAAATCTGCACAGAGCAGGCAAGTAACTTACGTTTGCTTCGCAATTCCATCTTCTTAAGTCGTTCTTGCAATTGAGAATGCATTTCTAGCCTTCTATTGGAGCTGCTTAGCACAAGTAGTGTTGCATTGGTGTGAATTCCTCCAACCCATTTAAATGAGTTTATTGTGCATTCAAGTGAGGGTTATTCAGCATGTTCAAGCAAATAGTGACCAATAATGATAATGGATATTTTTTCATCTCTTCCTGCTCCAATGGGCCAGTATTCAAAATGCCATTGCTCACATGAAAACAGAGCTGCCAGACCGTGTCCAGGGCCTCAGCCAGGGAGCTGCCACTTTCATTTTAATTTAAGAAAAAGAGAAATTGACTGGGAGGTATTTATGTAAATCAGTAGAGTTCTAAGGAGTTATCTGGCAGCCATGTTAATGGATGTGCCACTCTGAGAAGCGAATCTCGCATTTTGCTTCTCTTGTCAGAAGGGGTTCTGTGTGACCATTTACACCTACGGATGATTGGCTGTGACCCAGAGGACATTTGATGTAAAGGATATTTTGTGCATGTCAATGAGTCCTGTCCAGGTGGTGGGATACAGGCTCGAGACACATGTTGGAGAAGATCACTTTTGACTGCTGGGGAGCTATGGGAAGCCCTTCCAAATGGGCAGAATGTGCAATTACTATCTCAGTAAATTTGTCTCAGGAGAGCTGTACACCTCAGGAACATCATATCATAGAAAAGGGAAGACAAAAAAGGAGCTCACCTTAAAAGTTCCAACCACATTCCAGGGACTGTTTGTATTTGACTCATTCATTTATTCAACAAATGTGAACTGAGCACTTCAACGTGCCATACTGTCTTCTAGGCACTGAAGATACAACAGTGGATATGATGGGTTGAATGTCGGCCCCAAAAAGATATGTCCACATCCTAATCCCTAGAACCTGTGATTGTGACCTTCTTTGGAAAAAGGGTCTTTGAAGATGTAGTTAAGAATCTGATAATGAGAGGAGCCTGGATTATCTGGGTGAGCCCTAAATCCATTGACATGTGTGCTTTTAAGAGACACACAGAGGAACAACACTGCAGGAGGAGGAGAAGGCCATATGAATACGGAGGCAACTCTTGGAGTGATGTGGCCTCAAGCCAAGAAACACCTGGAGCCACAGGAAGCTGAAAAAGGCAAGGGGTGGAATCTCCTCTAGAACCTATGGAGGAAGTGTGGTCCCATCAACATCTTGATTTTGCAGCTTCCAGAACTGCTAGAGAAAAATTTCTGTTGTTTTAAGCCACAAAGCTTATAGTTTGTTATAGCAGCCACAGGAAATTAATACAATAGGCTAAACAGACAAAAATCCCTGCCATTGTGATGTGTTCATTCTCGCTTGGTGCAGACAGGCAATAAACAAATAAAATGTATTCAATGTTGGGTTGTGATCAATGTAACACAGTAACGAAGCAGAATAAGCGGGGAAGAGGTTTGCTTGTGAGTGGCATGATCATCAGGAAAGATGCTACTGAGAAGGGGCGTTCAGAGACTGGGAGGAGGTGAGGGAATGTGCCGTGTAGGTATGTGGAGGAAAAGCTGTCTAGACAGAAGGGAATGAAACTGCAAAGGCCGTGACACTGGAGTGTGCCTAGTGTATTGGAGGAGATATAAGGCAGCAAAGGCTGACAAGACCAGATTATTTAGGGCTTTTACTTCAATTTACCCATTGACTTAACACTTATCTATTGAGCATGTACCAAATATATTGTTTTACGACATTCTTGCAAAAGCCTGGAGAGGTAGGTAACAAAATTCCCACTTTAAAGAGGAAAACACTGAATACTGGTCCAGCATGACTCAGCTCATATGTGGTGGTACTAGAATAGGAATCTTAATTTGATGCCAACCCCAGTGTCCTTTCCCCAACACTGGAATGACTTATGTAAATATTTATCTCATTTGTAATTTGTCTGTGTGTTCAGTCCCATATGACAGTCTTGATAAGCCCAGCTGGCCTCTGAGGCCAATGCAAATATATTTTGAGCTGAGAATTGCTCTTGGGCGGTGAGAGGACTGTAGTTTGGAAAAGGTCAAGGGCTGTGGATTGCCATCTCTCATGGTGTCTTCAGAATGTTTCAGTAGCTTTGTGACTCCAGGTAGCATTGCATTGATAATTTATCTATTTAACTGGCTTAAGTGGGTTTTTTTTTTTAATTTTCTATCTCAAAAATCCAGGCTCATAAATAGGGACAGTATGGAAAATGCTGTATAGGGAGAATAAATAAATGTATAATCAGGTTAGTAACATATTATCATTGATGCAGCTACTGAGCAAGGAAAAGCAAACAAAGAAGGAGCTTTATTTCATACCCAAGCAAGTATAGCTCAATTGCAAACCTCTCAGACTTGAATATATCACATTGGTCAGTGCATATCATGTCCTGGAATGTTACAGAAAGCAGTAATGGAGAGACAGGTGGATGAACTAAAACTTAACTTACCTCTCTCTTCACATAGCATTAGAGCACAGAGAAGATTACTACGACCCTTGGGCATCTGTGACTACTCCATTCAAAGGTTCCTTAGAATGTTTGCTGGAAGCAGTTACAGAAATGTGAACAGGGCTTAACCAGTGTACTCCATACCCTAAATAATTCTGTATAAATAAGAGCTTACATATCTATGATGCCTCTCTGTCACTTCTTTTATATTCTCCTTTAGTTTGTTTTGGGGAAAATTCTAAGTGGATTTGCTCCATGTAAATACTGTACTTCCTTATCGTATTAACAAAGGAAGAGGTAGGAGAATCAAGACAATCGAATGTGTCAGACTAAAGTAGATAATAAATGCTCTTTGGGAAAAAAATATTCTCAGTCAATGACAGGGAATTCTGATTTGATAAGGAAATTTTCTTGGGTTAATGAATGCAACTGTAGAATACTGAGTCCGACCAGCAGAAACCTACAGCCCCAGGCCAGCTGAATCCCATTCCTTATACCGTGAGTATCTGTGTTCCCTTGCAGCGGGTTTTGTAGGAGTCAGGGATAAAGATAGGGAAGCAGGAGGAAAGGGTCATAGAATGCTGCCAAAGGCTCTGGAGGCTCAAAAGGAAGAACTTTGAATTCACAAAACACTATGCCAGCTCAGACCTGGGCATCCAAATCAGTTAGGATATTGGCTAACAGCTGTAATAAAGAATGCTACAAAAACAGAAGCTTAAACCAAATAGAATTATACTTCTTCCTCATAAACCACTCCAGGGCAGCAAGGTAACTCTTCTTTTGAATGTCATGCAAGGACCCCTGTTTTGTTTTGTTTTGTTTTGTTTTTTTCCCAAGACTGAGTCTCATTCTGTCACCCAGGCTGGAGTGTATTGGTGTGCTCACTGCAACGTGTGCCTCCCAGGTTCAAGCGATTCTCGTGCCTCAGCTTCCCAAGCAGCTAGGACTACAGGTGCCCGCCACCACACCCAGCAAATTTTTTGTCTCTTTAGTAGAGTTTGTCTGTGTTAGTCAGGCTGGCCTCAAACTCCTGACCTCAAGTGATCCGCCCACCTCAGCCTCCCAAAGGGCTGGGATTACAGGAGTGAGCTACTGTGCCACCCAGCCAAGGACTCATGTTTTGAAAAGGCTGTGGATTATCATCTCACATTATGTCTCCAGCAAGTTACAGCAGCTTTGTGATTCCAAGTAGCATGGATGGAGATGGCACTTGTCATCCCCAGGGTGGTATCCTCATTCCTACCTCCTGCACCATAGCCAGGCTGTAGGAAACAGACTGGGAGGAACAGGAGAAGAGCATCTTCCTTTTAAAGGACATTGACTAGAAGTTTCTCCTAATGCTCCCTTTCATTCCCTGTTGAGCAGAGCTGAGTCACATGGCTATGGCCCGCTGCAATGGAGGCTGGGAAGTGTAGTTTCTAACTAAGTAGCCAGGTACCTGAATAAAACCCAGAGGGTAGGAGATGAGATTCTATTATTACAAGAAGACACAATTTCTGCCAGGGCTTTAACCGGTGGCTCTACCCTTCACAGCTGGACATTGCTGGATTTTTGGATGATTATTTCATTGTCTCCACTCAAAGATTAAGTTTGGAAAATAGGGAATTTTTCTACCAAAGCATAGGAACTCCAGGCCCCAGCCCCTCCTCACTCTTTCTCCCTGTTCATTCTCATCTCTTTCCAGTTCCTTACCTCCTGTAACCTGTGGGCATACTAAAGTACCAAGGTAGGCTTAGCTGCAGGCACGGTACTTCCATGATTCAGTGCCCCGCCCCCACCACTGAGCTAGGCCACTCCCACCAACAACCTCAGGCCTTCAGATGCCCAATTTCTGTGTAGAGCTTTGAGCAGTGTTTTCCAGTTGTGAAGGGCAAAGGAAATTCTCCAATTATTTGTGTGTTCATCTTCTCTACCTCCCAGGTAAAAAGGAGTTGTCTCACCATTATAGCTTGTTTCAGAAACAGTGTCAAATTCTCATCACAGCTCATGCATGCCTTCTCACCAGAAGTACCCTAATTGGTTCTCTGACTCCAACAAGAGAGCTAGGCTTTTTGTTTCTTTTGCTTTGTTTTGTTTTGATTTGCTCCTTTAAAAATGTTTATGGTGAGCTCAGTTATTTAAAACAATTCCTGGCAGAGGATTTAAGAGGCCTGGCAGAAATTATGTAAGCTTGTACAGTCATCTTCACTGATAATGAGTAAATCAGATAGCAGACATTAAAAGATTAAGCACTGGTGTTTGGTTTTTTGGTTGGTTGGTTTTGTTCACTTGTTTTTAATGTTGCAAAAGTCCTTCATATGTCATTGACAATAGAATTTAAGTATTTTTGAAATGTACTCAGTTCAGATTCACCATTACATTTCATGTCCTTAAGGTTGGTAGCTTAAGATAGCTTGTGCTTCAGTTGCACAATACTGGCGTCAGCTCTCCTTTAACTCAAAGCTTTCTGGTAATTTTCATCTACTGGCAGCTCAGTGGGGGCATTTTCAAGTCTCAATCACATCACTTTAATACATAAACAAAAAAGACCCAACACAATAGCAAATGACCATGAGCTTAGTGCCATCTTGAGTGTATGCTTTTAGACCCCAGTGATGATACAACCTTTCCTTAATACAGAGAGGAAAACAATTTTGATCCGAGAGGCTTTCTCCCAGGTGCATCTGAAAAAACGTTCAGATATGTCTCCTGAATGGTTTTGACTAACACAACTTACTTTCCCCCAGAATAGCTCCTCTCTAAAAAATGCCAAAGCTTGCCTTTCAGGGACAAATCAAAGGCTAAGCCTGAGGATGATGGGGTGACTTGAAAAAGACTAGCCAAGCGCTTGACTGCTCAGTGCAGCCTCGATAACACCATTCTTGGTGGTGCCATTTGCTCCTTGTCCACAGCCCATATCCCAATGAGGGTTATTCACTTTTGTAACCACTGGTTTCCCTCTGATAGTGTCTAAAGAAGCAAATAATGATGAAGTGAGCTGTACCTCCAACAGAGTTTGAAGCTAGCCAGGAGCCCTTACTGATGTTTAAAAACTGGTTCTTTTCAAAATTGTGGCAACTTTATTTTCAGAAACAGGTTTCATCCCAATAAGTTATTTGGATGTTTTAGAATAGAATAACGCCATTTGTTGAAATTCACTGAAGTAAGGAACAATGTAATTTGCCACTAAAATTTTGCACATTTCATTTTTCTTCAAAACACCCAGTTTTGATTTTTTTTGTTTGTTTGTTTGTTTGTTTGTTTGTTTTTTTTGAGACAGAGTTTCACTCTTATTGCCCAGGCTGGAGTGCAATGGCATGATCTCGGCTCATCACAACCTCTGCCTCCCGGGCTCAGGCGATTTTCCTGCCTCAACTTCCCAAGTAGCTGGGATTACAGGCATGCACCACGCCCAGCTAATTTTTTGTATTTGTGGTAGAGACGGGGTTTCTCCATGTTGGTCAGGCTGGTCTTGAACTCTCGACCTAAGGTGATCTGCCCACCTCGGCCTCCCAGAGTGCTGGGATTACAGGCATGAGCCACCGCGCCCAGCATGATGACTTAAATTCTAATCATAGTGATGTTATGTTCATTGACACATTACTCTGTGCTAGGCACCGTGACAGGTGATCTATGAATGCTGTCTCATGTAGTCTTCACTATAATCCATGAATTATATATATTAACATGAAACCCATTTCACACGTGAGGAAACTATGGTTCAAAATGGCAGTTAGCTTCTCCAAGGTTATATAACTCTTCAGGTTTTATCCAGAATCAAATCTGAGCTCTGATTCCAGAGTTCTTGCTCTGAACTCTATTGCTTTCATGATAAATTTCCCTAAGGGCTAAAAAATACCTCGTAAGAAAAATGTCTTAAGGCCGGGCTCAGTGGCTCATGCCTGTAACCCCAGCACTTTGGGAGGCTGGGGCAGGTGGATTGCTTGAGTCCAGGAGTTTGAGACCAGCCTAGGCAGCATGGCAAAACCCTGTATCTACTAAAAATATTAGCTGGGCAGGGTGGCTTGTGCCTGTAGTCCCAGTAACTTGGGAGGCTGAGATGGGAGGATCACTTGAACCCAGGAGGCGGGGGTGGCAGTGAGCTAAGATCACACCACTGCACTCTAGTCTGGGCAACAGAGCAAGACGACTCTGTCAAAAAAAAAAAAAGAGAGAAAAGAAAAATGCCTTAAAATTATTATGCATGCAACTTTTTCTTTCTTTCTTTTATCCATAGCTATACTTGGCCAAACAACATTAAGTCAGGTTATATTTGTCCTTTTCCTCAATTGTTCCTACCTACCTACCGACTTACTTGGCTATTTTCATTCATCATTAAGTGATTGATGGATCATAGTTGCTAAGAGAAGACACGGAAATGAAGGAAATCAACCCATTCCTTCATTGATTCATTATGTTTAGAGAGCTACCATGTATGAGGTATTTTCCAGGACTTTATGATACCTTAAGCTTACATTCTCGTGAAAGAGGCAGACAATAAATAGTATAAATAACAAAAACATACTATGGGATACGTTTTAATAATAAGAAGTGCTAAGGAGAAAAAAAATAGCAGAGAAATGTCAGGGTAAACATGTATTGAAATGTTAGATGGGCTGTCCAGGAAGGGGCAGATAACAAAGGTGACCTTTGAGTAGATGCCAGAAGGAAGTTAGGAAGTTATGCAGGGGAGCCTTGGAAATGTGGGGGAATTGCACTGTAGGCAGAAAGTACAGCAGATGCAAAGGCCCTGAGGCGGAGAATGCCTGGGGGATTGAGGAAGAACTAGGAGACCAGTGGGGCCGAGTGACTGAGTGAGGGTGAGAGTAGCACAAAATGCGTACAACAAAGTATGTTATGGAGAAGGCTGTAGGTTAGAACAGGAACTTTAACTCCTAATTAGGTGGTTTTCAGTAGACGAGTGACACAAACATAATGTTATACTTGGACCTTTGCTGTGTTGAGACCACTGGGTGTGGGAGATGGGTGGATGAGGGATTGGGAAATCAGTGAGGAGCTTACCACCGTAACCCAGGCAGAAGATCATGGTGGCCTGTGCCAGAACGAGGCCTTCCTCTCTTTCTCCCTCCTTCCTTTCATCTTCACAGATTATTCTATATTAGTCCATTCTGACACTGCTAATAAAGACATGCCCAAGACTGAGTAATTTATGGAAGAAAGAGGTTTCATTGACTCACAGTTCAGCATGGCTGGGGAGGTCTCAGGAAAGGTAGAATTATGGTGGAAGGGGAAGCAAACACGTCCATCTTCACTTGGTGGCAGGAGGAAGAATGAGAGCTGAGTGAAGCGGGAAGCCCCTTATAAAACCATCAGATCTCGTGAGAACTCACTATCATGACAACAGCATGGGGGAAACTACTGCCATTATTCAATTCCACCCCCACCGGGTCCTTTCTACCCCATGTGGGGATTATGGAAAGTATAATTCAAGATGAAATATGGGTGAAGACACAGCCAAACCAGATCATAGTCCATGTCTACTTCATTCAAGAGAATGAATGACTGAATGACACTTAATTGGGTCTTTTGATATTAGCATCCAGTATTTTGTCATCTTCTGAGAGGGGCTACTTCTGGAGACAGTGACACAGAAAACCAGTGCTCTTGATTTAAGCAGAGTGGATCAGTAAGAGGTGTCTCTTTCATTTGTTTAGATTATGATATTTATTCAAAGAGAGGAGCAGTGAACTGTGGTTGAGTTTGTTATTTTAATGAAATTACACTTGCAACTATTGTAGGTGTCTTTCTATGTAATGGATGCTTTACATTCTCTCACTTTTTTTCCTCCAGACAATTCTAGACAGCAGGCATCATGATTCCCATTTTATAGATCATCAAATTGAGGATCAGAGATACCCTGCAAAGTCTCATATGGCTGAGTAGCAGTACTCTTTACATCTGAACCCAGGACCACTCTGACTCCAAAGCCAATATTCTCTCTGCATATTTAATAGCTGTTCTTTTTAAAAAATTGTATCTATTAGTGCATATTTGATGGTGGATAATGTATATTTAATAAACCCACTGAGTCATGTAGCTGTACAAGCATTTAGGAGATTATGCCATCTAGGAAATTAAATATTATCAAGTGTTGTCACACTTGAGCATGAACAAATACAGACTGCTGGGCTCTATCCCCAAAGATTCTGATTAGAATGGCTCAGGCCGGGTGCAGTGGCTCACGCCTGTAATCTCAGCACTTTGGGAGGCCAAGGCAGGTGGATCACCTGAGGTCGGGAGTTCTTGACCAGCCTGGCCAACATGGTGAAACCCTGTCTCTACTAAAAATACAAAAAATTAGCTGGGCATGGCGGCACACGCCTGTAATCCCAGCTACTCAGGAGGCTGAGGCAGGAGAATCACTTCAACCCAGGAGGTGGAGGTTGCAGTGAGCTGAGATCACACCATTGCACTCCAGGCTGGGCAACAAGAGCAAAACTCTGTCTCAAAAAAAAAAAAAAAAAAAAAAAAAAACAAGAATGGCTCAGGTAGGGGCCAAAAATCTGCATTTCTAACAAGCTCCTAAGGCTGCTCATGCTGCTGATCCTGGCACAGCACTTTGAGAATCCTTGGTCCACGCCAATCCCATCATTTTTGCAAGAACAAATTGGAGGTCAGAGAGGTTAACACTATTTTCAATGATCAGTTAATACCCCTCCCACCTGCATTAACTGTAAGAGAAAGCTTGAATGACAGAGATGCACGACTGTCAGAAATGGAAATGTAGGGTTTTTTTGGCCCCTTTGCTTGTTTTAATTCAAGAGTATAAACCATAGGTAATGTTGTGCTCTCACTTTCTCCTGATTTATCTCCTTTTGAGCACTTAATGAAGAGGAACCCCACTCATTCACACACACACATTTTATTTCTCCTGCCCTTTTTCTTTCCTTTCCACTTTGAAATTTCTGTTGCACTTTGTAGTTGTCCAGAATATTTTCAGAAATACCTCCTTGTGGGTGAATCTGCTGCAAACAGGGCTGATGAAGTCCCTAATGGTTGTTACCCAGAGCCCTACTGAATCAAAAGAAATACTTATTTTTTCTAAAAAAGGAATCAGTGGTGGGTTTGTGAACCTATGATTAGAAACATCCTGCGGGGACATCTACTTGTTCATATTTAATGTCATTTACTAGTAGTGGAGCTTACGTGCAGTTGGTTGTAGCAAACAGCTCTTTGGTTCTCCCCATTCTTTAAGGCGAAACTTAAATGTAATTTCTTAGCATTTTGTGGCTGAAGCTCAAACCAGATGGCTCCTTCTTTTCTTTCCAGAGCACTTAGTTCACACTTCTAATGCGTAGAACATGCAACATCGTCGCCTAATTTTAAATGGCTTACTCACTGGCCAGAGTCATGATAAATAAAGATGGTGTGGAACGTTTCTTCTGTTTCATGCTCATGGAACACAGCACAATCTTTGGGGCTCAGTTTACTGAGTATGAGACAGCAGGACAAAGTAGTAAGGGGTGTGAGCTTCGAAGCCAAGCAGGTTGTTTGGAGACTAGGTTTTTCTACATCTACCACACAGCTTCACTGTAGGCTCAGTTTCTCCCTCTATTAAGTGGAGAAATAATAGTAATATCACACAGAGTTGTAAAAAGCTCTTAAAATGATGACGTCATGCTTGCAAAGTCTTAGCACACTGTTCAGCTCATGGAAAGGGCTGAATAAATATTAAATATAAACCAGACCTCATGAGCACATTCAATCCCCAGGGAATTAGTCTGAAAGAAGGTGAGCCCTCAACTTCTACAAGTAGTGCAAATCGAAAGCCCTTCCTCTCACATATGGTAATCCCCAGGGGCTTGTACTGTCATGACCCATGTTGCTTCTGGGTCCTGTGCTTGAAAGGCTGTCTCTTTCCCCATCTGAGTCAACCGGGCGGTAAAACGTGGCTCCTGTACCAGGTTGCACAAGAAACATGCATACACACATATCACTGAGCAAGGTGAATGCCACTGAGGGTTCGGGGACCAGGGGACACCTGTGTGATCTTCTACCACCTTTCCGGCCCTTTCCTTTCTTCCCTTCTTCTTCTACTCCCAGTTAAGCTTTCATTTTCCAATGCTCTTCAGCAATCGCTATTTTACTCTCCCAAACTTCTACAGCCAAACCCAGCAAGTGTTCAGTTCAGCAGAACAAAGGGTCTTGCTCTTTGCTGGATCTACCTTTCTTTCTTAGAGGGGAGTTGGGGTTGAACAACTGTTTCGTTCATTACAGCTATTATTAATATTTTCAAAGTTATTATTAATGAAAGAGTGAGTAACGCTGCCTTATTCTCCTTTTATTTCTCACCCACTCTTTTTGTGTTCAGATCACTAGATTTTAATTTTACGCCCTTTCCCCAGCCCAGGACTAGGTCTGTGTTACCCAGGACCATTTGAAAGTTGAAAGAGGAACTCATTGGTGATACACTGGCTTAAAAAACTTTAGGAATTCAGAAAACTATCCAAGAATAACTTATAAAATTACAGATGAAATATGTGTTATAGTTTAAACACAATATTTTTCTGAGTTCTTTGGATTTTTAAGTACTTAAAATACACAGTGACTATCTCTTTTCAATTTTCCAAATATAGCATCTAAATTTAGAGAGATGTTAAAACAATTTGGGGGTTGTTTGGTTTCTTTCCTTTTTTTTTTTTTTTTTTTGGCCCCTTTGCTCAAAGAAATAGTGCTTTGCTTTCTTCTAATGAAGTAAGCCCTGGTCCAAGGAAAATATAAAATAAAATCGCTATTTTCCTACCACCTTTGGGCTATGTAATTCCCATTTCATTTTCCAAGAGGCTAAATTTTCAAATGGTTTCACTTACACAGTGCAGAAAAATTAGACATCTTCGTCATTTGGGGGAAAATAATGACAGACTCTCTACAAGAAAAAACTATATATATATGACAAATCATATTAAAAGATAACGGATCACTTTAAGTATGGGAAACAGACCTTGAAGACAAACAGTTTTGCACCCGAACTTGATCTAAGCATGATTCCCAGCTAATTGTTTGGTTCTAAATTAAATTATTCCTTTTGATACCGAAATTATAGATACAGTTCCATTTGGCACTTCAGGGTATATTTATTTTCTCTGTAAGTGCTTGTCCATATATTTAAAGACTACAGATAATGGATTTTTAAGTGTATTTAAAAAGTTAAGCCTCTTGAGAATTTATTTTAAATGGAAAATATCTCCCAGCAGATTGTAATTTAAAAAATTAAAGGCAATACAATACACATGCATAGAGATAACATTCAGGTGTTTGTGAATCATTTTCCCCACTCTGCTGATTGTCTTTGTGGTTAATCATGGAACTGATGGTGCAGAATACACTGTGGATGAGTTTACTTGCCTGAGCACTTAGGTGGCTTAGAGCAGATCTCTTGCAAAATGCGAGAAAAAATATGACCTTGGCCTACAGCAGTGATCAACAAACTTATTTTGAAAAGGATTAGAAAGTAAATATTTAAGGCTTATGAGCGAGATATTCTGTTGCAACTATCCAACTCTGCTGTTGCAGTTCAAAAGCAGCCATATACATGTAGGTGAATAGTGTGGCTGTATTCCAATAAAACTTTATTTACAAAAACAGTAGTGGGCCGGATTTGACATGCAGGTTGTAGATTCCAGACTCCTGGTTTGGAGGCCTGACTTCACAACTTTGTGTCATCCTATAGGAGTATGAGTTCAGCTCCTGGATTCAGCATCTCAGTTAGGCCCACTCTAGTGAGTTAGCAGAGCAGCCTTCTTTACGCAGCTGCCATAAACAAACCAAGCAAGCCATGAAGCCCACGCTTCAGTGTCATAATCACATTTCCCTTCCACATGATCTGTACACACCTCAAACCCCAATCCTCACAAGTGGGATTAAGAGCCTCAGGAAGAGCTCCAAATAAATCCTCTTCTCCTGTCCATCTCACCACAGAAAAGCAGATGAACAGAAAATCAGAAAGTCAGTAACTTGTCTATTCCTCAGAGTTAGATGTCAGTGTGATACCTGACATAGAGACAATCTGACAGATCACAAAAGTCTGATTCATTTATAAAATATCTGGTGAGTGGCTACTGTTTGTCAAGCTCTGTGCTAGTGCGAGAGATACAAGGGTTGCTGGGATGGCCCGGTCTCTGCAAGAATGGAGGTTTTATTCTAGTGAGAGAGACACAACATAGGGAGGAATCCAAAAGACAGAAGGAGGGTTTGCCCTGAGTTTCCTGTTGGAAATTGGGACTCTGGTAAGCAGCTGTGTGATAACAGAAAGAAACATCAGCCTCATCTGTATAAGCACGTCTTCATTCAATAAAACACATATAACAGGCCTTTGCTAAACACTCGAGGTAAAATGGCAAACAAGACACTTTCTTCCCTCAAGAAGTTCACAGTCTGATAAGGAAAAAAGCAAAAAGAACAAGTAATGACAAGTTGAACTCCTGAATATTCTGACAGATCAGGCAATTCACACACACAAAAAAAGGAAATAGAATTGCCGATATTATAAAACAATCTCTAACCTTCCCATTCATTGAAAAATTTTCAAACTAATACTACACTCTCTTCCAACCATCAGATTGGCCAACAAAAATAAACATTGTATTATCAACCGTTAGCGTGAGGAGACAACTCTTAGAGCCCAAATCGATAAAAAAAAAAAAAAAAAAAAAAAACTTAGCATCTAACTAAATTTTAACTGACGTTTCATTTGAATCAGCACTTTCAGAATGGCTCTGAACTACTTAAATATATGTATAAAAGCCAGGTATAAAGGTATTTGTGGCCGACCATGGTGGCTTATGCCTGTAATCTCAGCACTTTGGGAGGCCAAGACGGATAGATCACTTGAGGTCAGGAGTTGAAGACCAGCCTGGCCAACATGGTGAAACCCTGTCTCTACTAAAAATAAAAAATTAGCCGAGTGGTGGCCCATGCCTGTAATTCTAGCTACTTGGGAGGCTGAGGCAGGAGAATTGCTTGAACCTGGGAGGCAGAGGTTGCAGTGAGCTGAGATTGCACCACTGCACTCCAGCTTGGGCAACAGAGGGAGACTCCATCTAAAAAAAAAAAAAAATATATATATATATATATATATATATATATATGTATATATATATATTTGTATATATATATGTATATATATTTGTATATATATATTTGTATATATATTTGTATATATATATTTGTATATATATATGTATATATATATGTTTGTGTATATATATATGTATATTTACATTTACTACTACACAGTTGGTAATTAATGAAACGGAAAACCTCAGTGTTCAGCAATAGGGAACTGCTTTAATGAGAGCAGATAGATCCATACTAAGAGATAATATGCAGTCATAAAAAAGCAATCTATATAAACTGATGTAAAAAGTATTTAATAGCTATTAAGAGAAAACCTACCTACTGAACTGTTTAAGTGTATATATAGCTTGCAAATTTGGTAGAATAATTTAATAATCAAAATGTGTGGCTAATCGGGGAAGTCAGGGCTTGTTGAGATAGTAACAGGCTGCATCTCCTATTTCACTTCAGTTGATTCCATTTTTAATTATTTTTGTATTTTAAAATGACTATTAAATAATATGAGTTAAAGGATGTATACCTATTTAAAGACTATCCACTGAGAAATCTCACCCTTAATTCTAAAGGGCGCTGCAATTCAGTGATCAATAGAATGACCAAATCTCCACCCTCAAAGTTCCTTGGTTATTTTGAAAACCGTACTGCTAAAAAGAGAAAAAAAAAAGTGTCATTCTTTTCTGCCTGATATCTTCCCAGCATATGTAAAGTAGTATTCCTGGTGATAGTATCTGAAAATCAACATAATCCAAAGGTCCTCACTTTGTAATGTTTGCAGTAAGATTCCAGCATCTTAGCATTTAACTGTTTTCAGATTACATCCATTTAAACATCTGTGATTCATTATCGTAAATATCACAGTTGTGGGGACCATATGCTTCAGCTTGCAGCATATATGTGTGTGTGTGTGTGTATGTATATATATATATATATATATATATATATATATATATATATATATAAAGAAAAAGCACGAGCAATAAATCTCAGGAACCTTAGACTTGCCGTGGGTATGTGCAAAAAGAACATTTCCAAACACATGGGGCTGTCTATAATCACAGTAATGTACTTGAGATCCCATGTAAGAATTATTCAATTGCAAAAGTTGCCACTTGTGATGGAAAGCTATGATTTACATTTGGCTTGTGCACTTCCCATGATAATTCAAATAGGGTGGAAAGCAGCACAAAAGCCTTCTGCTGCATTGGCTTTTACTTCTTAAGGAAATATGTGAGCGCTATTGTTGTCGAGTGGAGAAATCACAGAAAAATGAGATACCTTTAACAAGTGGCAAGGCACTCTTGGCAGGCATCCTTCATTCCCATGAGACTGGAGCTAGAGATGATGCCATATGGCCTAAGGGATGTAATAAAAATCACTTGGCCACTGGAGGATGAATAGGCATGGCCTACAGGGCTGATTATTTTCTTGCTTACACCAGAAAACCCACGTATGCACACAAGAATTAATTGTGCTTCATGTATTGTAAGCCAAATCATTGTCTTTTAATTTCCTGATAAAGTCTTGTCAACTAGACAGAACCAATCTGTAATCACAGCTGATGAGTATCTCACACACTGCAATTAGGGAGGAGGTAAATGAATTAATTGGTTACAACCAAAAGGAGTCTGCTAATATTTTTTGATTGCCAACTCTCTTCTAGGGCTAGCACCAAGCCTAGCCAGAGATATGGAGATAAAACTGTAGGAAGCTCTTGCCCTCAAGGATCTTCCAGATTACCAAAGGGCAGGTTAGGTCAGGAGAAAATTTTCAAGGTGTGGAAGCTGGCCTTCTGCAGTCTGCTGCAGTTTGATTGGCATCCCTGCTGGTTATTATCAAGCCACCAACCTTGTCAAAGCCTTGTGCATTCCCTTTAGGAAGGAGATCCATTGTTGCCTTAGATGGTGTTCTTGAGCCCCTAAACACTACCCTGCCATCTAGAAACATTTCTGGACCCTGTCCTGGAATCAAGGTAGCACAAGGCCATCTCTGCTTAGAAGCATTCTAGATATCCACAAGGAAGGAAGGATGGGGTGTTTAAAATGCTTTTGGATCTTTTTGTACAAAAGATGCTCATCTACATACTGGCTACACGTCATTTATGACATTTATGAAAACCAAAATTGACATTCTGAAGTCCTTGGATCAAATTTCTGTGCTGTTCTTTTCTCCTCCATGGTGTTTTATTTGATGCGATCTTGGGATGTGTGATGACTTCGTAGTGGAATAGCAGGTGTTGATCCGTAGGAACTTCAAATCTCAAGAGTTATTTGATAAAAGTTATAGACAGATCAATGATAGCAAATTTCAAACTTATGTTTCCCCAGTCATTGAAGAAAGAACACTAGTAACAGCTCTTGACTACATTTAGGTGTTCTTGACTATCTTTAATGGGTGCATAAGGATTTGCCTGGGCCCCATTCATTCATTTTCCTTGACCCTCTTCAGAGCTTGAGTGTTTCCTAAGCTTTGACACACAGGGTCTTCTGGCATCTGCTGTCTGGATTTTTGCTGATGGATTTAATTACTGACTTCAAGATTCTACTCAATTCCATTTTGACACCTTTTTTAGCTCAAGACACAGACTCTTTGACTCCCTGTTATGTCCTGTGCTGCTAAGCTGTAGAATAACTTCGAACATTTACTTTGGATACCATCATTTGAAGGAATCCACTCTCTTTCCCAAGGACCTGGAACTGGATTCTATATTAGTTGTAAAAAGCAATCCAGCTTTCCTACTTACAGATGTGTGACCTTAAGAAATGTTCTTACTCTCTGAGCTTCAGGTTTTCTCCCCTACCTTCATGATACTGTTGGAGAATTGAAAGAAATAATGTTTATCAAGTATTTAGTCCACGGACTGACATATAGAAAATGCTTCATAAATGGTAGGTATTATATATGATAGACATCAAACATGAAATACTATTAGGGCTCTGTACTATTAGCACTATTAGGGTTTTGTAGAGTGACTTGAATATATAGGGAAACAATTCATGTAATCCCCAAGGTGTGTTCATATGAACCAACACGCTTTGATGCCACAGCCATTTATACCAGCTGGAAGAGTGCAGAACTAACATAAATGATGTCCTGCTAGCATCTGCAGCTGGGTCATAAACCAAAGCTTAATGTTTTACAAAGTTTTGATATGCAGTAGTCAATTTATCCATTTTTGTGAATCAAGTAGGTTGGGAAACAAGCCCAGCAAAACACAGTTTGGTAAATTTTATGTGAAAAAACTCTCTTCTTTTTCACTCAGTAATTTTTGCATTTTAAAAAAATACAGTAATCAAAAGAAATATGATGGGCCAGTGAAAAGCCTGGCCTTTGGAGTGTGGTGAACCTGAGTTCAAACCCCAGTTCTACAAGTAAACCTTTGCACTATGGGTGGCTCAGTCTCTCCCAGCTTATCTCATTTTGCCTCTGTAAAATGGTTGAAATATCGGATTATGGGGATTGGAGTGAAATGGAACACTGACCCTTCAACATGACAGCCCTGCCAATAATTATGGGGTCTAAGCTTCTAGACGCTAAGTATCATGAAAATAGATGCTATTCCACATTCACCTTTAGTTGCCGTTTATCCCTTACTGCCTACTGTCTTGTACATTGTAAGTGAAAAAATGATGTTTTTAATGGGTTAATGGATGAGTATGTTGAACTTTAGAATAACAGAATTTCCCAGTTGTAAGAGACATCATTCAATGCTGGAATTGCTTCCACAATATTCCTGATGAAGTCATATAGGTTCCACTTGAAAGTACCCAGTGACAAGCACATTATTTCACCCAGAAGGAACTAGATCTTCCAAATGGTAACCTGAATTGCTTTAGGCCCCTCCAGTATGGTCATGCATTGTTTAACCATAGGGATATGCTCTGAGAATGCACCACTGGGTAATTTAATCATTGTTGGAACATCACAGAGTAGACTTACACAAACCTAGAGGGTATAGCCTATTACACACCTAGGTGATCTCTTACAACCTATGGCTCCTCGGCTACTAACATATATAGCACGGTGCTGTACTGAGTGCTATAGGCAATTGTAACACAATGGCAAGTGGTTGTGTATCTAAACATATCTAAACACAGAAAAGGTATAATAAAAATATAGTCTAAAAGGTAAAATTGGCACACCTGTATAGGGCACTTACTACGAATAGAGGTGGTAGGATTGGAAGATGCTCTGGGTGAGTCAGTGAGTGAGTGGTGAGTGAATGTGAAGGCCTAGGACATTACTGTGCAGGACTATAGACTTTATAAACACTGTACACTTAGGCTATACTAAGTTTATAAGAAAAAGCTTTCTTTCTTCAATCATAAATTAACTTTAGCTTACTGTAACTTTTTTACTTTATAAACTTTAATTTTTTAACTTTTTGGCTCTTGTGGTAACACTTAGCTTACAACACAAACACATTGTACAGCTATAGAAAATATTTTCTTTATATCCTTATTTTATAGACCTTTCTATTTTTAAATGTTTTCTCTTTTTCTTTTTCACTTGTTGAACTTCTTTGTTAAAAGCTGAGACATGAACACATACATTTGCCTAGGCCTACACAAGGTCAGAATCATGAATATCACTGTATTCTGCCTCCACATTTTGTCTCACTGAAAGGTCTTTAGGGGTTATAACACGCATGGAGCCATCTCCTATGATATCAATGCCTTCTTCTGGATACCTCCTGAAGGACTTGCCTGAGGCTGTTTTACAGTTAACATTTTCTTTTTTTTTTTTTTTTTTGAGACAGGGTCTCGCTCTGTCACCCAGGCTAGAGTACCGTGGCCCGATCTCAGCTCACTACAGCCTCTGCCTCCTGGGTTCAAGTGATCCTCCTGCCCAAGCATCCCGGTTAGTTGGGACCACAGGCACCAGCCACCCCACCCAGCTAATTTTTGCATGTTTTGTAGATATGGAGTCTTGCCATGTTGCCCAGTATGGTCTCAAACTCCTGGGCTCAAGCGATCTGCCTACCTGGGCCTCCCAAAGTGCTGGGATTACAAGCGTGAGCCACCATGCCCGGCCAGTAAACCTTTTCTTAATGGGTAGAAGGAGGAGTACACTCTAAAAAAAAAAAAAAAAAACAATAAAAACGATAGTATATTAAATATATAAACCAGTAGCATAGTTGTTTATTATCATTACCAAATATTACATATGGCACATAATTTTATGTGCTTGACTTTTATGACTGAAAGTGCTATAGGTTTGTTTACACCAGCATCACCACAAACACATGAGTAATGCATTGCACTCTGACGTTATGACAGCTACCTCACTAGGCAATAGGACTTTTTCAGCTCCGTTATCATCTTACGGGATTGCTATCATATATGTGTTCCTCTGTAGATCAGAACATCGCTATGTGGCACATGACCGAATTTGGACAAATATGACGTCATGCAAATATGAATATTTGCATTGTTCTGGCTTGTAGCCCCACACCTGCATAGCTGTAGGACCTCAATGTATTCTCCTTCCTGGCCTTTTATTCTGGTTATTTCTGGAAGACCTCAGGGCATCTGTCACATGAATTCACAAATTCTTCTTCCATGTCCTCTCATTCTGGCCTCTTTAATTATTAACATTCCTGGGAAACTCTTGGAGGAAGGGCCTCCCCACTGCCCTCTGTGGGAAAAGTCCATCTCCAGGATCCCCAAAGCCATGTACCCCTCAAGGTGCCAACAGACCCTATGACTGCTCTAGTGTTCTCTCTACCAGAACAAAGCCAAGCTGTACTCCACTCAAAAATGGGGCCACCCTGCTGCTCAGCATAACAGTTTGCTATTAGGAAACAAAATAACAGTGCTTGAAAATACCTAAGTTGTCTGTGGTTTGTGAATCTTTGAGTTGTGTATGTAGCTTTCTTTTCTCTGAACTATGGATCCATGGGGCTGGCCTAGGAAACCAATATTGTGTTCCTCTCTCTCTTTCTCCTGGTTCTGCCTCCCTCTCTAGGTGCTCATGCAGAAGTAGTCCTCCTCAGAGGCCCCCTTCCTCCCCAGGTATATCTGCTCTTGCAATAGAGAGGTAACTGGGAAATCACGAGACTGTCAAGGCATCAAAACACAATCAGGGTCTGAATCCCAATTTAGGCTTAGCCAGGACACTTTGTCACATGTCCCTAGACAACCCCAACTGCAAGGCCAAACACCCTGAAAGTTGCAGTGGAGTAAAGCTCTCTTCACATTAATTTACCCTTGAGATGCACATTCAGAAGGAGACTTTTACACATAATTGCTATAAAGTTTAAAAACTAAGGGCCTTGTCAGAGACGTGTGCCAGTCATGAAAATACCAAGAAGGGATCTCTGTAAATCCGAGATTTGGTGATTCTCAAACTTGCTGAATCCATGATTTTTCTTTCGCTTAATGGGTGACTTTCAAATCCACTTACTCAAATCTTCACTTGAGTTGATGCCATCATTCTCAGTTGTGTTTGGGGAGTTTCAAATCTGCTTAGCTGCCAAGTTGCAGTTCTGCTATTTATTCATTCAACAAACAGGGTTGAGTATGTACTGTGTCAAGCACTGTGCTATATATAAAGTAATTCCAATTTGAAACACAAATTCGTAGTGATTATAACCACCATGGGATAGATGATGCATAGCATTCTATCAGGAAACAACCTGCCATGTTTTAAGGAATCCACGGCAAGAGGAGAACGTAAGACTGACACACATACAAAACAAAGATTCAAAGCTAACGGCTCAGTTTTTAATGGTAGGTGGAGAAAATCCCCTGAAAGCAGATGTGGCCTCTGTCTTTTTCCAAGAGGAAGCCCTTAAGGGTTACATGGCAAAAATAGGTTTCTGCTGAAGATTGTTGGACTGTATCATTCATTATGATATCTTCTGCTGACATGATAGAATTGAAACTCTATTTTATCAAAGTTGGAACTGAAGCATGGAATGGAATTAAGACTGTTTTATGTTTGTTCTGCACTTACCAAATTCTATAAAGCCTTTGGAAGTGAAATTCACTCCTGGGTCAACCAGTCATGGCTAGAATACTCCCAGAACCTTATAGAAGCTCTGCAATGTCAGTGCTGACTCTAGGCCAAACATGGAACACGGAAGCCCAATACGCATGTTCAGGAAGCAGAAGAGTAGAAATAATCAAGTCTGTAGGGTGTGCTTCTTGATTCACTCATGGATCTGACCCAATGTGGGTGGAATTGAACGTATGTTAATGAAGGCTTGAGTGACTAGAATGCTGGTGAAATGAGAGTATTCAGGAAAGTCAAAAGAAATGCTTCCTGTTTCTTCCATTTGGACCAGTCTAAAGAGACTCTGGACTAAGCCCTGTGAGTGCTTTAAAAGGAAGGTGGTGCCTCTGGATGCCAGTGGCATACTGAGGGATATGAAAAGCAATTAAGTGATGGCCTGTATCCTGGAAAGAGTCTGTCTGATATTTCTGAATTAAATGCTACTTTAGTTGTCAGAAAGACATTGTCATGCCCCAGCAAAGGCTTTGCAGATTAACCAATATGCAGGACCTTCATGCTGAGGAAGAATTGAATTCTGTTTTTCCAAGTAGGCAAGGAATACCAGGATAGCTGGGTCTCTCCATCTCAGGCAAAACAGACAATCTACATTCTTATGCTCTGGGGCAGTTCCTATCTGTGTCATGTCCTTGAGACAGCTAGTATAGGTACTTCTGAGAGCTGGTAAAAATTTTAGAAAAGTTGCAAGCCAACTGAAGGCACATTGGTACCTTGAAATAAACAACGTGTAGAGCATTTAAACCACAGAAATCGGCAGATGCTACAACTCGAGACTTTTTCCAAGACTAGCACATCACTGCAAGTCCTTCTCTTCTGTGTGTGCGTATGAAGATCCTGGAGGTGGATCTGTGCATATCTGTCTGGGGGAGGGCTACAACTTCCAGGGTGACTGATTCAGAGCCTGTAATTCTGATTCATATGCATCCTTGCACACATGTACAAGTGGAATCTGACCATCCACTCTGAAAGGGCCCCACAACTTATGTGCAGACACATTTGCAAAGCCTCTACAAATACATGCAAACTCTAGGACAATTTACCCATATAAGATGTGAGTGTATAAATCACAGATTGGCCCAAGCACGCTTATAAGAATAGCACAAAATTCATATATTAGTTCATACCTAGCTCTGCAAGCAGGACTGTTCTATATTTGGCAGATAAGTTTAAATCCATCTGCATTTCATTTTTTCTGGGATCATAACAGAGCTTAATTTTCTCCCTTATCCATTTTTAGATGGTAGGAAATCTATGCCTTTTGGATTTTCATCCCCAAGAACCACCTTCAAAAGAAAGAAATGGAAAAGCATAAAATCAAGGTCGGGAAGATTAAGCCCCTTAATTCACATGTCAAACTTGCCATTTCAATTGTGGTTTTGTCTCCCAGCTGAAGTTTGTCTTTTTGTGACATTTGCATTAAGCCCAGGGGACATTTTGAGTGGAAAAGCGCTGAAAGCATAATTGAAACTCTGAGTGTTGCCTTTTGTCTAATTTGCAATTTCCCCCAGGTGGGGTGTTTTCACTACCCCCCGACTCCACCCCGCCCTCCCAGGGTGTTCTAAGATTATCTCAAAGAATGATGTTATGCAATTTATTCCAATAAATCTCCATGTACAGTATCTTATATGTGTATATTTTTTGCCTTCCAGAAGTTATTTCAAATCCGTGAGAAACTATGTAGGGAAGTCATTCATAGGTTCAGAAGAGTACAGATAGTTCATTTCCCCTTTCAGATAGAGGTTTTGAGTATTTGTTCACAAGTTTAATTGTTTAGTCACATCTTTCAGTTATCCACATGGTGTCATTCTGAGCCACCCAGGAAGTTGTCTCTATAGAAACAAGCATTTTTTAAATGGACATAAACTGTTCAGTTTTGTCCTTAAATATGTCTTTGAACTCTGTGCTCAATTCACATATGGTCTTGATATCTACTTAAAAGTTTGAGAATCACTGACACTTTGGTGGCATCAACAAAGTCAATAACATGAAACACAATGCAGGGCTGATGTCATCACATGCACCCTTTAATAGGAAATTTAGGATATGATTATAATTGGTGAGAATGTAGAGTCTGTTTTCTCCAGGAGAAAGAAGAAAACGTAAAAGAAAATGTTGTGGCTTGTTTTTCTTTTGAGTCAATGTCTTCCTGTTTATCAGAGCTGTCCTTTAGATATTGCCAAAGCTATGGCAACAGGAGCAATTTAGATTTTGCCCTTTCTAGAATTTCTGTTTTTATCAAGACTTCATTATTTATATTAAATAAATTATTTCTTATCTGATATTTGGATATCATAGCCTTCCTGGATTATATACCTGAGTAGAGTGGATGCAGGCATGAATTTGTCTAACTGAGGGTTGGATGGCAAGGAATGTAGTACCAGCCAGCATTTCCAGAGGGTACAACAAACGTCACTGTGGAGGTTTTAGTGGATACAAGGACAAACTTTTTTAGTGGATACAAGGACACACTTACTTCTTTTGAATTTGGCTCTTTAGATTTATTTTAATATTTATTTGAAAAAATACCTGGCATATTCAACAGGTATTATAAATACTACATTCAAATAATTTTATAATTTAAAGGGTCAGTCAGTTAAAAAATATTAAGTAAATAATCGATGTGGTATGAGAGGTGGCAATGAAATTGTGAGTCTGGAAGCTGAATGACTAAAGGAAAGAACACATTCATCTAGAAAGACTGGCATAGCCCTCAGGAGTGTGGGCTCTAGAACCAGAAACCACACTCCCGAGTTTGGATTTGACCTCGGTTCATATAATGACTTCGTGGCCTCGGATAACTCATGCAACCTCACTAAGTCTCAGTTTCCACAGAACACCAAAAGTTCCTACCTCAAATTGATGATGTGAAGAAGACGACATGAAGATTTATTGCAATCATTAGTGTAAAGCTCACAGTGTAATGTAATGTCATTACTTTAGGAAAACTCTTGCCTTACATTTGTACGAAGTTGTCTTCACCAACAATCCGTTTGGAGAATATCGAACAAAACTTTGTTGATTCTATTTTGAGCAGGGCTCTGTAATTTCACTCCTTTAATATCGTTTTTCCTTCACAACTGTTCACATGAAGTACGTAGGGCTTCACCAAAACAAGTGAAGGGATTCAACAATGGGCAAGCCTGAATCAGAATCATCAGCCCCACCCCTTTAACCCTAGCAGTGATGCCTGTAGTAACCATTTCCATGGCAACAGCCTGAGACTAGCAAGGTACCTGACTAGAAGGAATGACAGAGGAGGAGGTAGAAAAATCAGCTGGAAGAAGGAAGCTGTGTAGGAAAAGGAAAAGGTAGCTTCCTTAGTGCCCAGAATTATGGCAATAATGGTGATCATTCTCATTCATGGAGCAACAAGCTCTGTCCTAAGTGCTTTCTGTGTGTAGGCATGCATTATCTTGTTTACACATGCCATAAGGATTATAGTACCTTTCAGGAGGATGCCCACTCTATGGATAAAGATGTCGAGGATTAAAGAATATAGGTGGTATATTAGTCCATTCTCATGCTACTAATAAAGACATACCTGGGACAGGGTAATTTATAAAGAAAAGAGGTGTAATTGACTCACAGTTCAGCATGGCTGGGGAGGCCTCAGGAAACTTACAATCTTGGCAGAAGGGAAAGCAAACACATCCTTCTTCACATGGCAGCAGCAAGGAGAAATGCAGAGAGAAGGGGAAGAATGCCCATCAGATCTCGCCAGAACTCACTGTCACAAGAATAGCATGGAGGTAACCACTCCTGTGATTAAATTACCTCCCATCGGCTTCCTCCCATGACACACGGGAGTTATAGGAACTACAATTCAAGATGAGATTTTGGTGGGGACACAGCCAAACCATATCAGGTGGTTTGCCCAACGTCACAGGGCTCCTACACACAAGCCAGGATTAGAAAAGGGCTTAGAAACCTACCCTTAAAACTTCCCTTTCTTGGGGCACGGAAATAACAGTTGCTGGCATGCCAGTCCCCAACCTCTACTCTTTTCCAGGAATGGCTGGGAAATGTGGAGACCTGGCACCTTGACAAAGAGTTTATAATGTAAGGTCCTGGTTCCTGGCTCTGTCTGCATTAGATTAATCAGGGGGAGCTTTTAAGAGATACTAGTGCACACAGACCGCAACTCAGCACAGTTGTATCATAATCTTGGGAGAGAGTGGGGGCAGGTATTGCTATTCTTTTTAATGCTCCTTCAGCATTTCTTAGATGGCCAGCCTTGAGAAAGAACCATGGCCTAAAGCACCTACTCCTGAGTTGGTAAGTGGTATCAAAAATATACAAAGACCCAATTATGCAACTGTTAGCTATTTGATTTAGAAAGTATTGAGTGCCGGTGATGTGCCAGGTCCTGAAACTGCAGTTGTTCTCAGTGTGACCTCACTTGGTACCTCTGATGATCCCAAAGGGGTTTGTGAGATGCCCAAGGGGGCCATGTTGGGGCAACTGTCCTTTCTCCACTTGCCCATCTATTCCTAGGAAGCAGATGTGCCCAGAGCTTGGGCTGTAGAGGCAGAATGAACAGATCAGAGAAGGTTCTCGCTCTAGGCCTTTCTGGATATGGGACCACGAGCTAGTCAGTCAATCTCTCTGAGACTCAGTCTCTTCTCCTGTAAAATATAATATGATGCTTATATATTTATAGACTGTGCATTCTCATTGGGGCTATATTTCCCCCACAGGGGTGAAATAGGTTCGAGGGTGGGGGGACAAAAATTGCACTTACAAATGTAAAGTATAGATATACTTGTAGTACCTAAACAGATATAAGTATATCTGTGATATTAAAATTTTACAGGAATAGTGGCAATTAGAAAAAAATACTTAAAAGAGCCCTTAGGGGAGTAGATAATGAAAAAAACAAAAGTTAAGCAACCCTGCTATAGAATTGCTATGAGGCTGAAAGGAGGTATGGACTTGTACAGTCCTTTGCATAGAGCGTAGCACTCAGGGACCACTCAATAAATAGTAGTGCCATGACTGTTGTCTGTCCAAGCATCACTTCATTCAAAATGCACACACTGATTCCAACCATTCTTTGGGGCTATGCAAGTTTTACTGGCATCTTTGGGACAGATAAGGCACCACCTCTGACTTCACCAATGAGCTAGGTCAGAGCTAAGCAGAGCGGCTGAGTGCCATTCTAAATGGATACACACGGGGTCCAGGGGCCAAGGGGAGAGCATAGCTGAGTTCTTCATTTCCTTGTACTCCCTGCTGCTGGGTTCAATGAAATCAAGAGGTCACTACGGGCCTCTTATCCCAATTCACAGCCTTGTCGGCAGCCTCTTGCTCACAGCACAGAAGGGAGACCCCCCCCCCCCACCGCCCCGCCTCCAATCCTCTACCATTACTAAATCATCATTTTGCTCTGGAGAGTAACTGAGCAAAGTGGAATTATTACTGATGGCCTCCCATGTGGAAAAACATGCTGTTCATTGCTGAAGATGTAAAGATGAATGAAAGAACAAGACTCAATTTCTGCTCTTGGTTCTGGTGCAAAAAACAAATACATAATATGGACAGATTGATATAATATAAAAGGTTCTATGGGAAGGAAATTCTGGAACACAAAGAGAATGCTTGAAGAAGTTGCTTGAGTTGAATCTTGAAGAGTAAGCAAGAGTTAACAGGGTGAAGAAGGTGAGAAATGCCTTCTGCAGAGAGGGAGCACTATACACAAAGGGTGGGACAGTAGAGTAGGGAGATGCAAGAGTGGGTGAGGTGTGAGCTATGCAGTGAAGACAAAGGCAGAGGGGAGGCTGATGGACAGCCTAGTCATGGAGGACCTTGAGTGCTAAGTATTGTTTTGCAATGAAGATCCATAATTATATGAGACTCAGGTGGAGAAAAGCTGGTCTTATAGTTGCAACAGGAGAATCCAAGGCTTCCTCCAGGGAGCAGAGCTGTGTGGCCCCCAGTACCCCACATTGCCTGGGCTTAGCTTATCTCCATTCTAACTTCCTTCAATTCTCCCTTGCTGTCTGTGCCAATCTAACTGCTTACATCCAGTTCGGTAGATGCCGCAGGACTTTGCATATGTTATGGTTTTCTCTGCCTAAGTAATAGGTCCCCAATTATTTATAAGAGTAGTAAATTGATGTCTGTCTTCCACATTAGACTTCAAACTAGGGACTGTGCCTGTCTTTGTTCAACATTATAACCTCAGCATCTAGCATAATGTAGGTTCTCAGTAAATATTTATGGTAGGAAGAAAGGGTGGGAAGAAGAAACTTAGCTGGGAATCCAGAACCCCCACAAACTTTCATATGCCTTTTCCTCTACCCCATTCACTCCCCAGCTGAGACTGTCTTCTGTGATCCTGTTCGAGGGTTAAGTCTGGAACCTCATGCTGGCGATTGAAGCAGTCATTTCCTGTGAGGCCTTGTCATTTGAGTAATTTGCCTCCAGTGGATGAATACTAATTGATGATAACAGTGAAAGCAACCTTGGTGTCACTTCTTCATAGTTCACTTCCAAAAACTGAAACTAAGCATGTTCAATTCATCTGGGCTACCAACATGGTTAGAGAAAGTGAGCAAGTGTCTGAGAACCGCAGGGTCCTGAGAGTCCACTTGTGTGTCCATGCAAAGATGGCTCTAAAGCTGACTTAACCACGGAAAGCCTTAGAACCTTTGCAGAGCGATCAAAAGGCACCGCAGCGTGCAGTGCTCTTCAGGACTGGGCAGGAACATGAAAACAGGACTGAGCAGGGCAATCACAGCTCTCTACAGTAGTCCCTGCTTGTCCTCAGGGGATGTGTCACAAGACCTACGTAGATACCTCAGTCCGTGGATACTACCCAACCCTATATATGCTAATTTGTCCTATACATACATAGCTATGTTAAAGTTTAATTTACAAATTGGGCACAGTAAAATATTAACAACAATAACTAATGATAAAATAGAACAATTATAACAATAATGAAAATGGCACACAATTTGAAACTTATGAATTGTTTATTTCTGGAATTTCCCATTTAATATTTTCAGACCTGTGTTGACCATGGGTATCTGGAATTGAAGAAAGCCAAGCCATGGAGATGGGGGAACTACTGTATTCAGGTTTTGATAGGATTTCAGAAGGGTTGTATTCTCCATGGGGTATTGTCTTTATTGAAAATGTGCAGTGGTGACAGGCAAATGGTCCAGGGTTCAAATCCTGGCTCATCATTTACAACCTGTGTGTACTGGGCACCAACTTTGCACTCCATGAGCCTCAGTTTCCTTATCTAGAAACTGTAGGAGAAGGGGATCAAAATAGTACTTTATTTGTTGTCATTGTAAAGATTAACTAAGGTGATGTGTGCAAAGTGTGTAGCACCTACCCTTGAATGTGGAAAGTGCTCAATCTGCATTATCCACTATTATTATCAGTTAATATGATTATTATCACCCTAAGTATCATCTTCCCAGAGTAGAAATATCAGTTTAGATTTTCAGATATTTATATGGCTTTCACAGTGTGCTAGGACCTATGTAGATGAGCTTAGATTCTCAGATATTTATTTGGCTTTAACAGTGTGCTAGGATCTATGTAGCTGTTGTTACCAAAAGATGTACACAAGAAAGTTCCTAGCAACAATATTTGGAGCCCCAAAGTGGAAATAGTCCAGATACCAGTCGAGAGTAGGATAGATAAAGAGACTCAATACAGCCACATAATGGAATACTCTATGATGATTAAGATAAAGATAAATATAGTAACCTGGATACTATACAGTGATCAGTGATTATTGTTATAGTGATTAGAATAAACTACCACAACTCACAGCCACATGATGAATCTCGTGGCATGTAATGTCGAATGAAGAAGCCAAATAGGAGAGAGTGCATACTGTATGACCACATTAGATGCCATGCAAATGCAGGTAAAACCAATCTGTGGTATTAGAGGCTAGAATAATGTAGCCTCTGGGGAAGAGGTTAGGAATTTTACTCAGGAAGGGAGGGGACTGGTAATGTGTCATGTTATGGCCTGGTTGCTGGACAGTTGGTTGTGCTTACTTTGTAAAAATTCATTGGGTTGTATGTTCTGATTTATGTGCTTATATGTGTCTACATTATGCTTCAATTAAAGGTTTACTAAACAAATAAGCCTGTTCAGCAGAGACCAAAAAGCACGTAGTACAATTCTATGCTTACCCACAAGGGGCCTCAAAGTTTACAGGAGGAGGCAGACAGGCAAATGCATGCACAGATAATGAGTTGTGATACCCATAATAATAGAATTGTGTACCACATGCAGAATCACCATTGAGGGGAGCATGATCAGCCGTCACAGCCTCTGCTTGTGTCAATGCCCTGTGCTCCATTTGTTCATGCAGGGGGCCCATCTTCCCTATTCCTTCCCACACATGAATAAGGTATTCCATGGCAGGAACTTTGCTCACATCTGTCCACTCTCCATATCAGCACCACTGCCTTCATTTTGTACAGCCATCTTTGATGCAACACTGAACTCGTTGGAACTGGGTCTCTTGGCCTCTCTTCCTGCCCTTCTTTAAATCACTTGCTATAACCCAGATCTGCCAAATTATAATCATTGTATTGGGTCCTCTGGATTCTTAAAAAGTACCCTGTGGGCCGGGTACAGTGGCTCACGCCTGTAATCCCAGTTCTTTGGGAGGCCTGAGGTCGGGAGTTCGAGACCAGTCTGGCCAACATGGTGAAACCCCCATCTCTACTAAAAATACAAAAATTAGCCAGGCATGATGGCATGCATCTGTAATCCCAGCTACCCAGGAGGCTGAGACAGGAGAATCACTGGAACCCGGGAGGCAGAGGCTGCAGTCAGCCAAGATCGCGCCACTGCACTCCAGTCTGGATGACAGAGCAAGACTCTGTTAAAAAAAAAAAAAAAAAAAAAAAGCACCCTGTGTGATTCTGATGCACCCCAATCCTTGAGAAGCACTCCTCTTCACTGGAAGCAGAGCACACACCTGATCTTGACTCTCTCCACACAACAAATCGTCCAGGGCTACCAGAAAGCACCATAACTTACTGGCTTTTCCCAACTTGTTTCCCAGAGACATTTTCAGCCTCATTTCCACCCTTCCCTTCTAGATCCCCACCATTCTAGATTCCCACCATCCCTGCCCCGTTTTAAGTTTGCCTCTATTCACCTAAAAACATATGGACTATTCCATATGGACTGAGCATGAAAGAAATATAGTTCCTCAAAGTAAATTAAGGAGCTGTTTTCAGAGGAAAGGAAATGGATGGTGGATAGGCAAGAAAATGTGGCCCACTAGAATTCTATATGGTGCTGCATATTGTGCTGTATACATATATGGTGCATGCGTATGTGTACATATGTGTACATGTATACATTACATGCACATATACCATATGTGTGTATATGGTGCTGTAGGTATATACATGCGCATGTATACACCATATACATGCGCATGTATACACCATATACATGCGCATGTATACACCATATACATGCGCATGTATACACCATATACATGCGCATGTATACACCATATACATGCGCATGTATCCATGCGCATGCATAGGCATGTATATATATGTATATGTATACACGTATATGGTATATACATGTACATGTATATGTATACACGTATATGTATATACATATACATGTATATGTATACACGTATATGGTATATACATGTACATGTATATGCATACACGTATATGGTATATACATGTACATGTATATGCACATCGTTAATTCTCATTCCCTGAATCTGTTTTGCTATTTAGCCCTCATCCCTGTGCCTTTGAATAGCCTATAATGTCTTCCACATTCTTAAGGGCCTTCTCATCTCCTACTTATCTTCAATACCCAGCTCAAATATTGACTCTGTGCAGCTCTCCTCAATGGTCCTGAGCACCCTGTGGTTCTGCTCAGTCACCCACACATGCCAGGATTAGATCACTTCCCTCAAATGTCACTCTGCCAGATCTGACTCTTCACTCCACTGAGAAGGCACTCAAGTGTGCACACTCAGAGCTTAGCACCTGCCTGGAACATGCGAGTTCGTCAAGGACATGTCTTGATTGAGTGAAGTCCATCAGCACAAAGTCACTTGGGCACAGGCATCTTGCTGTGGGATAAAACGTAACATTTGTGAACTCTGGGTTGGGAAACTATGTGGTAATTCACACTTAATAGGTCAGAGATATCTCAGAGATAAGCTGCCCAACCTACTCATGCTCCTTCTGTTGTTTCGTTTGTTTCCCAGTGACCTTCAGTGACTGTAAGGGAAACGACAAGCTACGCTATGAGGTCTCGAGCCCATACTTCAAGGTGAACAGCGATGGCGGCTTAGTTGCTCTGAGAAACATAACTGCAGTGGGCAAAACTCTGTTCGTCCATGCACGGACCCCCCATGCGGAAGATATGGCAGAACTCGTGATTGTCGGGGGGAAAGACATCCAGGGCTCCTTGCAGGTAACACATCTGTTTGAGATAACTTGGGTTCAAGGAGGACATTAGGTTCTGTCTGTCTTATGTGGAAAATGGGTCTTTAATTTATTATGTTGGCTAAGATTCCTTTTGTTATTGTTGTTGCAAATGACAGAAATCCAACTCTAAAAATGTAGATGAGGGGCAGCGGGAATTAATTGATTCATGTAACTAATTGAGGCATAGTTCGTGGATTAATTCATGGAACTATTTTAGGGATACTTCTGCCTTCAGGCGTGGCTGAAGCTGTCCAAATCAGCTTTAATCCCTGTGCATCTCGTGGCTCCATTTTCCTTTTATTAGATGTATTGAGACAGTCACATCTCTCCCTGCCTCCCAAGGTGGAGGTCTCAGCAACTACCCTCTTTCTGCTGGTCTGAAGTCGCCTGAGAAAGCATCTCTTCAAGACGATGCTAGCAAAACCTTGGAATTCAGTCTCGTAGGTTAGATCATGTGTCCACCCCTGAACTAAACATGGTGTCCATTGGGTTGTGATGTTCTGGTTGGCCACGTCTCGGTCACATTTCTTTTCCTGAAGCCAGGGCAGAGTCAGCCCTATTCACCTGAAAACTCATGGACTGAGAGTGAAAGAAATGTAGTTCCTCAAAGTAAATTAAGGAGCTGTTTTCAGAGGAAAGGAAATGGATGGTGGATAGACCAGAAAAGGTGACCCACTAGAATTGTATATGGTGCTGCATATTGTGCTGTATACATATACGGTGTATGTGTATGTGTACATATGTGTACATGTATATATTACATGCACATATACCACATGTATGTATATGGTGCTGTATGTGTATATGTTGTACATGTATGTGTATACCATATACAGGCATATGTACCATATACTTATGTGTATATGTACACATACATATGGTATATGTGCATGTAATGTATACACATATGTATACATCCACATTTAATATATCAAAGATATCTCAAAGCTAACCTGCCCAACCTACTCATGCTCCTCCTGTTGTTTTGTTTTGTTTCCCATTGACCTTCAGTGACTTCAGTATATCTATGTGTGTATATGTATATATGTATATGTAATTGTTTACGGTTCTGTATATATATACGGTGTATATGTATGTCTATATGTATACATTTGCATTTAACAGGTCATAGGTATCTCAGAGATAAGCTGCCCAACCTACTCATGGTCCTTCTGTTGTTTTGTTTTGTTTCCCAATGACTTTTGGTGACTTCAGTATATATATGTGTGTATATGTGTATACGTATGTACAGGCATACACATACTATATATGCGCATATACTGTGTATATGTATGTGTGTATATACATACACATGGTATATCTGTATTATATGTGTGTGTAATTGCATATCGTGCTTCTCGTTTGCCAGGCAGCAGTGCTTGTTCCCTTCCACAGGCACATGCATGCAGATCCCTGCACTCCCACACATATGCATACACTTTATAAGTGTCACAAACTGCCATTCAGGCTTCCCGATTGTGCCATTCGGAGACTTTTTGCTACTACTGACTCCTGCCTTCTTCACCAGGAGCTCAGGGACTCCACCTTCGTGAGAAAAGGAGGGCAAGACACACAGCAGGATTCCAGCCAAACAATGACTTAATGATGGCATGCCCCTGCTTGGCATGCCTAGCCTTCTCTCCTACCTGCGAGCTTGGTCTTCCTCGATTTTTCACAGCCCCTAATTCACATCCCTTTTCTCCACCTGCCATATTAGCCACATCCCTGCTTGATCTACTCATTTTGTTCAGTGGTGGAGCGAGTGTGGGTCACACAGCTGGGAGCAGAGACAGTACAACTGGCAATGTGAGAGTTACCTTCCCGCCAGTGCTGTCTGTGTGATCTTGAGAGCATCATATAGCTTCTTTATCTGCAGAATAGCGAGGTTAAACAGCCTGCAGTGGCAAATAAGTGGCTCATGTGCCACCCTACTGTCACCGTGCTCGTGGCAGATATTGCTAATAACCCCTGGCTTAGCCTGAGTATCCTTCTCACTGCAATGCTTCTGGAACCTACTATCAATTGATCATTTAGTGGTGTTTCTGAGGGTGGAACCTATCTGCCATTCCTGGGCTGGATGAACTTCACAATTCCCCTTCAGCATCTGTGAAGCTGTGAGTTAAGGATAGATGGCAACCTAAAAACGAATGTACGGCACGTCAGTCATGTTTCAGAGGAAACTGGATATTGGTGAATTCATACCAGTGTGGAAATCCATTGACACCACAAAGGCAAGCTTTTCTCTTACTTAGCCATGACCAATGGTCACAGCATCTCACTAATCTGTGATATAAATTATGTGGCAAATATCTAAAGCAACAAAGTTGCCAGGATATACAGCAAAAACAATGTTCCATAGAAACATGGAAATGGTATGGTGAGGGGGTTTGCCCATGGGCTTGAATGCATTTAGATGGCGATTGTTCTTCGTGAATGGTGGCTCATCTTTCTATCTGGAAAAGATACTGTCATCGTATTTTGCTTCAAAGAGAGCAGAAGATCTTCTGGGCAGGTTCTCGGGACCAACCCCACCTTGAGGGCCTGGGAGAGCTGGGTTCATTATGAAAACTCAGCCACGCATTGTTTGTACCTCAAGTTTCTGTGAGATGCCATCCAGAGACAAAGCTCCCCTGAGTCCTGGCTGTTTCTCGCTTGCTGCTGTCTGTACGCATTTTCGACAAAACTTGCCTGTGATTGTTTTTGCTTCTTATAAAGGGGGCGGAGGCTGCCGTGTCCTTCAGTTTGCCAGACTTCAGCAGAATGGGGCATTCATCTCCCACGTCCAGTAATTTTATGAGATTTGAAAAAAGGCTTTGTGAAGATGTGTAGCTGTGTCCTTCATAAAAACGCCTCAAAAAAGGAAAAAAAAATAAAAAGAAAATGAAGGAAAACAAAATAGATAGCAAAAGAATCCCTCTGAAGAGAGCACATACCTCAATGGATATGCACGTGGTATGTTTGCAGGTCCTACTGTGTGCAGCCAAGTGGGCCAGCTGCTAGAGAAGAAAATCAGTGAGTGCCTGAGTCAGCTCAGCTCCTGTTGGGGAGGGAATACGAATGTGTGCATTGATGCTTGGGTACCAGGCGGGGAGCTAACAGTGATGGATGATCTCTGCATTTGGAGAGGGGAGAGGTCAAGGGGAGCTGGGCTGGTCCTCAAAGCACCAACCATGTGCCAGGTGTTGCTCCATGGGCTACAAATGCTGACTCACGTAACCTCCTTAGCAACTGGAGGCAGATGCTACTGTGTTCTGCCTCATAGTGAGTTTTTACTGATTTTACTGATGGAGGAACTGAGGCACAAAGAGCCAAGTGACATTTCCAAGGTCTAAAAATGAATAACAAGCTGGATGGAAGTGAGACTTGAGCCTGGGCAGCCTGGCCCCTGAGTCCGTGCCTCCAACCCCTGCATGAGCTGGACTTTGAAGGACGGGTCATTGTGCATAGTTGGGAGGGTCTACGAGGGAAATGTTGGCCTGTCTTCATGGTGTTTCTCTTCTAAGCTGTGTTACCTTCAGTCAATTGCTTTACCTCCTGAGCCTCTATGTAGTTTTGATTTTTTCGTCTGTAACATAGGGATAATAGACTTGTTTGGATCTTCCTGTGGATTCAATGAGACGATACATGTAGCAGTAATGTATAGCACTCAGCTGATGCTACAGCAATGACCAACACTGATGCTTACGTAATACTTACTATGTGCTAAACCCTGGGTTTATTCAAGTCTTTCATCCTCACAACAGTATGCTAAGGGAAGCTGTTACTGTTACTGGTGCTGTTATCATTTGCATCTACTGGGTGAGGAGACTGAGACACAATGGGGCTGTTTCTTGCTCTGGACACTTAGCTAGTAGGTGGCGGAAGAGGGCCTCAGACCTTAGCAGCATGGCTCTGGCTCTGGAGCTCTCCTCTTTTTTTTTTTTTTTTTTTTTTTGAGATAGGGTCTCAGTCCTGTCTCACAGGCTGGAGTGCAATGGTACAATCTCAGCTCACTGCAACCTCCACCTCCTGGGTTCAAGTGATTCTCCTGCCTCAGCCTTCTGAGTGGCTGAGATTACAGGCACCCACCACCACACCTGGCTACTTTTTGTATCTTTAGTAGAGATGGGATTTCACCGTGTTGGCCAGGCTGGTGTTGAATTCCTGACCTTAAGTGATCCTCCTGCCTCAGCCTCCCAAAGTGCTGGGATTATAGGTGTGAGCCGCAGTGCCCAACCTGGAGCTCTCTGCTTTAACAGTAGGTTCTATTGGCTCACCATCTGGAACAGAGTAAACCTGCACAATGTTCACTCCCACAAATGCAGTTACAACAGAGGCAAGCAAGGCCTGCAACCCAGAATGCCAGATTGTCAGGACCAGCTCAGTGCCCTTCCCACTTTCCCTCTTCCCGTGGCTGAACCTGATAGAACACTCCTGTGGCTGCCTGTAAATTCTGACCCTTGATATCTGGCTCCCACTCTGCATCCCTCTCCCTTGCACCCTGTGTTCTGCTTCTTCCCAGCCCTTTGGTTGGTGATCTTGTCGTGCAGCCTAGATGCAATTCATCTTCTCATTCTCAGGCAGGAAATCTGCAGTTCCCGGAGATGATTTGGCTCCACCTCAAGGATTAGCCTGCACACCCATACACCCCACACAAGCCAGGGTCCAGCATCCCAGGGTCCACTTTTCTTGGCCAGAGGAAGCTGGAACAGAAAGGGAATGCTAAATAAAAGCATGGGAACATGTGGGCAGACAGGATGGAGACAGCATCTGAAGACCAGGAGGAGGGATTCTAGATTGATATGACAGGAGCTATGGAGCCACTGTAGGTTCTTAAGCAGAGAAACAGGCAGGATAAAAATAGTCCTTGGTGGTGTTCATCCAGGAGCCTTGACTGGAGTAGGGAGAGACTAGAGCTACTAGTTGAAATAATAGCTACTACTATTTTTTGAGAATTGATTTCATGGAGCTTTCTTACGGTCATGCATCTTAGTCTATGTTTAGCCTATGTTATTTCTAATTCTCACAACCTCCCTGTGGGGTTACCGAGATTACCCCTTCCTGCAGATATGGGAACCTTGCCAAGAGACTCTAACTTGAAACTGACAAAAATGAGATTGAAATTCTGGCCTCTGCCTAAATACCCATTCTCCTTCCTGCCACTTTGCTGCTAGAAGGCTGTGCCACTGGGGAGGCTGCTGCCATTGCCCATGGGTCTAGGAGATGAGAGCATCAGTTAGAGCAACATGGGAGCAATGGAGGGAAACCAGAAGCAAGATTTGCCAGAAAGGAAGAAAGAGCCAGGATCCCGTATCTGGATGATTCCAGATTGTCTAGCCTGGAGGATGGAGATGAATTGGACCAGTCAGGAAAGAAATGTTAGGGAAAGACGTCTAGTCAGGCTTGAGTGTGTTGATTTATATGCTCCTAGGGACATCTTTATAGAGATGTCCAGGAGTCAATGGACAATGTGGGACTGGCTGCTAGAGTACAAATTTGAAGGAAGAACAGCATAGTGGTGGGAGTTTTGGCTTATGTTGGACATGAGTGGGTTCAAATTTCTGCTATGCCACTTACTCATTGTGTGACTTGGGCAAGTGACTCAATTATCTGAATCCCAATATCCTCATCTATCAAATAGGGATAAGAACAGTCTGTGTCACAGAGTTGTTCTCCTGGGCATAGCACCAGACATCAAGGGACAGTTCCCATCAATGGTATAATTTTGGAACCTCAGGAGGAAGGATAAGGAACTGAGGGCTAAGTGTATTCACTGAGGCCCTGAGACAGAAGCCAGAGATGGGGAACAGGAAGAGAAAGTAAAGCCAATGAAAAGAAAGGGAAGGCATGCTCAGAGAGGTAGGTGGGACCGCCAGCCTAACCAAAACAGGGGCGATTTCACACTTGCTCATTTCATGTCACTGTGTTTTGGAAGGAAAGATTCTCTAAGGCAAATATAATCACAGTTAAGCCTATTTTAGCTGTGGTAACTGGAGCCTGGCTCTTCTTTAATAAAAGGAGCCTGGCCTCTCTTATTTTTACCTGCTACTTATGACCCTGTCTCACCTGCAAAACATATACCCCAAATCTGTGAGGTCTGATTGTTAATGACTTAATTATAGACTCACAAGCTATTTCTGCATTTTTAATGGGCTTCCCAGAATCTAGTACCTGCCTGGCTTATGTAAGATCACCTTAGATCTGAGTAGGCAGAAGAGCAGTTTAATTCCAAGTCTTTTGACAGGCTCTGACAAATTGTTATGGAAGATAGTGAGGTTAACCTTCCGTGCACAAAAGGGCTCTCCTGTCTGTGGAAGGTCATGATGAACTTGACACACCAAGTTATGTCTGGACAGAATCATGACTTTTCCCCACCAAATCTGCTGTTTCTCATGGCCCAACAAGGATGAAACGAAAAACAGTGGATGAGGGGTCTGCGTGTGTGTGTTTGTGTGCACACATGCGTGTTCGCCTTGTATGTAGTTTCAAAAGTTTACACAGAAAAGCTCCATGCTTCGTTCCTCACGCAGAAATGTCTTTATCTGCCATATAAATGGGATTCAACAACTTCATTTTCTGGCCTGGCCAACGAAAACACTCACAAAGTAAAAACACCATACTTACTCTTTCTTTCTGAGTTAAGAACTTGTAGCTTGCCTGATTATAGATCATGGCAAGTAATTCTGACATCAGTTAACGAACTTGATGAAGTCAGGTTGGGAAGTGACATCAAGGGGCTTAGAGGAATTTATTCTGACATTGGGTTTGGGAACTAAAGATACTGTACCTCCAGGCTTCGTCTTGAAACATGGAAGCCCACACACTAAACAGTGGTAGAATTTAGATGCCTACGGCCAGGCAGCTGGTCCTTATGAACAAAGCAAAAGTCTCCCATGGCCCAGGTTCCCACGGAGAGTTATGAGGGCCACAGGCTATATACGCTTGGATCCAGCTTCACTGCTCCCAGTCTGGAGTTATTCCTCAAATGCACCTGATCACTTCGCTCCTCTGCTTAATAGGCTCTCACTTCCTGATCAGCTCACCTGGCCTTGGGGATAAATTCTAAAGACAGCATATGTCTGAAAAGGTCCTTTGTGGTTTAGCCTGACTGATCTCTGCAGCCTTCTTTCAAGTCTCATTCCTGCTCATCTCTAAGTGGCTTGACCTGCGGAATTGTCACCTTCTCCAAGAGCCTTCCCTTCCTGTCACCCTCGCCTCTTGTCCCCATCCCAAGAAAGGATCTCCCCTACTGGTCTCACTCTTGGCATCAGTGCTTTTCCTTCCTAGGCTTCTTCTCAATTTGTAATTATGTATTTACTTTCTTGTTCAGGTGTTTAATGTCCGCCTTGGATGAATATAGGAACAGTCTCTTCCCTGCCTCCCTCCCTTCCTTGTTTCTTTCCCTTCTTCCTTCCTGTGTGTTCACCACTCTATCCTCAGCACCCTGCCCAGTGCCTGGCGCAGAGTATTCAGTGGATGCCTTTTGAATACATGGATGAGTGGAGCGAGTTACCCCTCTCACACCCTACATTGAACTCTCCCTCCTTCAATACCAAATCACTTGTGGTTTCTTGAATTGGCCAAGCTTTCCCATCCCTTCACACTGGCTACTCCTCTGTCTGGACATTGTTCCTTCCACTGAGGTTCCACCTACCCTATGGTCAGCACCATTGATGCTTCAGAACCAGCCAAGATTTTCCTTCTTTGGGAACAGCTCTCTGAATATCCCCCAGCTGGCTAGGTGTTCTTTCTCCAGGCTCCTGTAGACACCTGCCTGGCTCTCTCTACTCATAGTACTAAACAAAACAGTCTGCTTTCTTCTGCTTGTGCCTGTCTTAATGCTGAGCTCCTGAGCTGAAGGCCCTCGCTCCCATGCAGCACACTAAGATCACTCTGGGGCCAGACCACCTTGGCATGAATCCCAGTGCTGCATTTACTACCTCTGCTCCAGGTTCCTCAGCTGGAAAAGGGGTTCATAATTGTGTGAACCTCATGGGGATGCTGTGAGGATTCAATGAATCAACACGTGTGTATTAGTCAAGGTTCTTTAAAGACACAGAACTAATGTGATAGATGAATATATGAAGGGGAGTTTATTAGGAGAATTGACTCACATCATCACAAGGTAAAGTCCCATCGTAGGCCATCTGCAGGCTGAGAAGCCAGGAAGTCAGTCTGAGTCACAAAACCTCAAAAGTAGGGAAGGTGATGGTGCAGCCTTCAGTCTGTGGCCGAAGGCCCCAGAGCTTCTGGCAAATCTCTGGTGTAAGTCCAACAGTCCAAAAGCTGAAGAACTTGGAGTGTGATGTTCGAGGCCAGGAAGCATCCAACATGGGAGAAAGATGGAGGCCAGAGACTCAGCCAGTCTGCTCTTTCCATGCCTGGTTTTATGCTGGCAGCTGATTAGTTGATGCCCACCCAGACTGAGGGTGGGTCTGCCTCTCCCAGTCTACTGACTCACATGTTAATATCCTTTGGCAACACCCTCACAGAAACACCGGGGAACAATATTTTGCATCCTTCAATCCAATCGAGTTGACAATCAATATTAGCCATCACAGCATCCAAAGTACTTGGGACAGTCAGTGTCTCACAACAAACTGGAGTTATTCATAGTGATTGCATTGTTAAATCCAGACCTATGATAAATGTTCAGCTAATGAACGAGGCAAACTGAGGTGACCCAGTCCTCCATCCATGCCCAACATGACCAAATTCTATGATTTCTGTAACCTGTATATATTCAGGATTATGGGCGAACTTACACCATCACCACTCTTATTCCTCAGGTGCTCACTGTATAGGAAGCACTGACTAAACTTCCTAGAGAAGAAATTATTTCTACAGGTCCACTTAACAAACTCCAAAAGACCTGGCAGTATTTAAAAGTTCATTATGAACAATTTACCCTTCTTAACTGGAAGTCAATACAAGTTGCCTCAATAAAGGGAAACTGGTCTCTTAATCAAGTTGCTTCAATTAAATGCAAAAAAATATTTTTCCCTTTTTTGTCATTACAAGAATTTCTTAAAAATAAAACAAAGAAGAAAAGTTATGACAGAAGCTGAAAAGGCTAAATTTAAGGCTCGTTTATCATGCTTGTTCATCATCGTTGCAAACATGCAATTTAAAAGACGTAATTTTGGCTCCTAATCCAGTTTCAAGAATCAGGATGGAAATGGTTCCAAAAAAAAAATAAAAGGAGCAATCAGTAGAAGGAGCCACTTGGGAGAAACAGTTGTTTTTGTTTTTAATTTTTTTAATAAAAATATAAAATATATCGTCAATTGCCCAAAAGCCAACGACCCTGCTAATACGTCTCTTACTGCATTGGGTGGTTACAACTTTTAAATCCACTACCTATCAGAATCTCAGGAATTATTTGGTAAGTACCTTGAGGAAAACCTGGAGCTAATTGCCCCCTGTTTCTACACACATACATTCATGGGGATATTTAGCGAAAATTTTTGTGGATGATACTAAGAGGTACCTGAAATGACCAAAAATCAGAAACGAATCACACATTTTTCAGCCACATGATACTGAAAAGTTACGTAACTTCTCTGAGGTTCAGTTTTCTCATCTGTACAATGGACATAATACTCTGGCCTTGTGTGGATGCCATCATGAGACACATTTAATAAAACAAATGTCATGCTTCATTCAGTGCCTTGCTAATGGATGATTCTTAATCACTGATCAATTATTCTTAAGTGAAGTAGCCAGTAAGTTGCTATCACTTCTATACATTTTTCCCCTCTTTCCTGATCTCACACGTTCTAGACAAAAATACTTTTGCACATTTGTTACTGATGTAAACTGCAATTTTTTTCTACTCTGAGCCAACTGTTTGAATCCTCTGTTTGTTTTGGCCATGATGCCATCTAACCTTCAAGACACCCGACACGCTGCAGACATGTGACTTTACTTTATTTCTTTAAAACAAGAGTGTCCCCCACCCACCTGTCTGAGTACCAGTCCGTGGCCTGTTAGAAACCGGGCTGCACTGCAAGAAGTGAGTGGCAGGTGAGCAAGCAAAGCTTCATCTGTATTTATAGCCACTCCCCATTCCCCACATTACTGCCTGAGCACTGCCTGCTGTCAGATCAGTAGCAGCATCAGATTCTCATAGGAGTGTGAACCCTATTGTAAATTGCACATGCAAGAGATCTAGGTTGCACCCTCCTTATGAGAATCTAATGCCTGATGATCTGTCACTGTCTCCCATCACCCCGAGACAGGACCATGTAGTCGCAGGAAAACAAGCTGAGGGCTCCCATGGATTCTACATTATGGTGCGTTGTATACTTATCTCATTGTATATTACAATTAACTAATAATAGAAATAAAGTGCATGATAAATGTAATGCACTTGAATCATCCCAAAACCGCCACCATGAACACCCTCAGTCCATGGAAAAATTGTCTTCCATGAAACGGGTCTGTGGTGCCGAAAAAGGCTGGGGACTGCTGCTCTAAATAATTCCTGAAAATGAGAGCAACAAGCTCGTGGTAAATTAATTACCTTGTCTCTAAACCGTCTCACATTGACTGGGAGTGACATGGAATCTGTTGACTTGGGTGATTATATCGATCCTGCTTACATGAAATATGTTTTACAACAATCCCAGTGGAGAATGAATCTGCACATTTGCTGTGACCATAAAGAAATGATGAGTTAAAGATGTGGACACTTAATATGCCCTGATTTAACAAGTGTGATAACTTCAAAAAACCTGTGAAGTACCATGCTCCATGGCAAAAGCCTCCCCAGGTACTGTTAAGGAAAGTTAGTATCCATTTAACTGTCACCTAAAGTGGAGAAAATATATAGCTTGAAAATTATTGTACGGATCCAAGAATTGGGCCTAGAATTCAATAATAGGCTGTTACATCTTGACACATGCCTAAATTGTTATGTTTATGTGGCTCTTAGCTCCAGGATACTATTCATATATAGATAAAAAGACATCCTTCAATTCATTAATTTAAATAGATAACAGATTACTTTAAGGATCAGAATCTAAGAAAACTATATTCTGGAGATTAATTTTAATTGAAATTCTTGGGGGAAAAACTGATCCCATAGAAAGTATAGATAACTAAAAATGGCTTCTTTTTGGCTTTTGAAAATTCTAAATTTTATTTTATACAGGAGCATGGTCCAATAGAAATGTAATGAAAGCCACGTATGTCATTTAAAGTTTTCTTATAGTCATGTTAAAAAACGAAACCAGTGAAATTAACTTTAATAATTTATATAATAACTGTATATATGAGTGTGTGTGTGTGTGTGTGTGTGTGTGTGTGTGTGTGTATGTATAACAGATATATCTAACATATTATCATTTCAACAAGTAATCAAGGCCAGGCACAATGGCTCACACCTGTAATCCCAGCACTTTAAGAGGCCAAGGCAGGCGGATCACTTGAGGCCCGGAGTTTGAGACCAGCCTGGCCAGGATGGTGAAACCACATCTCTACTAAAAATACAAAAATTAGCTGGGCATGGTGGTGCATGCCTGTAATCCCAGCTACTCAGGAGGCTGAGGCAGGGGAACTGCTAGGTCATGCCATTGCACTCTAGTCTGGGCAACGGAGCAAGTGTGACTCTATCTCAAAAAAAAAAAAAAATCAATATGAACATTATTCATAAGATACCTTTTTACATTCTTCTTTTCATATTAAGTCATTGAAATGTAGTATATATTTTATGCTTAAGGCACATCTCAATTTAGAGTATTTAATTTTTAAGTACTTAATAAGCACAAGCAGTGAATAGCTAAGGATTAGATAGGATGCTCTACAGTTCTACAGGAATATTGCATTTTTTGAAAGGATGGAAAGGATCATTCACTGAGTTCCTACCACATGTTAGAACATTGCCTTTGGCCTTAGAGCCCCTCACACATCCATCTGTTTTTCTCCTATAGCTAGCCTGTTCCTATATTCCAGATGCAGAAGTAGCTCAGGCTCAGAAAAGTTAAGTAACTTAACCAGTGCCATCATCCATCAGTAAGTGGCAGGACTGGAAGTTGAGCTGGGCCTTCTGATTTTGTGGAGTCATTGCTATTTTGCTAATACTGACATTTATGGCAGAACTATTGTGCTTTTCTATTTTTCAGTAAATTTCCTGAAATAGCATAGGAAATTAAAAAGTTGTTAGTAATAAAAAATAAATCCAGAGCTGAGCAAAACTCCTAAAGAAATTTTAGGAAGGTGGGCAAGCCCTGTATTGTCATGACACATTTTAAAAACTTTTCCTGTGAATAGAACCTTTACAAAAAGAACCTTGTGGAAACAGCACGAGGTGTCTAAATGTAAATTTCTCCCAGGCCAGGGACCTGATCTCATTCATCTTCATAGTCCCATAGGCTAGAGAAAACGTCTTGCGTTTATATTTTTAAAACTATAATTTACAACTTTGTTTATATATGCATTACCCGATTTAAGCTCACAACAATGCCTGGATGCAGATGGTGTGTTTTTCGTTTTCTGAGTGAGGACAGTGAGACTCAGAGGTGGGTCTTAGGTCGCGGTCGTGGAGTTGGTTGAGTGGCAGCCAGTGCGGCCATCCACAGGCTTTCCCAAGTGCATCGCTGCAGCCATAGTTAGCTCCCCAGCAGCTGCTCGGGGCTTTCACATAGATGGAATATAGTGTTGTCAGAGGTAAATTTCCAGCTAGTATATAGGATAGAACAAGATAATGTAATAAAATGTACATTTTCTAGGCTCTCTGATATGCTTCTACCCTCCTATCTCTTGTTATTACCATAAATCAAATACTAGTCAATTCTAAATGTAAATATAGGGATGATAACCTCTTTTTACAATTCCTCTCTTATCTGCAACTCCCAGAGAGATTCACATGGAGATACTTGGTCACTGCCGGCTTTGCGGTCGGCATGACTCCTATTAGAGATTAAATGACATAGAGTAATCTCAAAGTAGTTAGCAATAAAAATTAATACAAAACTATGCAAAACTCCCAGAGAAATTTTAGGCAAGTAGACAAGTCCTGTGTCATCATGACCCATTAATAAAACTTTCCTCGTGAACAGAACCTTTGGAAGTAGAATCTCATGGAAATAGCATGAGATTTCCAAATGTAAATGTCTGCCAAGTCTCTCTGTAAGAGATGGGTTGGCTGGGGGCGATGGCTCAAACCTGTAATCCTAGCACTTTGGGAGACTGAGGCAGGTGGATCACGATATCAGGAGTTCAAGACCAGCCTGGCCAAGATGGTGAAACCCTATCTCTACTAAAAATACAAAAATTATCCAGGCGTGGTGGCAGGTGCCTGTAATCCCAGCTACTTGGGAGGCTGAGGCAGGAGAATCGCTCGAACTCAGGAGGCAGAGGTCACAGTGATCCAAGATCACGCCACTGCAGTGTAGTCTGGGCGACAGATCAAGATTCCTTTAAAAAAAAAAAAAAAAAAAAAAAAAGATGGGTCTGCATTTCTCAAGGGAAAAAAACATCTCCAATGATGAGAAAATACAGTGTTTGATAAAGACCATGGATTTTCTCTATTTGATTCTCTGTTCTCAACACCCAAAACTTAGGCAGTAAAGAAACAGGGGAAGAGGTACCATTTATTCAGTCTTTTTCCACCCAGCACATGGGATGATCAAATTACATGGTCTCATCCAAAGTTTTCAGGCAGAAGCCTGAATGTTTGTAGAAAAATTAGCCTATTTGGCCCTAGCCAAATACATCCTCCAGTCTACCCATGTTGGGCAGATGCCTGTGGACTTTTGGACCCTTTGGCCTGGGAGTGATGTGTGATAGTTGCCAGGGTGGCATCTGCTGTTGGGCCAGACTGTTGGTGCTGTTTGATTCTCAGCCCAATTGCTTGTTTAAGCAAAGCCAAGTCTAGTCTCAAGGCCTAATCTCATCATAGTTGATGTTGTCTTTTTTTGATGGCTTCTAATAAATAAATAGAAACCTCTTTTCCTCTGGTCCATACCCCTTAGAAGTGCCACATTTAAAAAATAAGAGGAAAGCCTTCATCTCACTGGGGCCCATAGCAGTGGCAGATATTGTTATTTGCTGAATTGCTTCTATCTTTCTTAATTAGGTAGGAAGTAGCAACCATCAAAAAACAAATATTGTATGTAGGCGGCCATCAAAACATAAGACAACTGTTTTTCTTCCAGCAGAAAACCAATTTGGCAAACACTTATTTTTCTTTCTCTATCACACAAAGAAAGTCAATTCTCTAAGAAAAAGGATAGAAAAAGAAAAGAAAAGAAAACTTTTAAATAATATCCCATATATGTTTTGAGAATTTTATACATCAATACATTAAAACATAGGCAGGAAAATTTCAAATGCAAACAAAAATCACATCTTATAGCTCTTAGCAATTCCTTGTCTTCAAAGACTGGAGGAAATAGCCCACTGGGAAGGCCTTTAACAGAGCAGGTGCTTCCCTAGGGGAAGGAGTAACTACAGATATTTGAGGGCTACTCAGAGGCAAAAGGGCTCAAAAAACTTCAGACTGTCTTCCAAGCAACAGCCCCAGAATGCCTCCTAGATAGTGAGGCTGCCTTCAGTTGGCCTGAGATTGTTGCTCTGACCCTGGTGCCACCCTTCCTCTCCAACCTTGTTACAAACAATTCAGAAGGGAGGATTGTGAAATCCTTCCTGCTGCTCTTTCTGTCTTCTGCCAATCAGAGAAGACTGGACATGAGATCCAAGAGAGGGCTTTCCCTTTCCCCGATGGCTACACTGTGTCTCCTGCCTCCCAGCTGTTTATGGAAATCAGATGGTTTCCTCAACTGTCTATCTTTCTGCAGCAAATCCTTTGACAGAGAATGTGCACTGTCAACCAACCCCTTCATCGAGTCAGGCAAATTAGGATTCCTTTGACAGCAACTTTTTACAACTTCCTTCCTTTGAAGATATAAAGCTTTAAACAGTAGTAGTTCTCCGTGAGACCCAAGGAAAGGTCTGCAGACTATAAGCAGACTTTATCTGAAGACCACCTCCTGCCCCTCACTCTTACTCCAGAGGCCTGTGTATTTATTTATTTATTTATTTTTTTGGTAAAGGCCTCTGCTGTGAATTTAAGTCATCTAATCAAAATGCATTATTTCTGTCCTTGCATTGTCCATTCTCGTAAACCGTGGTTAACACAGATAATTGAGACTTGAGTGCTTTTTTATTCCAAGTCCCTTATTCGATTTGGCCCTTGTTAACAAAGCCTAGTCTGTAAGAGCGTGACCACCAGTCTTATTTACCTTGTTATCTGTAATTTCCTCTTTCCCTCAGGCCTTTGCGTAATATTTTCTCTGCATGGAAGGGGAGGATAAGAAAGAAGACCTAAAAACTGAATTTTTAAAATACAAACAGAAAAAAAGCTCCCTGTATTTTCCCAAATTCTGCATAAATAAAATAATATGCTCCATAATGGCAGAGATTTGACTGACTTGTTCGTTGCTATAAATCTAGCACTTACAATATCTGGCTGTGAATAAATAATTTCTTAATGACTTAGCAAATGCTGGAGACAGAATGAATATTGATATTAATAATGCAGATCGTAGTCAATTTATTTAGCTCAAACGTTGTGCGGGGCACCACTTTAAGTGCATTTCTTACATTAAGTCATATAATCTTTATAATAACTCTATAATATAGGTCCTATTTTATCTTCATTTTACAGGTGAATAAAGGAAGACGGGGAGACTATGTGTGACCAGCACAGGGTCATACATCTAGAATATTTTGGAGACATATTTTTGCACTCAGACTCCTCAAAAAAACATTTAACAAAATATGTTATCTTTTTTGTCACAATAGAAAAATATGAACTGAATATTATTACAGTAAAGTAGATTCAGGTTGGTTGAATAGCTGTATCCAAAAGGGTTAAAATATAATCTGTGTCGTCCTGGAGAATGATTTCCGCATGCAGAAATCTAATTGAATTTAATTGCTTTCATCTCAGTGATGGAGACCAAGATATGAACACAAGTTGGTTACTTTGAAACTTTCATAACTCAGGTATTCCCATTGTACAATAGCCTTGAGTTTTGAAAAGAACTCAAGCATGTATAAGGATTGACTGAAATTAATAAATTGATACTCAGCAGGTATAAATATGAAGCCCAATAGATGGGCAAAAGAATTTCTGAAACACAGGATGGGGGTGATACGAAAATGACTTGGTTGATGAGGTATTCACGCTCCTGGACCTGTGCCAACTCCCTCTCTGCAGGTTCCTGCCCTTATTGCTACCCTGTAATTATTCATCTTTAATTTATTGCTCTTCACCTTGAGCACCACTCTAAGGCTTTTCCATTTACCTAAAGCAGTAAGTTGTACTCTAGTGCCTACAGTTTTCTGTAGCTGGCCTTGCGGGTTCCTCTGCTGAGAAAAGTTCATACCATCCATTTCAGTTCCCTTTTCCATCTCTGAGTACCCCTAACTCCTTTCCTCCCTCTCAGAGAAAGACCGATTCTTCCTCCTTTTCATGACATATCCCTTCACTTGTACCCTTGAACTCACTCTTTTCTGCCTCTTTCTTCATTTCGCATTTCCCCTCACACTCTTACATCTTAAATTTTCCCTCCTCTGTGAATCCTCCCCCAGCCTCCAAACGTGGTCAAATCTTCCCAGGCGAAACCAAATTATTTCTCCTTCAAATCGCTGCCTCCCTTCCCCAGTCTTGTTGAAAGCCATCTTCACTCAACATCTCTATTTCCTTGCAAGTTCATACCTTAATACTCCGAAATGGAGCTCCTGTCCTCAACATTTTGGTGAAAATTCTCTCTTTTGAAGGTCGTGGAAACTGAACAGCTGATTTCCCTCAACTGTTTCTTAGTCCTGAGGCTGCTTGAAGTCTCTGAAGCAATTAATTTTTAATTTTAATTTTATTGAGGTAAAATTTACATAACATAAAATTAAGCAAGCGATACTTAATTACTTTCTAATGTTGTGCAACCACTACCTTTATCTAGTTCCAAAATGGTTCTGTTAACCCAAAAGGAAACTGTATACCTGTTAAGCATGTTCTCCCTTCCCCAGCTCCTGGCTTTATGTATCACCTATTTTTATATATAATATAAATGAAATCATACAATACTTGGGCATTTATGACTGGCCTCTTTTTTTTTTTTTTTTTTTTTGAGACAGAGTCTCACTCTGTCGCCCAGGTTGGGGTTGGAGTGCAGTGGTGCGATCTCTATTCACTGCAAGCTCCACCTCCTGGGTTCAGGCCATTCTCCTGCCTCATCCTCCCGAGTAGCTGGGACTACAGGTGCCCACCACCACACCCAGCTAATTTTTTGTATTTTTTAGTAGAGACCGGGTTTCACCGTGTTAGCCAGGATGGTGTCAATCTCCTGACCTCGTGATCCGCCTGCCTCAGCCTCCCAGAGTGCTGGGATTACAGGCGTGAATGACTGGCCTCTTTTACTTTGCATAATGTTGCAAGGTTCATCCACATTATAGCATGTATCACTACTTCATTCCTTTTTAGGGATAAGCAATATTCCTTTATGTGGATGGACCACAAATTGTTTACCCATTCATCTGTTGATGGCCATTTGGGCTTTTTTGACTGTTATGAACAACACTGCTACCAACCTGTGTGCAAATGTATTTGAGTACTAATTTTTTATTTGTAAATACAGTGACAATAATGCCACAAAAACATTGCATACTTACAAGATTTATGAGTTACATAATTTACAATGATTGAGTGTGGGCAGCTCTATTATCTGGATTTCATTAAGATGATGCTACAAAAATAGTAATTGTTAGTAATAATAATGCTACAAAAACGTTGTATACTTGCAAGATTTACAAATTACATAATTTATGATGATTGAATGGGGGTGGCTCTCTTATCTGGATTTCATTAAGATACTCAGGATTCTTTACAAACATGCTAGGTTTCCACTTAGAGCAAGATCTCTTAAAAAAAACCCTGCTTATTGACCACAGCAGCCAGACCCGGGCCTCCTTCTGCCTACTGTCGCCATAACTCTAGTTATAACTTGCTTTTGGGTTTATACCTAGGAGTGGAATTGCTGGCTCAAATGATAATTCTATGTTCAACTCTTTGAGAAACCACCCAACTGTCCCCTAGGAGTGGAATTGCTGGCTCATATGATAATTCTATATTCAACTCTTTGAGAAGTCACCCAACTGTCTTCTACAGCAGCTGAACCACTTTAATTCCCAGCAGAGCATTGGCAGTCCTTGAAATGCTCTTCCGTTTGCTGTTTAAGACACCATACTGTCCTTGTTCTCCCACTCTTTCTGTATAGAAACCCATATATTTTCTTCCTCTAGTTCTTCTTCTTATTCCTCCTGCCATTGGAAGTGCCTGTCCATTTCCTGTCTTGATTTTCCTTTGCTGTTTTCTACCATCCTCAACAATTTTATCCAACCTAGCAGCTTTAAAGATCTCTTCTTCAGCATGTCTCCAAATTTATAGCTTCATTTCTGACCTCAGGTCCATCGTGTCTACAGCGCATCTCCACCCGTACATTTCACTTGCCTCTCGGGGTTAACTGTGTGTTTCTGAACGCTCATACTGGGGTTAACTGTGTGAGTCTGAACACCTGTACCTCATTACCTCATTACTTCCTTACCTCATCTTCCTAAGTGCACGGTTTCTTGCAGTGCCATCCTCGTCTTCCCATGCACCTGAACCCACCACCTTGTATTTGTCTTTAGTTCCTCACCACCTGGGAGGTCAGTGGTACTTCTTATCCTTTCTCTCTCTCCCATGTGGTTTCTACCTGCAAACTCTTCATTACAGTGGTCACAACTGGTTTGAACATCATTTCCTCTTATCCAGCCAAGACAGGGCCACTTTCTTTTAAGTTTATCTTTCTCCCTTTTCCTGTGATCCAATCTGCGTGCCTGTTACTATCTAATTGACTTCCCAAAGAATAACTGTGATCATATCATGCCCTCTTCAAAGGCTGTCAGTCTTCCCATGCTTACTGAGCCACAACGAAATGAGTCCCAACCTGCTTTGTCACTTTCAGCCCTCACAATTCCCTGTCATTCATGTGATTCTCCTACCAAAGTAAGCTGCTTATCTTCTATGTTCACTGAAAATGGTATGTTTCCTTCCACATCTATCTCTAAGGGATGGCATAAGTGGGTTGCAATAGGTTTACAGGAATGAGGATCAGATTAAGAGCTGTGGCATCAGTAAAACCAATAACTCTTGATTTATTATGTAACAATGTATATTTTTAGCCAAACAAATGCTAGATACCAATAGGTAAACCTGGTACTAGGAATTTCTTTTCATTTTTGCTTTCTTTGAGATCTGTAATTAATCATGGTGAAAATAATGCTACAGAAACATCATATACTTACAAGATTTGCAAATTCCATAATTTACAATGATTGCATGTGGGTGGCTCTGTTATCTGGATTTCATTAAGACACTCCGGATTCTTCACAAACATGCCAAGTTCCCACTTAGAGCAAGATCTCTTAAGTAAACCTCTGCTTATGGACCACAGCAGCCAGATCTGAACCTCCTGCTACCATCCCTGTAACTCTAGTTATGACTTGTATTATCCATCACATTATTTGTTGTCTTATGAAGGATGAAGTGTTCAAATCCCTGTAGGAAACAGACCGAAAACTTTGAGTCTGTTACCCCTAAGAGACACAGCCCTCTTTTCTGAGGCGTCTTTCTTTCCTTGATTTATTTGGACTATGGTTTCTTTGGCCAACCATTTAATTTTTTTTTTGTTGTTAACTTTGTCCTTGTTAACATTAATTCTCTCATGTCATGTGGAAATGAGAATAATTCAGATATTGTAAGAGAAGGAAAATGGTTAGATAAATTAGAAGCATGAATAATTGATAGAGAAATAATTCAAGCAGCTAACTATATCATGCATTCTCTGCTTACTTCATGAATGATCCGTATGCCATGTCCATACGACTTAATATTTATTTTTAGAAACCTTTACCAAAATGAGCAAGAAGTAGTAAATGCCTCATTATCCTTTCAGAGCACCTAATGATACATTATTTTCTGTTATAAAACTTCAAGGTTTTTGAATGCATTGTTATAAATCCAGACTGTCAACATTTCTTTGGCAAGAAGCAGCACACCATCCTATAGAAATAAGATGTAAGATTAACAATTCAGGTTCATATATTTTCATCTGTCCCTGAATTCCACCATACATGGCAGAAAACCACAATCATGTTTTCATAGCAAATATGTTATGACAAACTATACAACATTTAAGAACATTTAGAAAAGCCAAAATGGAACTTTCAGAAATAAAACCTTGGCTGTTGTGGTGGCTCACGCCTGTAATCCCAACAGTTTGGGAGGCCAAGGCGGGCAGATCACCTGGGGTCACGAGTTGAAGACCAGCCAGGCCAACATGGCGAAACCCTGTCTCTACTAAAAATACAAAAATTAGCCAGGCATGGTGGTGCGCGCCTTTAATCCCAGCTACTCGGGAGGCTGAGGCAGAATTGCTTGAACCCAGAAGACAGAGACTGCAGTGAGCCAAGATCGCACCATTGCACTCCAGCCTGGGTGACAGGGCGAGACTTTATCTCAAAAAAAAAAAAAAAAAAAAAAAAAAAAGAAAGAAATTAAACCTTAAATAGCAAAATAGAAAAGACAGATCATCAGCAATGATTAATAAAAAAGCTATTTTATAAAGCGGTGATTGGGAAAGTAAAATAGGTTGTACAGATTGGGCCAAAGCCTAAAGATATTCTGGTGATTCTTTCCACGATAGAAGACCGTGAAAGAGGCAATGCAGTGAGACCATAAGCCTTGTGGTTTGGGACACATTCTTTTCGAAGGCCTAACTTTTTCTGTTGGTGAAATGGGAATAAAAATAGTACGAATTTCCAGGAGTTAAATTAGAGTTGAATGAGATAATTCATGTGAGGCTCTTAGAAAGATGCCTGGAACATAGTAAGAATTAAATAATATCATCTAATAAAGTGAGAATGACCACAGAATATGTCTTTATATGGTATTCATTGTTAAAATGCCTAGGGATGGAGAGTTCTGGCTTTAGCTGTAACTTAATATAGGAGTTAAAAAGGTATCATAACCTTAATATTAGGTCTCGGGAGGTGTCACTAGGACTCTGTTATCCTTTCTTCCCTTCTTTCTTTTTTGGCTTTCTATATGTCTTCATTTTCAGACAACCTCTCTCCTGGGGTATCAGAAGACACACTCACATTAGGATAATGCAGATAAGATCAATTCACAGTAAGAAGATTTATCAAGGTAAAGTGAAGTATAGGAGAAGCACATGAGAACCCAGGAGCATAAATTGATAAACACACCAATTGAAAACAGATTGGCTGAATTTTAAAGCAATAGATATATGTTTCTTAAATTAGATAGACCTTGAATGGAAGGGTACAGAAAAATAGAAAATGAAAAAAAGTAAGAAAATATATCCTGTAAATATTAACCAAGAGAAAGTTGATAGAGCTATGCTATTATCAGAGGAAATAGACTTTAAGGAGAGAAGTATCGCTACAGATAAAGAACGCTATATCATATTTATAGAACTATACAGCAGGCAGATATAATAATTCCAAATTAGGATGCATCCAGTAACATATACAGCAGCCCCCCTTATCTATGGGAAACACATTTCGAGACCCCGACCGGGTACCTGAAACCTCTGATAGTAGCAAAGTCTGTGTATGTATATAGTCACGTGTGACATAACAACGTTTTGGTCAATGACGGACCACATATGTGATGGTGATCTCATAAAATTATAATACCATATTTTTACTGTACTTTTTGTGTTTAGATATGTTTAAATACACAAATACCATTGTGTTACAACTGCATACAGTATTCAGCACAGTAACATACTGTACGGGTTTATAGCCTAGGAACAATAGGCTATACCGTATTTCCTAGGTGTGTAGTAAGCTATACCATCTAGGTTTATATAAGTGCACTGTGTATTGTTTGCACAATGCCAGAATCAACTAACAATGCATTTCTCAGAACATATCCTTGTTAAGTAACGCATGACTATAGTATGCTTTTCCTATACATATGCAAATATGACAAAGTTTAATTTATAAATTGGACACAATCAGAGATTAAAAACAATAACGAATAGTAAAATAGAACAATTACAGTAATATGCCAGCATCACTAATCTTGAACTTTGGGGCCATTAAGTAAAATAAAGCTTACTTGCATACAAGCACTGATATCTCAGCAGTTGACATAACTACACAGCTACTGAGTAACTAATGGGATAGTATGTACAGTGTGGATACACCGGACAAAGCCATGATTCATGTCCAGAACAGGACAGCAGGATATTTAGTCACACTACTCAGAATGGCTCAGAATTTAAAACTTACAAATTATTTCTTTCTGAAGTTTTCCATGTAATATTTTCAGACTGCAATTGACTATAGGTAACTAAAACTACAGAAAGCAAAACTACAGATAAGAGGGTGACTGGTGTATAAAATAAAACTAATATATATAATAGAAGTAGTCAAAATAGAAAAACCCATCATCATAGCTGAAAACTTTAACACATTTCTACATAGCTGATATAACAAGTAGTCTAAATATAAAAAAGAGTAATAAAAATTTCACTAAAATCTGTAATATAGATTTTACTAAACAAAATTTGGTTCTAACAAAATTTACAAAAACTAAGGGTATGCATTCTGCAGTGTTCACGTGGAATACTTATCAATATATTGTAGGCTGGTCATAGAGTACATCCAAACAAGTTTCAAAAGATAGAAATCATACAGATTGTATATTCTGACCATTTTAAATTTAAAACAGAAATTAATAACAAAAAAACTAAAGGATCCCCACATATTTAGAAACTATGCAATATATGTTGAAATATTCCATGGGTAAAATAAGAAATAATAGTAAGAAGTAGAAAATAGTTTGAATGGAATATAATGGAAATACAACATAACAAAACTTGAGAATCCAGATAAAGTAGAGGAAAGATTTACAACCTTGAATGCATATATAAATCAGAGAACACCAAATTTAACTCTAATAAAATGGAGGGAAGGAAATAACAAAAATACAATTTATAACATAGAAAGTAGACATGCAAGAGGATAAGTCAATAAAGTTTGTTCTTTGAAAGTTCTGTAACTTGATATCAATAGTCCCTAGTAAGGGTAATTAAGAAAAAAAAAAGAAAAGACACTATGGCTAATTAAACAAATGGAGACAGCACTAGAGATCTTTCAAGAATAAGAAAAAAGAAGAAGGCATTGTTAATACATTTATAAAAATTAATTTGAAAATTAAAACTGGCAAATTCTGTAAAATAAATAAAAAATCAGTGTACCAAAGCATACCAAAAAAAAAGAAATATAAAATCTGGTAAGTTCTACATTTATTAAATGAAAACTCTGTAGCCTAAGATAATTCCAAGTCCAGATGGCTTCATGGTAAATTCCACCAAACTTTTAAAGAAGAAAATACACTAATCTTATGCAAACTCTTCTGTAAAATAGAAAAAAAATGAAACGCTTTCCAGCTTCTTTCTGAAGGCCAACATAATCTTCTTTGCAATAACTGACATAAACATTGAAAGAAGGAAAAATTATAAGCCAGTCTCTCTAATGAATGTATATGAGAAGGTAGATAAATTTGACTTCAATAAAAGTAAAAACCTGTGCTCATCAAAATACATCATTGAGAAAGTGAAAAGGCAGGCTATACAGTGGAAAAAAAATCTTTGTAATATATGGGTCTATTACAGGACATTTATCTAGGACATGTTAACAACTCCTACAAAAATATAACAAAAGGGCAGAGAACCCAACTAACAATGGAGGAAATATTTAACAGGCTTTTAACAAAAGAGGATATCTACATGACCACTAAACATATTAAAAGGTTTTTAGCATCACTAGTCATCAAGGAAATGCAAAGGAAAACTACACGGAAATTATTCAGATACTATTATACACACATGTGAAAATTAATTAGAATTTAAAAAGTAAGTATAATAACAATAGCAAGGACGTGTGGCAATCAGAATTCTCACACACTGTAAAGCTGAACATTCTTGACCTAGAAATCCTACTTCCAGATCTATAACTAAAACAAATGTATACACATGTACACTAAAGGCTCTTACAAGAAAGTCCAGAATAACACTTTGTAATAGCTAAAAACTGGAAACAACTCAAAAGTCCATCAAGGGACAAATGGATAAATTTTGGCACATATATCATATGTATATACCAAATACATAGCAAAAAAAAAAGCAACTGTTATTATGCTCAAAAATATGGATAAACTTAATAGGCATAACATTGCATGAAAGAAGCCAGATAGGGAAGGGAATATCCTATGGAAATGAAGTTCAACAGCAGGCAGAACTAACTAATCTCTGTTGAGCTATAGATGGTGATGTGAACTAATCTATATTGAGCCAGGATGGTGGTGATATGGTTTGGCCGTGTCACCATCCAAGTCTCATCTTGAAGTGCAGCTCCCATAATCCCCACATGTCACGGGAGGGATCCAGTGGCAGGTAATTGAATCACGGGGGTGGGTTTTTCCCATGCTGTTCTCGTGATAGTGAATAAGTCTCACGAGATTTGATGGTTTTATAGAAGAGAGTTCCCTACACACGCTCTCTTGCCTGCTGCCGTGTAGGATGTGCCTTTGCTCATCCTTCACCTTCTGCCATGATTGTGAGTCCTCCCCGGCTATGTGGAACTGTGAGTCCATTAAACCTTTTTTACTCTTTTTTGTTTGTTTGTTTGTTTTTTGAGATGGAGTCTCACTCTGTCGCCAGTCTGGAGTGCAGTGGTGCATTCTCAGCTCACTGCAACCTCTGACTCCCTGGTTCAAGTGATTCTCCTGCCTCAGCCTCCTAAGTAGCTGGGATTACAGGCACGTGCCACCACACCCAGCTAATTTTTATATTTTTAGGAGAAATGGGGTTTCACCATGTTGGCCAGGATGGTCTTGATCTCCTGACCTCGTGATCCACCTGCCTGGGCCTCCCAAAGTACTGGCATTACAGGTGTAAGCCACTGCACCCCAGTCTCAGGTATGTCTTTATTAGCAACCTGAGAACAGACTAATACTTGTGGTTACCTTTGAAAAGGTGATGACTGGAAGGGGCCTGAGGGAGGTTTCTGAGATCATGACAGAGTTGTATGTCTTCATCTTTATGGTGGTGACATAGGTGTGTTCACTCAAAAAAAATTCACCAAACTGTACACTTACACTTTTGCAGTTTAATATATGAATGATACATGTTATGCTTTAATTAGAAAGTTAAAAGTAAGTTTTTTTCAAAAGTAGTAATTGGATGACTCCCGCTTTTATTGAGTTAGCAAGTATCTTTTACTGCCACTTTCTATTGTTAAAAAAAAAAAAAGGCTCACCACTGAGGCTGTAAGGCTAAATCCTTAGCATGACACACAAAACCATCTATAAACCAGTTTCTAGCCTTTCTTCCTGGCCATTCCCTTTGACCTGAGCTGTCTTGAATATTCTTAAGACTTGACAATACTAATTTTAAACCGTCTAAGATAAGATCACCTCCCACTCCAGAAAAGGGGTGAGGGTAGATGTTAAGACCAGAGTGTGCTTCCAGCACACTTGTATTTTTTATGGTACTAAGAAAGAAAAATGCTGACGCTTAAACCTGCACACAGTAATTCCTTAACATCAATGGTAAGGTTCCTCCCTAATTTTGAAGGCATTAAAATGGGGTCGGGGAAATGTCTTACAAATGATATTTTTTAAAAAAATAAAATAAAACAAAGATAATCATGTCTTGGATTATCATGACTCACAGCAACTTTACTTTCAAAAGTAAGAATATTTACTTCTAAAACTATGAAATCTTCACTATATTCTTAAAAATATAAATCGTTAAATGTCATTCTTTAGCTCTAAATACAAAGTTAGTTTGTTGAACTTCATGAGTTACGTCTTTTATCGGGCTTGGGGTGTGACCTTAGCCCCTCTCCTTTGTGAGGGGAGATGGCAGAACTCTCAGAAGCTTTTTCTATTCTCATCTTTGTTGGTTACTGGGGAAAAACTGGATTTCGCTGCACTCATCAAATAAAGAGGCCCAGGTAGCAGCGCCTCCACGTTTTGTTCAAGTGGGGTTTTCTGCGTGTGCCGCTGGCCAATTCTTCAAGAAAAGTGTTTGTTCTTCTCTGGCGGTTTGGTGTTCCTATGTTTCAACATGGGGGTACCAAATAATTCATTTCCCCTTTTCCCAACAGATGCATTCTTGTGACCTCACTGATGACAGGGGCGTCGTTTATTCTAACAAATGCTCTTGTCCAAATTCCAACCATGTTGCCAAGAGATGGCATAGCTGGTGAGGGCTGGACTTTAGGGGCCAATCTCCACTCCTGAGCTCCCCTGACCACACAGGAAGAAAACATTAATGATGTTCCCATACTGATGTTGTGGTGTAAGTGTCTCCTGTGTAAATAGAACTAAATATTTAGGAAAGAAAACAGAAGAGTCTTATGTAGTGCATTACAAACTAGAAAGCTTTTGAAGTCAGCATCTGGGATGGTCTTAAAAACAAACGTGCAGTCTGAGAGAAAGAATTACTGCTGACACACGCTGACCTCACAGAAACTATCTGGTGATGAGATTATCTCTCTTCCAGGACTCTAACAAGGCTTTGCAAGGATATTTTCTTGCTTTGCTTTGCTTTTTTTAATCTTCTTAACTGGTGGAACCTCTTGTTATGTGCAAATCTAATCCATTCTCATTCAAAGATGGATGTCCCGGTTTTACTGTATCTGCCTTAGTTGGAGATTCCCGGGAAGAAAAGCCCAGGACAAGTGGTCAGGTGCAGGAACTTGATCTGAGAGGTGGTCCCAGGAAGCAGAAGTGAGTTCATGGGGACATTGAGAAGAGGAAGGAGGCCAATCAAAAAAGAGCATTTCTGAGGTTGCTTCTGTACACAGGGGCTTCATTTCTTCAATTCTCCCAGATCCTCTGGGAACCCTATGAAATGCTTTTCAGAATTCTCAGAGTCATCCACCTGAAAAATAGAGGGACTGGAGCCTTTTTTCCTAGTCTCCCTACTGTCCATGGATTGAGAGTTGCCTGGGAGCAGGGAGAGCGGGTGTTAACTGCCTTCTGTTTAGAACAAGTTCCTGTATGTGTCAGAGATCTGGGGCAGGATGATTTGCAGTCATGTAAGCTTAGGTTGAACTCTGGGAGAGCCAGGTGAGTGTGTGCTCAAAAAGAACTGTCCAGTGCAGCTGCTGCTGAAATCAGAGGTGACTGCAAGGATGTAACACTGGCGCTCGGGTGTCTGCCATGGCCTAGGTTTCTTATGAGAGATTGAACTCTTCGGAGATTCCATCATTCAGAGCAGGCACAAGACGGTTTGGCCACCAATCTGGGTAGAGCCAGGCTGTTGCATGACAAGTCAGTCAGGAGAAAACTGAGGCTAGCAGGCTGACTTTCTGGTTCCATGACACACATCACATCTGCAATAGAGCTTAAAGACAGGGTGCTTATCCCTCAAACCTCCCTGTATCACTAACTTTCTTAATCCAGACTTTTGCCTTTGTTTTTTTTTTTGTTTGTTTTTTTTTTTTTTTTTTTTAGAAGGAGTCTCGCTCTGTCACCCAGGCTGGAGTGCAGTGGCAGGATCTTGGCTCACTGCAAACTCCACCTCCTGGTTCTCGCCATTCTCCTGCCTCAGCCTCCCGAGTAGCTGGGACTACAGGTGCCCGCCAGCACACCCAGCTAATATTTTTGTATTTAGAGTAGAGACGGGGTTTCACCGTGTTAGCCAGGGTGGTCTTGATCTCCTGACCTTGTGATCCGCAAGCCTCGGCCTCCCAAATTGCTGGGATTACAAACGTGAGCCACCGCACCCGGCCTACTTTTACGTCTCATAACCCAAAAGCTCTATGGCTTCAAAAATTCCCAACTCCTCAAAAAGCTGATTTTCTGTTTTATCAGTGCCCCTTTGATTGATAAACAATATATTAATATAAGATGGATATAAAGCAGATGTATTTTGTTGCCACAACTTCTTTGGTTCAAATTAAAGAATATAGGTCATTTGTCCCAGAGAGTCAGTCCAGCTGAAAAATTGTGGATGTTGATAAATGCGTAGGTCTCCATTCTTAAAAATCCAGCATTTTTGTATAGGAACAAAACTTTACTTGGATTATAAATTGCAGGCCTTCTTTGAAAAGACAAAGTGTGAAAGGGAAGAGAACTGTAGAGTCTTCCTGATGTTTACTGAGCCCTTACTCCAAACCAGGACTTAGGCTTGTTGCATCCCCTCCATTAACTCATGTCATATTGCCTAATTCATAAAGAGGCCCAGAGAGGCAGTCGAGGTGTAGAAAGGTTAAGTAACATTCCCACTGCCTCATAACTTGTAAGTAATGAAACTCTCCGGAAAAGTTGAGCTCAGATCTGAATCCAGAGCCTGCATGCCTAACCGCAGTGCAATGCTATCCTCACCTCACTGTGCAAATACATCTCAGATCTCTGCATTAGGATGCACAGGTTTACATTTTTTAAAAGCAGGTAATAACTGTCTTATTCTGTACCTATTGTCTGTTTTCACAGTCTGCTGTGAACCCTTGCTTTCAGCTGGGACACTGTTGCCTTCCACTGCCTTCCACAGCCTCTTTACTTCCCCTTAAACAACCTATTCCAACTGGTACTACTTGATAATAGTCATTTTCTCTCACCTGAAAGCATGCCTCTGTCAACCAGGCTCTTCCCCTCAATGGCTAATGACTCTCACTCCTACACTCCTGCAGAGGGCCTGGCACATAGTGGGTGCTTAATACAAGTTCCTTGGCACAAAGAATATAGGAATAAATACGGGGACTAAGGTATTGCGCTCTCCATTTTACAAAGGAGAAATCTAGCCTTGGTCTCTCTGATACCACAGTCTTTCCCAAAGTTGCACAGCACAGTGGAGGAGAGTTGGACCTAGGGCCCAGGTTTCCAGGATCCTGGTCTAGTGTAATGTCAGTTTCTAATTATGTGGTCCACACACATGAATATTTAAATCAGCATCTCCTGGAGATAACTCAAGAGGTGACTCTAATGGTAGACAATTGAGGCTGTACATCAGGGTTGCAAAGGGGCTTTGTCCGGATGAGTGGATTTTTTGTGTCCCTTACACCATGTGAATTCCCAGCATCATGGTTTATGCTAATCCTCTTTCCAAAATAGTTTCCTGGTGACCTTCTCCCTGTGCCAACCCCGGAATACAATGGGATGAGTAACTGGCAGGTCCAGATACAGAAAATGAGTGAGCAATGCCTTTCCCAGCTAAAAATTCTTCCAGCTCACCCATGGTGTGCTAGGGAAGATGTTCTCCTATGTCCTGAATGACCAGCAGCAGAGGATTCAGGGCACCCAATGCAAAATTGTCACCAAATGACTGTGACACTGAAGTGGCTCATGCTGCTCTTTGCACTGCATTAAGTGAAACCAGACGCCTCCAGTTAAACTCCAGTGAGCTAAAAAGTATAGTGATAAATATATGAAATGAGTAGAAAGAACAAAAATAAAGAAGCCTCACCCCAGATACGGCACTTATGAAGAATCTGTGTCTCAGTCTCCCAGCAAAATTGAAACGTAATTCAACTTCAGATGGTCAATGCCTGCCTTAATGCCCCATGCTAATGTCAGCCCTGAGATGTCACAATAGTCCAGGAGATGCTTACCTGAAGGAGAGGCCCTCTAGAGAGGCTGTGAGAACTGTGATTTGGAGCTCGAAACTGAGATAGTGAGCTGGGCAGGGTGACAATTTATGGAGAATGGGAAAAGGAAGAGGGAAGTATTTTAGCAAAACGGATGCTATCAGGATGGCTGAGGCTTTAGAACCAGATGGAGTGCTGTGGCCTCTCTTGGATGGATGCTGTTTCTGAGCTTTGCATCTGGAAAGACAGAGCCTGCTCTAGGAATAATGATGTCAAAGATCTTTCTCATTTTACTGTCTGGTTAAATATCACCTCTTCAGAGAAGCCTTCCCTTATCAACTTACTTAAATTGAGTACCCCCTGTCAGTTTTCTATCACAGTACCTCACTTGTGTGTGTTTTCCATTCATAGCATTTGTTACACTTTCACATTTTTAAAAGCGTTGTTTCTTTTTTTGTTTTTTGTCCATCTCCAGTTCCTATCAGTGCCCTACCATGTCCTTAACATTTAGCTTAGTGCCTGACACGTAGTGCTTCAGTAAGAAGTATCAATGTGGTAAGTGAATTTCTAATCGAATAGCAGTTACATCATAAATAGTCAATGATTCTTGTGATGTCTCATGGTCCCAGGGATCATGAGATACAGAGTGACAGAGGATGGAAGTTCAGTTTTCTTCTCTATGTAACAGGAAGCAAGGAAGTGATCGTCAGAATAACTGCAAGATGACCCTGCTGGCTGCTGTGTGACAGGGGATTAGAACAGTCATAAAAGCAGGTAGAGAGGTGTTTCAGTTAGCTATGGCTGTGTAACAAACTACTCCAAACTTAGAGACTTGAAATAATCATTCTATGTGGTCATGTTTCTGTGGGTCAAGAATTCCAGCAGGATTCAGCTGGTTGTCAACTGGGTCTTTCACATAGCTTTTTTCACCTGGTAACTTAGCTAGGCTGGAAAATCCAAGAAAGCTTCACTCATACACCTGGCACCTTGGTGATTCTTTGCATGCACCTTGGTGATTCTATGTGCTGTTTTGTCTCCCTCATAGCTAATCAGATGTCTTATGTGGTGGTTGGCATTTTTTTTTTTTTTTTTTGAGTCAGAGTATTGCTCTATTACCCAGGCTGGAGTTCAGGGTGCGATCTCGGCTCACTGCAACCTCTGACTTCCAGGTTCAAGTGAGTCTCCTGCATCAGCCTCCCTAATAGCTGAGACTACAGGCACGTGCCAGCACGTCTGGCTAATTTTTGTATTTTTAGTAGAGACAGGGTTTCACCATGTTGGCCAGGCTGGCCTTGAACTCTTGAACTCAGGTGATCCACCCACCTCAGCCTCCCAAAGTGCTGGAATTACAGGTGTGAGCTATCACGCCCAGCCTGGTGGTTGGCTTTTAAAGGGAGCAGGTCAACCATATGAAAACAGAAGCTATGGCTCTCTTGAGGCCCAGCCCCAGAAGTTACACACCATCAGTTCCCCTGTGTTCTGTTCGTCAAAGCAGCCCAAGATTATCTCAAAATCAAGAGGAAGGGAAATAGATTCAGCTCTTCATGAAGATTGGCAAGGAATGTGCAGCCATTTTCAAACCACCCCGCAGAGAGAATGGTTAGGACATTGTTATGATAAACCCAGCCTAAGGTTATAGCAATAGAGATGGACAGAGATGATTTAGCTGAAGATATAGCTGTAGTTAGCATGACCAGACTTGCCAATGGTTGTAATAGGGTGTCTGGATTAGGGAGATGTTGTTTATCTCTACTAGTTTCCTGTTAATTACTCTATGAACAAATTAGCACAAACTTTGTGGCTTAAAACAACACAAATTTATTCTGTTTTAGTTTTGGAGGCCAAAAGTTCAAAATGAGTTTCACAAGGCCAAAATCAAGGTGTCAGCAGAACTGGTTCCTTCTGGAGGCTCCAAGGAGCATTTGTTCCTTGTCTCTTCAGTCTCTGGAGGCAGTCGTGACCCCTTCTTACAACTTCAAAGGCAATTGTGTAACATTTTTGCAGGGAGAGTCCTGGGAACAGTGAGACAAGTTGGGGAGAGGCAAGTGGAAGGGACAGAATCAAGATTGAAGCAGGCTAAGTATGAAAAATTTGTAAGATGTCCAAGCGGAGATGCCAGAAAAAGTCAGATGAGTGTATGAGTCTCACATTTCAGAGCTAAAAATATACACTCTGGATTTATCAATATAAAGTTAGATGAGGGCCAGGTGCGGTGGCTCATGCCTGTAATCCCAGCACTTTGGGAGGCCGAGGTGGGCAGACCATGAGGTCAGGAGCTCAAGAACAGTCTGGCCCACATGATGAAACCCCATCTGTATCAAAAATACAAAAATTAGCTGGGTGTGGTGGCATGCACCTGTGATCCCAGCTATTCAAGAGGCTGAGATAGGAAAATCGCTTGAACCCGGGAGGTGGAGGTCGCAGTGAGCTGAGATGGTGCCATTGCACTCCAGCCTGGGTGACAAAGTGAGACTGTCTCAAAAAAAAGAAAGTTATATGAGTATTGTTGAAGTCATTTAGGAACAGATTTTTTAGCAACATCATCCAGTAGAAATGTAATGTGAGCCAGAAATGTAAATGTAAATGTTCTGCTAGCCATATTTAAAAAGTAAAAAGAAAAAGGAAAATTAATATTAGCAATATCTTCTTTAACCTGATTATTATATAATGATCATTCCATCATTTAAGCAACATAAAAAGCAATGAGATATTTTAGATAACTTTTTCCATACTAAGTTTTAGAAATCCAGTATGTTAGCTCACTTTCCAATTCAGACTAGCCAATTTCTTTTTGATGGAGAAAATGTATTTAATTAAAAGAATTATTCTTACTATTATTTTTGATTGGCAAGTCATAATTGTATGCATTTATGAGGTACAATATTATGTTTTGATACATGTATAAAATGGTATAATTAAATCAAGCTAATTAACATGTCCATCACCTCAGTTACCTATCCTTTTTTTGCTGAGACATTTGAAATTGACTCTCTTAGTTATTTTGAAATATATAATACATTATTATTGACTGTAGTCATCATGCTGTGCAATAGTCTCAAAACCTCTTTCTCTTGTCTATCTGAAACTTTGCACTCTTAGCTAAAAAAAATCTCCCCAGTCCCTCCCCTGCACCCCCAGCCCCAGGTAATCACCATCCTACTGCTTCTAGGAGTTTAGCTTTATTTGATTTCCCATACAAGTGAGATCATGTGGTATTTGTCTTCTGTGCCTTAGCCATATTTGTATTATCCACTGGCCACCTTTGTCTCCTGGTGATATACTGGACAGCACAGCTTTAGAAAGAAGAGATTCTAGAAGTTATCCCTGAGGAATCCCAGCATTTAATGGTCGGATATAGAAAAAGCTTGAAGGTAGAAGAAAAACCAGGACAGTGTAGTATTGCACAGGTAGGAAAAGCCTTAAGAAGTGAGTTGATCAGCTATGTTGAATGCTGGTACAAAGATGGGTAAGATGGGATGGAGAAGTTTCTACAAAACTGCTGCTAATTCAAAGAAACAGATATAGACCACTTCCAGGCTGGGCGTGGTGGCTCGTGCCTGTAATCCCAACACTTTGGAAGGCCAAGGTGGACAGATCACTTGAGATCAGGAGTTCAAAACCAGCCTGGCCAACATGCTGAAACCCCGTCTCTACTAAAAATATGAAAATTAGCCAGGTGTGGTGGTGCACGCCTGTAATTCCAGCTAGTCGGGAGGCTAAGGCAAGAGAATCAGTTAAGCCCAGGGGGCAGAGGTTGCAGTGAGCCAAGATCGTGCCACTGCATTCTAGCCTGGGTGACAGAACGAGATTTGTCTCAAAAAAAAACAAAAAAACAAAAAAACAAAAAAAAAAAAACAAGACTACTTTTAGGTTCTCGCTCTTTGGATGTGTTGCTGTTTCCTGCACTCTCTTCCTACTGTCTTTGGGTGGTAGATGGAAGGGTGCCACAGGACACACAGCTGGGGAAACTTCCTCTTGCAAAGCCTCTACTAAACCATGCCACACCACTGTATAATAACTGGAAAATGGCTTTGGGACTTAAAAGCAACTTCATCCAAGAAGAATTGCAGTTTGGATGCAGTCCAGGTATAAAACAACCACCTTCACTCCTGTGTGTTACTGTAAAGCTTGCCTTCTGTAAAATGTCTTAAGCATAAGAGCTGTAAAGGAAAATACTCATGGATTATATTGTGATTTGAAATCAGGATGTAATACGATAGTGACAGCTTAAAGATTCTTCTAAAACTAGATATGAAATTTGAATGTGGCACCTGTCTATAATTTGTAAAGCACTTTGGCTTTTTCTCAGCTACATGGTGATGATGAGTTCTTCTCAACAAGTGACTAAGCTCTAGGGGAATCAGTTTCTCAATTTGCATGAGATACGGGAGCTTCCTAAGACATGAGACTTTCAGTTTTAAAACCAGGATAGTCTTGAGAGAGCTGCCCTTGTTTTTCGGAGACATGCAGGCTTCCCAAGATGTGAGACTTTCAGTGCTAATCCCAGGAAAAGTCCTAAACAAAAGGCAACGAGTTGGTTGCCCAACCAAGCTGGGAGGCCTTCTGACCGAGGACCTCCTGAAGTCATCAACCCAAAGAGAAGAACTGCCTCTTAGGGCTGACTGATGCTTACAAAAGGGATTATAAAGCCTGAATACCAATTTCTTAATTTGCAAAGAGAAATGATGTGACAAGGACCAGGAAACTCAAAGTCCATATGGTCAGCATTTTCTGTCTCTGTATAAAGCCAATCTATTAATTTAAAGAACAGAATGATTATCACATGCATTGAAATACACAAAGTCCAAACGATCAGCAAATTCTCGCCCGGTGTGAAGTCAGTCTTTTAATTTACAAAGAAAAATTACTGTCACAGAGACTGGAATGCTCAAAGTCCACATGGTCAGCACATTTTCTGCTTCTACTCTACCCTTCATGGAAGACCAATTCATAATCAGAAGGCTGCTTAGTGAGCATGAAGTGTTGGTTAGAGTGAGTGCTTAAAGGCACTGGACTAAGAAAGCCTAACTTTACCAAGGGGTTCAGACTGTCTTTGTCACCAAATGCTGAAGTCTTTGCTTCAGCAATTTTTCCTGCCTCTAGGATGAGTACTGCAAAGTTGCCTCCAGGAGGCATCTTATTTTCCAAGCTGCCATGGATGACTGACCGTTTTAAGCGTCCTTCATTCTTCAGATGTGCTAATACCATCAATTAGGTAGTAGAGTTTCACTTCCCTAGGAGCCATTTTGTCTTTGCTACATTTATCTTTGCTCTTATTCCAAAGAGCAGCCTTCATTCTCTTCCTATCAAATCTTTCAGCAGCAGAAGGCAACTGACTGTATCTCTGAGTAATGTTGATAAGTATTGTGTTGTGGAGGCTCTGCATAGTACAGTGGTTAACGGCACGGGCTGAGAACTGAGGAATACCTACTGTCTACTTGTCTACTACCATGCAGAACTATAGTAAGTCACTATATCCCTTTGAGCCATAGTTTCCAGTTCTATAAAATGGGAACCATCCATAGTTGGTTGTATCAAGGACTCAATGACAGCAAACAAGTAAAAGAACCCATATAGTGTTTGAGACATGATTGTGCTCAAGAAATGATAGGAAACAAACGTACAAACGACAAGCATTTTTTGCTGCAGTTTGGAAGTATTAATGTTTTACAACCTCCACAAACTAAGGTTCATGATCGAAGAACCTCACTGAATATTTAACTTTAGGGATAAAATGCACAACCTATAATAATTTTAGTGCAATTGATTTATTATAGTCAAGGGAAACATGACTGAATAACAAAAGTAGGTTAGGAAAATACTGAAACAGAATAGGATGAAGAAAAGCATTTTAATGAAAAAGGAAAAGCAGAGAGCAGAGTAGTAATCTCTCTTGGTTCCTCTCCTTCCGTCAGCCTGCTGTTCCTGCCCCTCTCTTCTTCTCTCTGGCCTCTAGATACCGGAATGTCTCAGGCCTCCCATCCCCTCTATCCTCCATTTCGCCACCTGCTCTGGCCAAAAAGTTTGAAGGAGGACCTATGAAAAATATCCCTGGCCTGGGCTTAAGAAGCCTTCACCCTCATTCTCAACTCTGAGGCTACCAGAGCATGATCAGTTCATCATCTCAGTCAATCCTCCCAGCTCCTCTATTAGATCCATATGACTGCCACTTTGTGAAAGATACAAGGAGGACTTGGCAAAACAAGGGCCCCACCTGAAATGGATAGCTGAGAGCATTACCACAGTCGGATCTGCTGGGTTGAATTGTACACAGCAGATGCCAACTTCCAATGAAATTAGAATCATATTTCTATACATTTTCTTAAGTGCCAGACATCATTCTAATCATTTTATAGGCATTATCTCACTTAGTGTCTAAAAAACCCTAAGGTTTTGCCATATAACTTTCATCCCCACTTTATTATCTATCTAGAATAACTGAGGCTTATGGAGGAAAACTGACTGACTCATTGCTGCTTGGCTATTAAGTGGAACTTCCCAAGACTCTGTAACTTTGGAGACTAGTCACATATGAAATATGCTACCCTCTCACTTGTGTGATGACGTTCAGGGTTTGGCGAATGTTGAGCAAGCCAATAAGGTAAGGCTGTATGCGGTACAATTCTCACACTCGTTGCTCTTTTTGTTGTAACCAGCCTCTTTAAACACTATGGCCTGACCCTCTGAACCAGCCACCTGACCATTCTTCTGACTTCCCAATAAGCCTTTGCCATCACCAAACATACTGGCCTCCATGGTCTTCATCTTTAATGCCATTAATTAAAAAAATATGCCCCACAGCTCTGCAAGAAGAATTCAGCAGGCAGTTGGCATAAAAAGGTTGGGAATGGTTTACATCTTTGAGCTTCAGTATTTTAAGTCTGCAAGTTCATGGAGTGCAAGGGCTGTGGACACCCTGCTTGCCAATTTTTCTGCCTTAACCGTTCCCTGCCCCCTTGTTGTTCAATTTCTGGCCAATGTCTAAATTTTCCAAAAGGAAGTATGGTCTTTTGCATTATGACACATGATTGCCACCCACTGGTTAAGAATGTTTTCACTATGAAGGTTTAGAAGGTTTGCTGTTGAGGCAAAAGTTACCCATTTCCCATGCCCCCAGTTCAGTTGTCTGGATATCCCAGAACAAGAAGCATTAACTGCTTCAATTTAAGTCAGATTCTCAAAATCCCAAAGGCATGTCTTTCACTTATCCCATAAAACATCTAATTAAATTATTTCATTTAATTGTACATCTTGAATTATTTGTTTGCATCTTGAATTATTTTTGTCAATGCGCATTTTCCAATAAAGGAGTAATCAGTGGTCTCAATGTCATTCAGATGAGGCCACCCTTATTTATCAGAGTTCTAACACCAATCAGTATTCATCCACAGGGCTCTTTAGTGGAACTGTGGCACTCTTTAGTGGAAATGTGAGTTTCAGATTTCTGATTAATAAAAATAATTTGTAAATATGATCACATAATTTTTGCAATACCGTTTTCTTTTCTAAGAATCACCTATAGAAACACCTACTACGTGCCAGGCATTGTTTTATGTGAACATTTCATGTATGTAACAGCCCCCCCTAAGGTAGAAATTGTTATTGTCATTCTTATTTTGAAGATGAAAAGCTGAGGCATGAAGAGGGTAAGTCACCATCCAAAGTCACCTATCTAAAAAATGCAAAGCCAAGATTCAAACTCAGGAAATGTGTTACTAGAATCTTATCTACTATGCCATGCTGCCTCTCAGAAAGACTATCACTGCTTCCTCCAGCCTCATCCTCTTGTCTTTTCCTGGGCTGGGGCCATCCTCACCCTGATTGGCTCTCCCCAAAGGCTCACTCTGACACCCATTCCAGTGCTAACCCTGTTCAGAGTGGACAGGAACTGGTCCATGCATCTCCTTAGATTTAACACGATAGGCTCTGTCTCTCACAAGGGCAGGCAGCAAGCAATTGTCTTTTAGAGGAAAACAAACCATTTGAACTAAATGTTGATTCTTGCTCTCTCTAGAAATGCAGACAGAAATCGGCAATCAGTGTAGTTGATGGATACCAGAAAAAGAAATAAAAGTAAGGAAATGAAGAAAAATTGGGCCAATGGCACTTTAAAAATTTCCCAAAATTTTGAGGACAACTTCCCTTTTTTTCAAGGCACTTGATGCTTCTCTAGATAGAAAAATTGTTTTCACCTAAAATATCACACTAGCTGTTCTGAAATCCTCTTGCTTCTTGGCATGCTTATTAAGAAATTCTGCTCTTGCAGCAACAAATCTCAGCTTTCTTTGCTTCTAGAGAACTTTAAAATCATTAACTATCCTTTAAAAACTCACTCTTGGAAATACATGTGGTCTCTTTCCCTATAACTAAATATTTGATACAAGCCACTATCAACTTGATACTGACAGTTTAAGGGTGTTGGGTACGATGACCTTTGAGGTGCCTTCTGGCCATAAGTACCAAGGAATTCATAAAGTTGGATTAAATGATAACAAAAATTGGAACTTTCCCTTTATCTTCTTTTCTTCTTAAAGAATAAGTTAAGATACATTGATTTCATTTCACAACTTGCACGGAAATGAGTGTTTTACTGTTGATGTTTTTATGATCTGTAGTTTCCATTCTTTTTAATAGCCTTGGTGCAGTATTAAAAAAACTATCTTGGTGATAAAAGTTATTTTAGAAGTAAAAGTTGCTTTAGAAAAGCAAACATGACTAATATAATCCAAGTTTTCTCAGGAAGGAAAGCGCTAGTGTGACTGGACAATGCTGAGACGCCCAAGAAGATGATTGACCTTCAATTACATTGAAGGGAATGACTGAACTATTTATCTGTGAGGGATTGTAAATCAGGAGCCAAGGGAAAGCCTTGGAAATTCAAATGTAAAAACCTAGTTCAGCAAAGGAGTTGTCTTAAGCAATAGTATATAAATCAGGCAGGGTTAGGTTATACTACAGTAATAAACAGCCCCCCCCCCCCCAAATATCAATGACCTAAACAACAGGAGTTTATTTATTGCTCATGATATACAACCAATTTAAGTTAGGAGGGGAGTTATGCTTCACGCAGTCATGCCACATGAGGTCATGATAGCACCGTCTTAACATGATGCACCTGAGTTCTCCTGGCAAAGGAAAAGAACATTCCAGATTCTGCATTCACAACTGAAGGCTCTCCTAGGCATGAGACACCATGCCTCTTACTGTGATTTATTGATCATAATAATGTATAGCCTCATTTAATTGCAAAGGGATCAGGAAAGTGTCATTCTGAACATTCTCAGAAAAGCAGAGACCTGATTATACATGAGTGTTAGAAGCCTCTACAACACAGCAATTGTGGACTGAATGCTTCATTCAGGCAATAAGCAAAAGCCTCCTTCAGCAGCGTATTATTTAATCCTCACATAACCCTGCAAGGTGTGGGCTTTCATGATCCCCCTTTCTCGGATAAGGAGACTGGGAATCAAGGAGGTTAAATAGTCTGCCCAGAGATGCTCCCCTTCCTATTAAGAGCCCAGTTGTAAACCTGTGCTCCTGACTACCATGTAGCTCTTCCCTGAGAGCTCCTCCAAGCCTTGGTTAAAGGGCCAGACCCTTTGCTCTCTGAGCAGGAGGAGAGCAACGTCTGCCCTCACTGACCCATTAATAGACACCTGTCAGTGAGGAAGGGAGGCTTGTTCACTTCAGGGAGCTGTGGTCGCTTCCCCTGTGCCACTGGAAAACTAATAATTCATGAAGTTGGCTTTCAGGTACGAGCAAGCTGGACTGAATAGTTGTTTCAAGTCATAAACATAGAAAAGTAAGTTGATAGGAGAAGACTATGTGGAGAAAATTTAACCATGTTAAATATTTGAATAAACATTTAAAAATACATAGCATATATAGGTGCATATATAATAAATTTGAGACAGTAGGCATGACAGAGTTCTGAAATAGTTTATAAGTATGTGAGTTGTAAATATCCCATTTATATTATGCATAGATTATAAGTAAAATACACAGAATTGATTCTATGCTCCATCATCTATGTGGTCATCTAATCATCCATCTCTCTAAACTAACGTCAAAGAGACATATAATTTAAAGCACATATGCAATTCTAAATTTTCTTGGATAAGCTTTTAAAAACTAAAAATAAATATATAAAATTAATTTAATAGTATATTTTATTTAACCCAGTGCATGCAAATATGATTATTTCAACATTTAGTCAAGTCGAAAATTGTTCCATCTTTTTGGTACTTAGTTTCTGAAATTGTGCATGTATTTTACCCTTAAAGCTAATCTCAATTTGGGTGCTAAACCTTCAGTGGAAATCCTTGCTCTGTATTCAGTTTATAAAAGATGCGGTTAAAGAAACCAAACTCACTTGTCCAAGGTGTTCCAAAGATACTTCAAAGTTTGCAATCGTTTAGTTAATCTGTTGACAATGGTTAGATTGCTGTTGTGTTTATATATAATGCTAGAAATAATGCATATGTTGGGCATGTACATTACAATATGATCCTGTCTTCCAGACCATAAACACAATTAGTTTTTCCTGGAGGATTCTAACTCACCATTGGGTACCTCTTATATGGAAAATCATTAGAAATGCCTGTCCTCTCTGCAACCAGCTGGGAAGAATTTTCTGTCAAAAGCTAGAGATGTTTGTGTGTTTTTGTCAATGGGATCACAAACTTGAAGTCAGAACAGTTGGATTCTGGATATGAGTCTTCTTTTACCAGCTGTGTGATCTTAGGTGTTCTGGGTCCCATTTGGGAAATGAGGGGTTTAATTGCCTCCAAGCTTGATCTGTGCATGGAGCAATGTCGTTATGAGAATTCCCCACATTTTGCTCCCTTTTGGACCTCCCTAAAATTCCCCTAAGAACACCCCTCACTAGTAGAAATGTAGAATCCCAGACCTTACCCCAGATCTACTGAATCAGAGTCTGTATTTTTAACAAGATCCCCTACATTGGAGGAAAGTTGTAGAAAGACTGCCCTGGAGGATTTCTAACATTTCTGTGGGCTCTCATATTCCTTTTAAATATACATTAGAATGAAATGCAGATATTTTAAGATGATGTGGCCTTTCAGAGAGTAGTTGCATTTACTAGGATGTGAAAGAAACACTTTTCAAATGGTAACGATGTGAAGGTGTCCTAAGTGCTTGTGTTGAGTCCAGCACTGTGCTGGTAGCTCACGAACTCCTCGTGACAACCTGGAACCCCATGAACCCCATTTTACAGGTAAGGAAGCACAACCTGAGAGACATGAAATTATCCAGGCAGGCTTGCGTGGCTAGTGATTGTGAAGCTTGGATTTGAGTACAGGTCGTCTGGTTCCAGAGCTTGCACGAAATCACTGTGCTAGTAAGAAACAGAGTTCGAGGTTGAACCCGGGTGACTCAGCATCAAGGAATGGGCTCTCTCTTTGGGGTGTGTGTCTGTGTGTGTGTGTGTGTGTGTGTGTGTGTGTGTGAGAGAGAGAGAGAGAGAGAGAGCTTTCTTAATTACCACACCATACTACCTCCATTTTATATTAAACAGAATATTGGAATCTTGACCTTTTTCTGTATTTAATTAGATGCTGCTGTTTAATAACCTATCACAAAAGTTAGGCAGGCATTCACACACATGGCGATGAGAATTCCCCACATTTTGTTCCCTGTGAGCCCTCCCTAAAACTCTCCTGAGAATACAACAGCTGCATTTAAAGAAGCTGAATCCCCTATTGCAGATTTTATTCCTGTAAAAATATATTGAACTTGACGAAACAGAGAAAATGTGGCCTGCTTAGTCAGTTACCCTGACACTATAGCTCTTCACAAAAGTTTTAAGATATGATCATATATTTAATATAATATACTTAGTATAACATGATATATGTGCTATACTATAGCATAGTATGTATATGTAATATATATAATATACAGTACAGCATAGCAATTGTCTACCAGTGACAGATTTATTTTTAAGTTTTTTATTGACACATAATATTTTTACATATTTTTAGGATATATGTGGTATTTTGTTACATGTACAGAATGTGTAATGGTCAAGTCAGGGAATTTAGAATATCCATCATCACAATCATTTATCATTTCTATGTGTTGAGAACATTTCTAGTCCTCCCCTCTAGCTATTTTGAGATGTACAATACATTGGTGTGAGCTGTAGTCACCGTACTTTACTATTAACATTAAAACTTCTTCCTTCTGTCTACTGCCTGTTTGTACTTAACTAATTTCTCTTCACTTACCCTCCCAGACCGACAAACATCTGCATCCTTCCCAGCCTCTGGTAACCACCATTGCGCTCTTTTTCTCCATATTTTAGGTCCCATCTGTGAGTGAGCATGTGCGATATTTCTCTTTCTGTGTCTGGCATATTTCATTTGACATAACTATCTCCAGTTCCATTAAGGTTGCAGCAAATAATATGATTTCGTTCTTTTTTATAGCCAAATAGTATTTCATTGTGTAAATATACCACAATTTTTTAATCCGTTATCCATTTATCCACTGATGGGCACAAGGTCCGTTCCATATCTTTGCTATCGTAGATAGTGCTACAATAAACATTAGGGTGCATGTATCCCTTTGATAGACTGATTTTCTTTCCTTGGTATAAATACCAAGTAGTGGGATTGCTGGATCATACGGTAGTTCTATTTTTAGTGATTTTTTAAGAAATATCCATACTGTTTTCCATAATGGCTATACTAATTTACTTTTACACCAACAGTGTATGAGTTTCCTTTTCTCCACATCCTTGCTAGCATCTGTTATTTTTTGCAATGACTGATTTCTATGAACAGGAGTCTTTGGAGCCTTCCTTCATAGCCATCGTCTCACACAGTCCTCACTGGTGCTATTACCAGCTCCATTTGCAGAAAAGGAAGCTAAAGCCAAAGCTTAAGTGAGTTCCTGATAAATAGTCCATATTTTACCTCAGGTCTTCTGATTCCAGACATCACGTGGACTGTCTGAAAGACGCAAAATTAGACAAACAGCAAAAAAGAGACCCTGTTGGTGTCCAACACTTATAATGAGGCTCACTTCTGAGGACACGTGCAGCCTAAGCAAGGCAGCCACTGCCTCTCACCTTACAGCTTGCTGGGCTGATAATGGCCATAGGGGATCCTCAGCCAATGAGGGGTAAGATCTGTAGATAAACATCCTTGGGTCCAGCATCCTTGACCCTTAATGGACAATTCTGGGGGATGTTTCTCACTGTCTCTTAGAGAGTCCCCAGTAGGATTGAGCTCCAGTTGCCCACAGTGGAAGTCTTTCCATGAATGCACCCTTTATTGGCTTGTGTCCACACCCTGTCTTACTTCCCAACTCCCTCACTTGTGATTCCTGGCATAACCTCCCAAATAAAAGAGTTTCACCCCAGTTCTTGTCTCAGGGGACCACAAAGAGAGTGACTATGTGGCCCCGTGAAGATGAACTTGTGACAATGGCATGACCAAGGTTTACCACCTGAGCTCTCCCTGTTAGCGCTAGTTACATGTAGCATGTGAGCTGGGTTCTTCTTTCCCAGTCATTTTCCTGTCTTAACCTTGGGGTGAAGGACAATGTTCTTGACCTAGAATGGCCTAGGCAGAGTCTGATAAGATTGTTGTGGATGCAAAGGGAACAGGGTTGTGGTTGCTGAGCATTGCATCCAGTGCGTACCTTGTTCCCTTGCTGCACTCTCATCATGTTTGGATTCAGATGAACTTTGATGTTCTGTGTGAGGTGGACGTTAGCACTGTATCTGTACTGAGTTAGGCGAGGCGGTCCCGGCAAAGTAATTACAAGGAAATGCTGTATTTTAGATTGTTTGAGTTTTCCAATAGAGACATATCAATCTTGCTTGGGAATACTTTGACTTGTGCTTTGTGATCAGATTTCCCTGTGCTTCTGGTGAAGCTTATGGATTCATGAGTTAGCTCTGCAAATGGAGAGTTTGTGTTAGAAGTCAAATCAGTTAAAGCTCTTTGATACTGCACATATTCATGGGCAGAATTGCTGCAAAAATCCTCTAAACACATACGAGGAGCTACATTATACCTTTAAGTGGCAGGATCAGCTTCGTGACAAAAACCAAACCAGGAATGAGAGGGGAAAATAATCTAAATGTGTTAAGGGAAGTATGCAAAATGGCTGAAAGCTGACAAATGGCAGAGCCAGAACGTGAGTTCTGCTGATTCCAGACATCCTGCCTGATGAACATAAAATTGGAAGGAAAAAAAAGTAAATGAGCTATGATGAGACCAAGTGGCCCATATGGGTATCAAACTCAACAGGATGGCATGACCAGGCTTTTTTACTCAGGCACAAAGAGCTTTTGAGCATTGTTTGATAATATTCCAAAAAGAAAATGATAGAGCCAAATTTCCCAAATGTTCCATGTAAAACTAGGAAATGACTGAAGCATTCACCCTCATTTCTAAGTATTGTAAGTGTCTGGATCAGAATCCATTGCCATGGCTTATTCATTCAGAGCTTGTTGCTGGGGATTGGGATGCTTAGACTGGCAGGACTGGTGTCTCCTTGGCTAGACAAAGATCCTTGCATGGCATTAAGGGAGCCTGTCCTGACATTTCATAAAATCATTTCTGAACCGTGACGTTTCCAGTATTTTATTGTGAACATTTTCAAACATAAAGTTGAAAGAATTTTACACTAAACCACCATGTGCCCATAACCTCGATTCTACAGTTTACATTTGACATTTCCATATACTTGCTTTATATATATAAATATACACATCACACACACACACACACAGTCCCTGCCTCTATACATCCACCTTACTTTTTATGCATTTCAAAGTAAGCAACAGATATGTAACACTCCACCCCCTAAATAGATCTGCATGCATATTGTTAATTAGAATTCAATATTTGCTTTTGGTTATTTTCTTCTTCAGAGGAAAATTTACATACTATGAAACCCACAAAGCTTATGCGTCATGTTTACATTTTGACAAACATATATTACTTTGGTGCAAAAGTAATTGCTGTTTTTGACATTAAAAGTAATGGCAAAAACCGCAATTACTTTTGTGCCAACTGAATACAACTGTGCAACCCAAACCCCCATCAAGATAGAAACCATCATTATGACCTCAGAAAGTTTCTTCATGACCTTCCTAGAGGCCACCAATATTCTGATTTTTCCCATCATAGACTTGTTTCAAGTTTCATTGGTTCTAGAATTTTATATGAATGAAATCGTATGGTATATATATTTTTGTTTGATTTCTTTCACTCAGCATAAGATTTTCTTTTTCTTTCTTTTCTTTTCTTTTTTTTCTTTTCTTTTTTTTTTTTTTTTTTTTTTTTGAGACAGAGTCTCACTCTGTCACCTAGGCTGGAGAACAGTGATGCAGTCTTGGCTCACTGGACCTCTGCTTCCTGAGTTCGAGCGATTCTTGTGTCTCAGCCTTCTGAGTAGTTGGAATTACAGGTGCACACCACCATGCCTGGCTAATTTATTGTATTTTTACTAGATCTATGGTTTTGCCATGTTGGCCAGGCTGGTCTCGAACTCCTGACCTCAAGTGATCTGCCCACTTTGGCCTCCCAAAGTGCTGGGATTACAGGTGTGAGCCATCACACCTGGCCAGCATAAGATTTTTTAGATTCATTCATGCTCATACATCAGCATTCATTTCTCTTTGTTGCTAGGTAATATTCTGTCACCTGGTCACTTGTATAGACCATATTTATTATCTACTCTCCTATTGATGGATGTCTGAGTTGGTTCCAGCTTTTGATTACAATGAATAAAATTGCTATAAAAACGTTCATGCACAATTCTGTGTATAGACCTGTTTTTCTTTCGCTTGGGTAGACTCCTAGCAGTAAAAGGGTATGTCATGGGGTAGACTCATATTGAGTGTTATCAGAAGTGTTCACTTATTTTTCTGAATTGGTCGATCCTCTTCCGGATAACGCGTGAGAGCAGTGACGGCTTTGCATCCTCACAAACATTTGCTGTTACTGATCTTTTTAATTTTAGCGATTCTGGTGAGTGTGTAGTGGCATCCCATTGTGGATTTAATTTGCGTTACCCTAACTACCCATATGTATGCTTATTGACCATTCTGTTCTGTTCTGTTCCTTAAAGGAACATTTTGTTCGTTTATTGGCTTTGTTTGTTTTTGGCTTGGCTAAAGTCAAACTTGCATCCTCCATCTGACCTGAGATGAGAGTCAGCTCAAATAGGGATACCTGGAGACTGCTCACGCGTGCATGGTTCGGGGGTCAACATCGGCAGAGTTTTGGGCAGAATTCATACACAGAAGTTGGGGCTTCCTGTCACTGAGTCTCTTCTATCTGGATTTTCCTCCCTTAATTTCCAACAGCTACTGTTGTCATGAACTCTGTTCTCTGTTCTGTAAACAAGCAGTCCCCAACCTTTTGGCACCAGGGACTGGTTTCATGGAAGGCAATTTTTCCACATATTGGGGACGGGGATGATGGTTTGGGGGTGAAAGTGTTCCAGCTCACATAATCAGGCGTTTGTTAGATTCTCATAAGGAACGTGCGACCTAGATCCCTCGCATGTGAGGATCACAATTGGGTTTGTAGGTTTGTACTTTGTACTCCTATAAGAGTCTAATGCCACTGCTGATCTCACAAGAGGTGGAGCTCAGGCAGTAATGCTCACTTGTCAGAGGCACATCTCCTGCTGTCCGGCCAGGTTCCTAACAGGCCACAGACCAGTACCGGTCCATGGCCGAGGAGTTGGGGACCCCTGCTATAAGCCACCAAGACTATGGGTTTTCAGTCAGAATGTAGTTTCCCATCTGGCACTGGTTGGTCCTCTTATCAGGCTGAAAGCCAGAAAAATGGGAAATTTACCCAGTGTCAAATTCTTCCAAGTGTTTAGCCTCCAGTTTTTTGTTTGTTTGTTTGTTTTGGTTTTTTGGTTTTTTTTGAGACAGAGTCTTGCTGTTGTCAGCCCGGGCTGGAGTGCAATGGCGAGATCTTGGCTCACTGCAACCTCCGCCTCCCAGGTTCCAGCAATTCTCCTGCCTCAGCCTCCCAAGTAGCTGGGATTACACGTGTGCACCACCACAGCAAGCTAATTTTTGTATATTTAGTAGAGACGGGGTTTCACCATGTTGGCCAGGCTGGTCTTGAACTCCTGACCTCAGGTGATCTGCCTACCTCAGCCTACGAAAGTGCTGGGATTACAGGTGTGAGCCATTGTGCCCGGCCCAGGTTTTTCATGCATTGAAGTTCACACTCCACATTCCCCAGGTAGTTGTTTATTATATGTGGCCAAAAGTTTATAGCAGTTTTCTACAGGAGAATTGGTCAAACAGGGGCTACTCAGCTATACCAGAAGTAGTGTCTTCTGCACTATAAATTTGAATGGCTTTAGAATATTCCATTGTATGAACGAACACACCTTCTTTTATTAACCTTGCCTTCTATGGATGGTTATTCATATTCTTCTTATTGTTCTCTGTTATGATAACTTTGCCTCTGACACAAAATCAACCTCACTGTGATGCATACTGGATGTGGAACTGAAGCAAGGGACAATTTATCTGAGCTCAAGCTTGCTCATCTGTAAAATGGGATAATTATAATAACAGAAAATATGTGCTTTAATGAGACTTAAATGGAAATAATATTTCCACCAAATGCAAGTAGTAATTTAGTGAAACAATGTGTGCAAAGTACCTAGCACTCTCTGGCATGTAATTAACTCAAATTAGGTGCTACTTGGTTCTCTTTGTAGTTGTCATTGTTACCATTATCCTTGCTGCCTACACTCATAAATGTATAAATAAAAGATTGGAGAACAAATGGCATGTACGCAAATGTGTTTCTTCCTTTTTATAAATAAACATACCATGAGGATTTTTTATGTCAGTCAAGTTGTTTTTGAGAACATGATTTTAATGACTGCATAATATTTATTTGGATGATCCATGGTGTTGGAAAATAATAAGTTACATATCTACCTTATATAAATTTCTCTGGGGAAACAAGTCATTAAAAACAAGCTTATTTCTAATTTCAGCCTAATGCTGATAGACAATGTCAACTGGATAAAGTTGAGTCGCACATTTCAGTAGCTAGAATGCTTTTTAAAAGTACTTTCACGTTTGGACTAATAAAAATGACATATCTGTCTCATCCCTTTTCAAGGAAGCTGAAGTGCCTCATCAAATTTATTTTATTAGGATCCCGACAGCAATCTTGTGGCCTGGGTGAAGGTCAAGGAGGTTTTGCCTTTTGCAGAAGGGAGTAACAAGTGATGTGATGATAAAGTGTTCTTTCTCTCTCGGTTCATCCATGGTGGGAAAGAGCCCTTCAGCTCATTCTTCAGTTGGAGGTGGTTCAGGGCCCCATGTTGCTCAAATTGGTGATGACAGCCAGCTGTTTGGTCCCAATTCGCTGAGACTAGGAATTCAAACCCAGGAAAATTGAGACACCTGTGTATGAAAAGCATAAAGAGAAAATTTGGTTGCCCTCATGCTCACTCTTATGCCAAGTATTTATTCAAGAATTAAATGAATAAGAATAGGGATTTCAACTACGTTCTATCCTCCTCCTCCTCCTGCATCTGCCTGACCTTCTTGGGAGCCAGATGTTCCACTGAACACTTTGCATGCACTGTGACTATCTAATGCAATCCTTGGGACAGATCTGTGAAATAGAGTCTGTTATTAGTCCCGTTTTAAAGATGAGGACACTAAGATTCAGATGGTTTAAGTAACCTGTCCAGTGTCCACAGCTCCTGTATTAGCTGAGAGTCTTGTGCCATTATATCAGAAAAGTCTGCTTGTGTCTTACAGTCTTGATCAGAAACAAGTATATCCCTCAGAACATAGAGGCGGCAATGGGGGGTGACTTTGTTCTAACCCACAAGGAAGATTATTACATGAATAGTATGGGAATCTTGGCAGAAAATTAGTGGGTTATTTTTTAGTCCTTATTAGTAAGGACTCCAGGCAAGATAGAGTTTTGTTTTGTTTTTGTGTTTTTTTTTTTTTTTTTTTTTTTTTTTGAGACAGAGTTTTGCTGTTGTTGCCCAGGCGGGAGTGCAATGGTGCAATCTTGGCTCACCGCAACCTCTGCCTCCCAGGTTCAAACGATTCCCCTGCCTCAGCCTCCCGAGTAACTGGGACTACAGGCATGCGCCACCAGGCCCGGCTAATTTTTTATTTTTAGTACAGACGGGGTTTCTCCATGTTGGTCAGGCTGGTCTCGAACTCCCGACGTCAGGTGATCTGCCCACCTCAGCCTCCCAAAATGCTGGGATTATAAGCATGAGCCACCGCACCTGGCAAGATAGAGTCTTTTAACTTTGAAAAGTTAGGATTCAAATCAGTCTAGCCATTGAATCGTATTTATTGAGCACCTGCTGTGTATCAACCTCAGTAGAAGACCCAAGAGATATACTGGTGAATGGGATAGACATGGTCTATATTTCAGAGGCCTACTAGTATACAGTTGAAGACGGGCATTGAACACAGGATCACAGCTATGCTAATAGGGGTGTTACTGCAGGGCCATCCAACCTAGAACAAGGATCATATTACCAGCGTTTAGAGAATAGGGTATACACATGCTTTTAAATGCACAGAGTGTACCACTTCAGAGAATACTGATTTCTCCTTAGTTTGGGCTGCTATAACAATACCAGTGACTGGGTAGTATAGAAAACAAACATTTATTTCTCCCAGTTCTGGAGACCAGAAGTTACAGATCAGGTACCAGCAGGGTAGGGTTTTTGGGGAGACCTGTCCTCTTGGTTCACAGACAGCTGCCTTTTCATTGTAAACTCACACAGTAAAGAGAGAGAGAGAGAGAGAAAGAGAGAGAGAGAAAGAGCTCGCAAGGATCATCTCCTTAGAATGGTACTAATTCCATCATCGGGTTCCACCCTCATGACCTCATCTAAACCTAATTACCTTTTTTTTTTTGAGACAGAGTTTGGCTCTTGTTGTCCAGGCTGGAGTACAGTGGTGTGATCTCGGCTCACCATAACCTCCGCCTCCCAGGTTCAAGCAATCCTCCTGCCTCAGGCTCCCAAATTGCTGGGATTACAGGCATGCGCCACCACGCCCAGCTAATTTTCTATTTTTAGTAGAGACGGGGTTTCTTCATGTTGGTCAGGCTGGTCTCGAACTCCCAACCTCAGGTGATCTGCCCGCCTCGGCCTCCCAAAGTGCTGGGATTACAGGCCTGAGCCACTGTGCCCGGCCACCTAATTACTTCTTAATGGCCCAATCTCCAAATGTTATCACATTGGGGTTTAGGGCTTCAACATAGTAATTTGGAGGAGGACACAGAAGTTCAGCTCGTAACATTCCACTCTGCCCTCTCCCCACACATTTATGTCTTTCTCACATGCAAAATGTATTCATTGCATCTCAACAGCCCAAAAAGTCTTAACTCGTTCCAGCATCAATTGTCAAACAAGCTAGTACAGGAGTTGAACATTTTCCAGATTCAGAAAGATCTCCCTGCCCTTAATCCCAGCATTTTGGAAGGCTGAGGCAGGTGGATCACTTGAGGTCAGGAGTTTGAGACCAGCCTGGCCAACATGGTGAAACCCTGTATCTACTAAAAATAAAAATAAAAAAAAAATAGCCAGGTGTGGTGGTGGGTACCTGTAATCCAAACTATTTGGAAGGCTGAGGCAGGAGAATAGGAGGATTGACTGAACCCGGGAGGCAGAGGTTGCAGTGAGCCAAGACCATCGTGCCACTGCATTCCAGCCTGGGCAACAAGACAAGACTGTCTCAACAACAACAGAAAAGAAATAAAAACACCAGAAAGATCTCACTAAACTGGAGCAATGGACTAAAGCCTCAAAGAGGAAATTTCATTTATAAGGTTAGGCTGTAGAAGTAAGTACAGAATCAAGAGATTTGGCATAAGAAAAACCTACGTGGAAAAGATCAGAAAAAGTCCCTCAAGCACAGAGTCAATATTAATTAGCAAAGCATTCGGTGCTGCTGTTTTAACAGCAACAGTGAATTCGCACGTTTGTTTTTCAGGCCATGCAAAGGGAAAAATGATTTATGTCTATTCCCAGACAGTGTGTTTTAAACGGTGTCTTCCCTTTCAAGAGACTTTTCTAGTAAGAATTTTTTTTAATAGGGAAATAAGTAATAACTTTGAGAGCAATTTAACTTGATCATGAATCAGAATGATTCAGAACCACAAAAGAAGCTGATATTCTTTCATGTTCTCTAAATATCTTCACTAAATGTAAAGTAATTGGACATTTATAAGAATTCAGACTCTCCCATAACAAAAGTAATACCAATCATGGGTTGGTATAGGATGCACAGTTTTAAATACAGCATCTTACTTGATTCTCAAAATACTCTTGGGAGAAGAGCCCAACTGGTGTTTTTATGTGTAGTCACTGTGTGTCCACCTGTTTCAGTAAAGCATTAGGACAATTTACATAACTCTATACCGTACAGTATAAACAAGGCTGTGATGAAATTTGAAAGGAAGACAATAAGGATAGGAGAGCTATAAAGAAGGCAAAACAAGTGAACACAATTCCAATCTGTGTAGTCCTGCACATTTGCTGGAGGTGGAACAAAATCCTTGCCCCCATGTTATGCATATGGAAATTGAGATTTGGAGAGATTACTGACATGCCCAGTATCACAGAGCTAGTGAGTAACAGAGCCCAAAACACATCAGCCCCACCGAAATTCTGTTGTTTTCTCTAGTACTCTATGCTGCCTTCCAATAACATGAAATATGGAATTTGTATTGGAAAAGATGCCAACTCGCAGAGAAACTCGATAGAACTATAGTTGGAAGTGTCTTTTCAATATGAGCCTCTAGCTATAAATGGATGAAATTTCCACTCCCTCAAAGCTTAGAACTTTCTTACTCTTAGCAGCTCACTAGTTGTTTAACATACCTAATATTAACCATCTGGTCAGGGAGCTAAATACAATGAAGGGCATCCAGCTATTATCCCACCCATTTGCCTATCCCAAGTTATGTTTTATTAGGTTGAGTTGTCAATTTTAAATAATCAAGAAAGATAGCTCCAGGTAAGTCTCACTATCTCGTTAATAACCCTTTACCAATTGCAGCTGTTTCGAGACCAGACCTTTGCAATGAGTTTAGAAAGCTGCTGTGGACCTATCATAATTTTTACTACACTTTGTGGCCACATGAACTGGCAGAAGAGGCTGTCCTAAAATCCTAATGTGGCAAAAACCAATTTTCAGAAGTCAATTTGGATGTTATAGGTAGCGCTCTTCACACCCAATAAATTGCTTATCTTTGGCTTTGAACTGATGGGCACGTACACAAAAGATTGGAGCCAACTGATTGCATTATTAGCTGAGGAAAAAGTGTGTGACTGTGGCGAATTTAGCAAGGGGTAGTCTGGAGAAGGATCTGTGACCTGGGAAAAGTTTGTTTTGACGTGGAAGGTCAGGAGTTTTTGTTTGTCTCTTGTGTCCCTTTTTACGTTCATGTCTGTCCAGAAGTATTCATCTTCTCTTTGTGGTTTAAATGCCCTGGGCAGCTGAATTACTGTGTGACCTCCTATTGTCAGAGCATCTTTGTGGAGGAGAACCCATCACCTGTCTCTCGAAAACAGTTGTCCTTTGAACTTTCAAGATTATGGGGAAAAAATGTACTTATTTTCTCAATCATGGAGAGCATGTCCTTTAGAGATACCTTTGGCTGCAGATATGTGACACAGCTGATTTAAAATAGCTTAAGTACCCAGGTGCAGTGGCTCATGCCTGTAATCCCAACACATCCGGAGGCTGAGGTGGGTGGATCACCTGAGGTTAGGAGTTTGAGACCGGCCTGGCCAACATGGTGAAACCCCGCCTCTACTAAAAATATAAAAATTAGCCAGGTGTGGTGGCAGCACCTGTAATCCCAGCTACTCAGGAGGCTGAGGCAGGAGAATCCCTTGAACCCAGGAGGCAGAGGTTGCAGTGAGCCGAGATCGCACCATTGCACTCCAGCCTGGGCAATAAGCACAAAACTTCATCTCAAAAAATAAAATAGGTTGAGTAAGTAGAGGTGTTTTTCTTGCCTAACGAGAAGTCTCAGTGTAGGTGATGCTGGGTTTGGTTCAACTATTCAACAGTGCTATGAGAAATTCAGGCTATTCCTCTACTTCATCTCAGCATCCTTAATTGTCTGGCTTTAATCTTCATAGTTTTCCCCTTATATTGGTCTGTTTTCATGCTGTTGATAGAGACATAGCTGAGACTGGGAAGAAAAAGAGGTTTAATTGGACTTACAGTTCCACATGGCTGGGGAGGCCCTAGAATCATGACAGGGGGCAAAAGGCACTTCTTTCTTGGTGGCGGCAAGGGAACATGAGAAAGAAGCAAAAGCAGAAACCCCTGATAAACCCATCAGATGTCTTGAGATTTATTCACTATCATGAGAATAGCACAGGAAAGACCAGCCCCCAGGATTCAATTACCTCCCCTAGGTCCCTCCCACAACACGTGGGAATTCTGGGAGATACAGTTCAAGTTGAGATTTGGGTGGGGACACAGTCAAACCATATCACTCCTCATGGTGTGCAAGATGGCTGATACATGTCTAGCTATCATGTCAGCAAGACTGGGAGAATGTGGAAAGGGTGAGCCAGCCAGCCATGCTTGTCCTCTTTGGAATAAGAAAGTCTTATCAAAAACCACTAGAAGTCTACTGTTTGTCTCTCATAGGCCAGGACTGTGTTATGACACAGCTATGCTTAGCTGCAAAGGAGGCTGACACAGCAAGCATTTGGCTGTTTTATTTGTGCCTTAAACAAAATACAAGCTCTACAGCAAGAAGAAGGAGAGAAATAAATGTTAGGGAGATGAGCAACCATGTCACTATGGGTTGTATAGTCAAATACATATATTTGGGAAACGTTATTTTCTTGCTGACAGAACTTCTCAGAGGTCTCAATATGCTAAGACACATTGAAGCTCTTGATGGGGAATAGTCATTATATTTGGCATTTTGCCAGAGTAAACAAAGAACCCTTAATTTATTCTTTAGAATACCTATTAATTCAGAAGTGTTCTGAATGGCGTCATGAAATACTATGTTAGTGCCAGCTCACATCCTTTGCTGAGAGAGTTAAACGTATTTGTCTCAAATCAGCACAGCCTTCTACAGCTAAGGCAGGTGTACTGGCTGCTCCAATTGAGAACAAACAAGGCACCAGGGCCTTTGCATGTACCCCATGATGAAAAGATGGTGGCCTAAGTGCAAAATGGTTAATGAAATACCAAACTCAGATACCAGGCCACTGGTGTCTTCCAGTTCACTACATGTTTAAGGCAAAAATAAGAGAGCGGTTTTCTCAGACAGAGTCTTGAGACTACAAAACAGTCAAGACATTTCCCCAAGCAAACTCAGAAAAATATTAAGCCTAGACAATGTAGAGCGTTAGTAGTTAGGGAATGCAGTATTTCAATTCCAGATCTACCATTTATAAGCTGTGTGTTTTTGGGTAAGGTACTCTGAGACTTAGTGTTCTAATCTGTAAAAGGGGATAATTCCTTCCACTGGAGTTCTAATTAAGACTCATTAGGGTGACGATGGTTGTAAAGTGCTTATTGCAGTACAGTGGAGCTGTTTCTGTCCCAGATCCTTTATCAAGGATTGAGCCAAGCGGAATCCTTGTCTTTGTTAGTCCAAATTGGATTCCCCATTCCTCAAGGTCTTGTATAGCTTAACTTATAACTTTCAAAGCAAGATATCCTGACATTGCTGTTTTGACCTTGACATTTAAACCATGCTTTGAAATTAAGTTTTGTGTCTTTACCTTGCCAGTAGTATTTGCTCCAAGAAGTAAGTGCACACCACCAGTCTCAAATTCAGTTCATAATATTGCTGCTAAGAATGATGCACACAAAATAAAACAAGCAATGGCAAAAACTGGGCACAGTAAAATTTGCTGGAGATAGGAAATTGGCTAAAAGATCAAATATTGCTGGCATCATGAAAAACCACAAAAAAATCCTATGAAGAATTAGACTTGGCAGAAAGAACGAGAGCAAAATAAAATTATAATGGCCAAAACTACATAGAAGAGGTTTTATTATTGACTAGAAATCAATGCAAATATAAAAAAAGACTTCCTGTCAAAAATACACAACCGCAAAACTGGCTTTGGCGGACTAAGGCTACCAAAGAAAATCCACAAGTCAGCAGTTGCCATTGGTAAAATTTAACTTGGCAAAAAACAATCAATGAACCAAATAGTTGACATAAAATGTACACACAGCACAATTAATCCTGATGAAAATAATTCCAGCAAAGTAAAATTGATTTTTTTAATTCAGTTGTTTATGCCATGTAGGAAACTGATCAATGACTTAATTTGACGTGATAAAGTTTGCTTTGAGAAACATTGGATGAACAATGTTGGAAAAAGTCTGACTCATTTTATTGCTTTGAAATATATATAAAAAGCTAGCAAGGTCCAAATGATAGGATTAAAATATCCTATACTCATTTTAAATATACAATGCTTAGCACCAGCTGGACACGGTGGCTCACGCCTGTAATCCCAGCACTTTGAGAGGCCGAGGCGGGCAGATCACGAGGTCAGGAGTTCGAGACCAGCCTACCCAACATGTCGAAACCCTGTGTCTACTAAAAATACAGAGATTAGCCAGGTGCGGTGGCATGTGCCTATAGTCCCAGCTACTCAGGAGGCTGATGCAGCAGACTCACTTGAACGCGGGAGCCGGAGGTCACAGCGAGCCAAAACCGTGTCATTGCACTCCAGCCCGGGCGACGAAGCAAGACTCCCTCCGTCTCAAAAAAAAAAAAAAAAAAAAAAAAAAGCCTAGCACCAAAGTATTAGCAAGTTCCTGTTATTTATTAATGTTCTCATACTTTCATTGAATTTTTAAACCTAATGATGTTTATTTTCAAACACTTCAGTCCATTTATTATTGAATATAAAATGGGTGCTAATTACAAATGGGTCTTATGTATGCCCTTGGGTTGTCTAGCAAGATGGTTTCATAGGTAGTAATAAGAGCAGCAAGAGAAGAAAATAGTGTGGCCTTTACCTTTACTGAACACTCACTTTGGAATAGGCCTCATGCTTGGGACTGCCTCCGTCAGTGTGCAGCCTTCAGCGGCTACATTTGGAAATGGTACAAGTATTAGGTTGGCGCAAAAAGTAGTTGCGGTTTTGCCACTGAAAGTAATGGCAAATACTTAGAAATATTTAGAATATTTAGAAAGTACCTGCTGTTCTGACTATCTTAATTCAGATGTGCACTCACCTTTTGGCTCACGACAACAAAAGCCTTCGAAATTCCTGCCTGTTTAGTTTGTGTTGACACATTGCAGATTCAACTCTGACATGTTATTTCCTTATGCTGAGGGTGTCTTGTTGAGTTTCATGGGTTTTGTGCTTCCCTGGTGCCTTATTAGGCTTATAACTCACAGAGCTATGAGTTTAAATGTCAGGGTTGTCACCAAAACAATGGAGCAAAAAGCAAGTTGTTGACATTCTTTGGACGCAATTTGCAATCCCCTTTATTTTCCTGTAACGTTTTTGTGTTTCCAGGTGACAGTTGCCCACCGAACCACAGAACCACAAAGCCCAGAGTTTTAGTTACATACTGCTGCTCTAGGATCAGTAGCCCTTAGGTCCAAAAGCCGTTTCTGATACAGCCTTGGGCAAGCTGGTTCCTTCTCTGAGCCTGGGCCCCTGTCCTATAAAGTAAAGGTGTTATTACCCTTCATAGGATTGTTGTGAGAACAAAGTATTTACATTCTTCATATAATCAGAACTTTTCCAAAAACATGGGATCTTTTACATGGCTCAACATGTTTAAAGCTGTTTATGTTCATCTGATATTTTAACATTTTGTAGAGTAGAAAATGCTTCAAGCAAATAAATGAGCTTTATGGTAATTTTTTTTGCCAGCATTTAGAAGCTGGTGGTTAATAAATACTAATATGTATTTAGAAGTTTAGAACAGAGATTTTTCAGCAACAACCACAGGCTAGATATAGCCCACTACCTGTTTTTGTCAATAAAGCTTTAATGGAACATAAGCATGGCCATTCATTAATATATGATCAATAGATTTTTTTTGGTACAAGGGCAGAATTGAGTAGTTGCAATACAAACAGTGTGGATTACAATGCCTAAAATATTTACTACCTGGTTCTTTATAGACAAAATTTACAGACTCCTGAGGCAGGGTTTTATCAATTCCTTTCCATGTCTATGGATTTAGATATAAGCGTATATTTTGTTAAATATTACAGCAGACTTTGAGGTGGCTATCATCTCCATTTTACAGATGTAGAGGATCAGGCTCACAGGTAGTGAATGGCAGAACCAAGGATGAATTCCAGCCCACTAACGTCACATCTCTATTTGATCATTAGCGTATAGACTTTTGGTCCTTCATAAATTTTACTTTATAAAGATATTTTACGTTGTATAATTGATGTCATGGCCATATTGTTTAATCATCACTCACCATGCACCTATTGTGTGGCAGGCACTATTCTATCCATTAGGGCACAATAGTGAACGAAAAACTTGCTGCCATCAGAGAACTTGTGTTCTGGGCTTTCATGCACCTGCCTTGCAGGCGTCAGGAATCTGAATCACACTCATTCCCTCCATCACTTGGCTCACCAGTGGGACCAGACAGGAGTCCTGCAGTTTCAGCAATGAACCCCAGGGCTTGGTGCCTGCTCTGGAGGTGGGGAATGGGGTTCACAGTTTAGTGGAAGATTGCCTTTAGGGAGCACTCTTGGTTTCTAGAACCTGATATAGATGAGGGATGTAATGAATTCGAGTCTGAATGTTTATTTGCCATGGACTTCTATCTCACGACTTTGCTATAAGGGCTACACGTCGGAAATGGGATCTAAGTAAACGTAGAGTCCACAAGTTTCAGGACTTATATAGATGAGTGAATCTCAGATTTTCACGTGCATACAGATTACCTGAGGATCTTGTAAAAAATGTAGTTTCTGATTTCAAGTCTCTGGGATAGGGCCTAGGACTCAGCATTTATAACGACATCCTAAGAGATGCTCTGAGGACCATACTTTGCATAGCAAGAAATGAGAACAGTCCAGGAGCCTCTAAGATCCCTCACATTTGAGGCTAGAAGCATGTAACATGAATGGGTTCTCAAACCTAAAAGTCAGGGCTTGGGCATAAACTAAAACTGTGATCACCTCGCGTAGATTTGAGGCTTTGACTGGTCGTCAACCCCACCCACAAAAGCCTACAGCTTCCTCCTACCCCAGGTCCCAGCTTCTCCACTTCTCTCCAACTACCTCCCACTTTTCCTCAATTTCAGGCTCTTTCGTGCCTCCAGCCCAGTCTACAGCATGTTCCCTGGTTCAGACCATCCCAATCAGACCCCTATAGAGATGCCAAGCCATTCGTTTGTGGGCCGGGCACGGTGGCTCATGCCTGTAATCCCAGCACTTTGGGAGGCCGAGGCGGGCAGATCATGAGGTCAGGAGTTGGAGACCAGCCCGACCAATATGGTGAGACCCTGTCTCTACTAAAAATACAAAAATGAGTTGGGCATGGTGGTGCACCCCTGTAATCCCAGCCACTTGGGAGGCTGAGGCGGGAGAATCGCTTGAACCCAGGAGGCAGAGGTTGCAGTGAGTCGAGATCGCGTCATTGCACTCCAGACTGGGCGACAAAGCGAAACTGCATCTCAAAAAAAAAAAAAAAAATAAGTGCTTGTCTCTGCTCAAAGAGAAGTCAGAAATGGCAGCAACATTCCTAGCCCAGGCTCTGCACTCTCGGTAATCCCTCTGACTGACTCTCAAGTCTTCCCCGTCTGTCTGCTCCGACTGCACGAGTTGGTGATTAAACTTTAAAACAACAATTAGACCCTTGATTTTCAAAGCAAACTTGGTTTATAGACCAGACTTCAGCATTCATTACAATACAGACTAATAAAAACAAATCCGGAAACATACGCTTTTTAAGCTGTGGTGGTGTGAAATCTGTAACAGCATTAAAACCATTTTGAAAAAAAAAAAGTCATTTGGGAACCCCCAGCAAAATACTGTGTGGATATTCTTTTCTATTCCTCATTCAAGTATATTGCATATATATAAACATAATATATATGTTTGTTACTGTAATTTTTCTACTTATTATATAACATTTTCTATGTTGCTACATGATCTTTGTAAATATTATTTTTAAAGACTGTACAATATTTCATGTAGTTGACAAGCCACAATATTTGTAAACATAAAACATTTCTCCCCTGGGAAATATTTTAGTGATCTCCTTCTTCCTTTCTCTCTCTTCTTCTTTCTTCCTTCTTTCCTTCCTTTCTTTTCTCCTTCTCCTCCTCTTTGCTTTTCCCCCTACTCCCTTTTTCTCCATCTTCTGCTATCAGAAAAAAAAAAATTCCATGAGCACTTGGTAACCATCTACTTTATGTTGAATTATTTCCTAGGGTAAATTCTCAGTCAGTAGTAGGAGGCATATTTTTCCCATTCAATGTAGTTTGAGAAGCCCAATGACCAAATCATGAGATGTTGCCATTCTCTATGAAAATCACAAAGGATGACTCCCTAAATACATTTTATGTCTACAGAGAAACTGTATAATTCTGACATTAATTTCAGTTCCTTACAACTGCCTTCATTCCTTGGGGAGGGTACTGAAATGAGCTCCAGCTGGAGACTAAGTCAGCTCAAGCCACTAAGTCATGGGCTGGTCTTGCACAAATTATTTTCTGTTTCTCTGTTTCTGTAAGCTTACAATTTATATATTGTATATTTTATAAACATACCTCATCAGATAAGGTTATAGTGAAAAATATATCTGCTAGGGTATTCACTTCATAAGGGAAGGCTTTTTTGTCTGTTTTGTTCACTACATACTATATCCCCAGCATCTATAGCAGTGCCTGGCACATGGTGGGTGTATAATAACTGTTTGTTTCATGATTCATTTTTTAAAAGATCTAGAAAAAGAAATCTTTACTCCAAAGGGTTTGAAGCAGTGATTCATAAGTATTTTAAGAATAAATGTATCTTTCACACCTGTGTGCCTATAAATATAATTTCACAAATAATTCTAGTAAGTTCAGAGAATCTAGAAATTTTTTTCTGTGCATACCAGGCAATGCTGGCATTAAAAATTTATTTTGAAAATCCTCTAAGTTCTAATTCACTTGACATTATCCTACCAAGTTAAAGAACCATGAAATAATAAGTAATTCATATCACTGCATTCATTTCTCATTATGGACTGTCAAAATTGACATTCTTGTTCCCGTTTTATAGAAGCAAATCTTAGACTCAGAAAATTTCAAAGAACTTATCCAAAGTGACACAATTCTTCAATAGAGAGCAGGGACTACAACCTAAATTTTCTAATTCAAGTCCAGTAGGGTCTGCCTTAAATGCCTCCCACTGTCACCGTGTTGATTTGTATAACCTTTGTCTTCCTAGCATTTGATTGACGGCTACTGTTAGTACAGATCATCTGGGCTCCTTGTAGTGATGGACACATTTTCATGAGGCAAGGTCTTAGATGATTAAAACAAGGCAGATGCTAATGCCATCCTCACCTTCATCTGGAACTGTCTAACTAGAGTTCGTTAACTTGTCAGCCCTAGTTCCTTTTGAGCACCAGGCTGATATAATAAAATATTGCAAATCAATAGAAGCTTTAAAGAAGCTTCATCTGTCTTTCTTTGTTACTTTTTTCCTTTCTTCTTCTTTTATTACTACTTCTTTCTTTGCCGCTTTAAAGGGAAAACTGCTATCCCTCTTATTGGCTGTACAATTCTGTTTTCTCTGTTTATTTTGAGTTGTTGGAAATTCAGGTACATCCAGGTTTTCCCAAATACACCTATTATTACCCCAAAGAGTAGGAAGCCGATCTTATCTAGATTCACTCACCAAATCTAGAATCTCCCAAGAGACTCCAAATTTAGTACATTAATTTTTCTTAAGTATAACATTGCTCAGTAACTATGTGGGTGAAGATCTGAAAGTTCTGCAGCACTGTTTCATTTATAAAAATAAAGGTAACGGTACTTTTGCGCAAGATTTGTGTGGAATCTAAAAACTTCCCCAAGTTAGTAAGGAAGGCACTGTGATAGTATCTACTAATGAAAATGTGAGCACAGAGATGGTTATAAAATACCTTATTTTTCTCTTCTTCATTATTATTGCTCATTTCATTTGATTAGCAATTTCTAGACTCACTCAACCTCCATCTATAAAAGAAACCATTAGTCTTTGCCTATGTCTGCTAAAGCGAACTTCTTGTTCTGTCTCATCTTCATTCCCTACTCAGTTTCTGTCTTCTCCAGCCCTTCTTACATTATTGAAATAATTGACTCTATCAGGTGGATTTCTCCAGTTGAACACATTTGGATTTGTCCTGTGGAAACACCATAAGTACTTTTTTTTTTTTTTTTTTTTTTTTTTTTTTTTTTTTTTGAGGTGGAGTCTTCGTCTTTTGCCCCGGCTGGAGTGCCGTGAGTGGCACAGTCTAGGCTGACTGCAACCTCCACCTCCCGGGTTCAAGCGATTCTCCTGCCTCAGCCTACTGAGTAGCTGGGATTATAGGCACCCACCACCATGCCTGGCTAATTTTTTGTATTTTTAGTAGAGATGGGATTTCACCGTGTTGGCCAGCCTGGTCTCGAACTCCTGACCTCAGGTGATCCACCTACCTCGGCCTCCCAAAGTGCTGGGATTACAGGCATGAACCACTGCTCCCAGCCCACCATAAGTACTTTAATATGCTAATTTATTTCAAACAATATGGGAATCAGTTCAAAGCACATAGTCTCTTCCATGCACATCTTCATGCCGGAATTTGCTAGGCGCTTGTACCTCCACTCCCTTCTTCTCAGTCCTTTGTCCAAGGAATTCTTCCCTCAAAGAGTTCTCAGTCGGAAAGCATGTATAAGACAAGAAAATAAATGGATACCAAAATCAACAAGTGAAGTAAATTCCCAGAAAGCACTTGCAATAGTATATGATAAGAAGTGGGAACTCCGTAAAAGAGGCAGAAAGGAAATACCTGAAAAGGTTAAGCAAGCGAGTAATAGCCTGGAGAGAAGAGTTACAGAAATGTTTCATAGAAAAGGTGATCTTTGAGGTGAGCTTTTATGAATAGGCAAAATTTGGGTAAAGAGGTAGACCCATTTTTAAGAGCAGGGTGACATGAAAATCTCAGGATATATTACTCAGCAATTAATCCTCATTGTTGTAACAAATAGTTACAAAATTCTCGTTGCATGGCTCTGGCTTAACTGCAAAGCAAAGTAGAAAATGGAGAAGCTCCCAGGCAAGGCCAACAACGCCTGGTCTGTGCTGCACGTGAAGATATCTGAGCACTTGTGACCCCTGCTTTGCCCTCTTTGTCATTGCAATGGGGTTACTGGGAAAGCCTCTCCCATGGTGGTTGACAAGAGGGAAACTTTGGGAAATGTTCTCAGGAGTAACCCACATTATTTTCACGCCTGAAAGATGCAAGGTTGGATAGAGAGAGAAGTTGGGCTGTGGTACGCTTACAACAGAGATCTCAACTGACCCTGCAGAGAGCTTTAAGATGAGGAGAACCCTTCTGTGTTGTCCTTACTCAGGACAAGGAGCTGAGGTCTTATGCCTCCACATTGACTAGTCATTGAATGTAGGCTCATTTCAGGAAGGGAGTATAATCTTGGGAGAGGTGCTGTCTTCAGCAGAAGGCAAGGCCTCTTAGTTTATAGCTGTCAGCCTCCAACTTCCCAGTGGCTGAAAGAATGAATGCTTCAGTTCCAAATAAAGGGATCTGAGCAGCAAATCCCATCGTCCTGTATTTTCATTGAAGTAGCATTTCATAACCAGTAACAACTGTCTTCCCCTGAAAGTGTGGTTTAAATTTAAAGTTGGTGACTTCCTTCTGACTTGTCAAGGCGTGGGCATACGCAATTTTTTCCTCTATGGTTATAGCTTCCAAACTGTTAGCTATATAGATACCTACTTTTTAAGATAAGTGAGACCTCAATCACAATTAACTCTGTAAGTTATTGAAAACCGGTTTGATGATGATCATCATCATCCTGTGTACACCTTGTGTGAGCTTGAGGTCCTATTGTAGGATTAATCATCAGAGCAGTATCTGCAGTCTGCAGTGCATTTCTTCTTCTTTATTTGTTTAGAAAAATCCCACTCTTCCTCCCAAAATTAACTTTATTGTCAACTTGATAAGAAGATTTCTGAACAGAAATAAAATAACCCTGATTTGTGGTGTTTGCCAATTACTGTGGTATAAATACTCACACTGTGGCTGATGCCAAGCTACAAACATGACATCATGGAATTGGAAGAAATAGTAAAAATCATTTATACCTTCTCCAAAACACTCACTGTTCCCAAAACTTTCACCTCAATAATTCTGTCCACTGGTATATCAACATGGTACTGGTGTAGTAATGATCCATTCCAGGTACGGACAAAAAAAGATAAATAAAACAACAAAAAACTTACTAAATGCCATATGGTTTTATCATCTTGTGCTGGCAATTTGTAAACATCATCAGTGATAAAGTACTTCTCCCAAATGGGATGAATCATACCTATCCTCACCCTGCTTTTGGACACTGGTATATCCTCTCAAAGGCATTAATAACTATGTTATAATGCAAATATCACGTTATCTTTCTATGATTTTTCTAACCCAATAGACTGTGAGTTCTTCAAGCTTATGTATTTGGGTACAGAACACCTCGCCAAAATCCTTGGCATATGGTAGATGCTCAACACAGGTGCACTAACTTGTTAGTTGAAGTGACCGGTACAACCTAGTTAACTGAATCAGAACCATGAATTCAGAGGATAGTAGTAAAAAATCAAGTTCATGAAGTTTTTAATGAGCAGTATGTTTTGCCTAAGACTCTATGATTCTCACTGTGGAATGAACCACATAGACTCCAGAATGTGTCTTTTCTTAAAGGCAATAGAGGCATGCAGTGAATAAAATGCACTGAGAGAAGCCCATAAAACAATATTCGTAAGTACAGAGAAAGGCAATATTAATGCCAATTTCAGGGGATCTGTTCAAGTTCACCGGAAGGCAGAGTTTTTAGCAATTTTTTAAAGGTTGAACATGTCTTTAGGAGGTAGCAACAAGACAAAGGTCCAGGAAGAGGGTGTGATGCAGTGGGGAAGCATGCAGTCACCTTGTGCCGAACTTAACAGGTCAAGAACTCCGTATGTGAATAATGGTGGAAATATGTGGAGTTACAGGTACAACTCTGTAAGGGCATTAGCCTGTACCAGCTATCATTGCGTACCAGGCTATGTGTGGACTTTGTCCTTGTGAATCTGGTAAAAGTTAATCATCAGGTCTCAGGAGTTCAGCAACCGACCATCATGAGCTATATAGTATTAGTCTGCAGCTCTACCTGAGAGCAGCCCAGAAACCAAATAGGAATATATCAGACATTATCCCAGAGAGAAGGCTCAGTCAAGGATCTGCAGCTGGGACCTGCATATCTTAATTCCCCTGTTCCTGGGAAAGTTATCCAATAGCTACTGAAATACAAGATGGAAGGTATCCTCTCTGTACCATAGCTAAAGGATTGCTCACAAAAATGAAAGTGCAATTACAGAAAAATTATCCTTGGGCTATGACCACATCTCCTGAGTATTTTATTGCCACCACGACTCATGATTTCAATTCTCAGGACTGAGTATCTCTGCTGAACGCAAATTTAAATTCTTAATATGAGAAGCTGCGCTTTCCAGTCGTGTGTCAATGCAAAGTGAGCGGATTTGGGTTTAACTCCCTTGGACTGAGTGCAATTATATGTTGGGAGGGGACTAACAAGGTAGCCCATGTAACAATACTGTCGTAATTATGTGCAATATTTTCATTTTTACTTCTGATCAACCGCAAGAGTAGATTGAATGCTATTGTTCAGTTTGCACTTAAAAATGATGATTTTTTTATACCTGGAGTTTAACATCTGAGTTTTTGTTTAAAGGAAAAATTGTCCTTGCCTTTGAAAGTTAGGGTCATGTTAAAATATTTACTAATTCTCATAAAATATTTTTTTTCTGAGCACGGTTGAAAATAAAAATATCTTGGTCCTGTCCTTTGAATAATGTCAAGATTGAGTGTACCTCTGGAGAAATATTGATAGAGACTCAAAGCAATACCACTCTCCCTTGTCACTTTTCTCTGTGTACTGTGGACAAGTTGCTCAACCTCATTCAAACTCAGTTTTTCTCAACAAAATTTGATATCACCATAAAGGAGGAGACTCGGTTGCCTTTGTTTTTATTATTAAAAGGAAGCATTGAGTCTAACTGATATGAAACATTTCTGTATATGCCTAAGAACTTATGAAGCTCATAGGATAAGAATTCTTGGCAATCCAAATAATCTCACATTGTCTCTAATCTGTTATAATGCTGCTCTTGCCTCATAACTTTTGTTCTTTGTATTCCTTAAAAAGACCTAAGAGAGCTCAAGATTATGGGGTGCTGCCAAATATAACACTAGTCTTCTATTTTTATTTTTAAATAAAACTTTGTAATTGGTAAAGTCACAGAATCAGTGTGCATATGATCAAAGTCTATAAAATAATGAACCATGCATAATTGCAGCAGAGTTACCAAGGAAGGCTGTAAGGATGATCTCACTGGTGCAGCCAATACCCCAGTAATCAATATGGATGCCTGGGTGACAACTCCTTCCTTCCTAACTTTCACAGCTTGCCTGACTGGGATAGCCAAGGAAGGCATCTGTGAAGAGGCAGCATCTTTAGAGTTTATGTGGGAAGTGCACTCTAGGTAAGACAGATGCTATATACAAAAGCAGGAAAATGTAAAATTTGTTCGTAAAGAGCAACTAGTTGCATTTGATCTAAAGTAGATGATTCCAGTACAAAAAGGAAATTACAGAAGTTTTCTCAGCTCCAATTTTAGAGAGCCTTTAATATCATGCTAAGAGGGTAGAGTAGACCACATTCCACAAAGAAGAAACAGTATTTTATTTGTTCATTCCTTCTTACAAAAAATATCCACCTAGTACCTACTCTGTACTAGCTTAAAGGTAACTTTTGAAAAAAAAAATTTTATAATGCCTAGTCAAGAAGCATATCTGGATGGAATGAAGGAGAATGAGACTTCAGGGCAGGAAAGAAGGCAAGTTAGGATACTATTGGGATGGTCCAGATAAGAGAGAGCACCGTCTGAAGGGTCTGGCTTATAACAAAGAGGAAATAATCTTTGAGACCAAACAGAAAAGTGTAGCCTCAAGAAATATTCTTTGTCATCCTAGTGGTTGCTTTAGAATTTGTAGTATACATCTTTAACTTATCACAGTTCGTGTTAAATAATATTATAGCATTTCATATATGGTATAAGAACCTTACAGTAAAACACTTTCATTTTCTCCTTTCCCAGCCTTTGCACTACTGCTCCTCTGGTTTTTAGTTGCTCATAGGTTGTAAACTCTACATTACATTGCTATTATTTTTTACTTTAAACAATCAATTTTCCTTCTAAACATAGAAAAAGGCATATTTTTCCACATATACACCACTTTCTGTGCTCTTCATTCCTTTGTGTAGATTCATATATCCATCCAACATTATTTTTGGTTTGGATGAAGGACTATTGAACATTTCTTACAATGAGGTTCTGCTGGTGATGAATTCCTTCGCCTTTTGTATGTGCATCTGAAAAAGTCTTACTTTTGCTTTCAATAATGGGAGATATCTTCACTGGATACAGAATTCTGAGTTGACAAATTTTATTTTTCTTTGAGCATTTCAACGGTTCACTCCATTATCTTCTGACTTGCATTGTTGCTAACAAGACATCTGCTGTCATTCTTCTCTTTTTCCTCTGTGTGCCATGTGTCTTCTTCCCTCTAGCTGCTCTCAAGAATTTATTTTTATTAGTGGTTTTGAGCAATTTGATTATGATAAGAAACATTTTTGAGTGGAGAATCAAGGGAAGGTTGAAACAGATAAGACGTCAATGCTGGGAAAAAAGGTTAATTGTGAGACTGGTTGTTCCTTATTTGAGCCTGATAATAACAATCTCTTCAGGTACAGGACAAATGTCATGACAGAATGCACTTTAAAAGAAAAATAATAGCTAACACTTGAAGATTGCTATATATACCTATGTGTGTGGGTGTGTATGTATACATACACATATACATATATATGCACATACACACCCACACACACATACATAAAGATAGTGTTCATACATATAAGATCTAACTTCTAAGATATATAAGATCCTATTCTAACATATTTAATATGTTGCATATATTAGAATATATATTTGAACAGTATCTCATACAAAGTATGTTTACACAAAGTAGGTGCTCTTTAAATGTTAACTATTACATAAATGTACACACACACATTTTACACTAAAAACAATTCTATGATGTAGGTAGTATGATAATCTTCATTTTACACATTTTTTTTAAGATGGAGTTTCACTCTTGTCACCCAGGCTGGAGTGCAACGGTGCAATCTCAGCTCATTGCAGCCTCCGCCTCCTGGGTTCAAGTGATTCTCCTGCCTCAGCCTCCAGAGTAGCTGGGATTACAGGCACCTGGCACCATGCCTGGCTAATTTTTGCATTTTTAGTAGAGACAGGGTTTTGCCATGTTGGCCAGGCTGGTCTCGAAGTCCTAACCTCATGTGATCTACCTAACTCAGCCTCCCAAAGTGCTGGGATTATAGGTGTGAGCCACCGTGCCGGGCCTCTACATATTACTTCTAATCCTTAACATAACAGCCCATGATTCCACTCTTTCAATCTCGTTTCTTTTAACTTTGAACCATTCTTTGCCAATTACTTTACCTACCTGTGTCTCAGTTTCTTCATTTGCATCATGAAGCTAATAATAAAACCAAAAGGCTGTTTTGAGTATTAAATGAGATAATTCATTTGAAAAGTGCTCAGCATAGCGCCAGACGCGGGAGAGCACTCAGTAAGAGTGAGGAGGTGGTACTGTTATCGCTGCTGTTTTATGCTTTCTTCTGCCTGCGAGTTCCCACTTGGTTCATTCAAAGCACCCACACTGTCCTACAAAGCCAAGTTAGCATGCAGCCTACTGCCCTGATCATGCAGTCACAATCTCTGTTTCTGCTAACAGTCAGTAAACACAATTTAGCATCTCGATGGGTTTCATTGCTCCACATAGGCTCATTTAGACTTTTCAACTAGATTAACTCATCACTCATTCAATTCGTGTGCTGTCTGAGGACACACCAGGTGCCAAGGACTGTTCTGGTTTACTAGGGTTAGAAAGGTAAATAAGAAAGATAAAAATTAAATCCCTGCCTCATGGATCTTATGTATGGGGGTGGGGGAGACAAACAAAAATAATATAAATAAGTAAAATATGTGGTATGATAGATGAAAACAAGGGACATAGATACAAATAAAGCACAGAAGGGAAATAGGAAGTGTTGGGGATACCATATATTTTGGATACCGAGGTCAAATTTCACTGTGTGGGCAGGATTATCTCACCCATTTCAGAAGAGAGGAAACTGATGCTCAGAGAAGGGTGGTGAATTTTTTCATTTCATGCAGCATTGGTTTAGAGACAAGATAGAAATCAAGATTCTCCAACTTACAGTCCAAGACATATTTCTGTAGCGGGCAGAAGCTGAACTCTATTTGTGCTCCTAGGTGGAAAACAATGGTCCTGTAGTCCTCATCACCATTTCCCATGTCTGAAACTGTCTTTGTCTACCTCTTTTCAGTTCTTCTCAACTTCATAACCTATTCTTGCTGTATCTAAAAAGCATTAATGATCCACTGGCATAAGAATTTTGGGTTAGCTCAAGCCAGGTAGGATAGACTTGACCATATGTTCGTGCAAGTTACAAACAGCCATCCCCTTAGGGTATACACTTGCAGCACCCATGGGTGTGTGGTTGCAGAACACAGGGTAAATTTCAGCCCTCAGCCACTTCCTGCAGGGACTTTTGTACAGCGTACAACCTTTACCACCATAAATGGAGGCTTTTTGTATTTCACACATCATTTAACTAGTGAAAGTTGCATAATAGATACTCAGTGAATCATGGATGATTGAATTCTTTCTCATTTTTCATTTCCTATATGATTCAGATCCTTTATATTTCAGTTCATGGTAAAGGACAAAAATTATTTGTCAAATATTGATTGAGCACCTACTATATGCCAGACACTGGTCTAGGCACAGGGGTACAGCTGTGGAAAACTGACAAAAATCCCTGCATTTATGGGGCTTACATTTATAATATATATTTATATATCATTTGTCTCTTCTTAATAGAAAAGTATATAGAGGTATGTATATATACATACATGCACATATACTATATACTATAAGTATATATACTTATGTATACATATACATATACAGATATATACTTTATGTGTATTATATATAGTGTATTGTATACATGTTTATATACTATATATGTGTAGTATATATAGAACACCATATATATGCTTATATACTCTATGTCTATTATATATAGTAATGTATATATTTAGTATGTTAGATTGTGATATTGCCAAAAAAAAAAAGAGTAAAATAAAGCACAGGAGGGGAAATGAAGTTTGAAGGATGTTTTAGAAATACTGGGTAGAGGCTGGGCGTGGTGGCTAATGCCTCTAAGCCCAGCACTTTGGGAGACCGAGGTGGGTGGAATCACATGAGGTCAGGAGTTCGAGACCAGCCTGGCTAACATGGCCAAACCCCATCTCTACTAAAAATACAAAAATTAGCTGGGTGTCGTTTTGCATGCATGTCATCCCAGCTACTGAGGAGGCTGAGGAAGGATAATCAATTGAACCTGGGAGGCAGAGGTTGCAGTAAGCCGAGATCGTGCCCCTGCACTCCAGCCTGGGAGAGAGAGTGAGATTTCATCTCAATAAGGAAATAGTGGGTAGAGTGGCCAGGACAGGGCTCATGGAGTAGGTGACTTGTGAGGAAAGGTCTGAGGAAAGTGAAAGAACTGCTGTGGAAGACAGAACCAAGGCCCCAGGATTGTTCACATTCTACTCCTTGGAACCTGTGAATGTGTTACCTTATATGGCCAAATAGACTTTGCAAATGTGATTCAAGTTAAGGATTTTGGATTATGTTGATGGGTCCAATGTTATCACCAGGGTCCTTATGAGAGGGAGGTAATGTGTCAGAGCCAGAAAGGGATTTGAAGATGCTACGCTCCTGGCTTTGAAGATGAAGGAAGGGTCCATGAGCCAAGGAATGCAGGCAGCCTTTAACAGTTGGAGAAGGCAAGGATACCTTCTGGTGTACATCTTCCAGAAGGAACACAGTTCTGATGACACCTTGATTTTAGCACAGGAAGGTCTGTTTGGGACATTCGACCCCAGAAATGTAAGATAATAAATGTGTGTTGTTTTAAGTCGCTGAGTTTGTTATGACTTGTTATAGCAGCCATTGGAAACTAATACAGCAATTCTGTGGCTATCTGGCGGAAGAGATACCCAGGCAGGGAGACCAGCAAATCTGCAGGCTCTGAAGTGGGGGTGGGTCTGGTGTGCTCCAGGATGCCAGTGTGCCTGGACTGAGCTGGAGTGAGTCAGGGGAGCTTGCAGTAACAGGGGCAGAGTGCAGATGACATGAGATTACATGACACACTGTAACCCGGAACAAGGACACTGGCTTCACTCCAGGTGCTAGGAGATCGCACTGGAAGCTACGAAGCAGAGGAGGGACATCACCCAGTTCACGTTTCAACAGGACCGCTCTGGCCACCCTGGGGGAGGGTGGTGAGGAAGAGGATGTAGAGGTATAGTCAGGAGATGTGGAGCAGTTAGGAGGATTGTGTTTTGATCCAGGAAAAGATGATTTTGGCTTGGAGCAAGGTGGTGGGAATTGGATAAGGGTAAGAGGGTAAGAAATAGTTATATTGTGAATGTATTTTGAAGATGGAGGTCATTAACCAGAAAAGGGTAAATGTGATACATGTAGGCTGAACTGGAAGAGACAGTGAATAAAATTCCTTTGCTAATTAAACTTTCTTTTTTTTTTTTCTTTTTCTTTTTTTTTTTCTTTTTCTTTTTTTTTTTTTTTTTTTTTTGAGGTGGAGTCCTGCTCTGTCACCCAGGTTGGAGTGCAGTGGCACAATCTCAGCTCACTGCAGCCTCTGCCTCCCTGGTTCAAACAATTTTCCTGCCTCAGCTTCCGAAGTAGCTGGGATTACAGGAGTGTGCCACCACGCCCAGCTAATTTTTGTATCTTTAGTAGAGATGGGGTTCCACCATGTTGGCTAGGCTGGTCTCAAACTCCTGATCTCAAGTGATCCACCCACCTCAACCTCCCAAAGTACTGAGATTACAGGCGTTAACTGAACTTTTTTTTTTTTTTTTTTTTTGAGACAGTCTGGCTCTGTTGCCCGGGATGAAGTGCTGTGGCGTGAACTCAGCTCTCACTGCAACCAGTGCCTCCAGGTTCAAGCAATTCTCCTGCCTCAGCCTACTGAGTAGCTGGGACTACAGGCACGTGCCACCACGCCCGGCTGATTTTTATATTTTTAGTAGAGATGGGGTTTCACCATGTTGGCCAGGCTGGTGTCGAACTCCTGACCTCAAGTGATCCACCCACCTCGGCCTCCCAAAGTACTGAGATTACAGGCATGAGCCACCGTGCCCGGCTAATTAAACTTTTAATGTGGAAAGACAGCACATGCAGGAGATAAGAGGTAGAGTGGGTGATGGTCCAGGCTCTGAGCGGAATGGCCTGTGTTCAAATGCTGGCTTCTCTAACTTACCAGAATTACGTATGTCCTTGAGCAGAGTGTTTAACCTTCCTGTGCCTCACTTTCCTCATCTGTAGTATGGGATACATCACAGAAATTGTGTATCAAAGGGGGAAAATGTTTGCAAGACTTAGTGCCTAATTCACAGTAAGTGCTCAAAAAATGCACACAGTAAGTGCTCTGTCATTTTCTAGAACACATTGATGTTTAAAAAAATTTTCCTACTTGTAAAACAGTCAAAGAGTTCAGTGTGAAGTATTTGCAAAAAATTTGAAATAAAAAATTACTCCTTTCCTGTGGGGCAAGTTCACAGAATAGCTGGTATGCTGACAATTTTCTCTTGGTCCCATAATAGTTTTTCAGAGTTTCATTATAAAATAGTTGCTGTATTTGCCAATGCAGACTTTGAAGAAGGAGACTGATCCTTCTGGCTTTTAAAGAAGAATGAGTATTACACGACCATTGAATATTTATAACACTCTCTTCTCTTTTTAAAGCTGTTGTTGTTTTACCATCCTAACATCAAAACCACTGGGCCCAGGGAAACCTCAGATGTGGGAGAATATCAAATGTGGAACTTTTCCTTGTTTTTCCTGGTGGATCTGACACACCTTGGAACCTTCAAAGAACACAGTAATCAATGACGTGGGGAGACGTGAGACATCGCATACATTATTGTGAAGAATTTATTAATGTAAACTGCATGGTGTGGAATAGAGGTTGGGGCTGAATGAAAATGTGAGGCTCTGTAATGCGACAAAAAACACAGAGCAGAGAGAAGAGAGAGGCCAATGAAAGACACTTTGCTGATTTGGGACTTCACTAAAGAGAGCCACATAAAAGAGAAATTATTGTTTAAGTAGGTTAAGGCAACCCTAGTGTTTTAATTAAAATGTCTTTAGCAAAAAAGGAAGAAGAATAGTACTTGAGGTTTGGGGAAGGCTTCAGTGAAAGAAGAAATGTACCAGGCGGTGGCGGGGGTGGGCGGGGGAAATAGTGTAATTTAGGTTAAATATTGTGAATAACTCCCCAAGCCGAATAATGTTGAATTTCAGTCGTAGGAGATATTTAAGAATTGGTTGAACAAAGGGGGCAATTGACTTTGGTGGTTAGTGTGGGAGACAGCTTTCTAATTTTAGAGTTTGCAGCCATAACATTATGAAGCTAACGAACAAAAACAAGCCATGTAGATAAAACCAGGAGAAATAAGGATCTGAAAAATGGACCAAATCGATCGAGTTCTGGCAATGAGTGCTTCCTTTTCGTAAATACAAGGGCAGTGCTCTGCATCTTCTCCCTCTCTCATTTTCTCTGAGAAAGGAACGTGCCATTCTTTTTTCTCTCTCTCTTTTGGCATTCCTTTTTTTAACTTTTAAGTTCCGGGGTACACGCACAGGATGTGCAGGTTTGTTACATAGGTAAACGTGTGCCATGGCGGTTTGCTGCACCCGTCAACCCATCACCTAGATATGAAGCCCAGCATGCATTAGCTATTTTAAGAGGAGGATCGATTTCACCCTTTTTGGAAAACTCAATCTGGGGCCTGCTTTCCCCAGGATCACCGTAAGATTCTACCTGAGGAGCTGAGTTTTCCTAAGAATGAAAAAGCAAAGAGACCCCTGGTTTTGTATTTGATACAAAGTCAAACGCTGTTTTTCTCTGAGTCTGTCCTGGAATAATCCAGTGACATCCACCATCATCTGCATCTCCCATGGAACCACCACATGTGAAGTCGAGGCTGAGCGCAGGGTGGCTGCACCATCCACATCAACAGCCAGCACTGCCTTCTGCCAGTTTATGAGGCAATTCGGCTGCCAGGGAGAGGAGAACAGTGTCCCTTCCAATCCGATGAGTAAATGCCTCAGGTGTTAGGTAAAACCCCAAGGTTTTTCTCTTCTCTGGGGCCACCCTCAGGAAAGGAAAACTCCAAAAACTTCTTTGGGAAAAAGAAAAAAGAGGTTGCCATGTGATATTAGATGGCATGAATTAAATAGATACTACTTATTAAAGTTAAAAAAAAAATAAAGCCTGCATTTGCATGGTAATGGGACCTGGCAGATGAAACCAGAAATTGATAGAAACCACCCCCAAATCATCATCTAACCTGTACTGAAGAATGACGCACATAATGTACAACAGGCAGCCATTGTCATGTGTGTGTATGTCTGTGTGTATCTGTGTTATCAGGCAGGTAGTGAAGACCAGGAGGGAGAAAGTAGTGAGTCAGCGAAGATGGTATCCCAGTTAGAGAAACGACACAATGAAGGCATGAAGTCATGAGACAGTGTGGCATGTTTGGGCAACACAGATGTGGTTGGGACCACAAAAGTTGTGATCAAGGAAATGTGTTGGAACAATGTCCGCCTTCACAAGATTAAATTTGTTTCCAGTGATGATTTTATTCCACTGGTGGGTTATTTGTCAATATGTTACAGGACTTTTAAAATGTTCATAACCTTTGATCCAGTAACACCTCTTTTGCTAATCTATTCTAAGGAATTCTCATTACAGAAAAACAAGCAAAAGCAAATGAAACTCTACCTACAACGTCACTTTATTTGCCTTTCATTTATAGTAAGAAACAATTGGAAGCACTTAACATACAAGCAGGCCAGGCACCATGGCTCATGCCTGTAATCCCAGCACTTTGGGAGGCCAAGGCAAGTGGATCATGAGGTCAGGAGTTCGAGACGAGCCTGGCCAACGTTGTGAAACCCTGTCTCTACTAAAGATACAAAAAAAATTAGCTGGGCATGGTGGCATGTGCCTGTAATCCCAGCTACCTGGGAGGCTGAGGCAGGAGAATAACTAGAATCCAGGAAGCAGAGGTTGCGGTGGGCCGAGATCACGCCATTGCACTCCAGCCTGGGCGACAAGGCGAGACTCCACCTCAAACAAAACAAAACAAAACAATACAAAACAAAAAAACAAGCATATCAAGGGAATGATTTAATACATGTTGATACATCCACAAGATGTATTGTGCCGCAACTAAAATTATGTTTACAGAATCTTTGACGTGGGAGGAAAGAAAACTTGGGAAGTATCATTAGGTTCAAAAACCAAAATACAAAACTGCTCACACCCTTCCACTTCAACTTAAACAAAAAGTATATTACAACCTGGAAGGAAGTCCACTAAAATGCTATTCTGTTTGTCTGATACAGGATGGTAAATAAATTTACTTTTCTTCTGTGTTTTAATATATTTTTTGGAGTTTCTCTGATGAACCTATTCTATGTGGATGATTTTTTTTTTAAAAAAGTATAATCTGGTGTGGCAGTATGAGCCCAACATATAGTGCATCCCTCCTACCGAATGCTAAGCTAAAACTCTGGGCAGACACACACTCAAGTGCATGCACACCCCACACACAGACAGACAGACACACACACACATTTGAAAAATGTGAAGAGCAAACCAAAGCAGTTGGGTAGGTGGATTGAAGAGAGTCAAAACTTGGAGAGGTGATTTCACTGAGAAGAGTTTCCTACATTAGGTTATTTTTTTCTTCTTAGGCTTTGCCTTGGGACTGGGTTCTAGTCATACTGCAGGGGGTTGGCCAGGCAGGTAGCTAAGAGTCCCGTTGAATTTCCAACCTTCTGGCCAGAGAAACCAGGAAAAGGGACCCCTATGGGGAAATTTTGAAAAAGAGTTCGTTGGGGTTGGTGGTGGTTGTGGTGGTGGTGGTGGTGGTGATTCTCTCCTCAGCTAGTATAAATAGTTTGGTACATAATAGGTGCTCAATAAATACTTGTTGACTAAATGAATTAAATTTTTGAGAAAAAAATCCACCTTGGAGATTGACACACTATCTTCCAGGTAGACCAATGCAGCCTTCTTTCCAGTACAGGACAAGTTCTGTTTCTCCACTGGACACCAGAGGAAGTAGTTTGCATTTAGGAGGGTTTCATCTGAAAAATAGGGAAACTCCTATGTTTACACACTAGAGTCCTCTTCAGTGCAATGAGCATTCACAGTATGAGAGGCTGAGGAACTGAAAACAGGTGAAGAGACAGCTGAATTCTCTTTCTCTCTGTGTATTGATTCTGGAGCATTTGCGTAGTGAGTGGAATTTTAGGTGGGTTTTTTTTTTTTTTTTACAATCACATAATTCATTCCTCTGACTCTTTGTCCCTCCTCTTTTCTTTTCTTTTTTCTTTTCTTTTCCTTTTGCTTTTCTTTTCTTGAGACGGCATCTCGCTCTGTTGCCCAGGCTGGAGTGCATTGGTGTGATCTCGGCTCACTGCAACATCCGCCTGCTGGATTCAAGCAATTCCCTGCCTCAGCCTCCCGATTAGCAGGAATTACAGGTGCCTGCCACCACAGCCACCCAGCTAATTTTTGTATTTTTAGTAGAGACGGGGTTTCACCATCTTGGACAGGCTGGTCTTGACTCCCTGACCTCGTGATCCACCCACCTTGGCCTCCCAAAGTGCTGGGATTACAGACATGAGCCACCGCGCCCAGCCCCTCTTTTTCTTTTTATCTCTTTCTCTTCCTTCATTCCCCGGGTATGTAGTTAAGGCCATGGTTGTGAAGTATCCGCATGATGCATCTCCACTATACACCGTGCTTGTGGCAATGGAGGAGGCAAAGGACCACAGAGGAAGGACCCTTAGGTGGAAAAGCCAACTCTGTCCATGCCCCACCTGTAAATGTTTGTGTTGCAGAACTTTCCCCTTAGTTCAGCTAAAACTGAGTTCTTGTCAAACAACCAGGAAAGACTGGGCTCACAGCCACATAAAAGGGTGAGAAACAGAAGTTATTGGACAAAAAGGAATAATAACTCTCAGCAAAGCGAGAAAGGGTCCTGCTTGCAGGTCTCCCGCCTCATAGATTGAATCCCAGGTTACCACAGAAACAAGAGAGGCCAGGCTCCTCCCCACTGCAAAGGGCACAAACTTCCTTAGGCTCCACCCCATCCTCCCAGTGCACAGGTGGGCATTATATAGAAAGAGTTGGTCGGGAAAGGGTGGGCTTCATCCAGGACCAGCAGTCCAGTTTTTCAGCCTTCAGGCTATTTTAGGCTCGAAGGCAGGGTTTTGCTGGGGACCCTTGGCTGTCTCTTGTCTGTATCACTTAGGCTTTGCAGTTAGAACACATCAGGCCAGTCTCTGCATTTATTTGCCTTATCACAAGCCTAGAGAATGTGTACCCATCCCTAGGAGAGTCCTCAGTAAATGACTGATGGGAGCTGGGATATAAATCCCCCAGCTCCCTTGCCCTTCCGAGTCACAGGTTCTGCCCTGCCTCCTGGAATTCTCCAGTGGGAATGTACTTGTTAATGCTTCCCTCATCAGCTCCCTTCCCCTCCCTGCCTCACTTCCTCATTCTCCTGCCCACATTTCCTGGGATGACCCACCAATAAAGTACTTGCTGTTAAATCCTCAATCTTAGGGTCTGCTCCTGGGGAGCACAGACTAAGAGTATTGAGGTCCTGGTTGTCCTGATTCTACTATCCAGTGGGCTCATGTACAAAAAGGAAACCAGAAGTCACGAGGATCCCTCAGGTGGCCTACAGTAAAGCAGGGAAAAGATGAGGATCATAGCAGGGAATGTGGTCATAAAGAGGGAAGGGATGGATTCCTGGGAAATTTTCCCAGGTGGAATCTGTAGGACTTGGCAACCGCTCGTGAGTGCAGTATGGTGGGAACCAAAGAAGCCTTTCATACGATGTGAGTGTCTAACCCCTCAACTGCTGAGAAAAGGGATGCAGGAAACCCCATGGCTTTGGAAGGAGTAAGTGGGAAGGGCCGGATTTTCAGTTAAGTTTAGGATATGTTGAGTTTTAGGTGCCTGTGGATAGTCATGTATCATTTATGGTGACAGTGCCACAGGGAAGGTATGTGTCAAACCCCTAATAAATACCCACTGAATTGAAAATAATTCTTTTTCCAAGTGCGGGTTTTCTAACAGGGGCCAGCCAGACATTTATGAGCTCAGGCAGATGAGGAAAGCATGATACCTGGATCACGTGTGCTCACATCTGGAATACATGCGCAAATTAACACAGCTGTGGAGGCAGGAGTACATATGTGTATTAGAAAAACAAGCCCCACCTGTAGAGCGCTGCAAGATGCCTCCAGCTGGTCACAAGTAGCTATTGAACATGAATATTTTATCAGTGCCAGAGCAGATAGAGGGAAACTGTATCCATTATATTCTCATCACCATCACATGTGGTTGAACGGGCTTCCGACTAAAGAATCTAAACATGTTTAAAACATTTTTCACCTCCAGTAAAACTAGCAAGTCTTGATTTGTGTTGTTATTGCTCCTGCTAGATTCGTGAAATATTTCAGAGGCAATTGCATCTTGGAAGTGTGGTTTGGCAAATTTTCATCCAAAGCGTATGTTTTTGTTTTATTTTTTAACTAGCGGTTCAAACGTGGGGAAGTTGACATTTTAGAGCAAATGGTAGAATATGTGGGGTTATTTTCTGTTGCTGTTTCATTTTTAGGTTCAACTTTTCAAATATAGAGCTGGATTAAGTCTCACTAGTAGCAGAAAACAAAGTCTGTTTAAGTAAATGTGTTTTCAGGATGGCCCAACTGTACAGAAACTTGCAGATCTCACGTTCTGATCACTCCATCAACTGCTGCTTCTTTAAAATACTCAAGAGTCACTTACGATGTTTAATTGGCATGTCTGTCTTTCAAAATGAAAAGCTACAGGGTAGCTTGTGTTAACCACACAACAGCTGGTTTTGGTCACTTGGTAGGTGACAATCCAGTGACCACAACCAAGGAGGATTTAACAAGGGATTTTATGCCTTGCAATGCGGAAGAGCACTGGGGAAAGTTCCCGAAGGGGTGCCTCCCAGAACACAAATGAAAACAGGGCTTTTACTGGGCTGGCGAGCTGAGTCACTGTATGTAGAGGTGTAGTGAAGGCAGCACATGCTCAGTCACCGATCATGCTGCTACATACTTGTACATACTTACTGTCTATACATTACTCACTCATGTATAGGCAGTGGTGAATAAGCTCCTCCCTGGGCCTGGTTAGTAGTATGGTAATACAGATAGATAACCGAAGTACATTTCCAACTCAGACATCTCTGGATCCAACCAGCTTTTGTTTTGCCAGGGTCGGGCTTCTTTCTGAAATTTTTGAAACAAAAAAAACCAAGGTGTGACAGTTACAAGGGGCTACTTCTTCACAGTGCATACCCCAAAACCTTGGGACCCTGGAGCATACCCCCAAAACCCTGGGACCTTGGGTTAGACTTGGACTTTTCCTGTTTTCTTGTTACTCAGCAACCACCACAATGCCTGGTCCGTGGAAAATGGTCAATAAATATCTGTTGGCTGGATAAATTAATCCCTAAATGTATGTATTAGGTTGTTGCAAAAAAAAAAAAAAAAAAAATTAGCCGGGCGTGGTGTCGGGTGCCTGTAGTCCCAGCTACTCGGGAGGCTGAGGCAGGAGAATGGCGTGAACCCGGGAGGCGGAGCTTGCAGTGAGCCGAGATGACGCCACTGCACTCCAGCCTGGGCGACAGAGCGGGACTCCGTCTCAAAAAAAAAAGAAAAAAATAGAAATGGCAAGGAATAAAATTTGCCTTCAATGTGCTTATGGTCTTGGGAGGAGTAGAGTAAAAAAAATCCCTAATTTCTATTGATATAATATCATTGGATAGTGCCATGATAGAAGAATGTCCCATGTGCAGTGAGAATCTAGAGAGAAAATAAGTGATTACACTTAAAGTAGAGAGTCAGGGAAGACTTCCTGGGAGAGGTGACATTTAGACTAAAGCATAAATAATATTGATTTGTTTGCCAAATGGAGGAAGCAAAGAAGGATCCTGAGTGAAAGCATGATGTGTCTGAGGATTTGCAAGTCGATCATGAGGTTGCAGCATACATCACATGGGAGAGAGTTGCTGACTCTTCAGGAGAGCAGATCATGGTATGCTAGGACAATCAGAGTCTCCACTAGAGCATATGAAGGGCTTAACATAAGGGAGTGTCATAATTACATTTATGTTTGGTCAGAGCACTCAGGCATTGGATTGGAGAATGGAGTTGAGATGAGAAGCAGTGAAGCACTTGCTGTAGCCATCATAAAAACCTGGATCATATCAATAGATCGTCATAACTTGGCTTCAACAAGAATTCATAAAACCAACTCCTCTCTATTTCATAGTTTCATCATTTTATGGAATATCAAAAACCTAAAGAGAAAGAGAAATAAAAATAAACTATATGAACTTCTCCCTGATGAAGCATTCAGTCTTGTTTTCCTGGATCTCATGCATGTTAAATACATATTTAGATCTAAGCCACTATATCAAGGAAGTGAAAAACTCTTATTCCTTAAATATCAATATGTGCACAAATTTTCTTATACCCACATAATTTTAGTAAAACTTTGGAGAAAAAAGTTTCCAGAGTTCTAGGGCTTTGTTCCATTTTTGGAAACAGTAATTTTAGAACTCTCTGCTTTGCTTTACTTATTCATTTTATCTCCCGCTGGGTTTCCTTCTTGATTTCTATACCTTTGTGTCTGCATTAATTAATTTTTCTTTCATTTATTCACACATGCAACCATTGTGTATTTGGTCTATGTATCAGTTAGGGCAGGCTAATTACTCTAGCAAACCAGCAGTTAACAAGAAACCAATCCCGTTGGCAGGGAACTGCACTGTGTGAAGACATTCAGAGATCCAGGCTCCATCTATCCTAAAGCAAGCAAACAGGCTTTGAGAGGGAGACAGAGACAGAGACACAGAAAGACAGAGAGAAAAAGAGAGAGGAAGTTCTTGGTGATTAGAAATTTGTGTTTCTGTGCGGTATGTGTATACACAGGTGGTATTTTTCTATTTGGAGGGCTTAATGTGTTTTTAGGTGTTTGTGGGTTAGGAGTTAGAAGAAATAGCCAAAAAGGAGGTGTAATTAACCCTTTATCTCTTTCTCTTGATGGGTAATGTGGTTACTTCCTTTTTGTTAGTTTCCCCATAATATTATAGTAAATACCTGAGTGTATTATGTGTGTGTATTTTGATTATTTCTCTGCACTGTGTTCCTAGTAGTTAAATTACTTAGTCAAAAAGCATGAACACTTTAAAGGCTATCAAACATAGTTACATTGTTTTTCAGTAAAATATCTGTACCTTTTTCTTTAGCATCGAGGTATCTATTTACCAGACCTTCGTGAGCACCGTGCAGTTTATTTTTTAAAAATATTTCTCAACTTTATAGTCAGTATATTTGGCTATTAGGATAATTTCAGGATATTTGAGGAGGAACTTTAAGACCGGCTTATAAATTACAGCACTTATAAAGGAGGAAAACATGTGGAACTCATGTCTGGTACACATGATTCTAGGAACTGGTGGTGTTTGGATGGCAGAAGTTACAAGGAACGCAAAAGCAGGGAGCGTGAGCCAACACCAGATTGACCTCAGGCAGCTGATGCTATCGAAGGAAAAAGGGAGGACTTCCATGCAACTCCAGAAAACAAAACCAAGACACCTGCGGTAGATTCTGGTTTAACAAAAGGGAGAATTTTCTAAAAATTTTCTATAGATTTGGTTACTTCACAAAGCATTGAGCACCCCAGGATAAAAGAATCCAACTGAGAGTGGCAGCTTTACTCTTATTAGAGAGAAGATTTCTCTATTAAAGACAAAATCAAAGCGAAATCACCAACATCTTACTCATTTACTTATTAGACACAATCGTGGAGCAAATACTCTGCACCAGCTACTGTGCTAACTCCGTTACCTGGATTACTCAAATTCTTACAATAACTCTATATTTATTTCATAATTGCTTTATTTAGTAATATTTTAAGTGCTTTTTAGACACCTGCTCTATGCCTGTCTTGTGCTAGGCACCAGGGGGCGTAGCAGCAGACCAGGAAAATGTAGAGTCTGCCCTTACGGAGCTGGGAGCCTTGCATGAAAGACTGGCACTGACGACACAGTGGCACTGAATGAACGTGTGATCAGAAGCTGAGACAGGGCTCTAGGGGAAAAAGGCAAAGTGCAGCCAATCCTCATAGCAAAAGAGACCGAGGAAGCCTAGAAGTGGTGCTTGAGTGGAGAGTAGAAGGATGGGTGGGGGGTTAACCAGGCACAAGAGGGGAGGGACGGGAAGGGAAGTCACAAGGTGAGAAGCCCTCAGACAAGCACCTGCAATTGGAGGGTGCGTGCAGCTGAGAAGCAGAGCCAGGAGGACAGTGATAGCACTTGAGGTCAGAGTGGTCATCGGGATCCAAGCCTGCTGGATCTTCCTGGCCTTAGGAAACCCAGAGGCTTCATCCTTTGGCAAGGGGAAGCCTATATACCCTGTAGGCTTAATGACGGGGAGAAGAATGTTTGTAAAAGATCTCGCTGGCTGCTGAAGAGAGAACATCTGGAGTTAACTCTCCAATTTCAGACTCCCCTGATGAAAACTGTTACTTCTGTTCTCCACTCCCTTATTTGGGCAAAGCAGTTTATTTTCTACCCGAAGCATATCTACTAATAGAAATGACTGAGATATTCATTACGTTAGGAATGTAATGTAATGATTCTTAGATGGTGATTCAGATGATTAGTTATTGGACCTTCGATGCATTTTTTATTTTAATTTTGAGATTGGCCGTCCCCAACGCCTCTGATGTGTGACTTTCATTACTGGAGATGTTGTTTCTGATGTTGCTGGCGGTCCCTACTGAAAAGGATGCATGCATGAAGACTCAAGGCAACAGTGACTTGCACCCATTTCTAACAATGACTTGCACCCATTTCTCCCGTATGGGGGTGCTTGATAAGCACTGAGTGGTGTAATTTACAACAGCTTATTGGCTTGATGCCATCCTATGAATCCACCAACCATCATCTTCTCTGACCCTTTAAAATGACTTCCCTCACACCCCCTGCCATGAGATGATATGAAGAACTAACAACAGATAATTTCTATATCACCACATTTTATTATCAGCATAATTCTATACAGTAAATCTGCAGTGGGTGACTTAGTTTTGCTGATATGTGGCCTCTAGAATATTGGGAAAATAGATACATGGAAATTTAGGGAGCTTGTATCTTGCCTCTCCAACCTTTTAAATTTGCTGCAGAAAGTTGGATATTTGTTGGGTTTTTCTTCCTTAAGTAGGCAAACTTCAGCCCCAGGAGGCAATGAAGCAAACTTTAAATGTAGCCCCAGGTACTTCAAAGCTGGCTGAACCATGTGTTTGATTGCATACAAAATGTGAATTGAGTAGCACAGAACTGTCCTCCTAGCAACTTTGTAGCACAATGAGATCAGCTGCAAGAACGGAATAAATTGGAGATTGGCTTCTGCAGTTCCATTCATTTGCAAAAATTTGCAGACAATTAAGCTGTCCCCCTGCAGTATAGGTAGCTCCTTTTAGCCAGGGGCTGGAGATTTGTTCTCTCTGGGAAAATGTTAAAGCTGTGATTATCTAGTTATACCTGAATAAATGGATCAAAGGACCTCTCCAGCCAAGCACAGACCTCCTTGAAAAGGTAGTCTCCAGCAGCAACCCTGGGGAGGTTTATAGCAAAGTGTTTTTAGAGCAGATGGTTCTGGAGTTACAGAGGCCAAAGAGCTGAATGACTTGGGATGAGTCTTTTACATCTTTTAACTTCAGGAAAACAGCCATGGTGGTTCTGCCAGCAAGTCGTTGAATGGATTAAGTGAGATAATCATACAATGTGTTTAGCACTGTGCCTGGCATGTAATAAATACTCAATAAATGGCAGTATTTTCTATGGCAGACTTGGTGAATCCAGGACTAGGATCCCAGGCAAATCTTAGGGTTATAAAGGTTAGAAGGAACCAGGTTATGTCATCTTGAGTCTAGAATATAAGCTTCAAACTCTCCAAAGGAATAACCCTCAGGTCCTTGAACTCAAACCCGAAGCATCACATCTTTGCGTGAAGCCTGCAAAGGCTCGCTATTGCCTTGGAAGCAAATCCAGTCTTCTTACCTTGACTTACAAGACTGTCCATAATTGGGCTGGGCTGACTGCATGAGTCTCACCTTTCACTGTTCTCCCTTAATTCCCTGCCTGCCTGGAAGACGTATTTCAGCTTCTGCAATGCTTTGCCTTGCTAAAAATATCTCCTCTTAGCAAACAAGTTTGCCCAGAAGTTATGAAAGTAGGAGAGGGAACAAAGATGATAGAGGTTTGTGGTTTGTTTATGAGGTTTTCACTATTTCTCCCTATCACTTTTTCTATTATGCAAAGCCAGGGTCCAGGAGGGCAGAAAGAGGGAATGAGGACAAATTATCTGGACACTGTTTGTCTGTTTGAATGTCAGCGTATTTAGGAGATCCTCCAACAGGTGGCCAGCCCGGGTCAAGCTGCGTCTGGCCTTGTGTTCAGGTGTGCAGGAAGTAGGATCATTCCTCTCAAATCTCACCACTTCCTTCAGTTGGCTGTTAGGGAAGGCTTTTATGCCCTTGGCTGGGTGTGACGGAAAGGGGCAGGGACAGACAAAACTTGGAGTGCGGTCCCAGCTGTAGAATGCCAGTCTGGCAGACATAACAAAAGTGAGCACTTCTTCGCTTTTGGGACACCTTCCCCATTTGGTCTTGACATTGAGCACCATGCTTTGGCAGGTGTCAGAGGTTGGCTCCCGGGAAATAGACCACGCAACCGGGGAGGTGTTATCAGCATCCATACCTCACGGGGAGGGAGGTCAGGGGGATGGGGCGGGGAAGGAGGCTGATGGAGGAGTTGCTGACTGCAGGTAGCTGGAGGCCTCAGCCTTCCTGGGCAGCAGGGATACGGGCAGGGATGTCCCCTGAGCATGGTCCCACCTGGAAGCCAGGGGGCTGACCTTGACACACTCCTGACCAGTCAGTGGATGGCGCTGCAGCCCCTTCTGTTTAGTCTTCACATCAGCAATGAAAGAGGGTGAAGTTCATGGAAATATTGTGGGGACATATCGCATGGTTTCTGTTCATGAAATGTCCAGAAAAGACAAACATATACAGCCAGTGGCTGTGGTAAAGTGGGAATGACTGCTAATGGGCATGAGGTTTCATTTAAGGGTGATGGAGATGTTCTAAAATTATATGTGGTGAGGATTGCACAACTCTGTAAATTTCCTAACAATCACTGTGTTACACACTTAAAACGGGTGAATTTCATGGTACGTAAATTATACCTCAATAATACTTTTAAAATACTGCAGGCGAGAGGGGCTCCAGCCAGAGAAATTGACTCCAACTCTCCCTTTCCACAAATCAAATGCTCAGATTTGCATTGTGGGAGGAGCCTGAGTGTTCACTGCAGGACAATGTAGGTTCTTCAGGGAGTGCAGACCACTTTCACATGCAGCTTCTCATTTCGTTCTGATAACCTAGAGGACGGGCAAATCATCGTAGGACGATGAGCGCTGAGCTACAGTGAATGTAGCTTGTTATCTTACGACAGACCTGGGAGAAGGAGGAAATCCAACTAATTTATTTACTTTTATCCCTTTGAGTCTATTCTCCACAAAGCAGCTATGATCTGTTTTATTGCAACTGGACTCCTCAGCTCAAAACCCTTCCAGGGCTCACTCCTCATGCGGAGTAAAAGCCAGGGCCCTCTCCATGGCCTACGTGCCTCTCCAGGGTCTGACTTCCCTTCACCAGGTCCAGACTGTCTCCTTCACCTCACAGCGCTCACCTTGCCCACGCCAGCAGCTGCCACACTGAAGCTCCGCCATGCCCGGTAGGCTTCTGCTGCTGGCAGTGCCTCCTCCTCCTGCCCCCTTGGCCCATTCTTCCTCCATCTTCCACTGCCATCTCCTCGGTGGACCGCTTCTTGCCTCCCTGTCTAAAACATCAGCACCCTCTCCCCCTGAGCACTTCCAGCCCTCCTCCCTGCTGATCTTTTTTCTCTTGAGCCATATGTGTTCTCTTTCCCTTTCTGTGGTTTGCCCCCTCTCTCTACAATTGAAGCTTCATGAGGGCACTTGCTTCTTTTAGGCACTGCACCATCCGAGATGCCTAGAATTATACCTGGCAGAGAGAAAGGGCTTGGTTGATACGTTTTGAAGAAATGAATGAAAGAATGAATGAATGACTTAGTTAATATGAATCTATTCTCTCGCTCCTTCTCACGTTCTTTTTCTCTTCCTGCCTTCCTGTTTCCCTGGGCCTCCACCCTCCCTTCCCACCCTCAACCCCTCCCCTGCCCCTCACTGTTTCAGGGGTCTCCCCTTTATTTCTGATATGTGTTCTTTGGGGCGAGTGTTGTGGTGCTTCCAGACAGCGTGATACTTGCTTCCCCTGAGATTGGGAAACAGGGAGGAAAGCAAATGAGGTTTTAACCTCAAATGCCCTAAGACAGGAAGATGAAGACCTTGCTTAGCTGCATGAAACCGGAGATCTTTGTGTAGGGATGACAGTCCTCCTCTAATAGAATCCAGCATGCGTGAGGCTCCCTGAAGACACAACACTGCCCCTGTGATGGAAGCAAGGCTGGATGAGGCTGCAGCAGGCCTCGGATGACCTAGGCTAAAGATGCTGCGGATCACTGTCCGGAGACTGCTGTGGGGGGAATCCCACAAGTCACACATGGTCTGGTGTTGGTGGCGGCCCCAGAACCTCACTCTCCTCTGCACACCTCTGCGTGCCTACGTCTGTTCCTGTGACTGAGGGGATTGTGTTCAGCACACTGGAAGTGCGAAGACGTGTGGCATATGTCCGTGGGTCTAGGCAGCTGATGCATGTCTGTTGCATGTACATCTGCTCGTGAGTGTGTGTGTATGTGTGTCTATCAGATGGATTCTGGTGTGTGTGTAAACCCGCATGTGCATAAGTGTGTGCATTTGATGTCACAGAGAACATTTGACATCTGCACGCGTCTAGTAAATCTGGAAAGCTGGAAGGGGCTGCGTGTCTACATGTGTCTGTGTTTCAGATCTGGCCTTAGGCCATCCACAGCCGAATTACTCACTCCTGATACAGACTGAGTGGCTCACCCTCATTTTCTCACTTCCTCCGTCCTGGTGTTAATAAGACTCATCCTTCATTTTTCTACCGTTTCTGCAGTTCTTTAGAGAGTGCAGACCACTTTCACATGCAGCTTCTCATTTCATTCTCATAACCTAGAGGACGGGCACATTATCCTCCTTTACAGATGAGAAAATTTCCTTCAACCCCTCTGTGTCCTGTCTCGAGGGGAGCAGTATTGGGCCTCTTCTCTGAGGCTGATGTAACTGCTGATTCCTCTCACACCTCCTGTGGGCATCTCCTCTGCTCTCTTGCATCTTCATTCATTCTGTGTTTCTTTCTTCACCACTGTGCTTTCTTTCCTCTGACCCCTTCTTCCTCAAGGTCAGCCCCATTCCTTGTCTCCCATTTAACTGAAGAACTTCTTTCCATAGCTCTCCTTTTCTTCTATGCCAGAGTCCTCACTGTCCATGTAATCGCCTAGCACACACCAAAAGCTGCTCTTTCTAAATTCAGCCGTCATCTGTTCATGGTCAAGCCTAGCAGCCTCCGTGATTTTGGAGGAGACCTCTGCCTTGTGTAACGTGGCTGTGCACTGTTCCTTTTTGGAATTCTCCTCTCTGTGCTTCTGGTTTTTCTGCTACGCTGACTAAACTTTCTGTGGCCTTTGCTGAAACTCATCAGATGGTTACGTTCCTCCCTTTTCCCTTTTCCCTCTTCCCATAATCTGGGTTGTGCCATTGTCTCCATGTCTTGCAGCTACTCTTGTATATGAGTGATTGTGACATTTGTCTCCCTCCTGAATGCAATTCCTCATGTCCCCTAGAAATCTCTGCTTCACGTCCAGCAGGCTCCTCAACGTCAACAGGTCTACTCTAGCACTGGTACCCCAAAATGCCTTTTTAAAAGCCTTTGCCCACTTGGTAATGGCAACACCAGAAGTCAAGAGATCTTATTACCTCCCTCCTTTACGCTGATCTTCAGTTCTTTCCCATACACTGCTCTTCTGCCTTTTGTAACTGTCTCTTGAATTGATTACATTATTTTTGTCACCACCATTTTTGTGTTGTCCTTCTCTGAGTTTCTGGCCACGGATTGGCACCCTCACAGGCTTCATGCATGAAATGACAGATGCAAGTACACCACACGCACAAACACAGAGAGTTGTCCCGAAGCAGGGTATATGGATGTCAGTCAAATCATGTATGATGGTTCTTACACGGTCCCAGTCATACAGAAACATATGGCAGAACACACAAACTCATTAGCACAGACTCGATCAAAGGTGGGTACAGCCACAAATATAGAAGTAGACACTTGGCCACAAACACATACTTATAGATATACACATAAATCACAGGCAAAGATAGAAGCAGAGCCACAGGCCCAGAAACGCAGAGCCATGGATAAATATTCACTGAAGTTTCTCCTAATGTCAGACAAAAACTTAAGCATCAGAAGAAGCAGGATGTCCTGACTTCAGTCGTTCCTTAAGATGCCCACCGTGACGGGCCCAGAGAGTCGACATGCACATGGTGACTTCTCTACAATCAATACCTCCAGCAGCCCCCGAACCCTGTCCCTTCCAGGTACTGTTTTTCCCGAATCAGAGCTTCCTGCTTCTTTTCTTGGGCACTTTAGATCCACGGATTAACACAATTGTGCCACTTGCCATACTTCTGGGATGCGCCGTAATAATCAAGGAAATGGATGGGCAGCTGTGGAGTTGATGAGCTGGTGAGCTGGGAGGACACCAGAGGTAGGATGGGGATGGGATTCAGGGAGCTGACCACTCTGGACACCCGTGAGGACAGAAATATCACCCATTTGTGGGTATGAAAACACAAGAAAGCAATTCATGACACTCTATGCAAGGTTCATTATTGATGACACGGTGTGCTTTGTCATTACTTTGGACACATTTAGACATACATTGTCATCATGAACTGAGGCCTATGTTTGCTCTAGGATGAAGCCCATTCACCAGTCCTTTACATCTGCACAAAGTTTACGTCTTTTTAAAGTGTTTCTCTAGACCAGCTCTCATCTGAGGCTCAAGATATTTTTTTAATAATGAATGATATTCAGATATTACAAATATATTTTACGTATTTCCTATTTTTGCCACCCTTAACAAACCAACAGAATCTTCATAGATGTTAAATATCAGTTTTGTGTAAATACAACGCGCTCTAATTTTCTTTCTTTTTTTTTTTTTTTTCTGAGATGGAGTCTCACCGTGTCACCCAGGCTGGAGTACAGTGGCGCGATCTCAGCTCACTGCAACTTCCATCTCCCAGGTTCAAGTGATTCTCCTGCCTCATCCTCCCGAGTAGCTGGGATTACAGGCAGGTGCCACCACACCTAGCTAATTTTTGTATTTTTGGTAGAGACGGGGTTTCACCTTGTTGGTCAGCCTGGTCTCGAACTCCTGACCTCGTGATCCTCCCGCCTCGGCCTCCCAAAGTGCTGGGATTACAGGCGTGATCCGCTGCGCCCAGCCAATGCTGTTTCTTTGTTTAGTGTTGGGTTCGTTTTGGGTGGTTGGCTTTTTTGTTCGTTTTGTTATATTATTCTTGCTTTTTCTTCTGTCTTATACAGAATCTAGTTTTCTTTGCCTGCATATTGAGTCCTTTTCACTTCCTAGAGACTAAAGTGTCTCTTACTTAGTCTCTTTCATTGAGATTTTAATATTCTTCTGTGATCACTATAGTGTATACAAAATAGAATGCATTGAATATGATATTCTATATTTTCCTACATAGCTTGTCTTAAATATTCTCTCTGCTAGCTAGGTAAATTGGAGCAGTTTGCATGCAACCTCTCTGAACTTTCTTCATTGATTAAGGAGGGATAAGATTTACTTTGGAGGTCTGTTGGAAATATTTGAGGGGGCTCATGCCAAGTGCCCAGCACATTGGCCAGCATACGCTTGCTGTATCATTATTATAGTAGTTTAGAGTAGTGATGGTGAGGGCATTGGAGTGATGATGATAGTGGTCGGAACATGGTCTTCACAGTTGCCTTATTGGTCATAGCCTAGGAGTATTGCCTACTAACAAACCCAAATGTAACTTTGTCCCTGCTATGGAACATTTAGGATGTTTTCCATTTTTGCCCCTTATAAATCATGTCTCACTAAACGTCTTCCTTCATACAGTTTTATTCTTCTTTTGAATGTAACGTTTGGATGGGTTCCTAGCAGTAAAATTACTGAGTGAAGGGATATGTGCATTCATAAAGCTCTCGATAAATGAATATTGCCTGATTACTTTTCACAAGGGTGCTATGAATTTATACTCCCACCCAAATCAAGAGAATGGCTATTTATAGATGCTTTCAGAGCCTTAGCTTATCTTGTTTCCTGTTTGAACTTTATTACATAAATTTTCCTTTAAAACTGTCACACACACACACACACACACACACACACACACTTTTATGGGGCCTTGGGGCCAAAGATGGAATGAAACTATCATTTATCACATGATTTTGATAGGAAGCTGTTGTTAGGATTGAGATGCTTGCTTCTGATGATGCAGAAGACAGTTTTAATTAGTATGTGGCATTAAATAAGATCAGTTTGCATATTGGAAATGATATTCTTTTTCAATTATCTTTCAGTCCTCTGATCAGATCAAAGAGGAAGTCTCAGCTTGGTGCTAACACGCCTTTAACACCGCTCTGGCCCCTTTTTACCTGTAAGATGAAGAGCTTTCCATAGGCAACAGTTTCTAGCTCAAATTTAATGGTGTCATTAGGTCTCCAGCATGTTTATTTTTATGTTTTCCTTCTTTTATGTGAAGTGATACTAATGTTTTATTTAAAATGATACAAAGTTTTCATTTTGAACACATTTAATTAAAAATATGAGTTACGCATAGAGCAAACACCCTGACAGTGTCACTCCAATAACTGAACTTGTGACATGCTACTTGGAGAGTGCATTCCAACAGTTGCCCCACTGATCATATAATAACAACACGTTTCCCTTGACAATACACTGAATACAAGTCTCCATAATGCCTGACATAGTTTGGGACTTTGTGATTGTCCCTTTATCCCTATTCATTTGTGAGTGTAAGGACCTTGCAGTGGCTCATGAAGAGAGTTGCTTTTTATTTTTTATTTTTAAAATTTTTTTTGAAGACTCTTAACAAAGTATAACCATTTTGAAAATGCCTATCTATTACCCTAGATAAAAATTACCTAGTATCGGAAGAGTATCTAAAAAGATATTCAAGGGGTACAAGTGCAGGCTTCTTACATGCACACACTGTGTAGTGGGAAGTGTGGCCTTTTAGTGAACCCATCACCCAAAGAGTGAACGTTGTACCCAACAGGTGATTTTTCAGCTCTCACCCTCCTCCCACCCTCCCACTTTCCGAAGTCCCCACTGTCTCTTATTCCACTCTGTATGTTCACAAGTACCCATTGTTGAGCTCCCACCAAAAAGTGAAAATATGCGGCATTTTTCTGTTTGAGTTATTTCCTTTGGATCATGTCTTCCGGCTTCATCCATGTGGCTGCAAAAGACATGATTTTATTCTTTTTTTAGGCTTGAGTAGTATTTTATGGCATGTGCGTGTGTGTGTATGAGTATGTGTGTGTGTATATATGTTTTTGTGTGTGTACACATCTTTATAGATATGTTTATATATACGTATAGATATATTTACATATATGTATAGATACAAATATATATATATATATCCCACATTTTCTTTTTTTCTTTTTTGAGACTGATTTTCACTCTTGTTGCCCAGGCTGGAGTGCAATGGCGCGATCTCGGCTCACTGCAACCTCTGACTCTTGGGTTCAAGTGATTCTCCTGCCTCAGCCTCATGAATAGCTGGGATTACAGGCATGCACCACCATGCCCGGCTAATTTTGTATTTTTAGTAGAGACGAGGTTTCTCCATGTTGGTCAGGCTGGTCTCAAACTCCCAACCTCAGGTTATCCACCCTCCTCAGCCTCCCAAAGGGCTGGGATTACAGGCGTGAGCCACTGCATCTGGCCCCACATTTTTTTTTATCCTGTCTTCTGTTGATGGACACTTAGGTTCATTCCATGTCTTTGCTATTGTGAATAGTGCTATGATAAACACACAAGTGCAGGTATTGTTTTGATATAACGATTCCTTTTCCTTTGTGTATATACCTGGTAGTGGGATTGCTAGGTTGAATGGTAGTTCTGTTTTCAGTTCTTTGAGAAATCATCATACTGTTTTTCATAGAGTTTGCACTAATTTACACTCCCACCAACAGTATATAAGCATTCTTTTTTCTCTTCAGCCTCACCAATATTTGTTGTTTAAGACTTTTTAATCATAGCCATTCTGACTGGTATAAGATGATATCGCATTGTCGTTTCAATTTGCATTTCTCTGATGATTAGTGATATTGAGCATTTTTCATATGTCTGTTGGCCCGTCGTACGTGTCCTTTTGAAGAATGTCTGTTCATGTTGTTTGCCCCACTTTCTTTTGTTTGTTTGTTTGTTCTGAGCTGGAGTCTCGTTCTGTCACCCAGGATGGAGTTCAGTGGTGTAATCTTGGCTCACTGCACTGTCCGCCTCCTGGGTTCAAGCAATTCTCCTGCCTCAGCCTCCCTAGTAGCTGGGATTACAGGTACCTGCCACCATGCCTGGCTAATTTTTGTGTTTTTAGTTGAGACCTGGTTTCACCATGTTGGCCAGGCTGGTCTCGAACTCCTGACCTCAGGAGATCGGCCTGCCCTGGCCTCCCAAAGTGCTGGGATTATAGGTGTGAGCCACCGCACCCGGCCTACCCACTTTTAATTGGGTCATTTTTGTTGTTTGAGTTCCTTGTAAATTCTGGATAATAGTCCTTTGTTGAATACATACTTTACAAATATTTTTCCCATTCTCTAGGTTATCTGCTTAGTCTGTTGATTGCTTATTTTGCTGTGCAGAAGCTTTTAAGTTTAATTAAATTTGAATTGTCCATTTTTTTTTTTTTTTGGTCATGTTTGCTTTTGAGGACTAGGCCATAAATCCTTTGCCGAGGCCAATATCTGGAAGAGTTTTTCCTAGGGTTTCTTCTAGAATTTTTATAGTTGCAGGTCTTATGTTTAGGTCTTTAATCCATCTTGAGTTAATTTTTGTATATGGTGAAAGCTGTGGGTCCAATTTCACTCTTAGGTATATGATTATCCAATTTTCCATATGGGTGTTTAGGCCAACACCATTTATTGAATAGAGCGTCATTTCCCTATCATATATTTTTGCCGACTTTCTTGAAGATCAGTTGGTTGTAGGTATGTGGCTTTAGTTCTGGATTCTCTGTTCTGTTCCATTAATCTAGATTTATACCAGTACCATCCTGTTTTGGTTACTATAGCTTTGTAGTATAATTTGAAGTCAGGCAATATGATGCATCTAACTTAGTTCTTTTCACTTAGGATTTGTTATAAAACCAATTCTTTATTGGCTGTAAATCAAATAAAATTTTATATCTAAGCAAGTCCTCCAGATTCCTGACCAGGTGAGTAATCCAGTAGCTTGGCAGATTAAGAACAGCAATATGCAAGCAATGAGGGATGAGTAAATCAAGACTGTCATTGTGAATAGAATGATTTGGAAGTTGGGTGTTCAAATAGCTTAATGATAGTTATAGTGAATAACAATGTCAGCTTTAGTATTATTCTAGTAATGTACTTGGTAATGCTAATAGGGTTTGATGGAATACAGTGAACACTTTCCAAACAGCTGTATGCTTTCCCAACAAAGGAACTCTATCTCGGAGCAGACTGATACATCATTTCAATGGGAGATTTTAATCAATCCTTTTGTTTTCCCTTTTAGGATATATTTAAATTTGCAAGAACTTCTCCTGTCCCAAGACAAAAGAGGTCCATTGTGGTATCTCCCATTTTAATTCCAGAGAATCAGAGACAGCCTTTCCCAAGAGATGTTGGCAAGGTAAGTCAGACAAACAGCAAATGACAAAAACATGTTTTTATGAAAAGATGAGCACAGCAGACTGAGTATGACTGTCTTGGTGACCAGCTGGAATTAGTCTTCATCTGTCTATGATAAGAGACCAAATGGTTTAGTCATGAAAAGAATGTTGGAAGATCATTCATATGCAAAAGAGGAAATTGGAAAAAACCAATAGCAGCTTTGAATATTACGGGATCAACATGGTAGATGATGTTGAAATTAAGCAGGAAGATGTCAATGGTTAAGAAACAAGGCTCATTGCTTTTATAGATTATATTCAGGTGATCACCAGATAGGGCCCCCTAGGATGGTAGTATGTTGACATGTGGCCTTCACTGAGATCCTGTTTTTCAAATATTTAGGTCTACGCGTACCACTGGGTCGGTTTTCCAAAAACTAAACCAGATCAAGGGAATAAAATCATACTAATCATATCCAGAATCGGATATGGAAAACACTGTCCCATGAATCAGAACAATAGCTTTTCCAGGAAGAAATAGTCACTGTTAAATGTGCCAAAATACGGATACTGCCTCATCAGTACATTCTCCCCTCTTTAAGAGAGTCAACATGGAGAATCAAATTTTGAGCAGTTTGTACTTTTTGGTTGTTAGAAACAAGTGCTCAGTGCCGCAAAGGAGAACCAGCACTCAGGAAAAGAGTTTTCTCAGCAAGGCAATTTACTTCTGCGGAAGGGTGCTGCTTGTACTTCTGGCCACTGGGAGAGCACACCAAACAAAAGAGGGAAGGGGTTTTTATCCCTCACGTGGTTAGTCCCTGCTTCTGTGTCCTGTCCCCATTGGCTGGAGTTGGATTGCACAATCTAAGCTGACCTGATTGGCTACTGTTTAAAATTGAATATGGCTAATTAGGCAGGAAGGGAGAGGCTGTCTGTTATGGTACAAGGCATGTTTGGGCATGTCAGGGCACGGCAAAGGCGGGAAGGGTAGTTTCATTGGGAAGAGCTGTTTTGGCTGGAGGGGCAGTTTACAGAATGGGTAGCCAGGATTAAAGAGGACTCTTTCCAAATAAGAAAGAGATGTGAGTCACAGATTGGGACTAATGGGAGAAGTTGTTTATAGAGCAGGTAGCTTAGGAGAAGGGACAAGGAAGTTGATCTCGAGAACAAAGAACAAGGGAGTCAGAAATTAAACGTTTGAAAAGGAACTTACTGTATCAGACATTGGTGAGCCTGGAATTCGAAAAATGGTGGTTGGTTAAATGAATGATCTTAATGGCAGTTGCTGTTGAACTACTAATTCATTAAATACACAGTACATGTGATATGCTGGACTCCAAGCTTTGGACTGGGTGTGAAGAAGCAGATAATAAAGCTAACATGCTAGTGGGAAGACAGAAACAAGAACATTGCAGAGTATGACAAATGCTGTGAAAATCAGCAATGGGATGATGTGAAAAAAAGAGCAAATGGCAGGATGAAGGAGTAGAGGGAGGAGGGAATCTTCACGCAGATGGCTGTGATGGCTGGTTGGAGGTACTGATATTTGAGGGGAGACTGGAAGGGTGAGAAAGGAACAGTTACAGGTATATCTGGTTGAACAGCATCTTTGGCAGAGGTGAGTCTACATTGCAAAGGCCTGAAGATGGGAAAGAATAGCATGTAGTAGAGTCGCAACATGCCTGGGTTGCATGAGAGTAAGCAAGGATGACAGTGGTAAAAGTGAAATCAGAGAGGCCAGCCTGCCCTTGGATGAGGAGTTGGGGTTTCATCGTGCATGCAGCAGGGGACCACTGGAAGATTTCCCCAGAAGACTGCATGTTTTGAAAGATCATCCTGGCTGCCTTGTAGAGAATGATTAGTGGTAGCAGAGCAGTAGAGAGGAGTGGAAGCAAAGAGACCCACTAAGAGGGGAGTTTGGTGGTGATCTGAACAAAGGTGACTTGGACTATTGAAAATTGATCTTGGACGGGCATGGTGGTTCACGCCTGTAATCCCAGCACTGTGGGACGCTGAGGCGGGAGGATCACCCGAGGTCAGGAGTTCAAGACCATCCTGGCCAACGTGGCGAAACCCCGTCTCAACTAAAAATACAAAAATTAGCCAGTGTCATGGCACGCCTGTAATCCCAGCTACTTGGGAAGCTGAGGCAAGAGAACCACTTGAACCCAGGAGGTGGAGGTTGCAGTGAGCCGGGATCATGCCAGTGTACTCCAGCATGGGCGACAGGGTGAGACTCTGTGTCAAACAAACACACAAACAAAAAATCGATCTTTATTGCAAATTGAAAGAAGTGCTAATCCAATATCCTGGTAATCATTATATTTATCATTTTAAACTCCCACTGTGCCAAAGATACCTTTCTCTAAGCAAAAATCTTTTTAAGAGTCTGGGACATGATACAAAGGGAAGCAGAGCTGCTCTAAAGGGATAGCCCTGTCCCCTTGGGCAGCCCTAGCCACTGTGATGATCCTTTTCTAGACAGGTTTCCTGGGAGCCCAAGATGCCAGATGCCAAGGGACCTGACTCCCCACTTCTTCAAAACTCTTCCCAAACAGTTTCTGAGACTCAAGATGCATTCTCGTTTTTCAGTTTTCTTTTAGATAATCCTGGGCTTCTCAGCTCTCACCATGCATCAGAATCAGCAGAGACACTTAAAATGCAGATGTCAGGGCTCCACCCTCAGAGATTGATTCCACTGGGGTGGGGGTGAGGACCATGCATCAATATATGTTAAAATATCCGAGGTGATTCAGATATGCAGCCGAGGTGGAGGACTGCCGGTCTTAAGCAGTCCTCCAAGAGTGGTTGTGGACCAGCTACATTAGCATCGCCTGGGAGCTTGCTAGAAATGCATATTTTCATGTCCCACCCCAAAACCACTGAGCCAAAAACTCTGGGGTTAAAGCCAGGAATCTGCGTTTTTACACAGCTTCTAGGTGATTGTGATGCACACTCAAATTTACAGAGGGCTGACCTGAAATGCACTTTCTCCTCCTGTCCACCACTAGTACACAATACTTTCAGTTGCAATTCCATTAATTAGGTTATAATAAGGACAATCACATTTCAGTTGCCTGGAAAATCCCAGTTTACACCTGTCGTCCAAATCTGTCATGTCCAGATTTAGACAATAAATTATGTAGCCATCCTATAGTTTTCTTCAATTACACACAATTTCCTCCGGGGTATATTTGGGTGAATTTTCTCACAAGCCTCTTTTCTTGAGCTATTCAATGGGTCCATAAGCATGCAGCTAATTGGGAACATTCTTCTGCATTGTTTTTTTACTTATTACAGCTTCAAAAAGCAATTTGGTTTGCAAGCTGAGGACTCACTTCTTCTTAGCCCCTTATGTGTTGCCCATACTTGTTCTCAACTTAGATTCTCTACAAAGCAACTGCTTTTCTAAGTGTGGTAGGCTACTAACTAGACAATGCGCAAGAGCCTTCAAAACCTCTAGATGTTTTTTGTAGAATTACTGCACTGCTTTGCAAAAACTATTTATTTGTCCCTGCTTTTTATGCCTTTGAAGGTACGTATTTTCCTTTTTGTTCCTGCTTGTTTCTATTTATCTGTCTTACTCTTTATATCTCCTGTCTTATCCTCATCAACTCCACCACAGCTGACGAGCTGTGCTCTGCAGAGCTGTGGAAGAGGACGTAGGTGTTTTCAGTGAGTGCTGGGGAGGCAGGGAGAAGGGAAGGAAGACCACAGAGGCAGAGCTCTGGCCTCCAAACACCACCACGCTCCCAAAAAATGTCTAAGTCAGGACACCTCTAATTTTATAAATATTACGTATTAGACTTCGATATAGAATGCCATTTGAAGAAGAGATTCTGCAGCTCTAAAAGTATAAAGACGTTTGTCTTTGGCTTCCCCTAGAAGTGGACCGCAAGACAAGAATTCAAATGAAGGCAGTTCATTTCAGAGGTGGAGGAAATATTTGTAATAAAGTAAGGGAGAGACGTGGAGAAGGGAAGGCAGCTAGGAGAGAAGCTTGTTTATGAAGCCAGCTACCCCTGTGGGTGACTGGATTGTAATGTCAGGGGCTAACTTTAACATGGTGTGGAACACACTGTCAGCGTTACACCACCCCCAGGGGATGGCACTGGGATACTTTGACACCAGCTGGGGTATTTCTACTCCCAGCAGTCACTGGTGGAGGGCCGCTTCCAGGGGTGTAAATTCCCTGGCATATCTGGTCTGCCCTGCACTCTGTGCACTGACGCGACAGCCTGCTGAGGTTTGGAGGAGAACCTTAGACAAAAAGGATTCTGTACAGCAGCCACCAGTCTGCTGGTCTGCACTGAAAAGCTGACACATAGAGGATGTGGACAGGGCACTGATCCCTTCTGCTTCATCACCAAAACTAATATATCTATATTATTTTTTGCATACTTCATTTCATCCTCTGCTTTTACCTCATTTCCTGAACTAGCATTCTCATGTCCTGGGCTTTTGAAACCCCCTGTACTTGCCTCTCTCTCTCCATTAATAAGTAGTTCCTGCATCCCAGGAGGGAAAACCTCTGAAATTCAACCTAATTCATATCAACAAGCATATATTCAGCATCTGTTTTTATAAGGAACTGTGCTAGGGGCTGGGAATTTAATGGAGGAGAAAACAGACAGAATCATTGATCTTGCGGGATTACAAAAGAGGTGACAATATCAGCACATAGTCATTATTTGTCCAGCACTGTGCTAAGCACTTTTCATCTATTATGTTGAATTCTTATGATAACAACCACATGAGGATCATTTTCCAGCATGCCAATGAAGGTAATGAGACTCAGGGGTGACGTAACCTGTCCAAAGCCACACAGCTAGTTCATAACAGAGCCAAGCTTTGTTACTGCTTTTTGAGATTTCAAAGTCTGTGCTCTTAACCAGTATCCTCAGGAAATACTAAGCCCAATCTGAGAATACTCTTCCGTGGAATGAAATATCTTCACTGACAATTTCTCTTTTTAAAACAGCATTAAAATTGAGTGCAATTCTTGGCAATGCACTCAAAAATAAGGTGGACAGAGGGTTGGATCAATAGATCGATATCTGATATGTGATAAAGGAAGTATATTAAAATGTTAGTGGTAGAATATAAGTTGGTGAACATATGGGTACTTGCTGTACAATTCTTTCGAGTTTTCTCTGCATTTGGAAGTTTTGTAATAAAATGTTGGGAAAAATTAAGTTTAACTAAATATAAAATTATCATAAAAGACACAGGAGTTAGCATGCTGGCACAAAAACGCCTTTTAAATCATTTGTCTTGCATTTCAAGAGGGTGAATGGAGACAAAGTACGTAACTGGTTCTTGATTTTTTTGGTCATATTTTATTACAACCTGAATTCCTGTAAAGAAAGGAGACTCATATCCTGAAGAATGAAGACATCAAAAGCAAGGTGCTGTGGCAAGTTAGCCCTTGGTGGAGGGTTTTTCACAACTGGATATCCTGCTGTGTAGAACTGAATACCCACAGCAGGGTTATTCAGGCAGCTCCAGGGATGAGAGAAAGTGTCTTGACTGATACATAATTTATCTGTCTGCCAAGTAATTAGTTGGTTGGTAAGTAGCTAAACTACTAGAATTTGGGATCTGCTTTTCCGTAATACGAGGGAATCATATTACAACCCTGAGATTCCAAATCACTGCTACTCACTTAGATAGCAGGTGGGGAGTATAAGGGGGTGTATGACCCCCCCCCCCCCCCCCCCGCCCACAGACACACACAGGAGACAACCCGAGAGATCACTGCCAGCCCTGGGAAAATGAGTTTGCCTCCTAATTTCTGGCTCTTTTCCATGGTGCATTCTGCCCTAGACTATCTGTCATAGTTTTGGAAGACAAGGTAAAACACCCAGTCGTGAACATACTTGCTCATACCTGTGATTTTCTTTCCATTTTTGAACTCTAGACAGCAGGGAGGAGCTGACAGTGAGTGCTCTGGAGAGGAACATGCAGATCCCAAAGTGGCTTTTTCCCCTCCCCCTTCAAAGTATGACTATTTCAAAATTTGGGCCATAAATAATTTCTCAGTTTTACCAACTTTCACTGATAACTAATTGATTGCATCTTTAAAGATTTTTGAGTTCTTGGGCCCGATTGATTGAGAGCAGGGGACTTTAAATCTGTAAGCCAGCAGGGAGGTCTTTGGGAGATGTATTTTATTCTGTTTTATATTAAGTTTGAAAGACAAGTCATTTATGAAATGCTTATTAGAGATTCTGCTTTCATCACAAACCCTTTTCATCAAAACCAATGAAAGTACTTTTTTACAGAAAATCCTGTTTTAAAGACCCTATAAATTGGTAGAATGGGCATTTAGAAGGCCATCTTTAACCCAGGATAGAAGAAATATGTAACTGGGCCAAGTGCTGTTTGTAAAGGGAATCAACATTGATCATTAGACTAAATCATGAAAACCACTCAACCAGGACTCCGCTTTGATTGTGTCATGAACGTAAGTCAGACATGACGGTAATTTACATCAGCTTTGCCATGTTCCTCAGTGTTCTGTGCATCTGATTCTTAGAGGTCTCACTGCATCCAGATACTCTGTACCTGAGATTTATGCCCACCTATGCGAATAGGTGCCAAGGAGTCTGATAGTCTTGGAATTTAATTTGTTTTATTCTATTTAATAGCCATTTGCCTCACTTTGAAGACCCACGAAGACCAAGCTATATCCTTAGAGGCTGAACCAGAAAGCTGGTACTGAAGCCCCAGCACCTCTCCATCACCCCTCTCCTGAAATGCAGACTCAGGGTTACTTGCTGTTGCCTGATTGATTTTATGATCAGGCACTTACTGGGTTGTCTAGGGTAACCCAGTAATTGCTGTCATCCCTCTACCTCTTTTAAAATCTATTGTTTTGTGCCCTTTATCTATGTCTAACTATATACACTTTTCTCAGAAATTTACATCTGCTTAATTTCTACCCCCCACCCACCCCCCAACACCCCCCCCTTTTTTTTTTTTTGAGACAGAGTCTTTCTCTGTCACCAGGCTGGAGTGCATTGGTGCAATCTCTGCTCACTGCAACGTCCGCCTCCCAGCTTCAAGCAATTCTCCTGCTCAGCCTCCCTAACTGGGACTACAGGTGGATGCCACCACGCCCAGCTAATTTTTGTATTTTTTTAGTAGAGACAGGGTTTCACCATGTTGGCCAGACTCATCTGGATCCATCTGCCTCGGCCTCCCAAAGGGTGGGGATTACAAGCATGAGCACCTGGCCTTAATTTCCCCCTTTTAAGGCAACTAGCAGTTTTATTCAATAACTGAAACTTACCATAGGCTAGAGTATAGGAGAAAAATTGGAATACAGAGTATCTAAGATGCCTAAAGGCTCAGTGCTCAAAAATTCTTCTTGAGATGAACATCACAGTTTATTTCTACATTCAGCAGCCATAGCTACACATAAGCCTTTCCTATTTCCAAGTCTTTGAACTGTCAGTTCTTCCTGGGATACACCCTCTGTATCCTTATTCCTTAGGAGCAGCCCACATTCACACTCTAAGGCTGCACTGTCCCATGGAACATTGACATTATTGCAGGAAGTTCTGCCTCTACACAGCCCAATATGGTACCCACTAACCACATGTGGTCAATGCAGTTATAAAGTCTTTACTAATTTTAATTGGGGCTCAAAAAGTAACACTTCATTCCATTATTGGGACAACTTGGCAGTTGAATGTACCTTTTTCCTGATACATTTTAATCTATTTACAGATAAAATATTTTTTACTGAAAACGCAATGTCCACACTGAGATGTTTTGTAAGCGTAAAATACACATTGGATTTCAAAAGCTTATCACACGAACACAAAAAGAATGGAAAATGTCTCCTTAATAATCTTTGTATTGATTTCATTTGGAAACAAATCCCTTGTATTTCTTTTCACTTTTTTTTTAACGTGGCTGCCAGAAAAGTATTAAATTATTAATATGGCTCACGTATTTTTATCAGATGGTGCTAATGTAAATAAGGCCTATTTTTGATACAGTCTCTCCTCAGTGGAATTATGTTTTTGAGACAGAGTCTTGCTCTGTCACCCACACTGGAATGCAGTGGCGTGATCTGTGCTCACTGCAACCTCTGCCTCCGGGGTTCAAGAGATTCTCATGCCTCAGCCTCCCTAATAGCTGAGATTACAGGTATGCACCACCATGCCTGGCCAACTTTTGTATTTTTGGTAGAGATGGGGGTTCACCATATTGGTCAGGCTGGTCTCAAACTCCTGGCCTCAAGTGATCCACCTGCCTCGGCTGCCCAAAGTGCTGGGATTACAGGTGTGACCCACTGAGCCCGGCCCATGGAATTTTACTTGATCTCTTTTATACATTGTTTATACATCTTTGATGGCACTTAACACATTTTGAGAGACAATGTCCTTCCCTGCCTTCCCACTAACTGTAATTCATCAGATGCGGTGGCCCAGGACAGGGCCTAACACAGAGTAGCGACTCAAATATTCTCTGAATTGAATTCTAGCCATATGTATGGCTGATTAACATAGACATTCACTGCTTACTGATTAATTAAAGTGATCATAGCCTGCTTTGTTGTTAGAATGGAATTAATAGACCATTATATGATCAGTCTGGATATTTCCAGCAAATTTTAATTTTCTAAATTGGTAATGAGGCCACCAGATAAATTGCTTGGCAGTCAACTATTATGTCAGGTCATATAAGCATTCTTAGTAGATTTGTTTTTTTTCTTTGAGACAGAGTCTCGCTCTGTCGCCCGGGCTGGAGTGCAGTGGCACAATCTTGGCTCACTGCAACCTCTGCCTCCCAGGTTCAAGCAGTTCTGCCTCAGCTTCCCAAGTAACTGGGATTACAGGCGCCCGCCACCATGCCCAGTTAATTTTTGTATTTTTAGGAGAGATGAGCTTTCACCATGTTAGCCAGGCTGCTCTGGAACTCCTGACCTCAGGTGATCCACCTGCCTCGGCCTCCCAAAGTGCTGGGATTACAGGCATGAGATGCTGTGCCCAGCCAGTAGATCTTGATAGATTTGATGTTGATGGATTTTATGTGGGGATGGGGTGGGGGGAGAGAGAGAGAGAGAGAGAGAGAGAGAGAGAGAGAGAGAGAGAGAGAGTGAGTTACATGACTGTATTTCTGAATTTGCCTATGTATATGATGGTGTTTTAATTCCAATTAAATGAAAACACTCATAACTTTTATCTTTTTTCACAACTGAACACAGTCAATTCTAACTTATTTTTGCTAAGTCTAATAAAAGCTATGTTCACCATTCGCAAGTGTTGCCCTCCTGCAAATTTTAATTAATGACAAAACATAATCGGGTGGTTTTGGCTTTTTGCCAAATACATATATATGCAAAACTTCCCTCCATGATCTACATCCCGCAAATAAAGGCATCTGAGCCCAAGGAGGAAGCAATATTTTTAACCCTGAGTTTATCACCCTTTCGGTTCTCCATTTTAAAGGTTCCTAGAACTTTATTGTTATTATGAACATCTGGCCTCAGACTGAATTTATATTTAATTATTTGTGAACATTCAAGGACCAGGCATTTCAGCTTGAATTAGCATCCAGACTCAGGGTTGTTGAAGAATTTTCAAATTGGACTAGAATGTTCACTACCTAATGAATGTCTGGATCTAAGCCAAACATGGCTAACCCTACTGTCCTGCTTAGTTTTTACAACAGCCCTATAAAGTAGGCAATCCTACACTCATTTCTCAGATGAGAAAGTGGAAATTAAGAGAGATTAAGTAACTTGCCCAGGGTAACCCTCTTAAAGAACGGCAATGCTGAGACCCAAAACCAAGACTCTTCAATGCCACATCAGTGATCTGTCCACCACAACGTGTGTGAATGCTTAAAGCTTCCATGGGTCTTTGCTGTTTGCATAGCACACTCACACAAATGGTCATTTGACTCTCATAAGTACCCTCAGAAATCAATATTATGTCCCCATTGTACAGTGGAGGCTCTGAACTGAGCATGACCAAGGTGCAGAAGCATCTTGCAAAACAGTCTATTTGTGGTACAAACTGAGTTGCCTTTCTGTGTCACCTGCAATTGTACCAGGGCTCTGGATGGATTTTAAAATAGCACATGGCATGAGTTAAGCCACTATGGAAAACAGTGTGGAGATTCCTGAAAGAACTAAAACTAGAACTACCATTTGATCCAGCAATCCCACTACTGGGTATCTACCCAGAGGAAAAGAAGTCATTATATGAAAAAGATACTTGCACACACACGTTTATAGCAGCACAACTCACAATTGCAAAATCATGTAACCAAATGCCCATCAATCCACAAGTGGATAAAGAAACTGTGACATATGTATATATGATGGAATACTACTCAGCCATCCAAAGGAATGAATTAATGGCATTTGCAGCAACCTGGATGAGATTGGAGACTATTATTCTAAGTGAAGTAACTCAGGAATGGAAAACCAAACATCATATGTCCCCACTGACATGTGGGAGCTAAGCTATGAGGACGCAAAAGCATAGGCATGATACAACGGACTTTGGGGACTGGGAGGAAAGGATGGGAGAGGGGAGAGGGATAAAAGACTGTAAACAGGATGCCGTGTATTCTGATCGGGTGATGGGTGCACCAAAATCTCACATATCACCACTAAAGAACTTATTCATGTAACCAAACACCACCTGTACCCCAACAACCTATAGAAATTAAAAAAAAAAAAAAAGAAATAGACTTTGTCTGGGCACGGTGGCTCATGCCTGTAATCCCAGCACTTTGGGAGGCCGAGGCAGGCGGATCATGAGGTCAGGAGATCGAGACCATCCTGGCTAACATGGTGAAACCCTGTCTCTACTAAAAAATACAACAAAAATTAGCCGGGCGTAGTGGTGTGCGCCTGTAGTCCCAGCTACTCGGGAGGCTGAGGCAGGAGAATGGCGTGAACCCAGGAGGCAGAGTTTGTAGTGAGCCGAGATCGCTCCACTGCACTCCAGCCTGGGCGACAGAGCGGGACTCTGTCTCCAAAAAAAAAAAAAAAAAAAAAGAAATAGACTTCACTAGAGGAAGGAGAAACATACAAGCCAGGGGTGAGCCAAGGATGAGAAGCATAGCTCACCATCCCCCTCATTCCACAGGGAGGTCTGCCAGGGGAGAAACTGGGCTCTCATAGCTGTTCCTTCTCTGCCGGACAGCTTCAGTACAATCTTGTTAGTGGACAGACGATCAAACACCAGGGATGTTCCGCAGCCTGAATGCAGACAGCTTCAGTACAATCTTGTTAGTGGGTAGATGATCAAACACCAGGGATGTTCCGCAGCCTGAATGCAGGTTCCCAGATTCGTAGGAGTGGTCTGAGATTCCAAAGTTCAAAGTCAGATGCTTTGGGTAGGGATGTGCTGGAAAACTGGCTCTCGGAGGCTGGAAGCCTTGAGTTGGAGTGTTTGCAGCTACTTTGGCATAAATTCTCCCACAGCGGCCAGTTTCAAGCTAGCAGCTTACAAAATCTCTGAATGTTTAACAATGGACTTCCATGAAGGAGTAGGGTTGACTTCAGCACGGCACTGGCCTTGGGACTCAGGGACCGTGACACTGGAAGGGGTCAGGGGGCACATGGGTCCCAGGGGAGCTACGCTTGAGTGAAGCCCTCCATTGTGGAGAAGTGGCTTCCACACCCACCTGTTCACCCCGGGTTGCAGCTGGTCTCATGCCCAGTTTAGCAGTGAGGATCATTTTTTGACAACTCTGCCTGTTGCAGGTGTTAAGTAACTTGTCCAACTTCATGCAGCAAGTGCAACATAAAAGCAAAGCTCCACCACTCTTCTCCTTGGCACAGAAAAATCCAAGTCACTCTCCTAAGGCTGGAAAATTCTGCAGCAATTGTCCCAGTTCTACCTGGAAAATGAGGAAGGGAGTGATAAAATTCTCTGTGAAGTGAGGAGAAATGAGGTTAACCTCGCCAACATTTATTTGATGTGCGTGTTTGTGCGCTGAGTCAGGGCCGGAGGTCGTGTCTTCGTTTAACAAATAGACCACATGTTGACAAGCAAAAAACGGCTTTCTTTGTCTGGCAAGAAAAGCCACTGCCTCGCTTCAGACAACGCTTTTTTTTGTTGGTGTCTCCGCTGACAACCCTGTTCAAAGAGAGCCACAAGGAATGAAAGTGAAAGCAGAAAAAGCCAACTTCGGTGTAATTAAGAGATATCACTGCCCGTTTTTCTCAGTGATGAGGCCGCAGCTGACTCAGTCGATAAGGGCCGTGAAGGAGTGGGGCCCAGGGCGCAGTGGGGATGGACTGGCCTTTTCACGGTCCAATTACTGGTCCAATTACTAGTCCAAGTTTTGAAGAGGATTGAAGTAGAACTGGATGGAGATGGGAAAGAGACCAATAAAGTGTTTTTTGTTTTTTAGGTTTTTTTTTTAAGAGGGGAGGAATGAATGAAGAACTTCTTTTATTTTCTTTTCCGGCTTGGAGCTAGCTCTGGTTCCCAAATAGGGTCCTGGGGGAAAGACGTGATGTGAGTCTGGGTGGCTGGGAACAGTCCCTCCTGGGTATCTGCGCTTGGCCCACTTCTGCAACCAGTAATGGAGGAGACAGAAGAACGCTTGAATGTGGGTTTAATTGTTCCCATCTGTGAGTGTTGCATTAAAGATGTTGCTGTCTTCTGTTGCATCGGGTGGTTTGGGACAAGTGATGAAGAAAGAGAGTCAGTTGATGCCTCTTGAGCAGGCATACACTCTCCCTAGGCTGAAAATTGAGCTGCATTAATTCAGAAATATTTACTGAGCAACTACTATGTGTCAAGCACTGCACTGGCTACTGCTTATGGATTCCCCCGAGAAGAATGCCCGTCCTAGGAGAGGGGGCAGACCTGTAAACAGGCAGACAAGCGCTGTGATGGGGTGCTGTGGGATCTTGGAAAAATCGAGAAGGCAGAAGAAGTAATTCCGAAGAGGACTCCTGAAGGACGCCTAAGAGCAGGCAACGCGAAGCTGAGATGGGAAGAAAGCGCTCTCCAGGCAGTGGGAAGAACATGATCCAGTATCTACGGGCGAGAGGGACGGTGGTCTGTCCAGAGAGGTGAGAATAATTCAAAGTGGCTGTGATGCAAGGAGGAAATTGTCACAAATAAACTTGGAGAAATCATCAAAGGCTGGAAGAGGAAAAATTGTAAAAACTACTGTATGGAATTTGGACCTTTTTCTACGGATGACTAAGTGTTATACATTGGGGAATCACACGATCAGATTTGCATTTCAGGAAGTTTAGTCCTGTTACGCTGGGTAACACCTGAAGGCTGAGAAAACCAGGAGCAGGGGTGACAAAGAGGGAGGCTGTGACAGAAATCCAGGAGGGTGACGAAGGGCTCCCGGGCAGGGGAGAGGCAGAAGGACTGGAAAGAGGGCACAGTGAAGGGCCATGGTGGGGGATACCAGGCAACACTGGCAAGCAAGTGGACAGTGATGAGTGAGGAGGTAGAGGAAGGTCCCCTCTTAGCTGGGACATTATGCCTCTATAGGACGCTGAACAAAGTAACCTGCGGAGGTGTTACTTTGTGGGAATGTAGACTGTGAAACTGAAGGAACTGTTTTATCCACCTCCCCGTAGTTTGCTCTGTGCTGAGGCTGCTGTACTGCTCCTCTTTGAAATAAAAGAGAACTCTTCCCAGAGGTGACAGATCCACCTGCGTGCTGTATGTTGCATGGAGGTGGGCGAACAGGTTATGTGGAGGGTTGTTCTTGGAAAGACGGATTCATTTTGCACCAGTGACAGGCTTGAGGGAACACCAGCGTGTCACACGTCTCTTCCCAGTGTCCCTGACTCATCCATGCCTAGGGATTTTACTTTAGTCCTTCCTTGCTGTGAATTTGAAAACTTTTATTTTATTTTTTTCTACTAGCTAAGAAATGTGTAACAGCTGTGTTCACTGTTGGCCTTCTAGCCTCAAATTTATTTTAAATACATTTCTTCTTAGTGATCTCTTCTTTGAATGCTGATGTTGGCTATGCATTAGTTTACACAATTCACAGGCTCTGTGTTGCTCAATTTTTAGTTCATTTATTTGACAACTTGAAATTCATCACAAGTGGTGCTTTTATTTTGTTATTTGCATCTGGAAATCATTCCTAACATGCCATGAAATACATCTGTTTTTTCCTTTTGCAAATCACTTTTTTTTCTTATTATAAGAGTAATATGTGTTTATTGTAGAAATTTTAGAGAAAAATACACATTGAAAAATAATAATATAAAAATATCCGGCCAGGCGCAGTGGTTCATGCCTGTAATCCCAGCACTTTGGGAGGCCGACCGGGTGGATCACCTGAGGTCGGGAGTTTGAGACCACCCTGACCAACATGGAGAAACCCCATCTCTACTAAAAATACAAAATTAGTTAGGCATGGTGGTGCATGCCTGTAAGCCCAGCTACTCTGGAGGCTGAGGCAGGAGAATTGCTTGAACCCAGGAGGCAGAAGTTGTGGTGAGCCAAGATCATACCATTACACTCCAGCCTGGGCAACAAGAGCAAAACTCCATCTATAAATAAATAAATATCCCTGAGTCCCACCATTGGGGATAACCGCTGTAGACATCCGAGGGTTTTACCTCTCTATTTTTAAAGTGCGTATACATTCATAAAGACACAGCATCAGGCTGTACCACCAGAGGTTTAGATCCCATAGGTCTGGGGTGACACCTAACAGTTAACATTCCAACAAGCCTCCTGGCACTGCTGACAAGCCCAGCTCCATGGCCGGCCCACACTTTGAGGAGCTCCACTTCTAATCATACCTATTCCTACACATGACCATCTTGTGCTCATGCATTTTCCACTTGCCAATGTCTCAGAAACCTTCTTCATGTCCTTCATCAACACGTGGTATGGCAGACCATTGCTATGGCCAACACTGAGTTTCAGGGCTTCTAATGTGGGATCTACTGCCTCTGCAGGGACCCACAGATAGGTCTGTTCACTTTCTCATCTGATGTATCTTTTTTCTTTTTTTTGAGATGGAGTCGTGCTCTTCTTGCCCAGGCTGGAGTGCAGTGGTGTGATCTTGGCTCACTACAACCTCGCTGTCTCAGGTTCAAGTGATTTTCCTGCCTCAGCCCCCAGGGTAGCTGGGATTACAGGCGCCTGCCACCATGCCCTGGCTAATTTTTGTACTTTTAGTAGAGAAGGGGTTTTGCCATGTTGGCCAGGCTTGTCTCGAACTCCTGACCTCAGGTGATCCACCCGCCTGGGCCTCCAAAAGTGCTGGGATTACAGGTGCGAGCCGCTGCACCCGGCCGATCTGATGTATCTTAAGGCATAGAGCATGACATAAAATGACTGAAGAGCACCTCACGATTTTTGTTTCTTACCCTTGTTTCTCCCTCCTGGGAACGGACTGACCCAAGGTTTAAGGCACCAAGAATGCCCAGCAATGTATTTTTTTCCCAGATAAAGGAAGATCTGCCACATGAAAAATGACCAGTTATCTTGGTCTATTGATGCACAATTGCTAAACAGACAATTTTCACATCCATTCTCATTTGAAGTTCCCAATGAACCAGAGTCACTGAAGTATCCACTATTTCCCTTCCTGTTGCAGAGGAATCCACCTTGAAGCTATGAATACTTTTTTGTTGTATTTATATTTATCAACACTTATATCTTCTCCCTCTCCTGATTCAGTGAGATCAGAGAATATTAAAGCCGGAGGGGCTCTGGAGGTGGCCTGCTCCAAATACCTCACTTGATAGATAAGACACAAAATGATTTTTCTGGGATCACAAGATGGGAACAGTCCTTAATAAATCTCTACTCCCTCACTCTGGTGCCCTTTTGCCTACACCCAGTATTCTGAGCCTTCATTGTCCTAGGAATGGCTGCCCTGAGCCTGGGGATGTCCCAGGGTTTTTAGGAGCCTCAGCATAAGCTTGACATAATTGATGTCAGCATGTTCACAATCTCTATAGGATCATTTCTACTGAGACTAATCTTATTCTTTATATTTTCATTTCTCTTCGCAGTGTTCTTAGAGGTTGATTTTTTGTTTGTTTGTTTGTTTTTACTTTAAGTTCTGGGATACATGTGCAGAATGTGCAGGTTTGTTACATAGGTATACATGTGCCATGGTGGCTTGCTGCACCTATCAACCCATCATCTACGTTTTAAGCCCCGTGTGCATTAGGTATTTGTCCTAATGCTCTCTCTCCTTTTGTCCCCAACCCCCAACAGGCCCCAGTGTGTGATGTTCCCCTCCCTGTGTCCATGTGTTCTCATTGTTCAGCTCCCACTTACAAGTGAGAATATGCGGCATTTGGTTTTCTGTTCTGTCTTAGTTTGCTGAGAATGATGGCTTCCAGCTTTATCCATGTCCCTGCAAAGGACATGAATTCATTCTTTTTTATGGCTGCATAGTATTCCATGTGCATATGTGCTTTCACTTTAGGAGCTCAACTAGCAACTCCCCCATGCACTCCCTCCTCCAGTGTCAGAGCACACTGCAGGACCCACCCAGTCTTTGAATAGGAAAGCACTGGCTGAAAAGCCCCAGAAAGTGGGGATGTACCAGTACAAGTTTCCCACCTGTGTATCCCACTGTTTTGTTTGGGGAGAACAACGGATATAACCGAAACGGGCTATCTGGTGAGCATAAGTTCTACATTAAGTTGTCCCTGTGCCTGAACCATTTTTGTTTGTTTGTTTTTGTTTTTTTTTTTTTTTTTTTGAAATGGAGTCTCATCCTATCACCCAGCTAAAGTGCAGTGGTGTAATCTCAGCTCACCACAGCCTCCGCCTTCTGGGTTCCAGCCATTCTCCTGTCTCAGCCTCCTGAGTGGCTGGAACTACAGGTGTGTGCCCCCACACCTGGCTAAGTTTTTTATTTTTTAGCAGAGGTGGGGTTTTGCCATGTTGGCCAGGCTGGTCTCGAATTTCTGTCCTCAGGACCCACCTGGGCCTCCCAAAGTGCTTAGATGACAGGTGTGAGCCACAGTGCCTGGTTGCCTTGGGCCATTCTTCATCCAGCTGCCTCCTACTCATCCCTTGGGTCTGAGGTTGAACGTTACCTCCTCGGGGAAGCTTTCCTCAATTCCCCAAACTGAATCAGGTCCTTCCTCATGTGTAGCCGTTCGCCTAGTCCTTCTCCAGAGCACTGATCACACCAGTGATTAATTAAGTATTTGTTCAATTGATTATGCAGCAAACCCCAAGATAGCAGAATCTCAGTTTTTCTTATTTACCCTTTTATCTTCAGCATCTAGGATATGTCTGGTGGACTAGGCTCTCAATAAATATTTTTTGACTGAATGAATGGTCAAAAAAGGCCAACTCCAGTGGTCTCTCTACAAGGTGATAAAAGAGTAAAGGGGCCGGGCGCAGTGGCTTATACCTGGAATCCCAGCCCTTTGGGAGGCCGAGGCGGGCAGATCACCTGAGGTTGGGAGTTCAAAGACCAGCCTGACCCACATGAAGAAACCCCGTATGTACTGAAAATACAAAATTAGCTGGGTGTGATGGCACATGCCTGTCATCCCAGCTACTCAGGAAGGCTGAGGCAGGAAAATCGCTTGAACCCGGGAGGCGGAGGTTGCCATAAGCCAAGATCGTGCCGTTGCGCTCCAGCCTGGGCAACAAGAGTGAAACTCCACCTCAAAAAATAAAAAAGAGTTAAGGGCAGGCTGTCTTGGACACATCTCTACCCCTATCTTACATGCAGAACGAATGGTATTAATTTTGTGATGAATAAAAAATATTTTTTCTTTGGATATATTTTAAACTTGGATATAGTTCACATATTATAAAATTGAGTATATTTGATCCAATATGTCAAGTACCATTAAATGGATAAAATGATAAATTTGGTAGAAGAAAAAATATTTAGGAAAGTCTCAGAAATTTAAATGTAATAAATGAATATGTATTCATATACATACTATAAAACTCATTATGTAACATATTACATAAAGCACATTTTGTGTTGAGGAGTGAGTTCCCTGTATTTAGCTTCATGGAAAAAATAGTTTCTTGTAGATAAATATTACAGGTGACTGAACTAAAAATATTTTGACAATGTGAACTACTTGGATAGCAATATTTTGAGTTGTTTTATACACTAGTTCCTTATCTTAAACAGAAGTTAACATACTCATTTATCAATGGAGAGGTGGCATTTATCATTAGGACCATCAAAACAATTGTGTTAAAATCTCAGGGACAAGAATGAGTGCAGGGATTGTAAGCTCCTCTGCTGGGTGCTTCGTTCTGCTCTTCTATACAACCTGCTCTGCATCCTCTTGAGTGCTTTTTAAACTTCCCTCGTCTCCTCCTTCGTTTCCAGGCTTTCTCACCCACTACTCCTCTTTGCCGTTCCTCTGCCTGACTCTATTAAGATAAACTAATCCTTGGAATTTGCTGCTTTGAAGTTGATGTCGGCTGGGAAACTCATACACAGGCGTGTCCCAGTCCTGTGGTCTAGAATCAACATAGTGAGACGAGACAGAAGGCTGGTGGTTGCTGCTCTGCTGGTTACCAGCTGTTTAACCCTCGGATAGGTCACACTGAAAACCCCTGGGCCCTGTTTGTTCTTGTATGAGATAAGGCTAGTAACACTCACATTCCACGTTTGGGGAAGGATAAAATGAAATCGCCTGATTGGTCATACTTGACCCACAGCTAGTGCTTGGTCAACGTGCCCCTTCCTTCTTTCTCTCCCTACCTGGAGAGCCTACAGATGTGGTAAGTGATTCTGAAGGTTTCTCCCATGAGGAAGTGACACAGGCTTGTACTTATTTGGATAGTCAAGGCACCTTTTGTTCCTGCGGTTGACACTCTTCCAAATAGTTGAAGTTACGTGTAAGTGAACACCACCTAACCAATATGCTACTGTATTTATAAAGGATGCTAACTTGAATTAGCTTTGCCCAAGCAGAATATTTTAAAAAATAAAAATAAATAAGAAGCAGTAGTCCATTCTACCTGTCTGCCAATTTCTATGTTCTAGTTAAGGACATGGGAACACATGATCAGCAATACATGATCAGATATAATCACCACGAGACAAGGTGTGTTAACAACTTTACGTTCAGGGCCTGGAACATAATAGATGCACTGTATTTTTTGACTAAATAAATAGCTATTCCTGGAGGTGTGATGATTATACTATGCCCAGATCCTGCCAAAGGCAAAAAGGCAAAAAGTTATATTCAGACCAGCTATCTCTCTATTTTTTTCCCTGCTCAGGGCTAAATTTTTCCGAAAAAATCACATAAGAGTCCAACTGTCAGAATGAGTTCATCACCTGGGCTGGGGATCCCAGATTCTGTGAGCAGAAGACTTCATCCACCCAGGTGTCTATTTCAAGAACAGTCTCCTCTTTTGCAAAAGCGTTCATGGAAATGGCCTTCTCTCCTAACAGACAGCAGCTACAGAGCCTCCTTTCCCTGGGCTGCAGAGGGTAGGTTAATGGAGACTGAGGAGCCCTCTGGAGAACAGCAAAAGGAACACGATTTCACCCTTCTTAGCATCCTGGGGCTTGTGATACAGATGGCCCATGTTGCAAATGGAGACGCCGTGGCTATGTTGCCACTTGCCCTTGCAGACACAAGTACGGGGACATTATATTCAATTTTGGGTCTCCATCCATATGCTGCTCCTCCAATTTATTTGTCTACATGAAGGGATATGAAGCCCAAAGCCAGAGGACATCCAATTCGGCTTTAATTACAGTGATGAGCTGTTTGTCAGGGTGCCATGAGCTGCAACGCCACCTTGGTCGCTGACAAACTCGGAGCAGGGGTGACACCAACTCCCCTGTTGGCTGCTGATCATTGAGGCTTGGGCAGCAGCAGCACTTAGTTCAATATTTGTTGTTTGAAACCCAACAGTTATGACTCTGCCAAGCTTAATGAAAGGGAGAAAATAATTATCAGAGAGCTTATGCAATTTTGAAGACCAGGGGCTTTTAAACAAAGTTACCATGCCAGAAGTGTTCTTGGCATGTCATGAGGACTGTTGCCGTTATTAGCGATGACAATGCAGTCATTATTTTTACACTGGCTTAATTGTTCAGCAGACACCAAGGACCGTGTCAACACAGTTCTGCAAATGGAAACAAACACGCCATCATTCAGGGTCCCACTTTGATATTCTGCCTTTGCACTTGTTTCATTTTTTCTTTGAAGAACATTCTATAGATCGAAGGAATTATTCCAGACCTCTGATTCATGCTAGGCTTATTCTCTTCCTCATTCAGTCTCTCAATCAATCAATACTTACTGAGTACTTGTCATTGCAAGACCTGAGGAATAGAGGGGCTAGCAGACCAGCCTGGGTTCTGCCCTTATTGGAATCTTTCACCTTCTACTGCAGAAGGTCCCACCTTTAGGTAGAATGATCAGAGATCTCTCTGAGGATGTCACATTTAAACTGTGACTCTAAGGATGAAAAGAAGCCAGATTTGTAACTAATGAAAGGATGTTCCAGCCGGATGCTGGAACTTTGGGAGGCCGAGGCGGGTGGATTACCTGAGGTCGGGAGTTCGGGACCAACCTGGCCAACTTGGTGAAACCCCATCTCTGCTAAAAACACAAAAAATTAGCCAGACATGGTGGCAGCACCTGTAATTCCAGCTACTCAGAAGGCTGGGGCAGGAGAATCGCTTGAACCTGGGAGGCAGAAGTTACAGTGAGCCAAGATTGTGCCACTGCACTCCAGCCTGGGCGACAGAGCAAGACTCTGTCTCAAAAAAAAAAAAAAAAAGAAAAGAAAAGGAAGGAGGGAAGGAAGGCAGGAAGAAAGGAAAGAAGAATGGACATTTCAGGTGGAGGGATAGCAACTGCAGAGGCCCTGGTAGTTGAAGACATTATGTCTAGATAACTCCATCACCATGGCTTATGCCATGTAGGGGTTTGTCTGTCTCACATAGCAAGAAACCTAAAAGTAGGCAAAAGTTTACCAGTGCAGCCATGTCAGGACCAGCATCTCTGCAATTTGTTTGGTCTTCCCTTATGGTTACAAGCTGCCTGCAGCAGCTCAGGCCATCCTATCTAAGGCTGGGGCAGGAGTAACAGGAAGGTTTTAAGCTAACTATATCTGTCATTTTTTGTTTGTTCTATTTCAAGAAAGCAAGATATTTTCCAGAAACTTTGAGCAGTTATATGTGTATGTCACGTTAACCAGAATGGTATTCAACAGGCATCCCTAACTGCAGCAGCAGCTGGAGAAGTAAGATTTAGTTGCAAATACCAATAATTCAAGCACAATTGGAGTTTGGTTATCAAAGGACAAAATAGGCCATAGATATTTCAAAAAAAATGGTATGTTCAAAGTATTATTTTAAAAAGGCCAGGGATGGGGCCAAGCATGGTGGCTCACGCCTGTAATTCCAGCAGTTTGGAAGGCCAAGGCAGACAGATTCCTTGAGGTCAGGAGTTCGAAGTTAGCCTAGTCAACATGGTGAAACCCTGTCTCTACTAAAAATACAAAAATTAGCCTGGTGTGGTGGCACACACTTGTAATCTCAGCTACCCAGCAGGCTGAGGCAGGAAAATTGCTTGAACTCAAGAGGTGGAGGCTACAGTGAGATGAGATCACGCCGCTGTACTCTGGCCTGGGCAACAGAGTGAGACTCCATCTTAAAAAAAAAGCCCATGGAGGCTGCACTCCAAAGGTGGAGCGATAGCATAGTGTAACATGATTTTTGAGATGTGTGAAGAGGTCAAATCCACAGAAACTGAGGGCCGTGATCAGACATCACCAACTGTAGTCAACCACATGTTAAAGTTGAATTGTTCCGTCTTCTGTTTTCCACATCCACCTTCTTCCGTCCACCCTTTCCTGAAGGTCCGTGTGAGGCCTGACCTTGCTTTGATTCTTGCAGTCCTCTTCTAACTGTGCCCCTTTGCCTCCACTTCCTGCCTGCACCCTTGCATCTCCTATCTGTGACTTTTAAAGAAAGTAAATCTCAACATTCCTCAGGGCTCCCTATGACGTAAATTCCAAGCTTCTCTGTGTGACCTCAAGTCATTTCTGATCTGGTGCCTTATCCTGCAGCCACAGCCCCTGCCACTTCCTCCTTTCACGACTATCTTATCACAGCTGTCCTGTTATTTGTGATTCTCCCAACATCCCTCAGGAACATTTGCCTTCCTTGAAGTCCTTTTTCTTCGGGTCCTTTCCAGAGTCAGAGTGGGCTTTTCTTGACATCCTTATGGGAAAGGGACAACTCATTCCTTTGCCTTTCCACCCCACTTGCGTTCCACCCCTAGGTTGCTACACATTCCCCTAGAGGGCTTTTGTTTGTCCACCTGAGTATCTTCTTCCCACTGGTCTCTGGGGTCACAGGGGGCAAAGACCTCACCTCACTCATCTTGGTCTCTGGCTCTGAGCACAGCACCCTGACACCATCATAAGCTGTAACTACAAATTCAATGGAATTAGTATGAAGGTAAGGAGCCAGCAGGTTCTGGTGGCTCACTGAGGCATTACTGTTCTTGTTTTTGAGATGGAGTCTCACTCTGTTGCCCAGGCTGGAGTACAGTGGTACGATGTTTGCTTAATGCAACCTCAGCCTCCTAGGTACAAGCAATTGATTCTCCTGCCTCAGCCTCCTGAGTAGCTGGGATTACAGGCGTGCGCCACCACGCCTGGCTAATTTTTGTATTTTTAGTAGGCACGGGGTTTCACCATTTTGGCCAGGCTGATCCTGAACTCCTGACCTCAAGTGATCCACCCGCCTCAGCTTCCCAAAGTGCTGGGATTACAGATGTGAGCCACTGTGCCCAGTTTGAGGCATTGCTGTTTAAGGGGCCAGAGAGACCACAATAGGCACAGAGGCTGAGACAACATGGGTGGTACCATGTAGACAACATGTAGACAACATGGGTACCATGTAGACAACATGTAGACAACATGGGTGGTGCCATGTAGGCTCATCCCTCCATGATTTGCTGGAAGAACTAAGACGGCAGTAGGAGAAGTGGATAAAATAATGTCTGTGGAGTCAGACTGCAAGGGTTCAAATCCCAGCCCTGCCATTCACCAGCCAGATGACCTTGGTCAATGTACGTAATGCCTCTGTGCCTCATTTTATGCACCTGCACAGTGGAGGTAATAATAGTGCCTGCCTCATAGGATTTTCCAGAGGATTGAATAAGATAATCTTTGAGAGTATTCCAGTACATGGTAAACTCTCGCACCATATTAACTATTGCAGTATGGTGTTATTATTATTATGAATATCTAATACAGTTAATATCTTTGTACGTAGGAGTTTTAGCAGGCAGGTGTGAATGGCACTTTTGAAGATGCAGAGACAGATTTATCCTTATACTCCTAATATTTATCCTCAAAGACACTATTTAACTCATTCAAAAATATTTACTCTTTTTTAAAGACCGCTTTCAGCTCCTTTTTATACAAAAAAAAGGAATTCTATCCTCATTCTAGCAATAGTAGCCTAAAGAAAATCTTATTACACTCATTATCTTAAATTAAGGTAATTGAAAACCACTGTTTAAGAGTAGACCCCAAATGTATCATAAAATTAATTCAATTATAAATAACAAGAATTGACTGTACTTGAATGTGCATGAAGTATAGAATCATAGTGGAACATTTAAGAAATATGTCCTTATCTTGTTACTATGGCTACATGTTACTCCAAGATACAGTAGTTCTATGGTAAGGTTGGAATTACATTATTTCCTCTCTATATTGAAATATTCAGCAACTAATTTCCTGTAGCTTCATAGTAAATCATGCTAATGACCTCAGAGGTGGAAACCAAGGTGGTGAGACTTTCTCCCTGCTCTAAGGTTATTCCATTAAACAAAGCAGAGAATACACATTTATACTCATTTGATCAGGAAGCATAAGGAAGCTTATAATGAGAAAGACATGGCAATGACATCTCATGAGGCGATGTTAACTTTAAACTCAAGTATTTAATATTATTTATTCATTGCGTCCATGATAGGATCACAACAGTGAGAAAACTAGAGATTCATATGGGCAGGAACTGAGAGGGGATATGGTACAATTGAATTCAATTCCACAAGTAATTCATGGAAACTTATCATGTGCTAGGTACGTATTAGGTAGGATACCCCCATACCCTATTCTTTGTCTACTGAAATTATTATAATATTTTTGTGTATATCACTAAACATTCAAAACAGTGGGAATAATGAAGAAAGGAAGTTACACTGGTTTCTAAAAGCCCTATCATCAGTAGCAATTTCTCAAAAGCTCTTCATGACATCCTAGAGACATCAAAGCATTGGAAGCACTGGGGTGCTGGGGCTGGCTCACGGCATCTTGCACCAGCGGTACATATCTCTTCCAAACTCTGTATTCAGCGATGTCTTGTTGGTAGTTGAAGTCCACCATGATGGTAATATTTACACCACAGAAACAAACAAATATTACAAGTCAGGTCTTTTTTTCTTCTTCCCAGAGAATTGGCTATTAAACAGTTAGCAGCATGCCACTGATTACAAGCAGCGATGTGAGATTGTATCTTCTTATTTCAAAGACTGCTCTTTCCACTTTATGTGTTTGTTTCCCTTTCCCAAACCTCTTCCACATTCACCTGTAAGACTGATTTTTGCCTCTCTAGATGAAGGTGAGATAAGAGAGGTTTGTAAGCTTGTCTCTGTTTACTTCACCCTGAGTCAAGCCACCAACTTCTCTTGCTGGACTTTGTCTGTAACTTTCAAATTAGTCCCTTTGTGTTGATGCTTGCTCCCCTCCAATCCAATCTCCATCCACCAATGAGAGTGATCTTCTAAAATTGTAAGTCACTTAAGCAAACAGAAGAAAAGTAATAATAATGACATCCCTAATTCTCTCTCTCTCTGTCTCATGTCTATGTCTATGCCTATGCCTATATCTGTGTCTATATCTCCCTATCCCTACCCACTTTTCTCTCCCTTGCTATCATTATCTCTGTCCCCAATATATGCTTCTGCACATCTCACATTCTGGCTTTTTCTTATGCTGCTCCCCATAAGACCCTTCACTTCTCTATTGACATCATTTTCACCTTCAACTCCACACTCAGATACTGACTCATACATATGATTGATTCTCACCTGCCTGTGTCTTGTTGATCCAGGTCTCAGCTTAGAAATTACTTCCTCCAGGAAGCTGTCTCCAAGTCCTGTTCAGATATCTGTCCTTATAGAGCGTTTTTTATCTCACTTACTATACTTTTTGTTGTCTTACCTATTTACTATATGCTTATATAGTAAGCAACTCTTAGGAATTAGACAAAAGTTCCCATTTCTGTAAGACAGATTTCCAAAACAGGACAGATGCTTGATGAGGAATGCTTGAGCTGGATTTCAACCTTTTCTTCCCAAGTATTTTGTGTGGTGAACAACCTGCATGACTGGCCCTTCCCCTTAACCATTTCCATTATAGCATACATTCTGTCATTGTAGCACTTAGATGTGTATAGCAATCTTTATTATCTGCCTCTGTCCCTGAAGATTATATACCCCATCTTTTTTTTACATTCCCAGTGCATTGTGATCATATATTATTCATCTTTATGTGAAACATGGTGACAAGCATATAGTAGGTGTGTACATTTTGCTTGAAGTAAAGTGAAATCAATCTTGTTCCCATACCACTCAACCTTACTACCTTTATTCACCCAGATACTAATCAGGTACTGCTTCATTCCAGATGCTTAGAAAGATGAGCAAGGCACGGAATATCCCTGTAGGAAACTCGAAGGCCCATCAGAGAGACAGACACATAATTGAACAGTGGTGACACAATATGCTCCATGACAAACATGTGTGAGACTAACTGCATTAGAATTCCCTGGCATGCTTTAATGAAGATTTCCAGACTGTACCTCACACCTAATGAATTAACATATTTGTGCTGCTTCTTCTGTCTTCTCTGTGCCCCTCTTCCCATCGTTTCCAACCAACTCAGCCAGTCACTGCTCCCTCCAGCAGGGAATATGCCCCTGTGAAATGTACCTATGGGAGGATAGCCATCATTGGCTAGACCTGGAAACTAGTTATTCTAACCCAGTTAATAACAAACCCAGAACAACTGAACCCCTAAAAGGCGGTGGATTTGGACAAGAAGTTCTAGAGAGTATTTGCTAAGAGGTGTTGATATGTTGCAAAGAATCAATCACTTATTTTTCAAGGATAGCTTTAAAAAAAAATAAAAGCCCACCTACTTAGTCTATTAGAAATAAAGTCAGTAGGCCAGGCACAGTGGTTCACGCCTGTAATCCCAGCACTTTCTGAGGCAGAGGCGAGCAGATCACCTGAGGTCAGGAGTTCACGGCCAGCCTGACCAACATGGTGAAACTGTCTCTCCTAAAAATACAAATTTAGCTGGGTGTGGTGGCACATGTCTGTAATCCCAGCTACTCAGGAGGCTGAGGCAGGAGAATCACTTGAACCTGGAAGGTGGAGGTTGCAGTGAGCCAAGATCGCGCCATTGCGCTCCAGCCTGGGCAACAAAAAAAAAAGAAAAGGAAAAGAAAAAAAAGAAAGTAAATCACTAAGTAGCCTTTTGCAAGACAAACAAAAAAAAAAAGAATATTTAGGATTTAGTCTATAACCATTGACTTTTGGAAATCCTGTCCTTCCTAAGGAAAATTAGAGGAAAAAAAAGAGCTGAAGTCTCTGTTGCATGAGAAATACCATTTGTGATTAAACTGCTGTGAAATACATACTCAAAACTGTGGGAAATTCTTGCCACATCTTTCTAAAATTGCTGTTTGATGTCTTACATGCCAAAATGACTGTGAACTAGTGCTCTCTTGAAAACCACCTAAATGATCCACGACAAGGAAGTCATTAATTAAATAATAAGGTGGATGTGGACTACTATGCAATCATTAAAAATCTATTCTCAAATAATTTTTAAACATATAGAAAAATGCATAAAAATACTATTAAGGGAAAATATAGGTTATAAAACAATATTATAGCATTGTTCTAGTTTTACTAAAAAATCGTGTGTATTCACCAAAATGTTGACAGTAGGGTTTAAAATGGACTGGTACTTAAAGGTGATTCCTTTACATTTTTTTCTACTTGAAATATTTCTATATTTATTTGACTTCTTCATAATGGCCATGTTTTATTTTTAGGGCTGCCATTCAATTGGTCATCCAATCTGGGACAGGTTTCAGAGTAAAAGAGGAAACCTTAGCAATAATATGGGACTATAGGCAAAAGCAGGACTGTTTTGGACAAACACGCTATGTGGTTGTTACGGGCTGAATTGCATCCCCCAAAACCCATGTGTTGAAGTCCTAACCTCTGGTCTCTCAGAATGTGGCTTTCCTTGGAAATAGGGTTGTGGCAGATATAATTAGTTAAGATGGGGTTATACTGAATGATATAGATTGGGTCTTTAATCCAATATGACTGGTGTCCTTAGAAAAAGGAAAAATACGGACATAGACACGCCCACAAAGAAAGAACACTGTGTGAGCAGGAAAGCAGAGATTGGGATGATGCATCTACAAGGCACGGAATGCCAAGAACAGACAGTAACCACCAAAAGCCGTAACCGCTTAGTGGGTTCACCTTACCTGCTGCCTACCCAGAGCCAACTTCTCAAGACAGGGGAATTGCAATAGAGAAAAAGTAATTCATGCAGAGCCAGCTGTGTGGGAGACTGGAGTTTTATTATTACTCCAATCAATTCCCCTGAGCATTTGGGGATCAGAGTTTTTAAAGACAATTTGGTGGGAGGGGAGGGGCAGTGAGTTGGGGAGTGCTGATTGGTTGGGTCGGAGATGAAATCATGGGGTGTCATGTTCTTCTTGCACTGAGTCAGTTCCTGAGTTGGGGGTCATAAGATCAGATGGGCCAGTGTCTCTATCTGGGTGGTGCCAGTTGATCCATCAAATGCAGAGTCTGCACAACACCTCAAACAATGACCTTAGGAGCAGTTTAGGGAGGGTCAGTATCTTACAGCCTCCAGCTGCATGACTCCTAAACCATAATTTCTAATCTTGTGGCTAATGTTAGTAGTCTAATCCCCAGGCAAGAAAGAGGTTTGTTTCGGGAAAGGGCTGTTATCACCTTTGTTTTAAACTATAAACTAAGCTCCTCCCAAAGTTAGTTCAGCCTATGCCCAGGAATGAACAGGGACAGTTTGGAGGTTCGAGGCAAGATGGAGTCACTTAAGTTGGACTGTTTTCACTGTCTCAGTCATAATTTTGCAAAGGCGGTTTCAATCCTATAAGACCAACATACAACAGATTCTCCCTTAGAGACTCAGAAGGAACCAACCCTGGCATTACCTTGATCTCAGACTTCTAACTTCCAAAACCATGAGACAGGAAATGTCTGTTTAAGCCACTCACTTTGTGGCATTTCGGTTTTTTGTGGTAGGCCTAGGAAACTAATACAATGGTCATTGTAGTTATTTTATATTTAGAAATTAAGAGCAATTCTGGAGGTGAGAGATGGGCAGGAGTAGGGAAGAATGAAGTTCAGTGCAACAAAAGAAGCTTGTTCACTCAACTAAGACTGTAAACAATGCTGTTTTTCAAAAATACGTATTCCTTCTTTCTGCCTGGCCCCTCTTTAGAGAGCCATGTCCTGTTGATATCAAGCTTGACCATGTGACTTGCTTCAGCCTGTGGCGTGTGAGTCACAGTCACATGTTCCATTGAGAAATGGGAGCTTTAAAGACCATGCTACGGTTCTGCCACCTTTGTCGTTTGCCATGACACGAGCTTATCCTAAGGGAGAGCTGCTTCTTTAGCCTGAAACAGAGTTGAAACTGATCTGCAATGAACCTGTCACATGAGATAAAAATGTATCTTTTGGCCAAGTGCAGTGGCTCACATCTGTAATCCCAGCACTTTGGGAGGCTGAGGCTGGGGGTTCACAAGGTCAGGAGATCCAGACCATCCAGGCCAACATGGTGAAACCCTGTCTCTACTAAAAATACAAAAAAATAAAATAAAATTAGCAAGGTGTGGTGGCATACACCTGTGGTCCCAGCTACTGTGGAGGCTGAGGCAGGAGAATTGCTTGAAACCAGGAGGCAGAGGTTGCAGTGAGCCAAGATCGCACCACTGCACTCCAACCTGGCGACAGAGAGACTCCATCTCAAAAAAAAAAAAAAAAATTGTATCTTTTACTAGTGTTATTCACCAAGATTAGGAGGCCGTAGTGTTACTGCAGCAGAATGTAGCCTAAGCTGACTGATAAAACATTGACTAAGCAACTCTCAGGTACCATGCCAGGATGAAAAAATTAATTAGACACAGACCCTGCCAGTGAAGAACTAACATTATACTGTGTACCATTGGCCTTTAAAAGATAAAGATTTTTGGCCCCAGGTGTGTTCTATATTTTCTGTAAGACCTGCAAGTAAATGTTAAATGATGTTATTTCAACCGGTTTTTCTGTAGCAAAAATCTTTAAAAGCTCTCATATTCAAAGTGGTTCTTGCAATCTTGAACTACATGTACAGATATAAAATCTGCCAATTAAAATTTTATGGTTTAGGGAAAAAATCCCCTCTGAAAAATAAACCTAGGTCAATTATTTCATTATTTAATTCTCATTTGGAAAATAAGATGTTCAGACATTGAGTTATATTAGAAGGAAGAAAACCACTTCTGTGGGAACAGTCAAATTTATTTCATTTACTATTAGAGAATGTTAATTTCAAGAAGCAATCTTTGAAAGCAACCAAATTTGGCAAAGACAAGTAGTCTTCCCTGAGAAATATTGGACAGCAACAGATTATATAAGGAAAGGACAGAGGGGAGAGACATCTCAAGTGTAGGTCTGGATGGAGGTAGAAGAGTCATGTTCTAGAGTCAGCATTGTAAAGCAAAAATTGCATGGTGTCAAAATTATCCTTGAAAGTCCCTTAAATGGCCCTTAAATTGTCTGGACCTGTGCCTTTAGAGGTTGAAAGGCCAAGAATTAATGTCTTTTGTTTCTCTGGGGCAGTGAAGGCCAAGGTCTAATTTGAAAGGGGCAAAGGACGATGGGGAAAATAAAGGATCTCTGCCTTTCTTGGTCCATCTTTTGGTCTCCTGTCCTCTCTCTAGGTGACTCTTCCTCCAGCTCTCCTCCTGCTCTTTCCCCTCAACAGTGCATATAGCTAAAGTCAAACAAGTTAAATGTGCATGTTAGGCAACTCTAGTCCTTACAACTTAAAAACTTTAAAATGGATGCATTGGGGGCCTATTGTGTACCCTGTCCTAGGCTAGATATGGAAGAGATATAAAGCAGGGATGGGGGTGAGATGAGGAGAGGAAACAACAGACCTCACAGGAGCCAGGAAGACTGAACTGCAAACAGATGATATAAATACAGTGTAGTCAAGTCAAGGCAGTAGCTCAGGTAAACACACAATGCCACAAACAGGAGTTCTCAAACCTTGGCTGCATTTTAGAATCACTTGAGCTTCCAAAAGCTTCAATGCCCAAGACACACCCCAGATGCACCCCAATTGCCAGTGACCCTGGAATCTTTGGGGAGGACCTGGTCATCAGCATGTCTTTGAGCTCCCCGGGTGAGTCCACATGCAGCCAAGGTTGAGACTGGGGGCTACAGCTGTGTAGAAGAGCATCTGGTGTGGGTCTGAAGGCTGGGCAGGAATTAGCTGGTAGCAGTGTGCATTCCAGGCTAGGGGAACCCCAGTACTAAAGCTTCTTCAGCACAAAGAGGCTTGGTTTGTGCTTTGAACATAGCGTGGTTATAAATTAAAGAATAACCAAACTCCTTGAGTTGAATCAGTACACACCATAATGCATCAGCTCACATTGACATGGCAACCTCTTTTCATCTCTCTTTGTTAAGGGCCACTGGTTCTTTAAAAGCATGCGTATTAATGGATTCTATCTGATGATGATTCACTCCATAGTTCCATCATGTATGCATCTCTAACCAGTATAAGCAAAGCATTTTCCTTTCAAGAGTCTAATCCTAGCATTGTGCCATATCCATGGCCCTCTAAGATACACACCCCATCTACAAAGGCGACATGTACTCTTAAGGTACAAAGCATTTCCTTTAGGGGAGTGATTGCCTGTGTGTCCAAGCTGATGAAGGGTGCTCTTTTAAGTTGGAGAAAATTGATTTTGTTGTGGTTGTTGCACAAAGGTTTATGTTTTCAAAGCCTCCAGATAAAAGGCACCATGGGCAGCTAACAAGCCCCTAATAGGACTACATCAAGTTTTACTCACCTGCTGCCAGGGCTTGACTTCTGCGTCTTGACGACATGAAACCAGGCTTTGACAGCATTCATTTTTGCTGAAGGACCCTCCCCCAGCCTCCTTCCATAAATCCTATGCTCCTTTATTCCGTATTCATTCAGCACAGATGTTTTTATGGCCATAATATATTTATACTAATTCAGAGGCTTGCCATCAGTAGATAGGCTCATCTCTCTGATCCGGAAGGCGGCAGAGGCACTCCTTCTGACATTGCAGATGAAAATAAGGTCTGCTTTTTTCCCACAGTGCTCTTCAAAGGAGCAATTTTCTAAAATTCGAACAAGGGTGTCATAGTTAATAAGATGGAATTCTCCTTTTCTTTTTCTTATTATATTTTCCAAATCAAGGGCAGTAGATTCCAGAACTCCAATGACGTCAGGCCACTGTACTTTCAAAATGCTGTTCTCAGTCAGGTTTCTTATTATCTGATCCTGGTTCAGTAGATTGTCTCAGAATTGACTTTTTAGATTAATTTTGATTCTTAGTTAAATTACTTTTTAATAGCTAATTACCACACAGTCTATCTGATTAACGGTATTGTGATTCAGATCAAGCGGTGAGATGACTACAGGTAACAGACCCTTGCTATCATTTGGGTGTTCTCACAAGGAACAGGAGCCAGGTAGTGAACCATGTGCCTACCCTTTGGGCAGGGAATGGGTGGCTCTAAGAGATGACAGATGCTGTCATCCGGAATCAGTTCTCATCTTGGTCAATTGGATGAGTCAGAGAGATTTTGGAAACATCTTCAGGCTAACCCAATTTACATTATAGTTATATTTTAATTGCCTTTTAAAGTCTAAATGCAGTTGATTGTGAAAACTGTGTCACATCATTTAAGGGAACTAGAGCTTTCTTTTTATGGAAACGCAAAAGGACCTAGCAGGAAAATACCACATTGCCTAAGCAGTAAAGAAATATGTCCGGCCGGGCGCGGTGGTTCACACCTGTCATCCCAGCGCTTTGGGAGGCCGAGGCGGGCAGATCACAAAGTTAGGAGATTTAGAACATCCGGGCTAACAGGGTGAAACCCCGTCTCTACTAGAAATATAAAAAAAAAAAAAAAAAAAAAAAAATTATCTGGGCATGGTGGTGCTTGCCTGTAGTCCCAGCAACTCGGGAGGCAGAGGCAGGAGAGTAGCTTGAACCTGGGAGGCAGAGGTTGCAGTGAGCCAAGATCATGCCACTGCATTCCAGCCTGGGTGACAGAGTGAGACTCTGTCTCAAAAAAAAAGAAAGAAAAAAGAAAACAGAAAGAAATGTGTCCTCAAAGCTTCCTCAGATTGTTCTAGAAAAGAGCACTAGCAGCCCCCAACCAATGCATGCCGTGAACTCATTCCAGGTATCATGCACCTTTGATTGTTTCACTTTCCTTGGGTCAAACCTTTAGAAAGTGGGTTCCCTGTCTCAGGCACTGAGCTAGGTAAATTCAGGGGATAAGATCAGGAAGAGTCCCTTCCTGAATCCAGGTACTCCCACTCCCCCCGGACAACAAGGTCAGAGGCAATCCCTCGCCTTCACCTCTCATCTTATTTTTAAATAAAAGTTTCTCTTTCTTTATGTTCTTCGCTTTCTCCTTCAACAAGATTGTTTCCTGCTCCCTCCCCACCCCTGCTGCCTCTCTGAATGTTGTTTCTCCTCACTGCACTGTGCTGTGCAGTGAATCCATATTTCTTTTCCTTTTTTCCTTTTCACACTTGACCACGTCTTTATTCAATAACTCTGCCCCTTCACAGCACAGGGCCCGGTGGAGGCTGCCCTTCCAGGGAGCCCAGGCTCACGTGTACTTGCCAGGGCTGGCTGTCCCTGTCCAGCAGGTCACAGACCTCTCCTGGTCTGACACTGAGGAGTGACCAGTGCTGACTCAGAGCAGCCCATCTACGGGCGCACTGTTCAGAAAGTCGTGGAGGTAGATATACTGCTCCAGCGTTGGGGTCATAAGGCCACAGGCCGGGGACTGCTGCAGAGCCACGTTAAACAGATCCACGGTACACTCAGTCCCTGCCTGGTGCTGCAGCTGCTCCATGGCCAGGAAGGTGCCCAGCTGGGTCGCACCCTTGCTCGAGTCACTGAGCAGTGTGCCTGGCTTCTGGCTCTTGCCCTGAGAGCAGCACTGGCCCATGGTAGCCAGGAAGGGCGGCGGGGTGGTCCTTGGTACCTGGAGCCATCAAATGCTGGGCTCTCTTTGGGCTTCTTCGCAGCAGCCTTCTTTCTTTACTTTACTCACTTCCTAAATAACACTGTTCTCAGGACCTTCATTACTGCATATATATTAATAATTCACAAATCTGAATTTCATCCTTTGCCTCTCATTTGGTTTCCAAATTTATTTTCACTCACAATTCCTACATAGTCAGACACCTTCAACTTCACGTTTCCATTTTGATTCTTTGTCTTGCCTTCCATGTCTTGTAGCTTATCTATTTTTTTCTGTCTCGGTAAAAGTTCCCATTTGCCCACAGTAGAGGATTGAAAATAATCTGGCTTTTAAAAATACCCTGGGGGAAACAAAAAAAAAGACCATTCATCAGTCTGCTGATTCTATATCTCTGAGTAACACTGTGAATTCCTGTGACTCTAGTTGAGTTAAATTTATTCCTAGCTTTTAAAAATAAAGCCAATGAAAGACCAGAGAGATTATTACAAAGCCTGCATTCTTGTGAAGTTGCTGAATCCACAGTTTTATTTTAGTCAAATCACATTTCCATATTGCAAAAATATTTTCTAAACAATTAATGGGTATCATATGGGGTCAGTCTTGTGGCGTTTATTCTTTTGTAACACTGAGCTAAAGTCTCTATGGGAAAGATAAATAGGTTGTTGGAGAATTAAACTGGTCAAGAAGTGAACATTGATGCCTAAACCTCTCCTCTGAAATTTTGAGCACATGTTAACATAGGCACATAAAAAAGAGCCTTAGCAGAAAGAAGAAACGATATTTCCATTGTTGGGTCACAGTGGTCACTAAAGGGGATATAACTTTAATTTCTCATTTGAACGTACATGGCATCCATTTAACCAACTCATTTACAGCATAGCCGCCTGTCAAGCATATAAAACTGTACCACATTGAGCTGGATCGGTTTTTAAATTCTAATATAATGCACCTGGGCACGGTGGGTCATGTCTGTAATCCTAGCACTTTGGGAGACTGAGGCTAGTGGATCACTTGAGGCCAGGAGTTCAAGACCAGCCTGGCCAACATGGCGAAAACCCGTATCTACTAAAAATACAAAAAATTAGCCGGGCATGGTGGTGCATACCTGTAATCTCAGCTACTCAGGAGGCTGAGGCACGAGAATTGCTTGAACCCAGGAGGCAGAGGTTGCAGTGAGCCGATATCACACCACTGCATTCCAGCCCGGGTGACAGAGCAAGACTCTGTCTCAAAAAATAAAGAGAAAAAAAAAATTGTTACATAATGCACCCTCGCACATGCTGTTGGATGTACCATGATTCAAACTATGAATTCTGTAGGAAAGCTACATTTTAAACATGTTTGGGTGAAAATGATGTGTCAATGTAGGTTCAATGACTGTATCAAATGTACCACTCTGGTGGGGGTCATTGGTAATGAGGGAGGCTACATGTGGAGGCAGGAGGTATATGAGAAATCTCTGTAGCTGACTTTCAATTTTATTATAAACCTGAAACTGCTCTTAAAAAAACCGTAAAAAAATAAGTTTGATGAACTTGGTTTTCAAGCAGGTAGCAATTAAGACTGTGGTTGTCATAGAGACAGACCTATGGCAATGGAGATGAAGGGTGGGAGCTTGGCTTTATCAGAATGGCAATTCTGCATTTTTGTGAATGTCAGCAAATGAATTTGACCCATGACGTATGGACGTAGATCAAAGGGCACATTTAGCATACTGTCAATGTGGTGCTCGTGTGGCCTTCCAAAAGGCCAGTTCCACAGTGATAACCACCACTAATAATCCTACAAACCTCTCCAGCTGCTTTCAGTGACATGACTTCTGATCTGGAGGGAAAGAAAAGAGGGGTGATATTTTATAAATATCAATTTTCAAAAATCTCTGATCTGTTGGTATTAACTGATGAGCTCAGAGATGCTCGGAAACCTCCTGCCTGCACAACAACTGTAACCATGGCAACCTGCATTTTTAAAGGATGTTAAAGATGTTTTTAAACATCAGGTGAGAAAAACAGTTTCCACACAAGTGTTTGTCTGGGATGTTATGTCTAATTCCTCCAGTACACATTTTTCCGTTACTGGGACTTGATACAATGCTGGAAGCTTTCCTGTTAGGGCAGAAATTGGGCAACCCAAGACAGTCACAGATCTTGAGATCGCTGCCATTGCTATGAAAATGAGGCATTCTTATTGCATCTAGACTGAGCATCAGCATGCCTGGTGTTCTTATACGTCATACATGAAAGAGATTGGCAACCCTTCCTGAAAGCTTTGAATTTTTGATATCATTTGTTCCACGTGATTTTCTAAGGCTATATTGGACCACTATACATTCTAGAACAAATTAATTAAAGCCTCCAGTTTCCAGGGAGATATACTAATATCTCAATAAAGTGCTGGATTTGAGTAAAAGACAGAGAATCATGTCTGTAATCCTAGCACTTTGGGAGGCTAAGTTCAATGTAGTATTCAGAATTTGAATATTGAGCTTCTATATTAAAGAAATCATCAAATAAATAAATAAGGGTCTATCAGTTTTCTGAAGATTCAGATTTTTGTTGTTTTTAAATGAGTAATTCTAATTGTATTTTAAATGAGTATAGGGAGGGTCCATTTTAAGGAGTCAGAATGTAATCAAAGATGCCTATTACTATTATATTTTCAGATAGAAACAGATAAAGTTCAAGCAGTGCAAATACTAAATAAGCAAATTAAGCATTATGTCTTTTTTTTATGGTCTGCCACTCATCCACAACCACCAGCATTTGTCTTGACAAACCACCAACATTTCCCTCCCCCGCCTTGACTGTGCATGGATTTGCATATTTATAGAGTTAAAGAATCACCCACCATGGTTCTCTTTCTTATCCACATTCTTGTCTTACCCATCCGTCTCTGTCACTCTCCTGATATACCTCTTCCCTACTAATTACATTAATCAACAACAAACAACAACTCTAAAAGATTCCCCGAGATGAGAGTTTCAGAAGCCTGAGACGCTATGTCAAACAACCCACCGTAGTTATTCAGGGACACTGCAACTCAAAATGAGGTAGCCATCGATCCAGAGAACAAATGATCATTATTCATGTAACTCTCTTCTTTGCTTAAGAATCCATCTTTTTCTATCAGTGCCAAATTCTCTCACTACTTTCCTGGTTCTAATTCAGAAGTAAGTAAAGTCAGCTAGTCCCTTTGTTTGGGGGTTAGGCCCATTTTATAAAGAATTAAAGGAAAATAGGTTAAACATGAACTGCTTCTCAGACGTGGCATTTACATGCCTGGTGCTTCCTTAGCTCATCATATAACCAAGTACTGGAATCTGTTTTACAGATAATAAGAAACATTCACGTGTTCCATCTTTTACATATGTGAGGACCAGGCACTGACTAGAAAATTTTCATCACCATTGTCCTCATCATCACCATCATTAGCATCTTGTCGTCATCATTGTCACGATGACAAAGATGCTTTCATGATGATGAAAGCATCATCATGCTTTATTTACGTGATATCATTGAATCCTTCCAACAAGATACCAGACCATTTTATTGTAGACATTTTACAGATATTTACACTGAAGTTCAGAGTTGTTGAGTGGTTTACCCAAGAATACGTAGCAAGTAAATGATAGAGCTGAAAATTCAATCTGTCTTTCTCTAGTGCTAAGCCTTAGTTTCCCTACCAAGTTTTAAAGGTTGAACAAAGCAAGGTGTTGAAAGAGCACCCTGAGTCTGACAGTCAGAGGGGAATCAGGGCAGGAAGTATCTACTGAAGAGGTCCTCAAATTTCAGGTTGCCTAAACAGTTACTGAATGAGCTTGTCAAAATGCATAAAGAAGGCCCTACACCACTACCACTACCACCACCCTCTGACACACATACACACAGATTGTGATTCAATAGGCCTGAGATTAGTCCAAAATCTGTATTTGTGGCAAACTCCCCAGGTGATTTCAACAGAGACAGTCTGTAGGCCACCCTTGGAGAAATGGTGTTATAGCTGGATTGGGGACTGTTGAGATGCCTAAATCCCCAACTTGTAGAGCTAGCTTGGGCTGCTCCCAAGTCTAGCACACTCATTGATATGGTTTGGCTGTGTCCCCACGTAAATCTCATCTTGAATTGTAACCCCCACAATTCCCATGTGTCGTAGGAGGAACCTGGTGGGAGGTGATTGAATCATTGAGGCAGGTCTTTCCCATGCTGTTCTTGTGATAGTGAATAAGCCTCACAAGATCTGATGGTTATATAAAAATGAGAATTTCCCTGCACAAGTTCTCTTCTCTTATCTGCCACCATGTGAGACATGCCATTCACCTTCCACCATGATTGTGAGGCTTCCCCAGCCACATGGAACTGTAAGTCCAATAAACCTTTATTTTTGTAAATTGCCCAATCTCGAGTATGTCTTTATCAGTAGTGCAAAAAATGGACTAATACACTCACCTATGTAGGGAAACCTCTTTGTTCCCTACATAGGTTCTCTGCATTGGTTCAGAGTCCATCTCTTCCACTGGGATGTCCATCTTGTGGTCAAAACCTGCACCCCAGGTAACATAAAATAAAAATAACAATGGCTATAATTGTGAACCGCCCGCTAACCTCCTCTTGTAGTGCTCCAGGCCAGACGCTCATCACCTTGTTTTGTTGTCTTTGCCATCAGCATTATAGTAGAGCCATTGGCACTCACCCATGTCCAGCCCCGTTCCTCCTGGGCACACAGAAATTTCCGACTCTGTTTTCTATTGCCTTTGCAGTCAGATGGAACCATATGACTAGTGCTAGCCAAAGTGTGTCATCTCCACTCTCTTTCTTTCCTTGGTACCATGGATGTGTTTGATATGGTGCCAGCTGCAAAGTAGTGGAGGCTTCTTCAGTGTGGGTTCTTGAGCTGTCATATAGCATAAAGCCGCCACCCACCATTCTGAATTCACAGCATGAGCAAGAGATAAACAAACCTTTGTTGAGTTAAGGCTCTGGGATTTTGTTTTATTTTGTTCAGTTTTTAATTTCTGTACCATATCCTAACCCATCCTAACCAATAAAACCTCGTCGCTGTCAACATCATCATCATCATCGCAATAATAAAATGTATTAATTATGAACATAAAACCTTACCGTGTGCTGAACATTAGACTAAGCATTTTGCAAACATTATCTAATTTAATAATCACACCAACACTATAAAAAAGACATAGTTGTTATCTGTGTCTTACCCAGCTGGTAACTGATCGGGAAAAAAATGAAAACCCAGCAGCCTGACTCCAAAGCCCGTGTGCTTATCCAAACACTACAGCGTAGGTTGCTTAGTGCCAGCTTCAGTGGTTAGTTCTTTACATGCTTATCATAGGTAATCCTCTGTCAACCTGTAGAAGTAGGCATGATTAACTTAATTTTCCATTGTGAACACTGAAGGTTGGACAGATTCAATGTCTGGTCTGAGGCCACACATCACACACCACACACTACATACCACACATCACACACCACACATCACATACCACACACCACACACCACACATGGTGGAGTTAGGTCACAATCCACGTCCCTCTGACTCTTGAAGGAAGCATCATTTATTGAAAAACTAGAGTGTCTAAGCAGGTGATTTTGATTCCTTCAAGTCTGTTTCAGAAATGTCTAGGGGCCCCACAGATCTCCTGAGGTCAGGGGTTCAAAACCAGCCTGGCCAACATGGTGAAACCCCATCTCTACTAAAAATACAGAAATTAGCCAGGCATGGTGGGGGCGCCTGCAATCCCAGCTACTCAGGAGGCTGAGGCAAGAGAATCGCTTGAACTTGGGAGGCGGAGGTTGCAGTGAGCCGAGATTGTGCCATTGCACTCTAGGCTGGGTGACAAGAGCGAGACTCTGTCTCAAAAAAAGAAAAAAAAAATCATCGTTTTACTGATGATATTTACAATAACAGCTTCTGCCAGTAATAGAGACTACCAATAACCAATGCTATTTATTAAATACTAACAGTGTGTATATATATATATGCATGCTGGCTAGTGTCACGCCCTCACAAAGTGGACATTATTATCTTACAGATAAAAACACTAATGCTTGGAGAGTTTCATTGTTTGCCACAGGGTGCCCAGGTAAAACCATGGCAGAACTGGAGACAATCCAGGCAGCCTGGCTCCAAAACCTTGCAGTTGGCCAGCACACTCTCTGCCCAGAGCCCAGCCCACGCTCTGATCACAGAAAGTGTGTGGGAGATGAGTAGAAGCAGGAGAAAAAAAAAAAAAAAGTAAAATGTAGGCTAAGGGGTTGTCCTGTAAGAATTTAGGAATCCCTAAGAAGGAGAACTAGAGGATCAAGGGAAAAAGGCCAAGTCCAGTAAGTCCCTCCAAACGTCAAGTGGGGACATCTCAGTAGAGTATACCCCTACAACTGATCTGCCAAGATGTTCCACAATACAAAAAGGATTCTGTTGGCAAAAACAATGCCCACCCCTGCCTGTCTTGAAGATTCAAAATGCACAGTAGATGATAGATGATGGATATTCTAAGATTTGTTGTAGCAAGAGGCTGGTTGTGTGCTTAACTCTTCCTTTCTAATTTGCTTTTGACCACAGCACCCTTTTTATTATGCAAAACCTATTAACATCTACTGAAAGGCACTCAGCATTTGAGGGAGGGGACTAGCAGGCTGCAGAGGAGGGTGCTAAGTTCTGTGCTGAGGAAGGTGGTTGGTTGTGGAAGATGTAGTGGTCACAAATGAGAAGAGTGGACAGTGGGTACAGGGTAGGGATGATGAGACCTGGAATTGATGACCTCAGCAGAGAAGGGGAGGAAGGATAAGAAGCAAATAACAGTGACATATGTGTAAGTTAAAAAGATGGAGGTAGAGCTAGTTTCCAAGATGGCTTAAAAATACACATGGGTGCCGGTTTGACCTCAAAATAGAAATTAGAGACCTAGAATTCAGGAGAGAAGGCAGAACTAGCAAATGGAGACTCTAGGTCACCTTACCTCTCCTTTTCTTGGAGGAATGGTGGAAAGAGAAGAACAACTGAAAGGCTTCAGCACAATCGCTCTGTAGGACCCAGGAGAGAGAAGAGTAGCCTGGAATCAACAGTGGTGGGAGAGGCTGGAGGGCCTCAGGAAATTCAAGGCAAAAGAGTAGTTAGCTCTAATGACCATTCTTTAAAAGTAGAAAAAATGAAAGTGGAGATGTGCATTGTTTGTGGAAAGATAGAACCTTCCTCAGTCAGAAAGCATTTTGCCATTAGCAGCAGGCAGTGATGCTGACAATTTGCAGTTGGTGGCCAGGTTTTAAACAGTAGTTTGGGCAAGAAAGGGTATCCAGCAAATCAATTTGCAATAGCTGATCCCTGTCATTAAGGGAGTCAATTCTTGATACTGTAAGTGAATAACCAAGTGCTGCTCTGGTACAATTGAGGTATGAAATACCAGACCTGACTATTTTATGTAAATCTCTAACATGGTGTTTAAGCAGGACAGAGCAGCGGGGAGGAAGGGGCTTAAGCAGAAATGGGCTTTGAGGACCTCTCGGCCCAGACAGGAAGAGTAATTGGGCTAAGATGAGAGAGGGGCAAAACTCAGCACATCTCCAAAGCCATCCAAGGTTGCGGACAATTAACCTCTTGATTCCTCCCTCCTTTCCTTCCAAGATCAGATTTTTATCGTCTCAGAAACATATGAACTTCAAGAAAATGTGAGGAACACAGACTTTCTGAGCCAGCTTCCATTGACATGCCATTTGATTAATTTATGTGGTTGGGACAGCAGTTCAGAGGGAATATAGATTGTGCTCTTACCTGCCCCATTTCCATATTTAATATATTCAGGCATGGTTATGATAGAGCATCTCATGTTTACACTAACTTTGTGTCTTTTGAAGTTCACTTTTAACTTTGTGTTGATAAAATACTATTTTCTAATTCAGATTTTTCAAAAAATGCCCGTTGGGCATCAAGTAGCTTTTACAGAATGAGGTGTTCTTAGCATTATTATGAAGCAAGGACAAGTGTATTACCGCCATTCACGGAGACATTTTTGCAGTGTTGCAAATCTCCCAAATGTTTCAAAAAATTACAGCAGTTGCCTGTTGCACCTCACAATTAGCTGCCTAAGATTCTAGGAGAGAAGCAGTTGGATTTTATATGTGAAAATGCCTCTATTTGCTGCATTTTTACTTTTTGAGAAGTTGCAAGTTACATGAAAATAAACATACTATATAAGAAAACACGGCAGATTTCTCCTGGTGTTTTAATAATTCCACGAAGGTTTATGAATATTGGCAAACGTATTTGCAGTGGTACTTCCCTGCTATTTACTTTGTAGACTTTGAGTCTTAGATTCTTGTCTGTAAGTGAAATGTAGTATTAAAAAAAAAAAAAAGGCCGGGCACAGTGGCTCACGCCTGTAATCCCAGAACTTTGGGAGGCTGAGGCAGGTGGATCACTTGAGGTCAGGAGTTTGAGACCAGCCTGGCCAACATGGTGAAATCCCGTCTCTACTAAAAATACAAAAATTAGCTGGGCATGCTGGTGCATACCTGTAATCCCAGTTACTCACTAGGCTGAGGCAGGAGAATCTCTTGAACCTGGGAAGCGGCAGAAGTTGCAGTGAGCTGAGATCACACCATTGCACTCCAGCCTGAGGGACAGAGTGAGACCCTTTCCCAAAAAAAAAAAAAAAAAAAAAAGCATTACAAGTTGGAGTAGCCTGGGCTCCCGTGTTGGCTTTATTACTGAGCTGTGTGCAGGTGGATGTTTTGCTAAATCTTTCTATGTTCCACGTTATCAAGACCCTTTCTCTCTTTTCCCAAAGCTCTCGTATCAATTCCATTTAAGCCAAATCTCATTATTTCATTGCTTTTTTTTTTAATTATCCTATTTTTAAAATTATTCTCCCTCCTTCTGGTTTCCATTTTCAAATAGTTCAACTGGATAGACATAATAGCAAAGGCATAGAATCAACCTAGGTGCCCAGCAGTGGTGGACTGGATTGAAAAAAAACGTGGTACATATGTATCATGGAATACCATGCAGCCATAAAAAAATAAAATCACAAGCTTTGCAGCAACATGGATGCAGCCAGGGGCTATTATCCTAAGCGAATTAATGCAGGAACAGAAAACCAAATACCACATGTTCTCACTTATAAGTGGGACCTAAACAGTGAATACTCACGGACATAAAGATGGCAACAATAGACAGTGGGGACTACTAGAGTGGGGAGGGAAAGAGGGGTATGAGGGTTGAAAAACTACTAGATGCTGTGCTAGCTAGGTGACAGGACCAATGATACTCAAACCTCAGCGCCACACAATATACCTAGGTAACAAACCTGCACTTGTACCCGCTGAATCTAAAACGAAAGTTGAAATTATAAAATAAATAAATAAATGTGGTGCTTATTTTTAAAATAAATGAACAAAAAAACCCCAAAGAGCTTAGCTAGGTGTTAAGTACCATCCAATGGACGGTGCCATCCATTATATAATATAGATATTTACACACACACTCAAACACGCATACATGTATGTATGTGTATATATATACACACACATATATTTACGACTGTAGCCTTCTTTCCAGCAGAAGCAGTTTGCCAAATGCCTCTGCCCTTCCTTAGCCCAAATGCTAATAGTAGCTATTTCATGAATAGATACAGAATGACAGAGTCAACTTTACCTAACTTCTCCAAAATGCCGACTCCAGTATTCCATTTTCAAATTAACTTATTCTGATTATAAAAGTAATGTTCAGTATTGTTAGTAAAATAAATTTTAAAAAAAACGAACTTGTAATTTCCCCACTCAGAGATAGCTTCTGATAACATATTGGTGCTTTTACTTCTATTTTTTTCTATCCATATGAGTATAATTAAATACATATTCACATCTATATCTATACTCATTCATATATATTCATATGTAAGATTAAACTATATGTTCAAATTGTATTCTGCTTTTTAAAATCACACTTTATTTTCTGGGAATGTTCTCTTCATAAAGTTCTTCCAAACCATGATATTTAATGTCCACATAAGAAAACATCTCATGGACTCTCAATTTATTGAAACTTTTCCCTAGTTTTGGTTATTCTGTTTCCCACCAGTCATTAATTACTTTAAACAATTCTGTGAGGACCATTCAGGTACACAGACGTGGGTCCACAGTTATCTATTTTCTTAGCCTCAGTGCTTGGAAGTTGAAATTTGTATTGAATAACTAAATTCCTTTGACAATTAAAACATAATTATCAAACTTTTTTGCAAAGAAATAACACTATGGTATATGACATCTATGGCATATGACAGTCCCTGCTTACCTTATGCTTGCCGGCATTCAGTGCTTAGGTTTCCTTTTTTTTTTGAGACGGCATCTCACTTTGTCGCCAGGCTGGAGTGCAGTGGCGGGATCTTGGCTCACTGCAACCTCCACCTCCTGGGTTCAAGCGATTCTCCTGTCTCACCCTCCTGAGTAGCTGGGACTACAGGCGCCTGCCACCACACCCAGCTATTTTTTGTATTTTTAGTAGAGACAGGATTTCACCATATTGGCCAGGATTGTCTTGATGTCTTGACCTCATAATCTGCCTGCCTCGGCTTCCCGAAGTGCTGGGAGTAAGGTGTGAGCCACCACACCCGGCCAAGCTTTCTTAAATGGGCCACTTTGATTGATGAAAATGATAAGGTACTGTGGCCTTTTTTTTTGCCATTTAAAAAACAGTGGTAAGGTTTTTTTTTTGTTTCTCCATGTCTTGGGAAGCAGCTGCCTGTTCAAGCCCTCTTTCCTTTTCCTATTTGGGTGTTAATGGCTTCCCTATTGATTCATAAAGGCCCACTACTTATTGTGGATATTAATCTCTTGCCTGTCATATGTTTGTTGCCTTTCTTTTATGCCAGCTAGTTATTTGAATTAATTGGATTTGATGTTTTGAAATACTGAATTTTTAAATCTTTAGACAGATACAATACCATTTTTTCCTTATGCGTATTCTCTTGTTTATACAATTAACAATCTTGGCCTGTTCCAAAATCAAAGTCACATGAATACATATATTTTTCTAAGTTTTTATGGCTTCATATTCACATCTGATTCTTCAGTCCCTCTAGATCTTACTTTCGATGTATGGTTTAATGTGAAGTCCCATTTCAAGTTTTTACCCTTCAAATTAATTTTCCTTCCAAATGTTATTTTATTTTATTTTAAATACCCATTCTTTTTCTGGTTTTGTCACATAGCTTTCATGTGATGTTAAGCTCTAATACATACAACAATTTACTTTGGGACCATCTCATATATTAAATTTTGCAAAAATGCCATACTGTTCCAACACTCATAGTTTTATAATGTGTCTTAACACATGACAATAAACCCTTCTAAAATACACACAGGTTTCAGAACTGCCTTAATTATTTTTTGCTTTGATTTTTCCTCTAGAAAAAAAATGTGATCATTTTCTCAGACTCCCACCCTACTTGTTTTCTCAAAGCTACTGTCACACTCTGGATGTACAAGGTCAGGGGTGGTGAGAGATCAGGGTGTTTAGGAGTGTTTGCTTGACTGATGGAGACACAGGGTTCCCAAACTGGAAGATGACAACATAGGAGAAGCTTCCAGTTTTCCAGTCAAAGATACTATGTTTCATGAGGCAAAGCGTGAGAAACTCACCAATACAATTTCCCCCAATTCCACTCTATCAGCCTTTGAGATTTTCCGGACAGCTATCTGTCAGTCTTAGTACTTAAAATTGTTGGAAGTTTGAACACAATTCTTCAAAGATATTTTAGTGAGGAACAAGAGATTTTGCTTTGGAAGATCCTGAACAGATTTCCTTACAAAAAGTATTTCTAAGCACCCATCCCTATAATATATCTAAATGTTAAATGCTTATTGATGGAGTAAAATGGAAAGTCCAAGAGTCGTAACATTATCTGGTAACAGTGTGGATGAGAGGTATGGGAGATGTAGGCATGTGCATGTTTCCTGATTTGACCAAACTTTTCAACATGAGTGACCCTTCTAACTAGTTTTCCAAAAATAGAGAGAAGAGATCCAGCATCAATGAAAATGACAAAATTGACAAAGTTTTGCCTTGGCCCTCTTCCATCGTCGCTATCCTCTTCTCCTCTACTCAACCTCCCCATCAGTCTTTTTACCCGCCCGCCTCCTTTTTTTTGAGGGAAGCTGTATTAGGCCATTCTCACATGGCTATAAAGAAATACCTGAGACTGGGTAATTTATAAAGAGAAGAGGTTTAATTCGCTCGTGGTTCTGCAGGCTGTGCAGGAAGCATGGTGGCTTCTGCCTCTGGGGAGGCCTTAGGAAACTTATAGTCATGGTGGAAGGCAAAGGGGAAGCAGGCACTTCTTCCTGGCAGAACATGGCAGAAAAGGGGCATGGCGGAAACAGGGCAAGAGAATGGGGTGGGGAAGTACTACACACTTTTAAAGGACCAGATCTTGTGAGAACTCTATCATGAGAACAGCACCAAAGGGATGGTCCTAAACCATTCATGGAGGATGCACCCCCATGATCCAGTCACCTGCCACCAGGCCCCACCTCCAACATGGGGGATTACAGTTGAACATGAGATTTGGGTGAGGACACAGATCCAAACCATATCAAAAGCTTTTCTAATTAGGTTACTCATTCTATGAAAATAGACTGCCCATAAATAATCTTTGTTTTTCAGATGAAGATTTGGCAAGTTCTGTGCCTAGCACGATGGCTGACATGAGATAAGTGCACAGGAAATTTTGAAATATCTGTGTCTCTATCTTCATTTCCTTGTTTGTGTCTCCAATTTCCTATATGCCATCAGGGGATTTAGTGACACTGCAAATAGCATGCTCTTTGGCAGGCACGCCTCTCCCATTTCCCCAGAACCTCTTCGTCTTTCTGAGGCATGGAGTCCCAAGCTGTATGTTTTCAGGTAGTATTGTAGGAAGATTAACAGTTTCCTGACATCTTTCTTGCAAAGGCATGAATACCTCCACCGGTGCAGATCAACATAAGAAATTTAATGTTTACCTTGCCATTTTATAATGCTATCAACTTTCTCAAAATCTGTCCCTCTGCACTCTGTTATTTAAGATTTATTGTCATCCTGCATGGTGAGATAGCTGGTGGACATTAGCCCCATTCTCAGGGGTAGCTGCTATGGTTGAAACATGCTCTACCAAAATTCGTATGTTGAAGTCATAATCCCCAGTAATTCAGAGTGTGACCTTACTTGGACATAGGATCTTTACAGAGGTAATCATGTTAAACTGAGGTCATTTGAGTAGACCCTAGTATAATATGACTGATGCCTATAAAAAGAGAAATTTGGAGATAGACTCACACTCAGAGAGAACTCCACATGAAAATAAAGGCAGATGGCCGGGTACGGTGGCTCATGCCTGTAATCCCAGCACTTTGGGAGGCCGAGGCAGGCAGATCACTTGAGGTCAGGCATTCAAGACCAGCCTGGGCTATAGTGAAACCCCGTCTCTACTAAAAATATGAAAAATTTAGCCAGGCGTAGTGGTGCATGCTTGTAATTCCAGCTACTCATGAGGCTGATACGCAAGAATTGCTTGAACCCCAGAGGCGGAGGTTGCAGTGAGCTGAGATCACGCCATTGCACTTCAGCCTAGGTGACAGAGAGACTCTGTCTCAAAAAAGAAAAAAAAAGCTAAAAACACAAAATAACAGCAGAAATCAGGATGATACATCTATAAGCCCAAAAATGCCAAAAAATGCAAAACAAACAAACAACAAGAAAAATCCATGAGAAGCTAGGAGACAGGCTTGGAACAGATTCCTCCTCACAGACCTCAGAAGCACCTTGATCTCAGATTTTCAGCCTCCATCACTGTGAGACAATCAATTTCTGTTGCTTAAGCCACCCAATCTACAGTACTTTGTCATAACAGCCCTAACAAACAACATAGTAGATAAAAACAAAAAACAAACAATAAAAAAAGAAAACAAAGAAGGCTAAATAGCTTCCTTCTGAATGTGGATCGTTTCATCAGAGGATTTGATCTACTGAACCTTCTACTGCACTAAAAATTCTCATTTCATCAAGTATAATGAACTGAAGTCAAAGGGATTTATTTGATGCTGAACCAAGCCAACACTCTCCCCACCCCACCTTAGTCTACCGTTAACGTGTCCGAAATTGCATGCGTTGTTTTGCTTGGATGTTACTAGCCCTTGCTGGGAAAGGTACTTGGCACTAATGTGACTATTTAAACTAATATTCACAAAGCAGTTACCCTGTGCCAGGCTTATATGGATTCATGTAATTCTCACATTAATTCTGTGAGACTGGTGCCATGACTATGCCACTTACATATGTCCAGCCAGAATCTCTAGTTATAACTTGTTCCTGGTCATACACTCTGCTGGTTGTGAATCCAGCGTTTGAACTCAGGCAGTCTGACCCTGGGGGTGACATTTAAACTACTTTATTGCTGGGTTCTATGTTCTCAAAAGTTTAGAAGGTATTTGTTAAAGAGAATTGGAATATTTGCTATGGAACTTGTCAGAGCTTTTAAATATGCTATTATCTTAGGGAATCTCTGAGAGTGTGGTAAAGTAAGCAGCATTTCTAGCACATAGTTAACCGTGGGTCTCTTTTTATTAAGGCAAGATCTCTTGGGACTGGTGTTTCTTGAATAGACTTGCCAGACAAAATACAAGACCCCATTATGAAATTTCAGATAAACAATGACTAGTGTTTTAGAATAAGCACATCCCAACTATTGCACTGGACATATTAATACTAAAGAATTTGTGTTTGTTTATCTGAAATTCTAATTTTACTAGGGCGTTCTGTATTTTTATTTGCAAAATTTGGCAAACTATATGAAAGATGCTTCGAAAACTATAGAGAACACAGCCAAAGATCCCTGCCTCTCCCAATCTTCTGGGCCTCTTTCTTTAGGAAACAAACATAAACCTGCCCAAACTGAGGTTGTACCCTTTTTACCTGCCCTGTTACCTTCCTAGCATCCATCTTGCTGTCCTTCATTCTGCCACCCTGGGGTTCCTATCAAACTCTGCTTCCTGTCTCTTATGACTTAGAACATGCCATCCCAGACCCAGGGAACAGAACAGGCATATCCCTGGTTATTTCAAAGCCAGTATCACACCAGCATGTAGAGATATGACCAGACAATAACAATCCTCCTCCAGTTATCACTCGAGGGAAAGGAGAGGGACTTATGGGGAACAGATGCAGATAAAACCCAAATCTGATGCCTTGAGGCTGGTCAGTATGAAGTCTGTCCTGTGGTATCCCTCTGCAACATTTCCATTTCAGGGGAGTTGAGGGCTTATCAAGCTTAGGAAGCAATGTGTACTGAAAAGGATGAGGTCAGTTCGGGGTCTGTCAAATCAATTGAACATATCTTGAACCCTGAATTCTATCATCAATCTCACTTTACAATCCATCCCTTCCAATTAATGCTGCATATAATAACACCACTCAATGATGTTCATACATCCCATCTTCTTACTTGGCACTATCTTTTTTTTCTTTTTAAGAGATTAATTTGTCTTTCCAATATATTCAAGTTATCTTGACCAATGTTTCAGAATTACTTAGAGCTTTATGGATTGCAGCAAGACCGAAGCAAATGACCACTCATAATTCAGAATATTTCTGAGCCAGAATAAAGTTTACACTTCATGACCATAAAGAGGACCCTTTATGCTTGTATGTAGAAGCTCAATTCAGGTTCCAAACCTGCACTGTCCAGTTAGGTAGCCACTAGCCACCTGTGGTTACTTAAATTTACCCTTAAGCTAATTAAAATAAAGTTAAAACTTTAGTTTACGAGCCATATGTATTAGTCTGTTTTCACACTTCTATAAAGACATACCTGAGATTAGGTAATATATAAAGAAAAAAGGTTTCCTTGACTCACATTTCTACATGGTTGGGGAGGCCTTAGGAAACTTAACAATCATGGCAGAATGTGAAGGAGAAACAAGGCACATCTTATCACAGTAAAGCAGGAGAGAGAGAGAAAAAGAGCCAAGGAGAACTGCCAAACACTTTTAAACCATCAGATGTTGTGTGAACTCACTCACTATCATGAGAACAGCTTGGGGGAACTGCCCCCATGATCCAGTCCTCTCCAACCAGGTCCCTCCCCTGACACATGGGGATTAAAATTTGAGGTGAGATTTGGGTGGGGACACAGAGCCAAACCATATCACCATGCTAGCCACATTTCAAATCATCAGCTACGTATCGCTGGTGGCTATTATATGCAGTACATACATACTGCACAGTGTAGATATGAAACGTTTCCATCATCATAGAAAGCTCTCTTGGACAGCCCTATTCTAGATGCTTTATTCTCAAACATGCCACAGGATAACACATAAGATATTGGCATGGATACCATTCTATTTGGTTTGGGACAGAAGAAATAAGGAAAAATGTTTCTGAAACAGGGAGTCCATTTTAGATTATTTTATATGAAGTTATCAATAGTTTATTAATATATTGATTAAAAGATGACAAGTTCTCAACCCCCACGATAGCCCACTGGTGAAGACAGAACCATGCAGACACTATTAATTCGGCTCTGTTTCTTTTTCTAATGAGCCAGTGTGGAGACTGGGGAAGAGGAAGGGATTGTTTGGAAAGATCAGAGCATCCAGGAGAAACTGTATGGGGATGGGGGCACCACTGACTGAATCAGAGCCTCCAGTTTGCTTTGGGTGACCACAGAGGGACTGAACAAACCCCTGTGTTGTCAGTCCTTAGTTTTGAGAATAGCCTTGACCAGCACACTTGTTCACTGAGGAAGGATACGAAAATGCAGATAAGTTAAAACAAACAAACAAACACCGTCATTCTTACTCTGGCAGCCAGATGAGTCACCAACACATTAAATTCTTTATAGATCTCTATACCTTCCTTTATGTAAATGTGTATAATATGCTCACAAAAATAAGATCATAATATACATACTGTTTTTTCAACCTGCTTTTTTTTTTTTTTTTTTTTTTTTGAGACGGAGTTTCACTCTTATTGCCCAGGCTAGAGTGTAATGGCGCGATCTCGGCTCACCGCAACCTCCGCTTCCCAGGTTCAAGCGATTCTCCTGCCTCAGCCTCCCAAGTAGCTGGGATTACAGGCATGTGCCACAATGCCTGGCTAATTTTTGTTTTTGTTTTTGTTTTTGTTTTTTTTTCAGTAGAGACGGGGTTTCTCCATGTAGGTCAGGCTGGTCTTGAAATCTCTACCTCAGGTCATCCACTTGCCTCGGTCTCCCAGAGTGCTGGGATTACAGGCGTGAGCTACCATTCCCGGCCTCAACCTACTTTTTAAATTAATATGCTTCAACACATTTCCAAGCCAAAATGACTTGTAAAACGTTGTACTTAAAGATTGTGGCTACGCTTGGTGGCTCACGCCTGTAATCCCAGCACTTTGGGAGGCTGAGGCAGGCAGACCACGAGGTCAGGAGTTCGAGACCAGCCTGGGCAACATGGTGAAACCCTGTCTCTTCTAAAAATACAAAAATTAGCCTGGCGTGGTGGCAGGTGCCTGTAATCCCAGCTACTCAGGAGGCTGAGGCAGGAGAATTGCTTGAACCTGGGAGGCGGGGGTTGCAATGAGCCCAGATTGCATCACTGCACTCCAGCCTGGGTGACAGAGCAAGAATCCAGCTAGAGAAAAAAAAAAAAAAAAAAAAAAGTCCTTGTGCATTAATCTGTTCTATAGGTGTTTTTAGTGGAACATTTAGTGGGGGTCCAGTTCATCCCCAATTATAAATATAATTCCACTGAGCATCCTCAACTTTGTGCACATTCCTAATAATCTGCAAGGAATACATTTATGGAAGGAGAATTACTGTCTTAAAAGGGGGTTGGGGTGGGTATATATTATTAAAGTTTGCGATAAAAGTCTTTAGTTGCTTGATGAAATGGAGGCAGAAGTTTAATCCCTAAGGACCCTTCTAATTCCAAAGTTGTCTGAGTGCCGGATTGTAGCTCTGTTGAGCCTGGGTCTTAAGTCTGAGCGAGCCCTTAGTTACCTTCCTCTCCCATCAGCCTGAGCCAGAGTTAGCCTGAGGTCCCAAACTATGAGCAGGAGAATGTCACCCTAGGAATGGCAACTAGAAAGTTTTTACCCCGGATGCCATGATGAGGCACTGCCATCCACTGGAGCTTGCTGTGATTATGGAAATGTTCTCTATCTGCACATCCAGTATGATAAGCACTGACCACATCTGGCTGCTGAGGACTTGAGATGTGGCTGGTGTGACCGAATAACTGGGATTTTAAATCTTATTTAATTTTAATAGCCACATGTGGCTAGTGGCTAACATTTTAGACAGCTGTTCTAAGAGCATACCTCTGAGACTCAAATACTCAGATCTTTGCCACATTGTTTTATCTTAAATATGACAATTGATAACATTGCTCATGCTCAGCTGCTTGCTTCAAATGACATTTATTTCCCTCGCTAGTTCTTCAAAGGTAGGGACTAATCACCAAATCTCCAATGATAGTCTGATGCCATCCCCAGGTCTGCTACAGCACAAAGGGGACCCTCAATGAATAAGCATGTCAACATCAATCACTTTCCTCAAAGTTTAACTCAGCTATGATAGATCATGGCATATCCGCAAGCCAAGCTACTCATCCAAAATATGGAGATCTTGTAAGTTGGAGATTGTGATGATAATAGTACCTGTCCCTTAGTATTGTTGTGAGGATTAAATATAAGAAGAGCACTTAATATTAGTGCCTAGTGCAGGGTGAGTCTCCAGTGAATGGGGACCATTACTCTTGCCTCCAACATTGTAGCAAGGTCCCCTCCACATAGGGATAAGCCTGTCAAGACCCACGCCTGTTACTCAAAATCTCTTTTAGGGTTATTTAAATACGTGGTCAAGTATTGCATTAGGAGAAATGGCTTAAGAACAAGAGAATGTCAAACCAAATTGAGTTCCCCTTATTGTGTGCTCTCATGAAGCACTTACCACAATGATAATTATTTGCAGTAGTATTACCTAATACCTGCTTTTCCCACCATGCTATAAACACACCAGAGCAAGACTGTTTATCTTGTTCACGGATGTATTCCCAGTGCTAAACATATAGTAGGTGTTTAATAAATCCTGAATGATAGATTGAGGATGAGTGGGTAGTAGATGGGCAGGAATAAAGGAGCTACGGGAAACCCTAGCATAGAAAAAAATAGTACCAGAACCCCTGAAATCTAGTCCTGTTTAGGTTCACAGCTAACTATCGGTCCACTGAAAAGCCCTGGTTTTGGCTTCTCTGTTTTATAAAGTGAAAAAGGTTGATCCAGATTAGGGTTTTTCAGCCTCAGAACTATAGACATTTGGGGCAGATAATTATGTTGTGGGAGGCCGTCCTGTGCTTATAAAAGGATGTTTAATGCACCTGTGGCTGTACCCATTAGCTACCAGCAGCCCTCCTCCGCCAGCTGCGACAACTAAAAATGTCTCCAGAAAAATGTTCCAAGCAGGGAAAACTCCCCCGCCGCACCCCAGTTGAGAACCACTGATTTAGATCCTGTCTGAAGTCCCCTCTGGCACTGATAGTCTAAGATTCTTCTTGGGACCATAATTTCTGAACATGTGAATTTTCTGACATTTCATAGATGGTTATAGAATTATAAGAATATTTCCAGCTACTCACGCAAATAACTCAGACCTGATTATCAATTTAATATTTGGATCAGTGGGCCATTAAAATGCTGATTTGAAATTCAATTTTCCATTTTTAAAAATGATCACTTTGTGAATTCTGTTAGCTGGTTGATTTTATTTAAATGGAGTGTGTAATTTTTCCCGCTCTGTGTTCATGAATAACGCTTTATAGTTGAATGTCAGAATGCCTGCTAATGACCCTAACAATCATAGCTTATTTCTAGAGAATCCATACAGTCATTGAGGCTTTGTTTTTTTTCATCTTCCACTCGTTTCCTTGGAATAAGACCTTTAATTAATGCTCATTAAGATGCACAAATAGCCTGGCCTTGAATCCTCCCAGTGTTTGGTTCACTCTCCCCTAACTTATTAAAGTTGCTTCTGGAAGTTACATAGAGACGTGCAGTTAATTCCTGGAACAGTGTGTTTGTGCTTCTCATTATGCAAAAAATATACACCTTGGTCAAAAAGGAGGTATATTTTTACACAACTATTTGTTCATAGGACATGTATGCATTAAGCCTCAACAAATGCGCCACCCTATTGGCAATTATGGAATTCGAGTCTCACATCAGAGCAAATGTGGTGGTGGCCTAGTAGGACTTTCAATCCCCTTCCTTGGAAAACTGCCTTAGTAAGGAGTTCAGGGATTCCAGGAAATACAGGAAAGCCTTTGGGATGTGTAGTCCCATTCATATGAAATCCACATTTCCCAGAAGACCACAGAACTTTTGTGTTCCATGCAGTGTCCCTAGCACTACAAGCTATTATCTCCTTAAATCTCTCAACCCTATCAGGCACATGCTAACAGGACCATGATTTTACTATCAACAAAAGGGAGGATGGGCGCGGTGGCTCACGCCTGGAATCCCAGCACTTTGGGAGGCCGAGGTGGGTGGATCACCTGAGATCAGGAGATGGAGACCATCCTGGCTAACACAGTGAAACCCCGTCTCTACTAAAAAAAAAAAAAAAAAAAAATTAGCCGGGCGTGGTGGCGGGCACCTGTAGTCCCAGCTACTCGGGAGGCTGAGGCAGGGGAATGGAGTGAACCCGGGAGGTGGAGCTTGCAGTGAGCCGAGATCACGCCACGGCACTCCAGCCTGGGCTACAGAGCGAGACTCTCTCTCAGAAAAAAAAAAAGAAAAGGGAGCCTCCCTAGAGAGGTGTTAAGTAACCTGCCTGAAGTCACAGAACCAGAGTTTGAATTCGTCTCCCCAGATTTCTGGAATTGCAGTCTTTTCCAGTGCTACATTGCCCCTAGATTTAGGATAAAATACAAATGACTTATATTTTCCACTTAAAAGAAGCATTCCTTAGCATCAAACTAAAGTTAGTTCAACATATATTCCTATCAAAATAGGTTAAGTTTTTTTTTTTTTAATTTATAAGTGCTTATGAACAGGAAACGATGGGAGAATAGCTTACTTTCAATGACTGCTTTGAGCGTCTAATTTTAATCCATATATTTTCTGTAGGCCACTGTTTGTAGCTTTTAGAGTAGATTTCCCTCTCTTAAAAGTAAACTTTGTTTTACTTAGAAAACACAGAGACCTTGGAGCATAGTGATTGTTGTGTTTTTAAATTTCATTGGTTTAATTGTCGTTTAAAAGTAAGGTTTTTTTTGTTGTTGTTGGTTTGTTTGTTTGTTTTTTTTATTAGGAAAACATTCTCTTCATCACATAGCCCTAAATCAATCAACATATTTTAAGAGAACTGAAATGGTTTTGGGGTAACTTTATTTTTGCTATTGTAGTCTTTGGAGGAAATAAATGCAAATGAAAAAATCAGTTAAGATCAGACGATGGATGTATTTTTTTTTTCACATCCTTTCCTTTATAAGGTTAGGAACAAACAAACTTCCTAGGAACTATCCTAATATGGATTATCATAATCTATGTTTTTACAAAAATAGTGCCAAGGAATGGAACCAATTTAAATGGCTTAGAGCATGAGACTTTTAACGTAGGACTCACCTTTTGGTGGTAGCTAACTGAAATGACATCAGATCTGTAAAGAAGTGTCCCATCATTTAAGATTTCTTCAGTTACAACCTAAAAGAAGCCATATGTTTGAAGTGTGTGCTTTGTACATTTTATGTGAAAACATGGTCCCAGCAGTCCATATTATCTTGGAACTATGCAGACTCCCGAAGCCATGCCTCCTTTTCACAGACGTAATTATTAGACTATGCATGCCAATTTTAATTCTAGAAAAACGGTCACTCTAGGTAATGTTCTTTAAGACAAACAAACAAAGGCTGCTTAATCCATGATGCTGTAGTCATTTGTTGGCTTGTTTATTTTAATCCCCAATTTACAACAAAATGTGTTTTTTTTTTCTTACAGAGAACCCACAATCCTATTAACAGCGAACTTCTCTTGAATGAAGGCATTACAGCAGATTTAAATCCATGCATTACAATTTTAGCAATTTAATGAACATCCTATTTGGCGACATTATTGCTTTAAAGGAATAAATCACAAACATTTTACTTCCCACTAGCACTCGGTATTTCAAATCCATTTTCTCTACAGAATGATGTGTTTAAATAAATTGTCCTGTTGACTGAATTTTGATCACATTATTGGGTATTTGGGATAGAAATGTGTAGACAGAGAGTCAGAAGTCATCACATCTACTGAAGGCTTTGCAGCCAAGAAATGAGGCCTCAGGCAAGTCATTTAGTATTAGGGGACTTAATTTCTTCTCAGTCCAAGGCAGGTGTTTAATTGCAACGTGTCCCAACTTGACTAGGGGAGTTTGTTCACAGAATCAAGCGAATTCCCATCCTCACCCTCACATTTGGATTTGATAAGTCTGCAGAGGGGTCCACTGGACCTCCTTGCTAACAAGCTGTGGGTGGCTCTAGCCTAGGTGCCCAGGTGCCCCATAAAGGAACCACTATGTGGTTAATACCAGAAGTCCCGTCAAGTTGGAAGCTTCTCTAACCACATCTTGGGCTGTAGTACTTGACAATTGGCTTTTCTTCAATAAAGCAAAAATACCCTCAGTTATGTCATCATTAAAATGTACATGAGCTAGAATCTTATGCCTGCCTGGTTCTGTGAGTTCAAAATAAGAGAAACTCAGGAAGGTTGAGTTGAGCCGCATGCTGAAAAGAGGGGGAGAAGAGGGGATGACTTGGAGCCAGGAAGGCTTGTGGGACAGAGCTTCTTAACCTGGGGTGTTCACCCTTGGTCCCTGGATGGACTTGAGGGAGTCTCTGAATGCCTGAAATCACAGGCAAAGTGAGTGTGTGTGTGCATGTGTGTGTGTATGTGTGTGTATTTTTCTGGAGAGGGAAGGACCACAGTTTGCATAGATTTCCCATGGAGATGTTGATTGCAGGTTGGTCAGAACCATCCTTCTAACTAGGTGGTGATTTGGAGCACAGGCGTCGGGCACAGAGACCCTGACTTAGAGCCCATCTCTTCTATTAATTAGCTGCACACAGAAGCTGGATTCCCCTCCAAGCGTGCTCTACCTGTGGCAAAGTGCTATTGTGGGACTACTTGGGAACATAGGAAAAGTGTGCATTGTCTGGTACTCAGTAATTGCTCAATAAATACCAGCTACATCCTAACAAATATTTTATGGAGGTCCTTAAACTGAGCAAGAGCAATTTTACCTGATGCATTTTGAAAGGAAGTGATGATTAACTAATCCTTCCTGCCTCCTGCTAGTCACGCCTTACATCACCATATTGTCTCTTTCTCCTCATCTGGATCTTTCGCTAAAGACTGACAAAGAAAGCTTCCTCTGATGGCTCTGGTCTCCAGCTAAGGCCATAAACTGTGTATTGTTGAGGCTGCAGGAGAAGGTGGAAGAGTCATAATGCCAGGTTCAGACCCCTTGGTCTTCTGTCTGCCATGGGTTTGCTGTGCTCTGCTAGGGAAAATAATTCATCTTTTGAACCCCTCTGGGACATTTCTGTGAGTTTTGTTGGATGGTCATGTGTGTTCACTTTATGATCTCCACGTGAAAGGTGAAGTTCATAACTGCCACCAGTCTCTAAGCTTTGTCCTTTAAAGTCTGCGGACACTTGAAGCCCTCTGTTAGTCATGCCATGCTGTGATCAAAAGGATTGTGTTTAAGAATGTATAGTCTAAATGCTTATTGTGATCACTAACATTTGTATAGTTCTTTGGGGTTTACCAAGTACTTTACTTGTATTTTCTCATTTAATCTTCACTTAGGACTAAAAAAGTTAGTAACACTAATGGGAATGAGCGAAAACCAAATTCAGACAGTATTAAATACACAAAATTATAAAGTAAAATGAGACTGATTTCCCACGTCATGAGGAAAAATGTCTCTTTACTTTGTGATTCTTTTTATCACATACTTAAAGGCATTTGCATTTTTCCTTTTCTGAATTTTCTGCTTTTAGTTTTTCCTCTTGTATTAGATGTTCAGTGTAACTCACCAATTGTGGCAGTTTTCTGTTTGATTCACAGTAAAAAAGAATAAAAAATAAAAATTAAAAAAAAACTGTGACCTGCATTGTCCACCTGATTAAAATTAGTTTGGATTTTTCAGATAAGGTTCCTTCTTTTTATTATTATAAACAGACTTTATCTTAAGAGTCGGAAGAAACATTTAAGGGAACTATTCGTCTTATTTGTATTTCAACCTGATAAAAGGAAAAGGGATATAGCAAAAATTTTTAGTCGTTTGAGTGGGAAGTGCTTTATTTGAGATAAACACAAAAGGTTTTAAGTATCGTTGATATTAGTCAAACATAATAGCTTTTGGCTATTGTCTGAAGAGCTCTTGTCTGTTGACTTGCAGACCTGTGACCTCTAGATAAAGTTTCAAAATGCAGAAAATATTTATCTTCTTGCTATGACCTTCCACGCACACGACGTGAAGCCATGGATTTGTTTCCTAGGGAACTAGTGAGTGAGGAAGATCTATAATTAAATCTGTGAGTTATATGCTACACATGGGAATTGGGTACGCACCAAGTCCTTTAGAAAAATCCCATAATATCACCATAGCCTCAACTGGTGGAATTAAACTCAATTTTTCTTCACACATTTTTAGAAAGCATCATTCAGAATCTTAATATGGGAAAGTTCTTGTGTTTCTTTCCAAAGTCAGGGTGTGTTTAGTTTGGCTTCCATTTCGCTCTGGATCCAGTGTCCCTCCCTGATGGGACGGCACCTGCCATTGCTACTCAGGTGAGTGCTTTATATGGAAGTCTTGGAAAAGCGAGTGGTAGTCTAGTCTCAGACATCAGCACGTCAGAGCTGGAAGGGATCCAAGGCAGTGTTTGGCAAAAGTTTTTTGATGTTCAAAATGTGTCCTTCAAATAAAATCTAATTTAAAAATTCACTGAGTGAAGCAGACATTAGGTGAATTGGTTTTGACTAGAAGTAAGGGAGAAAGAACCTTTTCATCACCACCCCAATCCCAAAATTCCAGAGCAAGAAGTCTCTAAGGCACCCCCGTTTCTCAACTTGAACATTAACATCTAAGCCATAGCACTGATTGTAGAGGGGGCAGACTGAGGCTCAAGAGATGTTGCCATTGGTCAGCCATCTCATAGCCTCTAGAGGTTAAACACACACACACACACACACACACACACACACACACATACACACACACACAACTAGTAAAAAAAAAAAAAGTCAGAACAATGAATAGCTGTTTCCAAATCTGGCTTGAATATATTTTGTAGTAAATTTCCCCATCTAGAGGCTCATGAGGGCCAAGATTTCTCTACGGTGCTTTTATTTTTCACCTTTTGAAACCAATAATCAGCCTCTTACATTAACTCTAAAAAGTAAAACTCTGTCGACTCTTTGCTTTCAATGGGATTGTCCTCCCCGTATCATTCCTCAACCAACAGAGGGACTCTATGAGAGGGAAGCAGAACCTCAGGACTACCAGAGAAGAGATATTTCACAGATACCAAGGCTTGACGTAGATGTGAGGCCAGGGGCAGGGTGCGGTGGCTCACACCTGTAATCCCAGCACTTTGGGAGGCTGAGGTGGGTGGATCAACTGAGGTCAGGATTTCAAGACCAGCCTGGCCAACATGGTGAAACCTCTCCTCTACTAAAAATACAAAAATTACCTGGGCATGGTGGTGCACGCCTGTAGTCCCAGCTACTCAGGAGGCTAAGGCAGGAGAATCGTCTGAACCCAGGAGGCAGACGTTGCAGTGAGCTGAGATCATGCCATTGCACTCCAGCCTGAGCAACAGAGCGAGACTCCATCTCAAAAAAGCAAAGATGTGAGTCCAGGGTGGGTGTTGATGAGGACGGTAATAATACCTGATGCTTTCGTAGCAGTCCCTGCTCCAGACTATATATACATTAGCTCATTTAGTGTTTGTGATGTCTAAGCCGTGTGTGTGTGTGTGTGTGTGTGTGCGTGTGTGTGTGTAGTAGCAGCTTATTTTTTTTCTATTTCTCTTTGATTTTTTAAATACACACTTATAAGTGTACATGTGTGGTGTGTGGGTATATATACACTTTCCTCTATCTTTCTGATATACCTATCTATATATTTATGATCTTCCCACCAACCTGGTAAGGCCGATACTACTACTATCCCTATTTTATATATAAAGAAACTGAGGCACAGAATCCTAAGGGTCCTACAGCTGGTCGTGGCAGCACTGAGATTTGTATCCAAGCAGCCTGGCTTCCAAGTCTGTGCTCTTTGCTGGTCTACATTCATACCCCATCTTTTATTTTTCTTTTTGAAGTATACGCTATGGGGCTTTGAGCAAAACTTCTGATGTGAAAAAGAAATAAGAATAATAACTCCAAAGATTTTTGCTATGAGGATAAAGCACCTGACCTACTGCACCTTGTAATTTCTGGCAACTAATAATTTCTCAGTAAGTTTCTGTGTTGCTGTAAAAATTGTCAACCATGTACACAAACAGATCTTTAAAAAAAATTGAGACAAATTAAAGTGAAAGACTTCAAAATCAGTTTGTCACATTTGATGCTAAACGCTATATTTTCTCTGAGAATTTTAAATTGTGCAGGTAATTTCTCACCACGGTAAGTCATGATTTTTCATACTTGAACAGTATCACTTCATCTAAGGAATTTTCCCCAGTGCAGTACACTCCCACCCATGCCTCTGAAAACGTCTAATCTGTTTCTCCTACTTACCTGTTGGTCCAATTCATTTCTGGAAATGTTCTGCAGGTTATCATAACGAGAACAGGAGTGATCTATGGAATAAACAGGCACTGTTGTTTGAATTAATTACCAGGAACAGAATCATAAGTGGTGACAACTTACAACAGCTCATTCCACATTCTCCTGCCACTGATGGATAGATTTATGCATTTGAAACATTTTTTACTGATTGCCTGCCCATCTCCTGTTCACATACTCCCTGAGAACCTCTATGTCTTATCCATGGAGTATGTCCGAAAACCAATTATCATCCCCTTTTTGTTTCTGTATTGTCTAATGGAAGAAAAGAAATTATACCTTAGAGGAGATATTTTCCTGATAAACAGCATTTAGTCATTTAGTCATTAAATTAGCTCTTTTAAAATTGTATTATTTTTAAAGGCATCTTTTTATTTTATTTTATTTTATTTTATTTTATTTTATTTTATTTTATTTTATTTTATTTTATTTTATTTTATTTGAGACAGAATCTCACTATGTCACCAGGCTGGAGTGCAGTGGCGTGATCTCGGATCACTGCAGCCAACCTCCGCCTCCTGGGTTCAAGCAATTCTCCCGACTCAGCCTCCTGAGTAGCTGGGACTACGGGCACATACCACCATGCCAAGCTAATTTTTGTACTTTTAGTAGAGATGGGGTTTCACCATATTGGCCAGGAGGGTCTCAATCTCTTGACCTTTTGATCCACCCGCCTCGGCCTCCCAAAGTGCTGGGATTACAGGCCTGAGCCACAGCGCCCGGCCTAATGGCATCTTAGTCATTCGACTTTTCGAGACAGCCTTATCAGTAGCCTCTGATGCTTGAGGTTCTCTTGTGTTGCTTTTCGTTGTCATAGTATTTTTGTTGTTATTGTTTTGTTTTTCTTTCTTTTTGTTATTTGCTTTATGTTTGTATTTGTCGTACGTTGTGTTTAATCTACCCCTTCTCTGCCCAAGACTGTAGTATGTCGTCAGGGTTGAGAACCACTGGGTTAAGGAGTTACAAAAAGTTAAATTTCTCAGGGCTAATGTTGAATTCTTGCATCGGATGAGCTCATTGTAACTTAGGAAAATCAAAAGCTTGACTTGAAAGAATGAGACAAGTCAAGCTCTTGTGAGACAAGCCAACTCTTTCTCATGTGGAGGAAGAGTTCTGATGGGGAGAAGGAGCTGAAGAAGTGGTGCCCCCATTGAAGCAGGCAGCTGGGATCCCCTGTGAAGGTGGTGAAGGGCAGATGGGAGACGGAGATATTTTAATGAAAATTGTAACCTATTTTATGAATAAAATTTATTTTTTATTACTGTAATTTTTTTTTTGAGACGGAGTCTCGCTCTGTCACCCAGGCTGGAGTGCAGTGGTGTGATCTCAGCTCACTGCAACCTGCACCTCCCGAGTTCAAGTGATCCTCCCACCTCAGCCTCCTGAGTAGCTGGGACTACAGTTGCCTGCCACCACACACAACTAATTTTTATGTTTTTAGTAGAAATGGGGTTTCACCATGTTGGCCTGGCTGGTCTTGAACTCCTGGCCTCAGGTGATCCACCCACCTCGGCTTCCCAGAGTCTGGAATTACAGGCGTAAGCCACCACGCCTGGCCCCAAACAAAATTTAATTTAATCCTTACAACAGTCACTCAAAGGAAGAAGGATATTTGCATTATTAGAGCACCTTCATGAGCTTGACATTTTTATGTTGCTCTTTGAATCCTCTCAAATGCCAGCTGATTTAGGTTTCATTTTTCCCGTCATCAGTGATAAAACCATGACTTGAGGCAAAGGTGACTATTCAGAACCAGGGTTTCTGATTCTACTGCCTTTTTCTACTGCTTGGATACAGCCTGGCCTGAAGCCTCAGGGACTTTAGGATGTAGATTGGCAGGGGAAATCCCAGGCAGGGGTGTTTTTTGATGGGAGAAGCTGTTTGCAACCCGCAGCTCTGGAGTGACTCAGAGAGAGAAATGACTAATTTCTCCATTCAGCAAAAATGCATTGAGCTCCAGCTACATGATGAGGACTGCTGTAAATTCCGTGGACACAGCAGTGAACAGAACAGACCAAGCCCTGTCCTACAGTCCACCTGCTAGTAAGGGAACCTGACAAATCAAAAGTTAATAAAATACATGGTGTGTCAGTTGCTATGATAGGTCCTGATAGGGGCTATGGAGGTCAATGGCTAGAGATGAGAGTAGGTTGCAGTTTTCAACAGGGAGGCCCTCAGTGAGAACTGATGAACTGGGATGAGTGCAGGGATGCATCTATCTGGGGGCTGAGCATCCTCGATAAAAGGAACTATGAGTGCAAAAGCTGGGGGCAGTAGTGTGTCCAGAATATTCTAGAAACTGTAGGAAGGCTGGTATGGCTGAAGCAGAGGGAGCAAGGGAATGTTAGATAGGAGAAAAGCTGTGACCAGATCACAGAAGGTCTTGGAGCCCACCATGAGGACTTTGGCCTTTATTCTAATTGAGTGGGAAAGCCACTGGTGGGCTTTGGTGAAGACAGATGTGATCTGGCTTATGTCTTTATTGAATGGCTCTGGCTGACGGATGGAGAATAGAATAGAGTGTGGATGGGGCAAGGGTAGGAACAGCTGCAATCACTCAGGCTCTAGAAGCAATGGGGGCTTGGCCCAGAGCAATGGTGGTGGAAGGGGAGAGGCGTGGTTATGGCCGTATTCTGGATATAATTTGAAAAGATTTGTCGGGGGAAGTGAGGATTTTAGCTCTGTTTTATTGAGTGTGGTTGCCTGCAAACCAGGCTCTGCGCCTCTCTGAACTGTCATGCATTCTTTTTGAGTCCTCTTGGTGGTTTTGTAAAGAAGCCAGCCTCGCTGCCCATCTCCCAGAGGGGGGAAACTGAAGCTCAGAGACATTCAGGGATTTGCTTAAAGCCCCATGCCAGGCGTTGGCCATGGTCCTGGCTCCCAAACCTGTCCTTTTTCTACTGTAACAGGCTGCCTCCCCTCCAAAGTCTGCAGGAAATTTAAGCCTCCTGGAATTTCTTATTGTATCAGCATGAATATTATTAAGTTTCCTATAAACTCAAATTTTGTGTATTTAAAAAGACTATGAATCTTTCTTTTTAGAAATTGAGGTGGTTAGGATTAATGACCAACCATAAAATTTTATAAGCAATTATTACGGTTTACTGTACCTTCTTCAGCTGCTTGTCGCCTTGCCTTCTTTTCTTTCTCCTGTAGTCGGGGTGAGTTTTCACATCACTGACAAAGATATTGGGCTGGGAAGAGGCACGCTTGGAGTGAGACCCTTCAGGAAGCCTCTGTTTTTAACTTTAGCTGTGACACTGGGATCTCAGTCATGGAAGTTCACTGACATCTACTCATCCTGCATTAGTAATATGGGCATGGTGCATTTTCTGTATTTATTAGCTATGTTTAACAGAATCTTTAGAAAGGAACTCGATGCCCTGTTTCAACAAAGTACATTGATTTTTTGCTTTGTGATAGATAAGGCAAAAGCGGTCACTTTGTTCGGTGTGTGCTCTCATCCTAATTTAGGGCCCCTTTCTGCCTAGAACTCTGTAGATTTCCGCCGTCTGTGTTTTTCCATCATCCCAGACCCTCAGCTGCAAGCTCAGGCCTCCAGCCCCTCATGCACAACTGCTCCTTTAGATCAGGATTACTTTGCCCCCAGTCTCCCTGGGACTTGCTGCAGATTTATTTCAAAGTTGTAAATCCTCTGTGGATTACCTCCTCATGCTATTCTCAACCTCTGGTTCTTTCTTTTTCTGATTGCCCCCAATATTAACAAAGTGGAGCAAAAATAACTACAGTTGCTGGAAAGTGGTACTGTGTTAGTCAGAACACAGAGGTTGTATGTGACAGATACACGTTCACATGGCTAAGGCTAAAGGGTATTCATTGACTCCCATAGTCAGGAAATCCAAAGGTGCATCTGGCTTTAGGACAGCTGGATCCAGGCCTCACACAGTTGCACTTTGTACTCTCCCTTTGCGTGGTAGCCTGATCTTCTCCTGCCACAGACACTTGGTCAAAGAAGCTGGTCACAAGCTGCATCCTTCTAGCACTGTGAATATTAAAGGCAAGAGGAATCTTCCCTCTGAGCCTGGTGTGGTTTGGCTGTGTCCCCACCTAATTCTAACCTTGAATTGTAGTTCCCATAATCCCCACACGTCACGGGAGGGACCCAATGGGAGGTAATTGAATCATGGGGGCGGCTTTTCTCATACTGTTCTCATGATAGTGAGTAAGTCTCATGAGATCTGATGGTTTTATAAGTGGGAGTTCCCCTGCACAAGCTCTCTTGCCTGCCCCCATGTAAGACGTGACTTTGCTCCTCATTCACCTTCCGGCATGATTGTGAGGCCTCCCCCACCATGTGGAACTGTGAGTCAATTAAACCTCTTTCCTTTATAAAGTACTAAGTCTTGGGTATGTCTTTATTAGCAGCGTGAGAACAGACTAATACACACATCTAACAAGAATACCCCAAGGAGAATACTGTTTGGTATAACATTGGGCAAATGCCCATTGCTGTAGCCATCTCTGAGGCCAAATAAATGGGTTCCGCTTGGCTAGAAGTACATCTCATTATGAGTGGAAGTGGGGGAATGTCATGGCACCATGATTGTGGTACAGCTGATTGTCATGGGGCAAGTGGGAGGGTTGATGTAAGAAGGGGTTGGAAAGCCTGCTGGGTAAACAAATCTATAGCTACTGTCCTTCACCATAGTTCTACCAAAGTCAAATTGCATTTATAGCACTGGAGTTTCACTTAAAGGGAATGCAGCACTGGGGACAGACCCTAGTATTTTTTCCAATTGTCCTTTATTTTCAGTTGCCACCATGTCTTGAGCGCCTGCCCTATGCCCCCATACTGTTCTAGGTACATATGATGGCAAAATGATGAATAACACATTGACTCTGCCCTCACAAATGCTGTTCATTAGGATGGGTCTTCCTAAATTATAGAGACTGATCAATTTACATGCCACCCTTTGATGCTAACTAAGACAATGGAGAAATAGCCCCAAGTGCTAATACTCTGTCTCTTGAATTGAGTTATTTTTCCAAGGCAGTAAAATGTGAAGATTGCAATTAGTTAACCATTATGAAGACAAATCTTCAAATATTTTTCTCACTGTGGTGACATTTAAAATGCTTCCTGCTCAACCAAACAGCCAATTGATTTCTTTCCCATCTTCTTATAATGGCTAATTGCTAAGCAATTGATTGAATCCTCTTTTGTTACTATGTAATTACTAAGCTGGCCAAAACGACTCTCCCGACCATTTCTCAGTTGGCTCATTTTGGTCACCTATAGGACAGGTTTGGGGTGGGAATGTTCTTATTTGGTTAAACTTTTTGCAAATAATCAATCAAATTGCTTTATGTAGTGATTCCGAGCAAAGGTCCAACTGGCAGAAAGGCTTACATATTACTTGGATAGTTTCTTAACCTAAACTTTGGTGAAGTTTTTGTTGTTGTTATTGTTGTTGTTTTGTCTTTGATATGGAAAGAATAAGAACCTGCCTCCTGAAATTTTGGGAAGGGTCATACGAGATAATACATTTTCAGTGTTTAGCACCACTGGGACAGAATAAGCCTGTAACAAATCACAAGTGTTAATAGTTTGTCTAGGCCACCTCTACTGCATGCTTATGGGAACATGGTCAACATTGTTAACTTTTGTGCCTCAGTTTCCCAATCTGTAAAGGGAGGATAATAGAGCCACTCATCATCAAATAAATTAGAGTTTATTTGATGATTGTATTAGTCGGGGTTCTTTAGAAGGACAGAACTAATAGGAAATATATATATATATATATATATATATATATGCACATATATATATATACACACACACACACACACACACACACATATATATATATATATATATATATATACACACACACATATATATGAAGGGGAGTTTATTAAATAGTATCAACTCACATGATCACAAGGTCCCACAATAGGCCATCTGCAAGCTGAGGAGCAAGGGAGCCAGTCCAAGTTCCAAAGCTGAAGAACTTGGAGTTTGATGTTCGAGGGCAGGAAGCATCCAGCATGGGCGAAAGATGTAGGCTGGGAGGCTAAACCAGTCTAGGCTTTTCACGTTTTTCTGCCTGCTTTATATTCTAGCCATGCTGGCAACTGATTAGATGATGCCCACCCAGATTAAGGGTGGGTCTGCCTTTCCCAGCCCACTGACACAAATGTTCATCTCCTTTGGCATGATCCTCACAGACACACCCAGGATCAATACTTTGCATCCTTCAGTCCAATCAAGTTGAGGCTCAGTATTAACCAACTCAATGATAAAAAGAGAGAGCAAAAGCATGTAGAATTGATATGACGGTTAAAGGGGATAGTTAAGGCACCTGAAGGACCAAGCCCACCAGCAATCTGCACGGATACTCGGTCACTATTTTGTTATTTATACCACCTGGCACAGTTCCTGCCTTCTAATTCACACTCAAGCCTCAAGCAAGAGCCGTTCCTTTGCCTCCATTCCTCCCAGAGATTCCCCTTCCCATGCTGAAGCCTTGGAAATTATTGTGAATGCAATAATGGTGGCCGCTTCTGTAAACACTGTACTTGACCTTCATGCCCACAGTATTCAGCAGGTAACTACGTAGTGTCTGTTGTGTGTCAGGGACTGTGCTGTGGATTCACTTCTGCAGAGAGCAGAGGGTAGATGCAGAATAAAGGGTCTTCTCCTGCCTTGAGCCGTTCAGAGTTGTGGCCTTTGGAAGACTTGCTCAGAATGATCCAGTGCTTTTTTGACATTTCTGGATATGATCACTAGCTGCAATCTTGCATTTGGTGCTTTTTGTGATTCCCAGCTCTCCCTCCACATGCTCTGAGAAAAGTGATATCCCCAGAGCTGTATCCAAAGAAGAAATGTAAATCCAGAGGCTATAAACTAATAGGATCTGAGTTTCCGTGGTTGACTGTATGAAAGTAGATTTGGCTTCTCTGTGTTGCTGACTTTAACAGGGAGCTTAAAATGTGAGATGGAGCAGGTGTTTGCGTGCTGTATCACCAAGCCGTTCCCATGGCTGTGAATTCCGGGAAGTTGAGGGACTATACAGACACTTTATCTTGTGGTGACCTGATGCATGCACCAGGCCACTGTTGCCCAACAACTGCCCCCTAAGTGTGGGTGGAACGGCCATTGCAATCGACTCGGGGCGAACAGTGCATCTAAAAGATGAAGGTCTGATTTTCTTTGCAGAGTTTAAATGGTGCATGTGTCTTTACCCCAAAAACCACAGAAACAATTTCTCTTAAAGAGAAAGAGAGGAACTATGTACTTGGGCTTTGTATTTGGAGATTTTGGCAAAGATGGAGGCTGCCCATCATGGGTGACGGTAGAATCTGGTGTCAGATGGCACACTCGGAGTTGTCTGACTCACTTGGAGAGTACAAGGGCATCTGCACCTACAGGCATTGCTGTGAATGACAGAATCATCAACATCCAGGGAAATGCTATACTTGAAAAAAAAAAAAGATCAGGGTATTAGCCGTGGCAGCTATGTGGCTTCTAGATACTGAGCCATCCTAGATGCTAGCTCTTTACCTGCATGATATCATGCAAATCTTGGAAGCAAGCCTCCAGGTGGATTTTATTCCTATTTTACAGTGGAGGGAGCTGAGGGCTAGAGAGGTTTAGTAATGTGTTCTCTGACACATAGATTAAAAAGTGGCTGAGCAAGAACTTGAATCGCAAGCCCTGCATGCCAGTTGCGAGCCCCAAACCCTACCTCCTGGGGAGAAGACACACATTGTATTTCTCTTCTCTTCATGGGGGTTACAGACTCCGTTATTTCAGAGCAGAACCTAGGTTCTCTATAGGATGGGGAGGTATAAGGACTCCTTTCTATGCAGTGGAAGCCTGTGTGGTCTCCCTGAGACCTTTTCCCACAATCTCTGAATCCCATTCATTTGTGCAAGAGTCAAGTTCAAAAGCAGAGAGCTTGAGAGCTCCTGTCTTCATCACATTGTTGACTTATCGTTACATCTGCTCTTCTAACTTAAATCACTGGCTCCTTTTCTTTCTTCCTCTGCATCTTCACCAAGGAGTGGTAGAAAAAGAATTCACCTTGGCATAGACAAGCCTAGATTTGATTAACAGCTCTTAAAAAAATCATTCCACCTATTTAGTGTTCTGCTTCCTTCTCTGTGAATAGGGCTAACGATGCCTATTTAGATTATGAAAATTAATATAAAAACAGAATAGAAGTCCCTAGTAAGTTGCCTGTCCCAAAGCAGACACTTAACTAATGTCAAGTCTCCCTAAACGTTGCCCTCATCCCCACAATACGAGGAGGGAAGAGTCCGATGTTTTCATTAGAAAAGCTGCCACCCACACACAGGATGCTTTTCTCTACTTCTGAGTGTTTATAGTTTCAGTGATTCTGTGCCTTACAATTTTCAAGGACAGCTCGTTCCAACCTTTGCGAATATGAAGAATGGTTTTTCTAAATTATATAATAGTGTGACCTACAGATAGCCTTGGGCTTTCCTTTCTTCTGGCTGCAGCCTTTGCTAGGTACACATAGGGACATGCACCCTGACAATCCACGGGGGCCCCCTCTGGCCTGGGTCCTCAGAATGAGAACCTCAGCTTTTAGGACTCACAATGCAAGGATGATCACGCTTGCTGTTAGCAGCGCAGATCCAGCGTAATTTTAAAAGCAAAATGACTGACTACATAGAAAGAAAAACCACATTGTTTTCCTGTCTCCCCATGGAATGCTGCCTCCATTAGAGAAAAAGGAGAAAACCCGATTAGGAAGGATAGAAACATAAATGGAACTGTGTCAGGCCTTCCAAGCTGTCACTGATTATTCTACCAGGCAGATATTTCTCACCTCCCATTCAGGGCCATCTCCTGTAACAGCCATTTCTATAGCCGAAACAATAAGGGATAAATTAGGCTGGTCAATTTGTCCTTTCCCTTTCTTGGGTAAAAAGAAAACGACTTAACTAAATCTTTTTTCTTTAGGATGAAAAGAGATTTTAAAAAACATTCTAGTAGCAAATAACTGTCCTAAAGTAGGTAAAATGGGAATTGATTTTACTTACCTGACTTCCTAGTTGGGTAGTTGGGAGCATTACCTGAGACGGGTCTGTGGCAACACTTTGTGACGGCCAGGCCTGGGTGGCTATTACGGTCATCATCATTTCAGGAGGCAAGGTGGCTTCATTATGCTTCATTCCTACAATCTCCTTTTTGTTCATTGATGTGCATTCTCCTGCTTTGACATACAAACCCATAACACCATGAAATTTTAAAGCGAATGGTAATATTTTTTCATATAGGTAAAAAAAGTATGAGAATATTCCAATAGAAATAACCATAAAACATTCTTTCTCTTTGTTTGAGTAACCCCTTTCCTGGGTGTCTATCCTAAGGAATAATGTAAAATGTGGAGAATTATTTTTTTCAGAGGAAGATGTTCTTTGTAGCTTTATTTACATCATTCACAGTGTTTATAATTAAAACAGTTGAGAGTCCATTATGATTGAAGTGGTTGTTAAATGATGGTATATCTGTCTTAAATATTGCATAGCTAAACAAAAGGAGCTGGTAATGATAGAAGAAAATGCTCATGATATAATATGTGTATTATAGTCTGTTCTTGCACTGCTATAAAGAAATACCTGAGATGAGGTAATTTATAAAGTAAAGAGGTTGAATTGACTCATGGTTCCACAGGCTGTCCAGGAAGCAGAGTAAGCAGCTTCTGCTTCTGGGATGGCCTCAGGGAGCTAGCTTCCAAGCATGGCAGAAGGCAAAGTGGGAGCAGGTGTCTTACAGGGCAGGAGCAGGACCAAGAGAGAGATGGGGGAGGTGCTATACAGTTTCAAACAACCAGATCTCCTGAGAACTCTATCACGAGAATAGCACTAGGAGGGTGGTGCTAAACCACTAATGAGGAAACCCCCCGCCGTGATCCCATCACCTCCCACCAAGCCCCCTCCTCCAACATTGGGGATTACAATTCGACATGAGATTTGGGCAGGCACACAGATCCAAACCATAGCAATATGTAAAGAATCACCCTAGCAACAGTCATCAAGATAGCATGATACAGCAGGGGAGAGATACATGGATCAGTGGAAGGGAATAGACAACCCAGAGATACAGCCACACAAACGTGTCCAACTGCTTCTTAGTAAAGATGAGAAAGGAAGTCAGTGGAGGAAGGATAGATCCTTCAGCAAATGATGCTGGAGCCATTGGACATCTGAAGGCAAGAAATGAACCTCAACCTAAACCTCACTCTTCATACAAAATTTAACTCAAAGTGGTCCAGGCCCAGTAGCTCACAACTGTAATCCCAGCACTTTGGGAGGCCGAGGCAGGCGGATCACCTGAGGTCACAAGTTCGCAATCAGCCTGGCCAACATGGTGAAACCGCGTCTCTACTAAAAATACAAAAATTAGCCAGGCTTGGTGGTGGGCACCTGTAGTGCCAGCTACTCGGGAGGCTGAAGCAGGAGAATCACTTGAACCCGGGAGGCGGAGGTTGCAGTGAGCCTAGAACACGCCATTGCGCTCCAGCCTGGGCAACAGAGTGAGATTCCATCTCAAAAAAGAAAAAAAAACAAAAACAGAAAATGTTAACTCAAAGTGGATCACAGATATAAATGTAAAACACTATGAAACTTTAAGAAAAAAGTAGGAAAAAATCTTAGGGATCTAAGGCTAGGCAGAGTTCTTATACTTGTCACAAACAGGTGTGAACCCTAAAATGAAATTTTGATAAATTAGACTTTATCAAAATTTGAAACTTTTGCTATGTGAAAAATCCTGTTAAGAGAATGGAAAGACAAGCTATAGACTAGGAGAAAATACTTACAAACCACATATCTGAAAAAGGATTAGTATCTAGGATATAGAAAGAACTCTCTAAACTCAACAGCAGAAAACCCCAATCAACCAAATTAGGAAATTGACAAAAGACATAAACAGACATTTCAGCAAAGGGGATATGAGGATAGCAAATAAGCTCATGAACAAATGTTCCAACTCATTAGCCATGAGGGAAATGCAAATTAAAACCACAACAGACTACCGGTACACACCTATTAGAACAGTTAATTTATTTTTAAAAAGCAGTAACATCAAATGCTGGCAAAGATGTGCAGAAACCATCACTCAGACATTGCTGGTAGAAATGTAGAGTGGTACAGCCAGTCAAGAAACGAGTTTGGCAGTTTTGTATAAAACTAGACACGCACTTACCATGGAACCCAGCAATTGCACTCCTAGGCGTTTATCCCAGAAATAAAAACTTATGTTCACACAAAACCTGTACACAAATGTTCATAGCAGCTTGATTCATATTTGCCAGAAACTGAAAACAACCCAGATGTCCTTCAACATGTGAATGGTTAAACAAACTGTGGTTTATTCATATCATGAAATATGGCTCAGCAATAAAATGAATGAATTATTGATACACAGCAACTTGGAAGAATCTCCAGGGAATTATGCTGAATGAAAATGCTAATCCCAGAGGTTGCATACTATATGATTCCATTTATATGATATTTTCTTTGAAAATGTTATGTTTATTTTTAATGTTTGTGGGTGTATCATAGGTATATATATATATATATATGCATGGGGTACATTAGATACAGACATCCATTGTGTAATAATCACATCATGGAAAGCCGGGTATCCATCCCCTCCAGCATTTATCCTTTGTGGTGCAAATAATGCAATTATGTGATTTTAGTTATTTTTAAATGTACAATTGAATTATTATTGACTATGGTCACCTGTTCACCCCGTTATGCTCTCAAATACTGGGTTTTATTCATTCTTTCTAATTTTTTGTATCCATTAAACACCCCTTCGTCTCCCCTCCCCACCCTCAATTAAATGAAAAATTATGGAAATGGAGAACAGATCAGTGGCTGCCAGAATGTGTATCTGTGAGGGAAGAGGCAGTCTCTGCAAGAGAGGAAGATGTGGTTGTGAAATGACAACACGAAGGATCCCAGTGGGGATGGAATGGCCTTGTATCTCAATGGTGGTGATGGATACGCAAGCCAATACGTAGATAAAACTGCAAAAAACTAAATACACACACACACACTCTCACACACTCACACACTCATATGCTCACACACTCTGACACATTCACACACACACACACACACACACAAAGTATAAGTAAAATGGCAAATCTGAATAAGATCTGTGGATTGCATAAATGTCAATATTTTAATTGTGACATTGTACCACAGTTTAACATTAGGGAAACTGGGTAAAAGAGTATTTTTTGCAAATGCATGTGCATCTATAATTATTGAAAAAGTAATAAAAGTCAATTAAAATATGTTTATGCAGTTGTATGCATTTAAAAGACTAGAAAGGATTTATCGACATTTTAGTATAGTTAACTATCCAGTAGGACATTGAGCATCTTGCTTTCTACCTTTTACTTTACTTTCTCTGCCAGGATTTTCCTAGTGAGCATGTGTTAGTTTTGTAAAGAGGAAAAAAAGCAAACCTGGTTTTAAAAAAAAAATCCCATTGCCAAGTACAACAATTTACAGCACTCTTTTTAGTATATTCTGAAATAGTCTCCTCATGATTTCTTTCTCTTCTGTACTCCAAATGTAACACTAAATCACACACATGTACACACACACACACACACACACACACACACAATCATGACCAGCTCAAGAATAAATATGTGGGGACTAAGCATCCAAAGCTCGACACCAACAATTTGCAGCTGAAGACATAATGAACTTTTGTTAGTGGATGGACCAGCTGGGAAGACTGTAAAGTTGGATGTCTTGTTGTGCTTTCTATTTATTATTCAGATCTCCAGTCCAGTGTACAGACAGAAGGTGCATCTTGATGGATAGTTCAAAAGGGTAAAGACTTAGACAAAATAATGAGAAAGGGACTATTTGGCGACATATTTCATCCTCTCCATCCCACTCTGTGGCTTCCTCCCTTTGATGCACACATAATTTCAGGAACCCAGAGTGCAGGATTGGTAGAAACGGAATAAATATATAGTCTGTTGTATGGGAACAGGCTCAGAAGCCTATAAAAGATTCAACTCCTGCTTTCCCTTAGGAGAGGTACCCAACCAGTATTAATATTTTAGAAATACTGGAAGGTAGAAGAGGAGCCATTATTCATCACTGGCAACTCTGTGGTACTAAAATTAAATAATGGGGTTTTTTTTAAAGACAGAATTGTGAAAGTTGTGAAACTATAAAAAATATTCCTCTCTTGGGGATGTTGCATTTTTTGCTTTTATCTTTTCTTCTTCTCTTGAGAACATTTTGATTTACTACTGTGATAAGCTTATAACAACTAGGGAACTTGGGAGAAAAGACGAGGCAGGCTGGGAGGAGGGGTGTTATGGCAGCTTACAAATGGGCCCGGGTACATTTGCCTGGCTTCAAGTCAGAAGGTGCTGGAGCTGGGCTTGGATTCATTTCCATTGTGTGGCACACATATCTCATGCATGGGCCAGGGACGTGCCTTGTGACAGTTAGCACCCACGGTGCCATGTGGGCTTGGGATGTGAGCATGCTTGTCTGCTCAGCAGGAACTTTTCATAAAAGGTCTAGTCATCCTTTTCCTGAAGCCTGGAAATAATCAGCCCTGCTCCTTGAGGAGATGTCTAAGCTGTTAGGACTTTGTTATCCAGGAGTTGGCATCTGACCAGCATCTGGAGTTTTGGATTGATCTGGATGATTTCAGAGTGTTCTGTACCTGTTCCTCCCCCTGAACTAGCTGTGTAACCCATTGGACAAATGACTTCACCTCTCTGGGTCTCCTTAACTGCATTTGTGAAGTTAAAAAAAGCAATAGAAACCACCAGGTAAAATGCACACGTAGCTTTAGCACAGTACGTGGCCTGCACAAGGCCTCAGTGAATGCAGTTATTACCTAGGATGCCACTTGAAAAACATTTTAAACCCTTTTAATGATAAAATTACTCTCCGTGACTGTTACATGTTGTGTTTCAATGCATACTCATGAGTGTCGTTAACATTTATTGAGTGCCTACTATGTGCCTGCCACGGTACAATGTGCTTTAGGGATGCAGTTCCATTCTGTCCTCCCGAGGACCTCAGGAATGCAGGTCTATTATTCCCAATCAACAGAAGGGAGAACTGAGGCTTAGAGGGGTGAAAAGATTTGCCCAAGGTTAAAACCAAGGGCACATTAGAGCCAGCGTACAAACTGACCCAGAAATCATTTTCTAAACCACTGCACCACGGGGGCAGGAATGGTGGCTATTGCTCGGGACCTAGAGAAATGAAGGCACAGGGAATGAAGACGAATCCTTGCTCCACCCATGGGGAGACAGTGGCTGGGCCAGATTTAAGCAGAGATCCCTGGACAGCGCCTCATTCCTTACCTGATTCACACGGTGCTGATACGCTTGTTCAGGGCTGCCTCAAGCTTCAGACTCAGAGTCAGAAGGGACCTCAGAGTCTATGTGGTGCTGATGGTCTTTGTAACGCCTTAACAGGATGAGGGTGTGAGCCTGGGCGCTGGGTGGCAGCCTTGTCCATCACCAGATGAGCTTAGCACCGTCGGCCAAGTTTTCAACCCCAGGAAGCCTGCCTCCTTTTGAGCTGAAATCTGTCCATTCCATAGCTTGCATCGATTGGCTTTTCTGAAAGTTAAGACTAAACCAGTCTCCTTTTCTGCTGGTCTTTAGATGATACCCAAAACTGTACCTCGTGTTCCATGTCTCTAAGCATTCAACCACTTACTGGGTTGGGCTGTGCTCATCTTACACAGAACAGATCTCCTCACTTTTCTCTCAAATGTTTTCCTCCTTAGTCCCCTGTCTACACGTAGCCTCTATCCATCCCTGTATCCTTGTGGGTTAGAATTCACCACACAACATGATCTCATTAGGAGTCATCACCTACAAAGCAGGTATTGGGCAATTGTGTTTACCCAGGGTCGTTTTGGGGAATATTAGTAACCGAAACTTGAGAGGAACTTAAATCTACATATACCACCCACCAAAGACTTGCATGGATGGTGCAGTTTCCGAAAAACTTTGCCAAAGCATTTATTGACTCACAGCTACTATGATCTTCTCTTGTTGAGCTTCCCTTAGGGAAAACAACAACAACAACATATTTTAGGTAGCCAGAGCTTCAGAGGAAGAGAGATATTCATCCAAGTTGATCTCATTGTATCCATGAGCCTGTTAATTTTCAGGGAGCAAGATTCTCTAGTCTTAAAAATGTGTGTGTGTGTGTGTGTGTGTGTGTGTGTGTGTGTGTGTGTGTGTGTGTTATTGGGATCTTTTAACTAGGAGAATCACTCAGAATGACTCTGTTGGAGGATACCAGAATATCTCTTGGAACTCAAGCCCAAGAAGCAGAACTGGTCCTTACCAGAAGTTGGCAAGCCATTTTGAAACCAGGGTAGCTGTGCCTGTTCATTGATTTATGCATTCATTTTCCTTTTTTCCTGACCATATGGTCTCTCATTTCAGCTTGTCTTAGCATAGCTTCTTTATTTATTAAAAAATATTTGAGTTTCTACTATGGACCATGCACTGTTCACAGCAGAGAACAAAATGAAAATTCCTGCTAGCACAGTTTATATTTAAATGGTAAATAGAGACAACAGATATAAATATGTCAGGAAGTATGTCAGGTACTGAGGGTTCGGTGAAGAAAAATAAGACAAGGATGATGCTGGAAGGAAAGGCACTACTTTCTTTCAATAAGGTGGCCAGGGAAGTCCTCTGCAAAGAGATGAGTATAAATTGAGATTTCTGTAGCAACAATGTAATGAGCCACAGGAGACCCATGTGGTAAGGTCCTGGCGAATTCAAGCCATTACCAGACACCACTGGGAAAGGGGGCTGGGATACTTCAGTGTCAGAGCATAATTTGGGACCAAGGCTGAGGAATAAGATTGAGTAACGTTGGCTGGGCACGGTGGCTCACGCCTGTAATCCCAGCACTTTGGGAGGCTGAGGCGGGCAGGTCACGAGGTCAGGAGATCGAGACCATCCCGGCTAACATGGTGAAACCCCGTCTCTAATAAAAAAAAATTAAAAAAAAAAAAAACACAAAAAATTAGCCGGGCGTGGTAGCGGGTGCCTGTAGTCCCAGCTACTTGGGAGGCTGAGACAAGAATGGCGTGAACCCGGAAGGCAGAGCTTCCAGTGAGCTGAGATCACGCAACTGCACTCCAGCCTAGGCAACAGAGCGAGACTCTGTCTCAAAAATAAATAAAAAAGATTGAGTAATGTCAGAGAAGATTATTTACCAGCTGTAGGGTGGTGTCACCATGTTTGAGCCTGCATGGGATTCATTTACACAAGCATTAAGAACTCTATTTCAGTTTTCCCTGTAGGCTGTTTTCTTTGCCAAGGTCTCTGCTAATGGCCCCATAGTGTCCCCTGAAAATGGCGGACTCGACTTTCAAGCTGGTAAGACTTCAAAGGTCCTCAGTCTCTCCCTGTCCCAATCCCAGGCTTCCGAAAGAAATGATCTTGCCAGGCTCAGCTTTGGATAGGACGCTCTGGGTCACAAAGGGCAGCCCGGGACTGACATAGTGCTAGGCCCAAGCATGGCGCTTTTGGGGAAAACGGCTGCAAAATAGGATGAGGGGATGTGGACAAACTCAGCAAAAGTTGATGCTGAAGACAGAGGCAGGGATATGGCTATAAAGAGCCTTGCTTTCCTGAGGGGACTTGAATTTTTCCTGAAATCAATGGGGTGGGGGGCCCTGGAAAGATTTTAATCAGGGCATGATCCAATTGGAAGAGACAGTAGCGGCTTCACAGAGTGAGAAACCTCAAAGCTGTCTACACATCCTTCCAATGAAGGCACATGCAAGGCAGAACAGAATGTCAGGATTTCGGATGAAAATCATGGAAATTTTATTTATTTTTGATACTATTTACATTTCCAGGCATCAGTCTTCATGTTAAAATTTGTCCTGAATGATAAGAATAATAAGAGTAAGTGTTAAAACTCTCAGGGAAAGGGCAGTCAACGTGAATTTCCAGCCAGAAAGTCTTCAGTTGTTCATGTTGATTACTAGCAAATGGGAATAGTGCCAGGTTCATAATGCTGATTTTATTACATTACTTTCTCTGAACTCTGGTTTAAATAAGTGCGTAAATATTTGGTACAGGGAGATAAACATTGAGTACACATGGACATAAAGACAGGAAAAATAGACACTGAAGACTCCAGAAGTGGGGAGGGATGGGGTAGGGCAAGGGCTGAAAAACTTCCTTTTGGGGCCAGGTACAGTGGCTCACGCCTGTAATCCCAGTACTTTGGGAGGCCAAGGTGGGAAGATCACCTGAGGTCACAAGTTCGAGACCAGCCTGACCACCATGGAGAAACCCATCTCTACTGAAAATACAAAATTAGCCAGGCATAGTGGTGCACGCCTGTAATCTTAGCTACTTGGGAGGCTGAGGCAGGAGAATTGCTTGAACCTGGCAGGTGGAGGTTGTGGTGAGCTGAGGTCGCACCATTGCACTCCAGCCTGGGCAACAAGAGCAAAACCCCGTCTCAAAAAACAAACAAACAAAAACACCAAACAAACAAATTTCCTTTTGTGTACTATGTTCACTATCTGTGTGATGGGATAATTAGAAGCCAAGACCTCAGAGTCATGCAATATACCCTTGTAACAAACCCACACATGTACCGCCAAATCTAAAATAACATAGTAAAATAAGATTTAAAAATAAGGCCAGGTGTGGTGGCTCACGCCTGTAATCCCAGCACTTTCGGAGGCCAAGGCGGGCGGATCATGAGGTTAGGAGATCAAGACCATCCTGGCTAACATGGTGAAACCCCGTCTCTACTAAAAATACAAAAAAATTAGCCGGCTGTCGTGGTGGGTGCCTGTAGTCCCAGCTACTTGGGAGGCTGAGGCAGGAGAATGGTGTGAACCCGGGAGGCGCCACTGCATTCCAGCCTGGGTGACAGAGTGAGACTCCATCTCAAAAAAAAAAAAAAAAAAAAGATTTAAAAATAAAAAATAAAGCAAAATCTATACACTAATAAAAAAATTTGGTTTAACCTTTCCCTGGGAACAGTAATGGTCTGAAATGATGGAAAGAAGAATTGAACAACTCCAGGGAAGTGAAGTTTGGCAAGTTAGCAAGAGAGTAAGCATGTATAGTTCAACAGCATCCGAGGGCATGATTAATTTATTGTCCTTTTAGATGGCAGAATGCACACAAAACCCTTCAAATTACACCATTATTATGACAAAGCTCAGGGGGTGTGAGAAGTTAAAGATGTTCCTGCCAAGAGTTTGATGTACAGAGGAAACGGGCAACCCACTGGATACACATAAATCTGGAAATCGAGACTTTGAAGTCCCTCGTCCTGGCTCTGCCACTGACATGGGCCTGAGATGAATGTTCCTGGGCCATGAATGGCCATGTCACACGGAGTTCCGATTGGGAGCTCTTCCATCAGTGTCGGGCTCAATGCCTTGTTGGGTCTACTGGGTTGAGTGCTCCTACCCAACTCAGGACACGCTTATCTGTTGCCCCTATGAAGTATGGGTCAAGACCATGGGCTCTGGGGGATTTGGTTCCAATCCAAAATCTTTATCTAGCAGACTTTGGCAAGGTTTGTGGGACTCAGTTTCCTCCTCTGTAAAACAGATTATTACCAATACCTACCTCATAGAATTGTTGTGCCTGTAAAATGCTAAGAATAGCATGTGCCGGAGTCAGTGTTCAGTAAATGGTAGCAGCTGTCATTGTCATCATCACCATCATTTTAAACTGTTGAGCATATTTATGTACCTAAGCATTTCCTATGTCTCAGGTCATTCACTCACCATGAGCCTTTCCATTATTTTCCATTGTGCAGAAGACAGGAGTGAGGCTCAGAGAGGCCACACAGCTTTCTATAAGTCCACGTTGTCCGTGAGCCCTGAACTGGGATGCAGATGCGTTTTTATGTGTCTCTAAACCCTGCTCTGCTAAATACTGTGTGTGTTAATCAGGATAGGTTAGGCTTTGGTGACAAGAAACCCCAAATTTCAGTTGATCAAAAAAACAAAAGCTTGATTAAGCTCCATGCCCTCAGAAGGTTAGGTGGGAACTGTGTTCCTCGTTGTCATTGTCCTTTCTTTGGGACCCAGGTCCATGAAGTCACTACAATTTGGAACATTGCTGGTCACCATGAGGAAGGAAAAGGGAATGTATCTAGGCACACTAGAGTTCCTAATGCTTTCGCCCACAATTAACTGAAGTGACACATATCACTTTCACTTACACTTCACTAGCTAACGCAAGTCCCATGGCCACATCCAGGTCCAAATGGCCAAGGAAGAACACTGCTGTGTGCCCAGAAGGATAGGAGCCCACAGGGGCTGAGGCAGCCACCATGATTACTTTCTGATACCATAAATCTGATCTGTGAATAGAAGAGATGGGAGGTACAGGAGATCCAGGGTTTTCACCAGAGATTCCAGGAGCCACCTTGACTTAAAGCAGAACAACCAAAGGCAAAGCCAAGGAGAGTGTTTTCAAAGGGCTCAGTGATCAGGAGAGTGAAACACACAGCATGCATTAAGAAATCAGAAATTCAGAAAGAGACACTTACAAATACCTAGTTATTCACTGGGACAATAAGGGATGTAAAATTATGGTACTGATTGGCAATTTGGGGGGTTTGGGCCCAGCAAATAAAATGCAATGATTGAATGACCCAAAGATGACTCCTCCTCCTCCAATCTGCTGAGGCATCTTTCAGCGCATCTCCCATGTTATGTAAAATGAGGTTCATAGAGTTTATTGAGCAGTGGTCCCTTGAAGGCCATGAGTACTCTGGAAGTCAGAAATGATCAATAAGTATTTTGAATGCAAGAAAAGAAGTTGAGGGGAGATCATATGTTACAAGAAATGGTGCCCAAGAGGAAAACCTTTTTTTTTTTTTTTTTTTTGAGACAAAGTCTTGCTCTGTTGCCAGGCTGGAGTGCAGTGACGTGATCTTGGCTCACTGCAACCTCCACCTCCTGATTTCAAGCGATTCCCCTGCCTCAGCCTCCCAAGTAGCTGGGGCTACAAGTGTGCACCACCACACCCAGTTAATTTTTTATATTTTACTAGAGACGGGGTTTCATTATGTTGGCCAGGATGGTCTCTATCTCCTGACCTTGTGATCCACCCGTCTCGGCATCCCAAAGTGTTAGGATTATAGGTGTGAGCCACGGTGCCCGGCCAAAGGAAAACATCTTATTCAAAATCATGAGAGAGAAACTGACCATGAGGCTGAGCGAATGTCAGTGTAGGTTGGGATATATTATTAACAGGCATAGACTGAGCTCTTACAGTGAGAACAGCCTTGTGCTGGTTACATATTTCATTACGGGGTGGCCTGGTGTGCTTTGGGAAGGACAGGCATGAAAGGGTGACTCATACATGGCCTATGGGTCCTATGAGGAAATTTACCTCAACCAGGGGAGGAGGACTTTCGGCAGCTTTTCCCTTCTCTCTCTGTCTGCTTCTTAATATCACAACCATCTTCTCAAAAACAAACACAAGTACTGATTGCCTACGAAGCCCTCTGGCCGTGATTTCTCTGACAATCTCAGAATTCACCTAAGACTTCCCTCTGCACCATCTCATGCTATCTTCATCTTCATCTCATGAAGGTTCATATTGCAGCTTCTCATGCACATCTCATGTCCCCAGGCCAAGGGGCTGGGCATGAGATCCACTGCACACCTCCTCCAGTGTCACCCATGACGTGCTGCAATGGCAGATCCCTGAGGAGCTGTGCCCTGGATCTCATGCCCAGCTCCAAGATCAGCATGCCAGGCATTCTCACATGCACCCGACAGTTTTGTCCTTTTAGGAAAATGTCGAGATACATTCATTCACTAGATGACAAATGTTTGAGGAATCACTGTGTGCCAGAAACTGGGTTTGGCTCTGTGGGATACCAGCGAATACAATCAGACGTGGCCACTGCTCCTAGGACCACAGAGTCTAATCAGAGAGATGGCTCTTAAACCACAAGAGTTACATAACATTTCAACAGTTGTGTTGTGTGGGTGAGCTAGAAAATTTCAAAATTATATACTGGAGGAATTTGACTTGGGGGGACCCATTATTTTCTCCAATCAAGAGACCAAGGACACTGACCAGAGTATTTTTCTTTACAGAGCCTCCTAGTGCCTACAATTCACAAAAGGGCCTTGACCTTCTCTGTGCATTCAAACCACAGTAGGTTAAACAAACAAACACATTAAGGGAGGACTGGATAAAATCACCTGTACTCAGACTAAAATACTTCGGAATGTGACAGATCTGGAAAGCAACATAAAAGCAAGGACATAGAGGATCTGAATAGTTTAATCAGTTAATACTAGAAAAGATAGATAAATATGGAACTATGTGGCCTACAAAGAGAAAATACTATTTTTTTTAATTGTGGTAAAATGTACATGGCAGTGGCATTAAGTACATCCACATTATTGTGCAACCATCATCCCCATCCATCTCCAGAACGTTTTCATCTTCCTCACCTTAAACTCTATACCCATTAAATGCTAACTCCCCATTCACTGCCTCTGGAATCCTCTGTTGCACTTTCTGTCTCTATTAATGTTACAACTCCAGGTGCCTCTTGTAAGTGGAATCAGACAATATCTGTTCTTCTGTAACTGGCTTATTTCATTTAGCATAATGTCCTCAAAGTTCATTTGTGTTGCAATAGGTATCAGCATCTCCTTCCTTTTAAAGTCTAAATAGTATTTCTTTATATTTACACACATGTAGACACATACAATCTTTACATATGTACACATATAGGTACACATACACTTTTTTAAATCCATTCATCTGTTGATGGACACCTGAGTTGTTCCCACATTTTGGCTATTGTGAGAAATCCTACAGAATGCTTATTCTTTCCGTGTGTCTATGGGTCACTTAGTAAAGATGATATTGCACCTGGCCAATAATAAGTTTTAAAATAACATTCAAAGGTAGAACTGTTATTAGCCACATTAGTATATAATTATTTGGAAAAAAATAAAACCCCTGCAAATACTTAGAAATTAACAAATACTCTCCTTAAAAAAAAAAAAAAAAGACTGAAGCCTAGTGAAAATAACCAGAAAAAAGGGCACACTCTCAGAAAATAATGCAAAAAACCCAACAATGAACATTGACTTCCTTAGAGCTCAGTTTAAGTTAGACTTAAGCATAATCTTAAGAGTCTGCTATATAAGAAGGAAACCAGACTGGCAAAATGACCACTAAAAGATGAAGGATCTGGATGGTAGATTCAGATCCCCTCATTGTGTGTTGCTGGAGTTTTATTTTTCTTCCCAAGTGCTCCATCTTGCCTGTAACCTTAGCGCCTTCCCTGGGATGATGGGAGCTCCATTTGACCTTGGTGATGAACACAGACAGCCCTAGGTGGCGTGAGCACTGCTGATTGATAAGGTGGGTGTGGAGCTTCTGTCCTTCTCAGTGGATTGCGAGAACTTTGGCTCCATGTTTCTTCACCAGGGTATGGGGACTCTTGGCCATGAGCTTTCCTTAGTTCCCTGGCTAATTTATGACCTAGAGGTTGAACATGGTTGAGCAGCATAAGGGTGAGAGAAAAGCATGGTACTCCAGCTACCCAGACTGCTGAATGGCTGTGTCTTCAATTTCAAAGGCATGGCAAGGACTAACCCACAGCTGAGAATTAATTAATGCTTACAGATTACCTTACAGAAGCAATCTAATGATAAAACACAAATGCCTCTGAACAGCTATAGGTAAAGGCAACAGTGTTTTTTTTTTTCCTATTTAACGTAGAGTAGAAAACATCTTCTAAATTAGCATATGCATGTAACTCCAATAATTCCTCTTACATGTTTTTAAAAGTTGTCTTTTCCTGTGTAAGTAATATAGGCTCATTTTATAAAACTGAAAATATTATAAGGTGAAGGAAAAAGTATTACACCTACCTTCATCCTCTAAAGACCAGTGCTGTTCACATGTGATTTGTTCGCTTTGGTAGCCAGGAAGGAAGGTCTAATTATTTCCTAGTTTTGCACCCTTGTGATAATAATGCATATGTATAGTTATCATCCTCTGAAAATGTGTCCCTTGATTTTCTACATAGAGGAAAACTAGGCGCATCAATCTGGTTGGATGTGACAGGGAAAGGGTACTAGAATTTATTTATCTAGAAGCTGCCTTGCCTCACAAGCAGTGTTCACTTGGAGGGTCTCCATTTAAAGGGACCCCTGCAAATTATAAGGATAGGGAGGGTATTAAGTCCCTTTTCAACTCCTAAGCATTACCACTGCCTGGGAAGTTCACTATGGGGATGTTCTGCTGAACCCCTATCAACTCCAGTGGGGGTGGCAGCAGGTTCAAGATGCCAAAGAGGAGACCTGGAGCCAGCGATGAGACGAGGGGTTTTATTGGATGCTTCCATACAGGGGAATCCAGTGGTGGCAGGCTGAACAGGAGAACCACAACCACCTGTAAAAGGCATGCAGTTTATATAGCATTTTCAGTTAGCACCCTTTCCCTAACATCCTTCACCTGGCAACTTTCATTCCACCTATGAGTCAGGGCCTGGATCTGCCGTCCATGTTCCATGGGACAGGCCAGGGGTTCAGATGTTCCTCATAGACAAGGAAGGAGCCTCCAGGTCGGCCACTCCCAGATTTCCTAGCTTGGAACAGACATCCGGGTGCATCCTCCACACAGAGTCATTTTCAGGGTATGCATAAGTTATTGCTATCAGGTGCATTTACCATGCAGGGGAATTGTAAAAAGAGAAATAAAGGTCTGAAAATGTGTCTCCAGGTAAAGTGGCTGCATTTTCCAAGAAAAAGAAAAAGGAGGTTTGTATGACAGACCTTATTTTTAATTTGTGAGTTTATGAAGCATTTTATAATCATATAAAAACAGGCAAATAAAGTTGTACTTCTTCACTCAGAGTGTTAATCAAGTGTCTTCTATGTTCCAAGCCCTGGGAATGTGAAAGAGAATAAGAAAGCAACAGCCTGAGGGACAGTTACCACCACCCACCAAGAGGCAAGGTGCTCCCCTAGCTTTAACAGACCTTGCAGGCGAGGAGGGCTAGAGCTCAGGTGGATGAGGTTAAGTCTGCATGGAGTGGGCAGGAGAAAGGGTCAGGGGAAGGTTCAGTGGGTAAGTAATCGCCGGCACCAAGTCCAGGAAGATGAGGGCATCCCCAGCAGAGTAGGTGGGGGATGGCCATCCAGCTAAAGAAAGGCACAGCTCAGAGGGCTGTGCCTCATGCTGGGTTGTGGCTTCGGACTGGAGAAGCAGGTGGAGACCCATCAAAGAAGAGCTCTGAGATTTTACCCTCTGGCAGAGGGAGCCATTGCAAGTTTTCATGGGGTGTTTTTTGTTTGTTTGTTTGAGACAGAGTCTCGCTCTGTCATCCAGGCTAGAGTGCAGTGGTGTGATCTTGGCTCACTGCAACCTCTGCCTCCCGGGTTCAAGCGATTCTCCTGCCTCAGCCTCCCGAGTAACTGGGACTATAGGCGCCTGCCACCACGCCTAGCTAGTTTTTGTATTTTCAGTAGAGACGGGGTCTCACCATGTTGGCCAAGCTGGTCTTGAACTCCTGACCTCAGGTGATCCACCTTCCTCAACCTCCCAAAGTGCTGGGATTATGAGCATGAGCCACTGTGCCAGGCCGATTGCAAGTTTTCATATGGGTACTGCCCCAGTCAGATGTGGGTTTGCATTTTAGAATGACCATTCTGGTTGCAATTAGGACAGGAGATGGGATAAAAGAGAAATCAGAAACATGGAGGCCAGGGAAGAGACTACTTAATATTCATTTACGTATTCATTATGCAATGTTTATTTAAAAGCCCACCACGTACGGCATACTGTTCTAGGCTCTGAGGACAAAGCAGACAAAGTAGCTACTTGAGATCTGGGTTAAGGAGCAGAGGATAGAGGTTGGCAGAGTGTGGGAGGAGGACAATGACTTGCAGAACTTGGCAACTCTGTCATTCTGATACTTCAAATTCATTTTCTATACAAGGAAAAAAGAGTAACCGATTAAAGTGCAATTCAAGAAAGTGAGAACCTACAGGGAAGTACCAAAATATACAACGAAACGCCACAGTCACACATGGCAGTGGGGGATCCTGGATTGGATTTTGGATTAAAAAAAAAAAAAGGTTACTAGAGGCCGGGCGTGGTGGCTCATGCTTCTAATCCGAGCACTTTGGGAGGCCGAGGCAGGCAGATCACAAGGTCAGGAGATTGAGACCATCCTGGCTAACACAGTGAAACCCTGTCTCTACTAAAAATACAAAAATTAGCTGGGCGTGGTGGCACGCACCTGTAGTCCCAGCTACTTGGGAGGCTGAGTCAGGAGAATTACTTGAAACCAGGAGGCAGAGGTTGCAGTGAGCCAAGATCACACCAGTGCACTCCAGCCTGGGTGACAGAGCAAGATTCCATCTCAAAAAAAAAAAAAAAAGGTACTAGAAAAACTGATGAAATCTGAATACATAAAATCTGGAGTCTAGTTAATAGTCAAGTATCAGTGTTAATTTATCAGTTATGACCAATGTTCCATTTTTACGTAAGATGTCAACATTAGGGGAAATTGGATGAAGGGTACATGGGAACTCTGTAGTATCTTTGTAATAGTTCTGTAAATCTAAAATTACCACCCGAAGTTTATAAATGAATACACACATATACACATACAAACCTCAACCTCAACCACATTGAGTAGAAATAATTGTATAATTCATATATAATGACCTTATTTATGTAAAACCACTCAAAGCTGCTATATAGTCTATGAGTTCATATGTATGCAAATACATTAAAAACACACACCACATTGTATCATTCATTACAGCTGAGAATAGAGGTAGGCATGGGACTTTGCAGGGGAACTGAATGGAACATTGGCTTTGTCCATATTGTGTCACATCTGTAAAAGGCATACCGTGAGAACACCCTTAAAATCAAATCAAGGAGTCACTACCTGCTCCAGGCCTCAGTACTCCCTGCCCCTGCCCGGATGCAGAAGACACTGGTCCCAGCTATGCGACGCCCACCTCCCCCCCCCAAACAGCCAGCCAGGAAGTCTCTTTACCCAGGTATGAGGCAAGACTCCTGTGTGCTATTTACATGCCCTTCCAGAGTGTTGACACCAGGGGCTCATGTTCTTTCTCATCCTTAGCTATTTTTTCCATTCCAACTCAGAGGACAAGAAAAAAAAACATCCCACTGTGAAAAGAAGTGTGGAATTACAAAGAATAATAGGAAGTTCTCGCTAACTGTGAAGCCCTGCTATGGAGTATATAATGGGCCTTAACAGCTGCTGCAACAGTCGAGACTCGTGGCAGGGTTTGCTTTGGCCAGAGGAGTGCACTGGATTTCTTATATTTCTTGACATTAAACAACAACAAAGGGCTGCAGGCTCAGCTGCTGCAGCTGTGGAGTTCCCAGGAGTTGAGCACAGCATAATCAAGGTGGTCTGGAAACACACTTGATTTGCATGGAGTGGTTTTGAAGCATGGCTGAGTGTATCCTTGGGTTATGGTCATTGCATACCTCCCATCCCCCAGTTCGTGAAGTTGGAATATGCTGGGGTCCCTCTGAAAACCCAGCTAGGCACCAAGAAGCCAGAGAGGTGGTGGGTAATTCAGAAGGGCTTGAGCTTCCTCCTGGATCTAAACTAAGCCAAGACACTGAGCTTTCCCCTGAAGAGGGACTTTCCCCACTCCACTTTCATGCTTTCCTCGCCAAGCTTCCTCCAAGCCATGGGGTGCCTTTAACACACGTAGAGATGTTGCATCTAGTGACTTTAAGAAAAACCAACTCTGCTTTCTGAGGTCTTAGAAACAGGTTTTTAAAAGACTTCCTGTTAGTGTTATATGTTTAAAATAGGTCTAGAAAGAAGGTGGCAAACAGACCCAGCCTATTTTTAGCAGAGGGCTCCAAACAGTAGCGGTGGAAACCAGCATCAGTGATACTCAACAGGGATGGTGCTGAAAGCTGCCCAAAGCAGTGGTCTTCAAACTTGGGTATGCGTGAGAATCACCTGGGGAGGGGGGATTGTTAAAGCTCAGATTGCCAGCAATTCTCCCCCTACCCTGATTTCTGATACAAGAGGCTTGGGGGAAGCCTGGGAATTTGCGTTTTTAATGAGTTCCCAGTGATGCTGATACTGTTCCAGTGAATCATATCTTGAGACCAATTAGTCTAGAGAAAGCAAGGCCCCTACTGGAAGTGACACCCACCATTTCCCTGTGCTGGTGGTCCCATAGGGCCTCTCACTCTGGGAACACCATTCTTGGCTGTGGGTGTTTCTTCAAAGTGAACATAGCTCTGAGGAGCAGGAGGCAGGTTCAGCAGCCACATCCTTAAGAACATAAAAAGTTGAAGAGAGACAGAAGAGAGACAGACGTGTGCAGTGCTAAGCTGGGGCCCTCACAATGGGGACTGGCTTCTTTCCTGGGGAATAAGTAATTTCAATTCAGCAGCAGGAGCCAACTCAGCTAGGTCCTGCCTCTAAGACCTTTGTGTCTGTACCACCAAGTGGCTCAAGCTCTCTGAGAGAGGGCAAGAAAATGACTGAGACCCACCCTTGGCAGCAGAAGGGAAAGTCACCCTGGGATAATTTCTGGGTCTAGAATTCAGCTTTCTGTGCCGAGTGGCAGGCAGAGAAACGGGAGGGTGGTGATGTTTGTCCCAAGAGGCCCATTCCCCCACCCCCTCCTTGTTTCTTCTAGAAGGTCTGGGTGCTGTGTTCCCAACTTTTTCTGAGCAGAGAAGGGTCAAGAAAAGATAACTAACAGCCCGGAAGGCTTTTCCTGGCAGGTCTTCACCAGCGGGGCCTGTGTCTGGCAGATAGATGGGTCAGAGAAGCCCATTCTTGGGAAGCATGATTGCTTCATAGCTCTTGTAGAATTCCCATGTTCGTTGCTCGTCAGAATGCATTGTATGTTAATAGAATCTTCAAAAAGGACCTGCTCATCTCAGGTGTGCTTAGGAGAACAAGAGGAAGGAGTTTTAATCCATATTTGGGCAAAGGTGGTAATGAGAGGTGAAGCCAGCTGGACTTCCTGGGTGGAGTGGGGACTTGCAGAACTTTTCTTAGAAGAGGATGGTAAAATGCACCAATCAGCACTCTGTAGCTAGGATTGTAAAATGCACCAATCAGTGCTCTGTAGCTACCTAGAGGTTTGTAAAATGCACCAATCAGTGCTCTGTAAAAACGCACCAATCTGCACTCTGTGGCTCGCTAGAGGTTTGTAAAATGGACCAATCAGCACTCTGTAAAGTGGGCCAATCAGCACTCTGTAAAATAGACCAATCAGCAGGACATGGGTGGGGACAAATAAGGGAATAAAAGCTGGCCACCCCCAAGGCAGCAGCGACAACCTGCTCGGATCCCCTTCCACACCGTGGAAGCTTTGTTCTTTCGCTCTTCACAGTAAATACTGCTGCTGGCAGAGAGGGGTGAAGCAATAATGACCACAGTGACAGAGAAGAGGTGAGTGTGCTTGGTGACCCCTTCCCACGCAGGGAGCTGTTTCCAGAGCACTTCTCTTCTGGGAGGCCTGTGAATTTTGTTATTAAAAAGGAAACCTAGGCCGGACGTGGTGGCTCACACCTGTAATCCCAGCACTTTGGGAGGCTGAGGCGGGTGGATCACATCAGGTAAGGAGTTCGAGATTAGCGTGGCCAACATGGGGAAAACCCATCTCTACTAAAAATATAAAAATTAGCCAGGCATGGTGGCGTGTGCCTGTAGTTCCACCTACTTAGGGGGCTGAGGTGGGAGAATCACTTGAACCTGGGAGGCGGAGGTTGCAGTGAGCCGAAATTGCACCACTGCATTCCAGCCTGGGTGACAGAGTGAGACTCTGTCTCAAAAAAAAAAAAAAAAAAAAAAAGAGGAAACCACCTATTCCCTCAGAAAAGGATAGAGATACCATTCTTACCCATTAACAACAGTGTAATTTTATTGTGATGATTAATATTGGAATTATTAGCTTTGATTAACTGAGCTCCTTCTGTGTGGCAGGACATGTACTTTATAGATGCCATCTCATTAAACCCTCGGCAATGCTGGGAAGTAAGTGGTGTCATCTGCACTTTAAAGATGAGGCGATGGACCGTGTTCATACTCACACAGTGGATCACTGGGAAAGCTAGGATTGCAACATATAGCTGTCTAATCCGTGGAGTTCATTCTCGCTACTTGCCAGCCACAGGGATCCAATGGTGAGCCCAGTAAGCTGTGGCTCTTGACCTCATGGGGCTTCCAGGCAGCAAGTAGAGGGGTCAGTGGAAAAGTATCAGTTGGATTAATCAAGTCAAGCAATGACTGAAAATTATTTTCATCAGAGAGTATCAAACACCTCTTTTTTTTTTTTTTTTTTTTTGAGATGGAGTCTTACTCTGTCACTCAGGCTAGAGTGCAGTGGAGCAATCCCAGCTCACTGCAACCTATGCCTCCCAGATTCAAGCGATTCTGCTGCCTCAGCCTCCAGAGTAACAGGGATTACAGGTGTGCGCCATCACGCCCAGCTAAATTTTCTGTAGTTTTTGTAGAGACGGAGTTTCACCATGTTGGCCAGGCTGGTCTTGAATTCCTGACCTCAAGTGATCCGCCCACCTTGGCCTCTCAAAGTGCTGGGATTACAGGCATGAGCCACCACGCCCGGCCCACATAGTTTATTTTTAATTTTCTTTTGTATCCAATTTTCAGTTACTCTTAAAAATACAAACATATGTAATTGGTGTTTAGTCAACACTCAGTGTATTTTAATAAACAACATTTTTTAATCGGAAAAAAAAAAAACCTGTAATGCCTTGAGTGATCCTGCCAGATGAACCCTGGCGTAAAGTTCATGCTGCCTTAGGCACCATTGCCACCTGGTGTCAGACATCGGAATTGCAGGCTTGGCGGCAGCTAAAGTGGCGGGGGTGGTGGGGTGGTGGAGCAGGGGGCGGGCAGGACCCATTTTGATTAGGAGAGGGCAGGTTTCCTGTCTTAGCCACCTAAACCCTCCAGGCGCTGTTGAGTATGTGTCAACAGGTGCCTGTTCGTTTGTAATTTGGTGACAGCTAGATCTGTATCAGCTTTCTTTTATCTGTGTGTCCTGAATGATTATTGTGTTCATGACCTTTCAATTGTTTTGTTATAATCAAATTAACGTTTGAAGGTTCTGATGATAAAGTGACATAAATATAGATGAATACTTGAGGGTAAACTCTAGATTCCACTTATGCCAATAATAGTTCTCTTTAGTTGCACATCTACATAAAAAGACCACCCCCCATACTTTGACCCCAACTGCTTCTCAGCCTAACCCTCTACATGCTTAAGCATATGCCAGTAACTCACGATTTGCAAAACTTTCCAGACTCTTCCTTGTCTGCCTGCTGCCTTTGTCTGTGCTGTTCCCTCTGCCTGGAACTACTCTCCTCCACCTTTCCCTTCCAAATTTATTCTTCAAATGTCAAATCAAGGTCGACAATTTGTAGGAAAATTCCATAAAGTAAATTCAGAAACGACAGTGTTGTATGTTGTATTGCAGTGTCTCTAGAGAATGGAAGATGTGGTTCTGAACCCATTTTTATCTCTTTCATAGCTTTGGCCATGGCCAGCTTGCTGACTCATTCTATCTCAGTGGTTTCATCCATTAAGTGGAAATAATAATGTCCTCTGCCTCCAGCATTGAAATATATATATATATATATATATATATATATATATATATATATATATACACAACCCTAATTTGAGGTTTATATATAACATATATATTTTATTTATTATATATATTTAATACATAGGGATTTAATATATGTAATATTTAATATATATAATGGGGTTTAATATATATAATATGTAGGGTTTAATATATATATTAATATATAATACATAGGGGTTTAATATATATAATACATAGGGGTTTAATATATATATTATATATCATATTTAGGGGTTTCACATATATAAAACCCCTAAATTGAGGTATCTATATATAATATTGATGCATATATATTTAATATATAGGGGTTTGATATATATAATATTTAGGGGTTATATACATATTATATATATAAGCCCCCTAAATAGATGTGTGTATGTGTATATATGTGTATATATGTATATGTATAAACCTTTTCTGATGAGACAAAGTGCTTCCTCTGCACCATGCCTAGTACCTAGTAGAAGTGACAGGGCAGGTGACACTGGATTAGTGGATATATGTAAATACCTGGAATCTTGATCAATGCATGCGCAGCAAATGGCTTCCATTACCTTTTTTGTTTTGTTTGCAGATAAATATTTTTTTGAAAAAAATATATTTCGTGGAGTTAAAAATAATAAAATGTCCAACTTTGACTGAACTGGCATTATTGCCCTCCTTGATCCATCACTGTATGTCACCCGAGTGCTGGTAAGCTTCCTCAGCTGCCAGCTGCAAAGACGTGGATATTAGGATGAAAGGCGTTAGGCAGTGATGCTATTTCTGGTGCTGTTACTTTAGTCAAATCTGTGTTCACCAGGTACCCATGTGCTGGCACCTGTGATTAGTGAATTGCTCATGGGAGTATGTTTGCAATGTGCTTTCTCTGTGTTTTCCAGGCAGTTTTAAATGTCTCTCTGTTTTTCTGACTAGGTAGTCGATAGTGACAGGCCAGAAAGGTCCAAGTTCCGGCTCACTGGAAAGGGAGTGGATCAAGAGCCTAAAGGAATTTTCAGAATCAATGAGAACACAGGGAGCGTCTCCGTGACACGGACCTTGGACAGAGAAGTAATCGCTGTTTATCAAGTGAGTACCCCTCTCCCATGCCCACCCTGTGCGCAGAAATGTGGCTTTCAAAGATTGTTTTCTTCCCACTGAGCTCATTATTTCTGTGCCTCATCAAACCCGGGACTGCATGGCTTTAGGGTGTTTCTGTGGGAGCTGAAGTGGATGGAATTGAACCCTGACAGGGCAACAGTGGGGGGTCTTTATCTCATCAGTAGAGCCCTCCAGGCCTGCATCAGACTTTGGGTACCAGAGACCAAGAAGGGAGACCCTGGGGGCATCTCAGAGGAGGTCAGAACCCTTAGGGCAACTTTGGCTTTCCAGAGACCAGCTTGATGATCTAGAGCTGGAAGAGGTATAAACCCCAAGACCTGATATAATTAGCAAGACATGGTCCTTAGGGTGAAAACAGTTGCTAAATATTCAGCCATAAAGGAGTAGTTAAATTATGGCAGATTTTGCAAGGCAGTTTTCTCTAGCCATTTAAAATGCTTCTGAAGAAGTTGTGTTATATGGGAGAGATTCAAGATATTGAATGAAAACAACATACAGACACATATGGTATCCTCATTACCAATGGAGTATTTGCACATATCATGAGGTGTATATGTTTAACAAAAATGATAAAGAAAAATCAGTGGGTTAATGGTTGTATTTGGAAGTGATTGATTGATTGATTGATTTGGTTTTCTTACCTACTTAAATGCATTATTGTGAGTTTGAAGTGAGAAGATACTATAAGGGCGTTGGAGGCATAAAGTGCTGGACAGACATAGAGCAGTAGCATGATGGTAGGTAGTAAAGTCCCCACCCTCCAGCAGAACCCTTACTGGGCAATGCGCTCAAGGGTCTCAGGCCCTGGGAGGATGCGGGTGCTTTCCAGATGTCCATCTCGGAAGCCTTGCCAAAGCCTTTTCTGAGCATTTGCTGGGGGAGTCACCTGTCAATGAGAACTGAAACGTGAGCCATGAGTCCCAACTTATACTCAAGGGGGAATCAGGTAGTTGTATAAATTGAATGTTGGTGACCTCAGAAATACCCAGTTCCAGCTGGCCTTGACAGTAACCAGAGGTGACCTGGCAGCTATTGGGGTCCAGCTCCTGTAGGAACAACCAGCAGCAGACTATGGATAGATGCCCTCTTGTCTTTCTGTGCCCATCATGGGAGTCTCCAAGAAAGTTCTGGCACAAAAAACTAAGGAAAGATACAATAAATTTCATAATTTCTTAACAGAGTGATCAAGAGCTGTGGGATCTGATATGGTTTGGCTGTCTCCCCAATCTCATCTTGAATTGTAGCTCTGAGAATTCACACGTGTCATGGGAGGGACCCAGTGGGAGGTAATTGAGTCATGGGGGTGAGTCTTTCTCGTGCTGTTCTCGTGATAGTGAATAAGTCTCATGAGATCTGATGGTTTTATGAATGGGAGTTCCCCTGCACATGCTTTCTTGCCCACCGTGTAAGAAGTCCCCTTGTTCTTCCTCCATCTTCTGCCATGATTGTGAGGCCTCCCCAGCCATGTGGAACTGTGAGTTCATTAAATCTCTGTCCTTTGTAAATTACCCAGTCCCGGGTATGTCTTCATTAGCAGCATGAGAACGGACTAATACAGCATCTGAGATCCTCCATTCAGGTCTCAGTGCTGCTGCGTACTGAGCTGTGGGACCTTGAGCAACACTCTTACCCTCCCTGATCTTGGGATTCTTGTCCATAAAGTATGATTACAGCTAACGCTTCTGAGGATTATAAAAAATGAAATTACTAGTTTTTGCTAACTAGTAATTGCTAAACAGCTAATAAAACAGAGCTTCGGTTGCAGCTTGGAGCTTCCCATACTTTTTAAAAACTGAGGCCATATAATATTACGGTAGTTAAAAGCATGGATTCTGCACACAGCCAGATTGGCTGCATTCAAATCATGGCTATCATGTACTAGGTGTGGAAACTTGACAAATTGTCTGCCTCAACTTCTTATCCTGGAAAATGGGAAAAATAATAATGATGTCATAGGATTTCATAAGGATTAAATGAGTTAATACATATGAAGCATTTAGAAAATGCTGGAAACATAGTAAGCATCATATAATCTTCCTACATGGGTGACAATAATCAATGATATTAAAGGTGAAGGAAGGTAAGTGAAAACCCAAAGGATTCCAAGTTATAGCCCAATCTCTCATGTCCAGCACAAACTTTCCTTGAGTAGTCTTGAGTTTTTACTATACTTTTATAGTCTATGTCATAGCATATGGATTGATTGAGCAATTCATTCATTTTACATACATTTAATTGAGTGCTTATAGGGTAAGGGACACGCTTCAAGGTGTTCGGAGGATACAGTAGCAACAAGACACACTGGGTTCCTTGCTTTCATGTATCTTTTATTCTAGTTCTTTGTTTCGGAATAAACTGGCTTGAATTCCTCTCTTCTGTGTGTAGGTGACATGGCAGGAAGTTGTGCCTGGTTTGTAACATGGCTTGTTGATAACACCAGCACAGGGTCATATACCCTCATTGGAAAGGGTACTGGTATTTAGTGGGAATGCAGTTTCTTACACAAGTACTTGGGTTACTTACGACTGGCAGACTGGGGCCCAGCCCTTGGCAGCGCACTCTTCAATGGGCTCATGAGGGCCTACTTTCTGATGCCGTTTCCCTCCGTGCTTCATGCACTTCAGTTCGGTCATTGTCCTGTTTTCATCATACCCGCACTGAAGCTTCTTACAGTTGCTGAAGCTTCTTCCTTGAAGAAGCAAGTTTGAGGAAGAGCCCCGATCATTCTGCGGTTCTTTATTTTTAGATGATGAGAACTGGGTTACTCTCATGTTGGTCTACTTTGGGCACAGGAATGTTGCAATTTCCGTTCATTCCAAGTGCCTGTTTAAGAATAAGTTACTATTTTAGTAGTACAGCTAGATCCATGGTATTCATGGTAGTCAACACGGTTGGGAGCAAATGTGGTTCTTCAAAGAGGAGAATCCTGGGTCTCCAAATCCTCACATTTTAGTTTCTAGTCTTGCAAGTTTAAAAAGGAGAGAGCCGGGTGCAGCACACCAACATGGCTCATGTATACATATGTAACAAACCTGTACGTTGTGCACATGTACCATAGAACTTAAAGTGTAATAATAATAAAAAATAATAAATAAATAAAAATAAAAATAGAAAAACAGAGCAAGAAAAAAAAAGAAAAAGAAAAAAAAAAAAGGAGAGAGCCTGCAGGTGAATGTGTTGTCATCATAATAGCGCCAATGTTTCTGTTGTTTAAAGTTAAGTGCTGCTCACATGCAAGTACGTGTTGATGTATTAACGTTTTCCAAATCCAACAAGAAATATTTTGATCTAAACCTCAGGGATTTGTATGATAAGAAATAATCTGGAATACATTTGTCCTTGGGCCCCTGAAAGTGCATCACCATTGAAGCTCCTGTTTATTGAACACTGCATGGCAGATATTATGCTAAACACTTTGTATAATTCTCTTATTTAATCCATTTCACACAAGAGACTTAAGAAGTAGGTGTTAACACCATTTCACAGATAAGCAAATAGCTGTTAAACAACTTTTTCAAGGTCTCACAGCTGGCATGTATTGGATTTGGGATCCATATCCATTTCTTTTCAGCTCCAAAGCCCCACATTTTCAATCACTAAGAAACACTCTTCCTATTTTATCCCCAGCTAGATTTTATATCTAATCTGCAAATTCCTTAGCTCCTTTCCTAGGAACTCTGCTTACCGGGGCTGGGAAGGGAGTTTGGCTGGCTGGGTGATCTATTACTTTTTAAAAACCATCCATTTCCGTGACCCACTGCCATCTTGCCACTCCTCCCTGCCCCAGCCCCCAGAAAAACTTCCCCAGCTTCTGACCCAAAGTAGCACCTGGCAAAATAATTTATCTCTTGCAGTATTGGAAGCTGACATACTAATGCAAAGCCTCCTGAAATATTACTCATTATTATGCATTTTGCCAGCATTTGAGTGATATGTGAACTCTTCACTGGAATAAAGTACTGTAAATGATTCATGAATGACCAAGTTTATGAAATTCTATAAAAATATTAGCAGGTGGTAATGATTCCCTCACACTGTGAATATGATCTACTGGCTGCAAATTTGCCAATATGGGATGACGGGAGTGGAGTGGGAGACCATCTGTTAGGCGAGTGGGGGAGGAAGACGGTGGGGGGGCGGTTGGGATGGGCTCTGCAGGAGGTGCAGGGCAAAACAGGAAGCATGGCCAAGACCATGGTAGCAGGCAGGTGTCCTTGGCAGGAGACCTTCACACTGATCTGTTGTCCAGTGGGAGATGCTCAGATAACTGGGAATGTCAGAGCTGGGTGGGAGAAGAGAGGAGCATATGGAAGAAGAGGCAAAACTAACTTTATTGAGCATCTATTAAGTGCCCAAGAATTCCCTAGATCCCTGACATACACAGACCTATGAAAATGGTTATCTTGTCTTCACTGATGAATTAGATGAGGGCTAAACAGGTTCCCAAGATGTATTTTTACTATTAATGTTGGGGTGAACATGTCTTGAACATTTACAGTGTGCCAAGGCTCCATGCCAAATACTCAGATGATGGTCTCATCTCATCTTCATAAAGATAACCTTGATACGTCTATCACACTCAATTCTAGAACAGGTAACTGGAACCACCTGTGTTCCTGGCCTCAGAACATGGAAAGGACCTCACTGCCACCTTCTGAGTATTTGCTCACATTTCATACTATATAACTTGTTCTTTTTTGAGCCAATTTCTTGGTCAAGTTTTGAATTTGTGGTCAAGAATGTTGTCATAAAATTGAAATACAACTGGCATTCAGAGGTATCCTTGCTCATATATTTTCTTTTGTTAATGTGGCTCTACCCCTATTCTAACCCATCTGTAGCTCCATGACAATTTGGCAGAATACACATTAAAGTGAAAGCTGCTGCCGTCATGCGGAAATAGGTGTATCATAATGTCAGTGCTTATAAGACGATTGGGAGATATAGATGTACCCATATTAGAGAGTTATTTAAGTGATTAACCTGGTTATAAAAACGTTCATGTTATGAACAAATGATGCACATATTACCTTGATGGGATTGTACTACACCTGATTAGACTTGTACTTGGAAAGGACCCCAGCCCTCACTAGTAGGGACATGCTATGTAAGTCTTCTTTGTCCTCTACTCTGGTCTCCCCCATTGCTACCTTTCTTAGCCAGGGTTCTTGGTGGCAGTCAACAAAATCACCTCCAACTAGTTTACAAAGGAAGAGATTTATTAAAGAGTACAGGTAGCCATTAGGATTGCCCAAAGTGCCAAGTAACCTAGCTGACAAGGCCAGATGAGGTGGTGCTACAGGAAATACCCACATATGAAACTATTCTAGGGCAAGGTTTTTCAACAGTGGCACTATTGAAATTTGAGGCTGGGTGATTCTTTGTTATGGGGGGCTGTCCTGTGAATTGTAGGAGGCTTAGCAGCACCAATGGCCTCTACCCACTAGATGCCAGTACCACCACCCCCCACCCACACACACACCTAATCTGGACAATCAGATATGTCTGCTGATATTGCCAGTTGTCCTATAAGGGGCAAAATTGAGAACCACTGTTAGAGAGAAGTGTCATAGTCCATTTTGTACTGCTGTAACAAAATATCGGAGCCTGGGTATTTATAAAGAAGAGAATCGTATTGGCTGTCATTTCTAGAGGATGGACAATCCAAGGTCAAGACACCAGTAGGTTTGGTGTCTTGTAAGGCCATTCTCTTCTTGCAATATGGTGCCTGGCACCTTGCACCCTCCAGAAGACAGGAAGGCTGAATTCTCATATGGCAGAAAGTGGAAGGGCCAAAAGACAGCACCTATTCCTGAAAGCCTTTTAAATTAAGGCATCAAACCTACCCATGAGGGTGGAACACGCATGCTCTAATCACCTCTAAAGGGCCCCACCTCCCAGCACCATTACATTGGCTATTACATTACAACAAGAGTTTTGGAGGTGACAGGCATTTCAACCATAGCAAAGAGTCAAGGTCGCTGCTGGCTCTTCCTGCCACTTTGCTCTGATGCTCACAACTGGATGTGGCAGCCCTGCTTGGGTTACCTAAAAGAGCCAGGTGACTTTGCCAAGCTCAGAACCTCTGATCTGCAAAGCACAGCTGTGGCCTCCCGCCACTCACTTCCATCCAGTCTCACGCTGGTGCATCTGCAGGAAGAACCTAGACCGTAAGCAGGACTCTAGGTGCAAGAGAGCTGGGTCAACATAGTTTTTAGTTTTTCCAGCTCCCTGGTACAGGAAAGTCCGCTTGCCAGAGGACTGGAGTGGTGGTTGTCATCTACCACATTGTGATGACATGAGTGCAATTTTTTTAATTCCATGGGTTTTTGGGGAACAGGTGGCGTTTGGTTGCATGAGTAAGTTCTTTAGTGGTGGTTTGTAAGATTTTGCTGCACCCATCACACGAGCAGTATACACTGAACCCAGTTTGTAGCCTTTTATTCCTCATTCCCTTCCCACTCTTCCCCCTTGCCAAGTCCCCAAAGTCCATTGTATCATTCTTTTGCCTTTGCATCCTCACAACTTAGCTCCTAATTATGAGTGAGAACATATGATGTTTGGTTTTCCATTCCTGAGTTACTTCACTTAGAATAATAGTCTTCAATCCCATCCAGGTTGTTGCAAATGCCATTAATTCACTCCTTTTGACGGCTGAGTACTATTCTACCATATATATATGTATGTATACACACACCACAGTTTCTTTATTCACTCATTGATTGATGGGCATTTGGGCTGGTTTCATATTTTTGCAATTGCGAATTGAGCTGCTATAAACATGTGTGTGCAAGTATCTTTTTCGTATAATGACTTCTTTTCCTCTGTGTAGATACTCAGTAGTGGGACTGCTGGAGTGCAGTTTTGTTCCAAGTGAGAGCCTGTCAGTGAGAAGCTTAGTTGCCCAAAGGCAGGTAACAGGCTTACACCTAGGAGACTGTGTTCTCAAACCTGTGATCTTCACTTCTGTCATCATTAGGGTCCTATCAATCAATAACACACATGTGACCTAGGCAAGAGCCCTGAGTGGGACAAAACAAAGGATTTGGGTTAAAAGCCCAGGCTTTGGAGCCAGACCTACGGAGGGAAGAATCTCGACTCTCCTATCACGTGAACCATATGAAATTGCCATTCTTACAGGTGAAAAAGAGGTGAACATTGGCAATTTCATGGTTCATTCTAATACTCTGACACCTTTAGCCAGTTACTTCTCAGCCTCTGTTTTCTCATTTTTAGAATGAGAGTGAGATTACAGTATCATCTCCTAACAGTGTTATCATTAGTGGGTGTTTATCACTCAGCCCAGTCACTTAGTAAGTGTTCCGGAATTGGGAGCCAGCCTGCCACATATCGGTTTTATAGTTTAAGCTCCCTGCAAGTACAATGGAGTTGAAAGCACTTGTGAGGGAGCAGCTAGCAGGTAAACAGTTGAATGTCAGTAACTCTCTGTAAAAGGGAATCATCTCACTGGGCAGTTTCAAACTGTGGCCCCAGACTAACAGCGTCACCTGGGAACTTGTTAGAGATGTAAATTGTTAGGTGCTTTCCCAGGCCTGCTGGATCAGAAACTCTCGGGGTGGGTCTCTCCATCTGGGTTTTAGCCAGCCCACCAGGTCATCCTGACGCTCACTGTAGTTGGAGGAACACAGGTCTAAATAATCACACTCTTGGGTATTAACATCATGGCAGCTGACCTGATCACTAATTGGCCTTGATGAAGATGACCTTTGAACCTGTTTCGTTACAGTTCTGGTGGGGTAACATGTGCCTCAACTGTGCTTATTTCTCCTGGTGCTCCGGTGTGCCATTTGAAAGCCCTCTCCATCCAATTCCAACTCTTCCAAACTGCTTTCTTTTTGTTTCATTAGTGGCACCTGAGAGCCAGGCAAATTTGTCCCAGGCTTCCTTGCTGCATCCTGCCTAGACTTTGGATGACTGTTAAATGCCATGTTACTGCGTGTTTGCTTGTTTCTCAGCCAGAGATGAAGATGTCCTCAGAAGATTGGAGTTGGAACAGGCTGATGTAATTCCTGATAGGGGAAATTAGCCTTGGGGTCGGCAGAACCAGCTTTATCTGCCTTAGTAGATCTGTGACCTTGAACAAAGCATTTGTGGTTCTTGAACTTTGTTGCCCTTAGAATCATCTGGGGAGCTTTGAAAACCCTGAATGCCCAAGCTGCACTCCAAACCAATTAAATCAGGATGTCTCAGAGTGTGACCAGGTGTCAGTATGTTTATAAAATTCTCCAAGTTTTTCCATTGTGAAGCCAAGTTTGAGAAACTGTTGTGTTACTATAACTTGTCTGTACCCCAGTTCGTTCATAATTAGGAATTAATATAATGATACCAACCAGCTAGGTGTGTGTTTGAATATCAAGCGAGACAATGCAGGGGTTTCTAACACAAAATAAAAGTCAAAGATCTCATTTCTCCCAACTGCTTCACTCTGAGCAAACATCTGAGGCTGCTTTCTAATGCCTCCTTGGACACAAACACTTAAAAATAGGAATTCTGAGAAACAGAATTTAATAAACAAACGCTTGTCTTCTGAGTGCTTGTGAAAAAATAATTCGAGGTTTGTTCACAGCCCCTCCCTACCCCTGCACCTCTGATCACCTCCACCTGACTTTTTCCAGTTCGTCTCTTCGTATTTCCAAGCACTTCATTTTATTACAACCCGGCCTTATCTGTCAGGTGCAGCTGGCGAAACTGAGGCATGAAGAGGTTAAACGACCTTGTGGAGGCAGCTACATACCTGGATTAGACTGCTGAGTTGCTTCTGACTGATTATTTATTTGGTCCACTAAGCAAAGCTGCTTCCTCACTCAGGGCTATGGAAACATATTTTTCTCTGAACTTCATTAGCACAAACTCCTCAGAAGAGGTTCAACTTGAATCTTGGCAGGTGGGAGAACCCCACATTCCTTAATTTTCTCTTCTCCACCCCCACACTGGTCTTTGCACCTGTGGCACCTGGCCCACACTCGGTACTTAGCACACATCCATGGAATGAATAAATGACAGGATGGCTACCCTTTTTTTTCTGTTTTAGTTGTCTAACTACAACCAGGTCTACTTCATCATGCTGATTCTTCAAATTACTTGGCGGCATTTTCTTTCCCAAGGTGCGGAAGCATCGCAATACATTGGGACTGCAAGAGCCTTAGACCCATTTTGTCCAGCCCAGCAGCCCAGCGAATTTACAGGGAACAAGTTAAATAACGGGGCAACTGCTCAGACTCCCAGGACTTGAGATTCCCTGGCTATGACGAGCATTGTGAGTGACACTCTGGGACCAGATCCCCAAATGCAGGGGCACGGTGGGGGACCATCCATTCCAGCTCCCGCCACCCATTAGCCATCTATATGCCTTCAGCTATCAGCATAAAGATATTTATTTTTATTTGGTAAAAATGAGAAGGGAGAGGAAGAAGAAGTGCATTAGTGGTGTGGACTGGAAGACAGAGGAGCGAAAGAGGGGATACGGACAGGTTGTCCTCCTACGCTGGGACCCTGAAGTGTGTTGAAGACCCTTGGGTTCGAGAACAGAAAATGATTGAAGTCATGTTTTACGAAAGACTGCAAGATTGAAAGTGAAGGCCAGAAGCTAATTAAATTGATCACAAACGATTGGGTCAGAACCCGGATGCAAGCACCACAGCTATGGGAACAGGTGGCCAAGGATTACACAGTTGGAAAGAGAGGCCCCCTCTGACACCTGTAGCACTGTGGCATGGGAAGTGCTGGTCTTCAGGGGTGGGTCACCGTGGTGACATCTCCCGCAGTGGTCCTGATAAGGGAGGAGGCAGCAGCAGTTGGCACATGGTATGGAAGCTGACATTGATCAGGGGGCCCTTGTGAAGCCAGCCTTGGGCCTCCCAGGAAATACCTGGGGAATAATGTTGTGATGGGGGCTGAGTTCCTGTGGAGCAGGTTGGAAGCTGGTGGTGCCTATGATCAGGGAATAAAGGCAAATGTGTCCCATGTCGTCATGCAATGCTGGGAAGCCAGCCAACCTCCGTGTTACCCATCTCGATTCTGGCCTGCCCACTGCTTCCTGTTTAATTGAAGCAGATGCGTGACTGCTCTGGATATGAAATACGGATAACCTGTGAGCAAAACCCCCAGGTAAAAAGCACGTGGGGGAGCATGCTTTTTGGCCAGCTGAGTCTTCTCTTCCAGTCTAGAGAAGTGGAGGAAAACAGGGGAGCATCTGGGGACCATAGAGCCAGCGTCCACGCCAGGCAGTGCAGACTCGGCAGCTCCATCAGAAAGGGATTCAGCTCAACCTGGGGGCCGATTCATTCAAAGGACATTGATCTGGCACCCAACTTGTGTTAGCCACTATTTCACAGTGCTGGGGATACAGCAGCAAACAACCACCAAATCCCTGCTTCATGGAGCTCTGTCAATCTACAGGCATTAGTGAGTATGTGACGATCAGGTGGCCCTAAGTGCTGGGAATAGACACGGAGCCGATAAAAGATATAGGGTGGTGGGAGACACTGCTTGGTCCAGGAAGGCCCTCCTGGGAGGGGCCGTGAGAAGGGAGGCCAGATGGAAAGTCTCCTGAGGGCAGGAATGAGTGCTGTCCTTATCTCTCATGTACCCCTGACAGCTTTTCTCAACCATGGATGCTTCAGTCCCCTAGCAGATGCCTGGCAGTGTCTGCATATGTTTTTAGTTGTCACAACTGGGGCTGTTATTGCCATCTGGTGGGTCAGGCATGCTGCTCCACATCCTGCTGTGCACAGGACAGTCCCCACACGTCCGCAGGGCCGTGCTCTGCAGGCTCCTTGCATGGCGTTGGCCACTCAGAGGGTCTAAAATTATTGCATGGTTTGTTTGCTCAGTATTCATCAGGTTTGGATAGTCAAGAAGTCTGTCTTCATCTCTGGGGCACCAGAGATGAAGGAAGGGACACTATCACTGTTCTTGTAAAGTCCACACGCTAGCTGGGGCAATGATTTGCAACAATCGACTATATTATCTTGTGAGGAGGGTCATGTTACAGGTTCAGCCTTCGGAAGGACATGAGGTCAAAGCAAATTCTCAAGAATGAGGAATGACAGGAGACAGAGACGCGGACGGGGCAGGAAGGGTTTTGTGAGAACAGCTGATGGAAGAAAGCATTTAATGGCACCTCCAGCGGAGTGCGTGCAGTTTAGAGCAGACGAGGGTGGGGCCATGGCAGGGCTTGACTAGGAGCAAAGGTGGGACTCGCATGCTAAGGAGTGAGCTTAGACATGATACTCCTGCGGCGAAAGGGACAAATGATGGAGGATTTTAGGCTGAAAGTGACATGATCAGATTTGGATTTTACAGGGACTGATCCGGTTGACATGCAGGGGATGAATGGGAGACAGTGAGTTCTGTCTCTGGGTCTTTGAAGCCAGAGTGACACACATCAGATAGATGCAGTTTTCACCCAAGAAGACCTGGGTAGTGAATGGGATTAGTCCAAACTCATAGTGAAGATATTAAATATACCTTGGGATGAAAAGAGTAGCAGGAATGCGGACTTGTGGGAGGAGGGCAGGCCATACCGGGCCTCACAGGGCAGGATAAGGTGCTTGGATTTTACTCTAAGGAAGCCTCAGCCTCAGAGGGTTCTCAGGAAGGGAGTGACATCCAATTTGCATTTCAAGAAGATAAGATTTATTTGAGCAAGTCAACAATAACATTCAAATTGTCATGAAATAGAAATTAATTCAAAAATGCATTCATTTATTGAGGCCCCACTACCAGGCACTGGGGAAAAGAGATCAAAGAGAAAACTTTGCTTTCCCTGGAGCTCTGCCTTCAAGTTTCCCTCTACACATAGCAAACCAGAAAACCTTTATTTTTTAATTCACAAGTAGAGGGTTGGGGAGCATTTTATGCACTGACTCGTTCTCCCCATTTAGTCTGGCATAATTTCCATGCCAAGTAAATATTCTCTCTTAAAATTTTAAATTTTGAGGGTTTTTTTTTTCTTCTACGGGGGTTTATCAGTGGGCTCTCTCAAAATTTATTAAACACAGTTGGCCAGAGCTGTTAGCTGTTGATTTCTTTGATTGGTATCTGTTTTAAGATCTTTATTATCCAGAAGGCGTATCTTTTCTCCCAGTGAGGCATTAGGTAGTAAAAGAGATCATTTCCGTATTTTTCTTTCTTCCAAAGGTGCAGATGTTTGCATAATAGGCTCCTTTAAGTAAAATCCACCTTTTCTGGAATCATGTTGGAAAGCCTGCAGGCCCACGATGAGGGACTATCTTATATTCTTTAACTCAGGAATCCTCGTTCCTGTTTCTGCATGTGGGACCAAACTGAGCCATGTTCAGTGTGCCAGACCAAACACTCTGAAGCTGGACTAGAGTAATAGCAAACTGGAGAGTCGCATCCTCGTTAAATGATGGCTTAGCATGTAAAACATTCGTGTGACTGGATAGTCAGTGTTTGACAATAAGATGCTGGGAGGAGAGCCCTGTGCTCTTTTGAAATTGATTGTGTCCTCCTTCAATGGATCATTAATAGTTGGGGAATCCACATTTAAAAGGGGTAGACCCACAGCAGAGGTCTTGGTCAGAGGTCAGAAAGGCTGAGAAAAATGGGCAGCTGGCATTTCACAATTAGTCGTGAATGCATTTTCTATTCCTTTCGAGTTTTTATTGCAGAACCTAATCATGAACTCCACCAAAGTCACATTAGTTCCTGTTCAGTGTTTCTTATCTCCTGTGATGTGAGGCTCTGGTAATTAGCAGGGCTGTTTCTGCTCCCAAATAAAAAGGAGATATATTTAGAAAATGGATGTGTTAACCCGGGAAAGCAGGCACAGGAAGGGCTGCATGAAGTATCTTTCTCTTGGTGAGGTAGGCTGCAAGTTGATGTGGAAGAAGTTCTAGATCATACTGTGTGTTCCCTGCCTGACCACCCCCGCAAGCCTCTTGACTCCCTATTCCCAAATCTGGAATTATTTTTAGAAAGCTGTCCCAGGCCGGCACGGTGGCTCACACCTGTAATCCCAGCACTTTGGGAGGCCGAGGCTGGAAGATCACCTGAGGTCAGGAGTTTGAGACCAACCTGGCAAGAGTGGCCAAAACCCCATCTCTACTAAAAACACAAAAATTAGCTGGGCGTGGTGGCAAGCGCCTGTAGTCCCAGCTACTTGGGAGGCTGAGGCAGGAGAATCGTTTGAACCCAGGAGGTGGAGGTAGTGGTGAGCCAAGATCATGCCATTGCTCTCCAGTCTGGTGACAGAGCGAGACTCTGTCTCAAAGTTATCCCAGAGGATATCAAACTGAGAAGACAAGTATTTCTTGGGAATGCCACAATGTGGATGACATAATTTTGGGTCAGCCCAGGAAATCTGGGCCCTAAGATAGAAAGAAAGGAAAACTGTGAATTCTGTATTTGGAATGTGAACCAAGCATATGCCGGGAGACATCCTCGAAATACCATTTCCATTCAGAATGGTTGCTCCCTTTGTCCACATGCCTTCATCTTCCTCGGGCTCTGACCTTCGCCCAGCTCTCTAAACTTGAGCAAATGCTCAGAGCAAGACCTGGTGCTAGGATCGGAACAGGGAAGACACATGGAAATGAATAAGGTCACATTCTAGATAACTTGCACATCACGGCCCCATTTTTGTAATAATCCCTTTCTCCATCCTCCACCCCTATCCTCACTTCCCTCTTCTCTATGAAGAATTCAGTTTAACTGTGTAGGTTGGATCATGGCATGCCGGTACCCTGGGGTGATGGAGAGTTGCCTTCCTACTGAAGGTCAGCTACTGAAAGAGCATCTGTGCGTTGGCAAATCTGCTAGGTTCAGGGCTCTCCGAGGGAATAGATAGGAGAAAAATTTTGGATTCACCTTTGATTGTACTTCCTGATGGAGTCAGGATTGGGGTGAGGAGAATTGCACGTTAACAAGCATAGATTGCACATGGAGTGGCTGTCCTTTGAGGTAGTGAGTCCCCTCATGGTTGATGTGTTCCAGCAGGAGCTGGTGAGCACCTTCAGGAAGAGCACAGAGGGATTGTTACTTTATGTAGTTACATTAGAAGTAGGGGGTCTGCAAACTGTGGCCTGCAGGCCCACTCCATTTTCACCCACTCATTGCATATTGTCTGTGGCCTCTTCCACCCTGCAGCTGCAGAGTTGAATAGTTGTCAGAGTGTGGCCTGCAAAGCCAAAAGGACTTACTCTGCCCCTCTACAGAAAAAGCCTGCCAACCCCGGACTAGATGAACCCTGGTATGGGTTGGATGTTTGTCCCCTCCACATCTTATATTGAAATGCGACCCCCAGCACTGGAGGTGGGGCCTGGTGGGAGGTGATTGAATCATGGGGGTGGACCCCTCCTGAATGGTTCAGTGTCATCCCCTTGGCGACCGAGTTCTTGCTCAGCTATTTCACATGAGATCAGGATGTTTATAAAAGAATGTGACACAGAAACAGAAAACCAAATACCACATGTTCTAACTTATAAGTGGGAGCTAAACAATGAGAACACATGGACACAAGGCGGGCTTTTCAGAGGGTAGAGGGTAGGAGAAGGGAGAGGATCAGGAAACATAACTAATGGGTGCTAGGCTTAATACCTGATTGATGAAATAATGTTTACAACAAACCCCCATGACACAAGTTTGCCTGTGTAACAAGCCTGCCCTTGTACCCTTGAAATTAAAAGTGTTTTCTTTTTTTTTTTTTTTTTTAAAAAAAAAAAAAAAGGCTGGGCACGGTGGCTCATGCCTGTAATCTGAGTGCCTTGGGAAGCTGAGGCGAGCAGATCACTTGAGGTCAGGAGTTCAAGACCAACCTGGCCAACATGGCGAAGCCCTGTCTCTACTAAAAAAACAAAAATTAGCCAGGCATGATGGCGCATGCCTGTAATCCCAGCTACTAGGGAGGCTGAGGCAGGAGAATCGCTTGAACCTGGGAGGCAGAAGTTGCAGTGAGCCAAGATTGCGCCAGCTGCACTCCAGCCTGGGCAACAGCAGGACTCTGTCTCAAAAAACGACAACAACAACAACAAACAAACAAAAAAAAAAAAAAGTGTGGCACCTCCCTTCCCCCACACACTTTGCTCTTGCCTTTGCCATGTTATACGCCTGCATCCCCTTTGCCTTCCACCATGATTGTAAGTTTCCTGAGTCCTCCCCAGAAGCTGAGCAGATGCCAGCATCATGCTTCCTATACAGCCTGCAGAACCGTGAACCAATTAAACCTGTCTCTTTTATAAATGACCCACTCTCGGGTATTTTTTTATAGCAATGCAAGAACAACCTAACACAAACCCTCATATTTAGGAATTGATAGCTCCAGCCCTTTTATATCTAATTTTAAGAGCTTTTGAGACTATCGTAGTTTATGCCTTAAAGGAAGCTTATAAGTTTCCCCTTTTCTGGGTATTTCCAAGGAAAGGCAAAAATGTGTCACCCTGAAATGATGCTGATGTTGTCTGACCTAGAGATGAACTAAGTCCAGTCTGGGACAGGCTCCCCAGGGAGCATTTTCATGGAGGTCAGTGTGAACCCCCTTTTCCAGATTGGCGGCAGGGCCAGCTTTAGGTCCCTTGAGATTGTCTGCATCCCACTTCCTAAGTAAACAAAATAATGACTAGAAAAGTCTTTTCAGGAAAGGGAAAATGTGCAAATATACGAGACAAAATTGCTTTTCTTTCCCAGCAGTTTTCTCCCTTAGGACCATTTCACAGGCCTGAGCTACCCTAGGAGTCTGTTTTGCCCACAGGCTATGCGTGAAGCCGACCCTTACCCTCTCACCCAGTGACGACCACGACAATGTTGATGATCATAAGCAGTGCTTGCAGGCTTGGCTAGTCCTTCACAGATGCTACGTCACCAGTCCTTGTGCTGACTCAACGAGTAGGTGGCTGTATTAGTTTTCTATTTCTGCCCAAACAAATTACTGCAGGCTTGGTGGCTTAAAACAACACAATTTTTATCTTACAGTTGTTTAGGTCAGAAGTCCGACATGGTTCTCACTGGGCTAAAACCAAGCTGTGGGCAGAGCTGGCTTCTTCTGGAAGGGAGCATCATTCTCCGACCTTTTCCAACTTTTGGGGGCCACCTGCATTCTTCAGCTCATGACTGCTTCCTCCATCCTCAAAGCCAGCAATGGAAGCAGCTCCTTTCACACTGACATCTTTCCTATTCTCCCATCCCCAGCCCTCTTTCCTTTATAAGGTCCCTTATGAGTCCATTGGGCCCATCTACATAATCCAGGATCCTTTCTTTAATTTAAATTTATCTAGTTCACAACATTAATCTTCTTTACCATGTAACCTAACATAGTCAAAGTTTCCAGACATTAGGAGGTGGGCATCTCTGGGGGCCGCTATTCTACCTACCACCACACTCCTTGTATAGATGAGGTAATGGAGAGACAGAGTGGGTTAGGAACTTGTTCAAGGTCACACAGTGCTAAGTGATGGATGATCTTAACCTTTGACCCCAGCTATTGTCATCTTTGGAAAGCAGGGATGGATAATGTGGCCAGCACAGTGTCCAAGGGGTTCCCCTCTTCTGCTGGCTTCAAATAGGGTGACGGCCGGAAGGAGAAGTAACTCTGGATGAACCCCCAGGGGCAACCCTAGATTCTTGCTCTGAAAGCTCATAGGCAGTGTGTGGCAACACTGGTGTCTCTGATAGGTTTTCTTTCCAGAGTGGGAGTGCCCCAGTCTTTTGCAAATCTTCCTTTTCTCATAAATGTTACCTAGGTGCTTTGCGGGGATGATTTTCTTCAGAATGAGTGAGTGTCACAAAACAGCCGGCCACTTGATTTTTATTCCTGTTTGGCACAGTCCTGGGCACAGAGCTCCTTTCCATTCGTTGCTTAGCAAGAAGCAGGCCCCAAATAACCACCTGCCCCAAGGCCCTTTTGTCCACTGGAGAGGATAGGTGATTAGATGGAGGGTAATTGATAACGCAGGGTCAGTAGGGAGAGGGAAACCCCTTGAGGTTGGACCTAGGCAGCTCCAAGTCCAGATTCCTGCTCCAGTGCAACTGATGCTAAACAACAACAGCTAGGCTTGACTGAGCACCGCTGGGGTTCAGGTGTGGCGTGAGTGTGTTTCCTGAATGATCACTTAGAAGTTAAGTCTCCCCTGCCATGCCGGGGGCATTGTTCTAGGCACAAGGGATTTTAGAGTGAACAAAACACATTTGTAGCCCTACCCCCAGCCCCTCTGGAGCTTATAGTCCTAAGGACCTTAAAGGTAAAGATTGTTTTTGTCCACTTTGCATGTGGAGAAACTGAGCTTAGGAAAGTGTCTGGAAAAAGGTTACATGGTAGCTGATAGTGAAAGAACCAAATGACAAACCCACGTCCTCCCCTCCAGAGCCCAAGCTCCACACACTGACTCTGTTAACTGCTTGGTTTGGGCCGGGCACCGTGGCTCACGCCTGTAATCCCAGTGCCTTGGGAGGCCTAAGCCAGAGGATTGCTTGAGGCCAGGAGTTCAATACCAGCCTGGGCAACATAGAGATTCCATCTCTACAAAGTAAACAAATAGATAAATAAATTAGCACGGTGTGATGTTATGCACCTATAATCCTAGTTACTTGGGAGGCTAAGGTGGGAGGATAACTTGAGCCTGGGAGTTCAAGGCTGCGGTGAACTATGATTACATAACTGCATTCCAGCCTGGGTAACAGAGTGAGACCCAGTCTCAAAAAAGTACATACACACATATATAAACAAACACTTAGGTTTGCAGGGAAGCACCCTCCAATGCACAGGTCAGCCCCTGCCCCAGAGAATGACGCAGGTCCGAGTGCCAATAGTGTCACTGCGGAGAAGCCCCGGTGTAAAATGAAAATAATAAAATCCACCATAGAGCGTTGCTATGAGTTTTGAAAGCCCTATTATGTGAGCCTTCATCTAACCGAATCATGTTTTCACTGACTGGATTTTCAGCTGGAATCGTGGCATGTCAGGGCTCTGCCTAGCCGGGCCCCACTCCTACCCCGACCCAAAATCTGAGAAATGACCAGTAACACGGTTCTAGAGGAATTTGCCAATGCTCATTTTTTATTCTATGTGGTGGTGTTTTTTTTTTTTTTTCTCATTGCAGAAGACAAATTCTATTTCCTTACTCCTGAGGGAAAACTAATTCCAGCAAAGGCCATTTGTCTTTGGTACCTTAAGATCTAGGTAATTTACTGCAAGTTTATTTTTATTGAAAATTATGTAGATATTATTCAGAAACACAATTTTCAACTATACGGCACACTTAAGCACGTTATATTTTAAGTGTTAATACATAGACTGAGGATATATGCTAGAATGTGCATTTCTCAAAGACACTTTTTTCTTTTTTGTCACTCACTGCATTCGAGGTCCTTAAACTTGTGTGCTATGAAGTGCTAAAGGATTAAAATATTTTCAAATGGATATTGTGCTGTAAGTTTTGAGTTGTTACCATTTGACTGCAATTGAAACTCATGATGCTTTATATAGCTTAGATGATTAATTCAGAAATAATTTGCATTTAAATGCGTTTAAGATATTTAACTTATGATTCCAAATGTGCCTATTTTAAGCCTGGTAGAAGTACTTTAGTCTCCAAAGTATGTGGACGCTCTACTTCTCCCTAGTTTGTGGACCTGAAAAGGATTTAGATATTAATATAGAATAACTTTTCCAAACTAGTTCTGAAAACATAAGAACTGAGAGATAGCCCCCTGCAACACACACGCACATGCACACACACACACACACACACACACATAGGTTTTGTGCTGTCTTGGGAGCATTTAAGATACTCTGCAAACTACAATTGCTTCCTTAAAATGTACAGTGGACGTTTGACATAGTAAAGATATTTTGAAGATTTGCAGGCCAGAAACCTGTTTAAGCCAACATATTACACACTTTTAAGAAAGAAAAGCTCTTAATAACATCCTATAAGAAAATCTTAACCATTATAGAAGTTACTCTTTGAATAATATTGTGAGAAAAAATTTAATTAGTGAAACCCTAAGGAAGTTATCAGCATGGAGATTTGTGATGGATGCCAATGTGCCTTCCTAAAATGCTGCAAGGCTATTCTGGAAAAACAGTTCTGGAGACAGATTCTGGCATTAACTATCTCTGTTAACATAGTGGTAGCTAGGTTCTTCCCACTTCTGCTTGTTTCAGCTAAGTAAAATATAAGGGAGTCCAGTAATTCATGAATGGATAAACAAATTGTGATACATCCTTGCAATGGAATATTATACAGCCATAAAAAGGAATAGAGTAGGTTAAGCCATAGAAACACAAGTTAGATGAGTGGCAGGGGTGGGAAGGAGGGCCTACTTATAGGTCTGGGTTTCCCTTTGAAGTCATGGAAATGTTTTGGAACTAGACAGAGGTGGTGGTTCTACAACATCATGAGTACACTAAACATGACTTTAAAAATGTTTCATATGTGAGTTTCACCTCATTTTAAAAATCACAGTGCACAAAAAGAGGTAAGGGAGGCCAGAGAAACTGGACAGGAAAACCCAGGTGTGAGGACCAGGAGGAAGAGGGTGGGGCAGAGGGGACAAGGCAGATTCGAGGGGATGTTCCGCCACATTCTTCAGGGTGGCATGGGCAGCTTTTATGTAGATGAAAACAATTTTAGGAAATTGCAGCCTAAAGCGGTGTTCAGTACACAAGAGAGGCCCTCAAGAGAAGGTCACCAAGGGAAGGCAGAAGAGCAGCCTCTGCCTGTCTCAGCAAAGAGCTGAGTGGGCACCCACCCCATGGTGATGCTCACGGTCACAGCCTAGTGACCCACACTTGTGTCTTTGCTGTCAAGCAGAAGCTAGTGACCACGAAACTAAGCTTAACTTCTGGTGTTCTTTACTTGTGTAAAGGATCGTACCTTACATCGTAGAGAAGGAGTAGACCAACACTGTGTAATAGACCTCTCTGCAATGATAGAAGTGTTCCATAACTGCACCGTCCAATAAGGAAGCCAAATAGATAGTAGTCCACGTGGTGACTATTGAGCATTTGAACTGCAGCTAGTGCAGCTGTAGAACTGAGTTCTTAATTACTGTTTTTTAAATTTAAATAGCTGCATTTGGCTGATGGCCTTACTGTTGGAAAGCATAGGTTTTGAATGTCACAGGTGAAAACTGTCTTTAGCATCACGTGGGCCTATGTTTTAACACCAATTTTGCCTCTCCCTTGCTATGTAATTTGAGGCAAGTTGTTTAATCGTGAACTTTAGTTCCTCATTTGTAGAAAGGTAGAAATGAGAGAATATGCTTCCTAGAGTCACTGTCGAGATAAAATGAGGTATAGCATATGAAGTACGTGGAACTGGGCAAATAATAAATACTTGATAAACATTATTTGTGTCTTTGGGTATTGATAACTTATATATGTCTTATGCAGTGGTGCTTTGAGAAAATGAGGTACAGAGAGGTGAAGTAACTATGCTCACGTCACATAGCCAGAAGGCAGAGGGCTAGGAATTTAATCCCAGATGTTCTGATGCCAAAGCCCATTTGCTTGCTACTGCACTGGGTTTCCCTTGGAATCCTGGTTACCAAATTCATCTCAGCCTGTAGCATTAGACTGGGACTGAGGAGTGGATCCCTTTTTCCTACAAGTTCGTCCATTAGGTATGAACTGTTCTGGTCTTTGCTGAGATGGTGTATTAGTCCATTTTCATACTGCTATGAAGAAATACCTGAGACTGGGTAATTCATTTAAAAAAAAAAGAGAGATTTAGTGGACTTACAGTTCCACATGTCTGGGGAGGCCTCCCAATCATGGTGGAAGGAAGGAACAAAGGCACATCTTACATGGCGGCAGGCAAGAGAGCGTGTGCAGGGGAACTGCCCTTTATAAAACCATCAGATCTTCTGAGACTTATTCACTATCACGAGAACAGCATGGGAAAGACCCACCCCCATGATTCAATTACCTCCCACCAGGTCACTCCCATGACATGGGGGGATTGTGGAGCTACAATTCAAGATGAGATTTGGGTCAGGACACAGCCAAACCATATCAGATGGGATTTCTTGTAGGACTTGAAACCCTGGGGAAACATGTGGTTGTGTGATGGATTTCTATGTCCATAGTGGTCTTTGTTTCTTACCTAGGTTGGTTCTGGGTAGGTTCTGGACTGGATTGGCAGGGGAGATCCTGGTCTCTTTCATCTCAGGCACCTAAAGTCAAATCTTTCAGAAATAACATTTAACCAGTACCTCCATATGTGTTTTTTTGTTTGTTTGTTTGTTTGTTTGTTTTAGCGTTGAACACTTCTTGTTGAATGCCTTCTTTTTCATTCTATATGAAAATATCTCCAAGTCATGGAGAACTTTGTCTGGCATGGACAAGGGCAAGACAGTCTTCTTCTGTCCTGATGTTAGTTGGAAGGACACATCCTATTCTCCTCACCTTTGGGCTAAGAGCAGAGTTTGGGTTTTTAATGAAAATTTTGTCCTGACGAGAGATAAGTCAAAGTCAGGCATTGCAAAGTGCCTTGCATGTGCTGTTACTGGCATCTCAGTTACATTCTCCATGGGCGCTTAAGAAGCTAACACTCACTGTTGGTCAGGGGACTGATGCTCTACTTCCTACTCTAAATATAGCGCCTGTCTTGTCACACTTGCTGTTTAACAGCCTTACCATGCCATTCTTGAGAGAAATAAAGTGAGGTTTCATTAATATGAGAGATCAACAGTAGTTCAGTTATAAGTTATCACTGCAGAGGGAGAGCAGCAGGTTCAGCTCCTCAAGTTGGAAATAAAAAAGATGAATGGGAGGAGGAAATGAAGTTAGTGATCTACCGCCTGGGCACTTTGTCAAGGGTGCGTGAGGAGAGAGGGGAAAGCCCTTTCTAAACACAGATTATACACCAAAGGCAATTAATAATTGTTTAATCCTTCTGGAGAGCCATTTGTTGTGGTGATATTCACATGACTGTCTTTAACACCATGACACCAGGAGGGTCTTACTTCGCCAGCCACCAAGCTGGGGGCATCATGCTGGGTAATTGTCTGCAGGTGCATTTAACTGAAACCTTTCTCTAAGATTCTGGAGTTCACAGCACACAAAGAAAATAGGCATAGCATCATTCCAGTCTGTCTACTTTCTGTGACTGAGGTGATTTTTTTCTGGAGCTAAATCTGTCTTTTCCACTTGTTCTACTCTCATTCACTCACTGGCTAATTCAACAGATACCTACTTGGCTCTTACTACCTATCAATCACTATTCAAGGCACTCAGTAACAGCAGTGAACCAGAGTTTCCACCCTCAGGGAACTTACAGCAGAAGAGCAGGCAGGTGATGAGAAATGCCCCTGAGTAAAGTTAAACAGGACCAGGAGGATGGGGAATTTGTGGGGGGCAGGGGAGCTGGAGGAGGTGCATGATATTGTAGTCTATACATGATGATCAGAGATGGCCTTTCTGAAAGGGAGACATTTAAACAGAGATCTGATGAAAGAGAAGGTCATGAGCTATACAAATATCTGTAAAGAGAGAAAGCCCCACAGGTGTACAGCCAGCAAGATGGTGGAGGATGCAGGAGGTTGGGTGCAGGGGAACTGTTGCAAATCGTAGGGCCCCAGAGTCTGACAAGCTCAAGGCAAATCCTATGGAAAGATTTTTTTCTTTTAGCTGCTCTGCCTTTGTTGGTGTACCCCTCATTTCTTTTTTCAGCAGGCCGTGACCCCTTCTTGGCAACCCTGGAAGTAGGTGCAAAGATCCGGAGGTCAAAGTGGGCTTAGCATGTGTAGGGAACGTAGGCCTGGGAGGGGGTGGATCACTCAGGGCCTTGGAAACTTTGCATGGATTCTGGCTTCTGAGTGAAATGGGAAGCACTGAAGGTTTTGGACAGAGGCAGGATGTGTTCAGATATCTCTTTCACCAGGAATGCTGTAAACAGATTGGAGGGGAATTCAGTGGAAGTGAGGAGCCAAGCTGGAGGTTACTGAAGGAAACCAGGTGAGAAAGAGGAGAACTTGGATTAGAGAGTGAGGCTAGAGTGCCCATGGCCAAGGTGGAGGTGATAAAAAGTGGTTGGATTTGCAGTATGTCTTGAAAGAGGCATCAGAATTTGCTACTGGATTAGGTGCAGTATGTGATGAAAGAGAGGAGGGTTGAGGGTAGTGGGAAGATTTTTTAAATATTTCAACTTTTTTAAATAGTAAAAAAAAAAAAAAAAACATGACTTTAAATTTACTGTCTTAATCTTTTTTTTTTTTTTTTTTTTTTTTTTGAGAAACAAGGTTTCACTGTGTTGTCCAAGCTGGCTTCTAACTCCTGTGCTCAAGTGATCCTCCTGTCTCAGTCCCCCAAGAAGCTGGGCCTACAGGTGTGGACCTCTGTGCCTAGCTTCTTAACCATTTATAAGTATGCAGTAAAGTAGCATTAAGTCCACTCACATTGTTGTGTGACAAATCTCCAGGACCTCTTCATCTTGCAATAGTAAAACTTTATACCCATTAAACACTAATTCTCTTCCCCCAACCCTCTGATCTTAGCAACCATCTTCTCACTTTCTGGTTCTGTGATCTTGACTGCTTTAGATACTTTGAATGTGTGGATTCATACAGTATTTGTCCTTCTATGACTGGCTTATTTCACTTTGCATAATGCACTTGAGGTTCATCTATGTAGTCTCATATGACAGGATTTTCTTCTTTTTCAAGAATGCATCATAGTTCATTGTGTGGATATACCACATTTTCTTTTTCCATTATCCATTCATCTATCAGTGGACATTTGGGTTGCTTCCACCTCTTGACTATTGTAAATTACACTTCACTGGGTATGCAAGTATCTCTTTCAGATCCTTCTTCAAATTCTTTCAGATATGTAGCCAGGAGTGAGATTGCTAGATCATATGGTAATTGTCTTTAGCTTTTTGAGAAACCTCCATGTTGTTTTCTATAATGATTGTGCTATTTTATATTCTCACCAAGTGTATACAAGTGTGACAATTTCTTCATGTCTTTTCAATACTTACTCTTTCTGTTTACTTGATAGTGGACATTTTAATGGCTTTGTGCAGTGACACCTCATTATGGTTTTGATTTGCATTTCTTTTAGGATTAGTGATGTTCAGCATTTTTTCATATGCTCATTAGCCATTTGTATAACTTCCTTGGAGAATTATCTATTCAGGCCCCTTGCCCATTTTTTAATCAGTTTATTTGGATTTTTGTTGGATGAAGTTGGGGAAGTTCTTTATATTTTTCTGGATTTTAACCCCTTATCCGATATATGTCTTGCAAAGATTTTCTCCTATTTAGTAAGTTGCGTTTTCATTCTGTTGATTGTTTCCTTTGATGAGCATAAGTTTTTAAGTTTGATGTAGTTTCATTTGCCTAGTTTTGCTTTTGTTGTCTGTGCTTTTTGTGTCATATATAAGAAATCATTGTAAAATCCAATGTCCTGAAGCTTTCCCATTATGTTTTCCACTAGCAGTTGTATAGTTTTAGGTCTCACATTTAGGTCTTTAATCCATTTTGAGCTGATTTTTGTATACGGCATGAGGTAAGGGTCTAAGTTCAGTTTTGCTTGTGGATATTCAGTTTTCCAAACACCATTTGGGGCTGCTCATTTCCCATTGTGTAGTCCTGGCACCTTTGTCAAAAATAATTCAGCCATATACATAAGGGTTTATTTCTAGGTTCTCTATTCTGTTTCATTGAGCTAGATATTTGTCTTCATGTCAATACATACAATTTTGATTACCATTGCTTTGTAGTATGTTTCTAAAACAGGAAGTACGAGGACTCCAGGACTAAGAGATTTTGCTCTCTTGAACCAAAAGATGGACAGATTGCCATTTACTGAGGTGGCAATGACTGAGAGACACAGGTACTCTGAAGAATATAAGGAATTTTCTTGTGCCATATGAAAGTGCCGTTAGAAAAATAGGTTGGTCATTTTCTGACATCAAAAGATTTTTTCCCCAAATTGTCTGAGTTGCAGCCAATATAAACATAGGCCAAGTTTTTCTAAATCAGATGTGTTTGGAGAGGGTGGAATGGCTGTCAGAATGGGCTGGGCTTATAGGGTGACATACAGGTCCAGGCAGAGTGAGCCAACCAACATCACTTGCAAGATTGAAGAAGGCTCATGGAGTTAGATCAGTGGAAGAGAAGATCCTCATAGAAGAGGCAAAATTCTCTGTCTTAGGGACAATGGCAATACTTGGGAAAATTCCCAGAAAGTGATAGTTTTAGATGATTGTCTTCTTGGAGACCGATGTTGGGGAAGACTCTGAGGCTGCTTCCAGATGCAGCAGGATGGAGAATGACTGTCAGTTGGCAATGTCCACCTTTGGAGACAGACATATCAGTCACTTTCTCACTTCCCCTGACTCAGCTGGATTCTCATCTTCTCTGGCTCAGAGGGGAGTATCATCAAGTACAGCTAACATCTTTGAGCATATACCATGTGTCAAAAACTATTCAGCTTTTCTTACTCTTTATAAGAACTCGGTGAAGTAGGCACTATTATTATTTTCATTTGAATGTTGAGGAAACTGCAGGATTGACAGGTTAAGTAGCTTACCTAAGACATGGTGAGTAATTGGTACAGCCAGGACTGGAACCCTGGCCACTTGACTCCAGTGTCCAGGCTATTAACCACCATACCGCCAAAGAGTGGCCTCGTACCAGGGCCTCGAGCTGCCTGGGGCTTCAGGAGCTTCTCTCATCTATGGCTGTACTAGTCTGTTTCACGCTGCTGATAAAAACATACCTGCGACTGGGTAATTTATAAAGAAAATGAAGTTTAATGCACTTACAGTTCCTCATGGCTGGAGAGGCCTCACGGCGATGGTGGAAGGTGAGAGGCACATCTTACATGGCGGCAGGGAAGAGAGAGAACTTGTGCAGGAAATTTCCCTTTATAAAAGCATCAGATCTCATGAGACTTATTAACTATCATGAGAACAGCACAGGAAAGACCTACCCCCATGATTCACTTACCTCTCTCACCTGGTCTCTCCCACAACACATGGTAATTGTGGGAGCTACATTTCAAGATGAGATTTGGGTGGGGACACAGCCAAATCATATCAATGGCTAAGACTCCATCTCTGTACAGGGGGCTGGGAGATTCACTTGGCAATTTTTGTTCCTCTTGGCTTCAAAGGACTCAATCTAGGATCATCACAAAATGTATTTATTGTCCAAAACTGGAGTGCTTTTGAGAGCAAAAAGGACTATGTTAATATTTAGGCTAGGACTACAAACATAAACCAGTCTTGTCCGGAGCAAACTGGAATATGAGGTCATTATACTTATGGTCAGTTAGTAAATGAGATCTTAGCCTCAGTGAAAGTGAAATTTTACTGGAATGGGCAACCTATTGAACACACACTTTATCCAGATGGCTTAGATTTGGATCTTTTAAAAGAGTAACATCACCATTTGAAGTGTTTTCTTCTTCATTAACTATGAAGCCCTTTCCCATATGGGTTTATCAGCATTGTAGGAAGGGCTTTCATGGAACCATATAAATTCATCTCTCTAGAAACGAAGAATTCTAACGTCCATCCTCACTTCTGCCACCAAAATTAGAAACATACATAGGTGTCGAGCTTTCTGCTTGGTGAAGGTGCAGTGACCCCTCTTTTTTTCAGCATCCATTTATTTCTGCTCGCTGAGCTTTCTGTCTGCATTTTCATCTACAGCTCTGTTCTTTATTGATAGTGTTTGTTTTAGACTTGTGAGCTCCAAGAGGGCTGAGACTGCACACTTTAAATGGGCTTTACTGTGTTGGCACAGCACTTTGCAAATAAAGGCTTTACAATTTATTTAACAAACATCTAGTGATGGTTACTGTGTGTGAAGCAGTATACATAGCACATGGAAGATACTCAAGGGTATGGCAAAAAGGATTTCTATTTCCCATAAGTTTATCAGCAGTAAGAAGTAACACTGCTAATGTCTATTATGTATAGATGCCATCTTATCTGTCAGAAACTGTGCTCGGTGTTTAACATACATTCTCTAAGTCTGTGCCACTGATCAGTGTTTCTCTAAGTAGTTCCCCTGGAACACTAGTTCTTGCAAACTGTTGATGAATGCTATGTGTGTCATTGGTCCCCAACACCACCCTCAGATTTGGTGATTTGCTAGAAAGACTCATGGACTCTACATCTAGTTGCATTTGTTGCTAAGGTTTGTTACAGTGAAAAGATTCCAAGCAAAATCAGCATTAAAGGCACATAGGCAATGACCAACAGAAACCAGGCAACAGCTTTCAAGCGGAGTCACACGGGACACACTTAATTCCCCCAGGGAGAAATAGTGACAACGAGTATAAAATGCTGTCTAATGAGGGAAGCTCATTAGAGACTTACTGCCCAGAGTTTTTCCTGGAATCTGGTCACATAGGCACCCTTTGCCTGATAGGTTCCAAATCCCTGACCTCCAGAAGGAAAAACGGTGTTCAGCATAAGCCATATCTATTTGTACGGTTTAGGCACGTTGAGCCACTCTTATCAGAGAATGGTAGGAACCTTCCCCAAATCATCATTCCCAAATACCAGCCAAGAGCCAACCTTGCAGGCTGGCCTTTCTAGGGATAGCAGTCCCACACTTGCTATGTTGGCTCTTTTCTGGATAGTATGCAAAAAAAAAAAAAGTTTCATATTCAGATAATTTTGAAAACCTTAATCAACCAATTTTAAGCTGCTTTCTTTACCTCTGGACTCTAAATTCCCAGACTTATCTGGCTCTCTGCCACCCCCCACTGTACATCTTAGAAGATTTTTGCTTTGTAGGGAACAACCACAAGAAGTTCTCGTGGGGAAATGACATCAGTCCTATTCAATGTAGCATTAAATGCTGAGAAAATCCATAGCAGGAAAGGACAGTTTAAAAATTTATGAATTATCTTTTCCTTTACACTTCAGCATTGACAGATAAGTGTTAAATTGAAATACTGTCTCATACTTTGATCACAGAAGCTAAGGAAAGCAAGTGCTGAAGCCGCACTGGCCTCCTTTGGAAAGTAAAACCCGAGAACTCCATCTAGGCTTCGAGTTAATAGATGTGGTGGTCTTTACACACCTGTAGTGAAGGGGTCATCTGTTAAGTAATCATTAGCTTTTTCATTTGAATTGTAAATTCAAATTGTTTCTCAATGCAGTAGACTTAGATTACATAAGGTTAGAGCTTAAGCTTTGAAAAGTAATTTAAATTTGTTTTCAGCATGTTAAAGACTTAGTCAATTTTTTTCCTTTTATTTTAGTTTATTTTTATTTTTTTCCTGAGGCAGGGTCTCACCCTGTCTCCCAGGCTGGAGTGCAATGGTGTGATCATGGCTCACTGCAGCCAAGACCTCCCTGGCTCAAATGATTCTCCCACCTCAGTCTTCTGAGTAGCCCGGACTACAGGCACGCACCACCATACCCAGCTTGTATTTTTTGTAGAGACTAGGTCTTTCCATACAGCCCAGGCTGGTCTTACACTTTTGAACTCAAGCTATCCACCTGCCTTGGCCTCCCAAAGAGCTGGGATTGCAGGTGTGAACCACTGCGCCTGGCCCAAATTCCTATTTCTTGTTTGACCAGGATGTCTTTTGTCCCAACCAGAATTAGTTCTTATTTATTGTTACAGTCAAGATTTAGAATAGGGTTTTATTAATTATATATTTGGACTAGAATTTCTTTATTCTGCAAGTGCATTAGTTTTGGAATCACTGATAAAAACCAAAAGTTGATTTCCACTAACTTTTCCAAGAGGGAGCTTTAAAAATTCACCTGTGGGAAATTTTATGCAAAAACTTGAACAAGACATAGTATTTTTCTGTTAGCAAATTATAATTTTCCCCCTGATTCAGGGGGGGTCTGTGATTGTTTTCTTCCCTGGCTGCTCCTTCCATTTGCATTTGCAAAGATCACATTCCTAATCTTCACCTCATCAGAAGCCTCATTTTGATTTTCTGCTTTGCTGACTTCTGTACTCCGAGAGATTCACTAGCTCTTAATCCTATCATTGGCCTGGCATTCTTCCTCTTCTCTATACTTTTCCATGGTTCATTCATCTCCATTTTATTCCTTCTAGAATGTATTTTTTTAGAAGCAATTACCAATTCTTATTGGTTTGAGCTATGAAATATTTCTTCTTTGGTTGCATCTTCAGTGTGGTTTTCTTCTGACTGTCATTGTCATTCACTTGAACGGGTGAAATTAACCTCTGCCTTTGAGGCCCCTATGTTTACTCTTCGCCGGTGTTGCTGCCAGAAGCTTAAAGCTGGATCTAATCACTTCCTTGCTGAAACCATTGATGCTTCTCTGTCGACTTCAAGATGTGTTCAGTTGGGACATTGCCGTCTGTTTCCTTCTTCAGTTCTCCTTTCCCTTCTACTCCAGTCCTTACAAGTGACATCTTCTGTTCCTGCATGCTAAAATGCCCGTGACTTCTCTAATGCAGCTCTCTGCCTTGGTGCCTTTGCGTATCCATCTCTACTGAGGAACTGGGATGACTTCAGCATCCGGGGTAGATGCCTGGCATGAACCAGAAAGGATATCAGATTAGATCTGTAGGTGATGGTGAGAATGGATACAGGACTGTTTCAGTCAAGTACCTACCTCTAAACAGGAGGGCACTGTGGATTTTAGGATTGGAGATCATTGGTACCTGTGCCATCCTGGGGAGGTGGGAAGAACCAGTTCACAGATCTAGTTTTGAGCAAAGGAACATGGGGTTTTAGCAGGTCATTTAGTGTAAGCCCACTAGAAGGAGGCATGTGGTGTGGGGTCCAGGACAGGCTGTGAGTACATGTTCTGCACCAGACATAATTTACATGGAGGCTTGGGGAGAATAAGCTTCCAGGTGAGGAACTCAGTGGCTGAGTTGCAAAGAGCTGGAAATGAGAGAAGCAAGCTTAATGACTTTGTACGTGCTTCAGTTTAGTGCATATCCCACTCTTGTGTCCTAATCCAGTTATTTTTATTTCTGCTGAACTCTGTACATCCTGAGGATGAAGCCCATGCTGTCACCACTTTTTTTTTAATTAACAGTGTCTGTTAAACATGCATGTGATTCAGAATTAGATATCACTCCCCACCCTCATGAAATCCTCTTTAAATACTTGATTTATTATTTATTTTCCACTAGAATACTTCTGGATTTTTCATGAAGCCTGAGGGAAAATGAGAAGTTATTATCTACATCATTTTTCACTGTTTTAATGTTAATCATTGATACAGGAATTGGCTTTCACCATCTTGGAGTCCACCCCACCTATAATTAATTATAAATCCTTTCAGTGGACAAACCAATAACACTTCTATATTGAACCAGGAACCAGAGAGCCTAAATGCATCCCCTGGATATCATCTAGTGAGTCAGAGGCACAGAACAAAATGTGCTTCCAAAGGACAGATGATTCTTCAAAGAGAGCTACTGTTCTTTAAATGTCACCCATGTGTTAGAGCCTTTTGTTCCGCTCTGTTTCTGCACGCTCCATTTCTGAAGTCCAGGAAGCCCCAGGCTGTTGAGTGGAAAGAGTAGAAAGGCGAGAGTGAGAAGGCAAGATGAATCTGGAGGGGAAGATTCATGTTTTCTGATTTCTGAGGGTCCCTCCTGATCAGCGGGGTGCTAATGAGATCAGAGACAGGGGATGTGAACACCACGGGAACCTGCTGGCTTTCTTCCACTCACAGCGCCAGAATGTTCCCACCAGCTGGGACAAAGCACAGGGAGAGCATCAAGGAGGGGATGAAAAAAGAGATCAGGAAGGAAGAGAATAGTGTGCATGAGCTCACGCGTGGGTGAGAAGAAGGAGAAACAGAGGCAGGGGGGTACATAAAAATCCTACCCTCTAGCTATGTCCTTCAGGAGCGGGTCTATCTGTTGTTGTTTGCTACTTTTCCTATGCTCTTGGGAGCTTATCAGAAACTTCCCCTAGATCAGCAGCCGCAAATCAGCAGCAGGAAGCCCTGTCACATGCAGGTGTCATTGTATCATCATAAAAATTACTTCCCAGGGTTAGTAACTTAAAATGAAAGTCAGGCTCAAGGGTCATCAGGTAGTTAGTAGATCAAGAAGATTTCTACAATGTAGTACATCTCTTTTCTCTTGGCTTCTGTGATACTAAGTTTCCTGGTTCCGTTTCTGTCTCTCAGAATACTTTTCCCCTAAAGGTGTAAAGTTCTCTCCTTCATGTACTTCTCTTTCATGAACTTCTCTCCTTCTAATCTTAACTGAGCCTTCTCCAAGTTCCTTCCCTATCTCATTATCTTCCATTTCTCATTATGTTCCCTCACAATCTTAACCACACCCGTAGCTTCACCCATCACTTTCTGCAGGAAATTGCCTGTCTACCACAGAACTCTCCCCTGGAATTTAGTGTAGGCAATTGTCCACTTGAATCATCCTCAAATGTGATGTGATGTGATCTTCCCCTTGGTGCATATCCAAACTGAACTCAACACTTAACTCGTGCCCTGAATTTTGGCAAGGAAGTTATCACCAGCTTTCACTCTTTGAGTGCATAACCTTTCACTCTGTTTCTTATACTCAGGGACTGTAGTGTGTGTTGCAGTCTCTTATCTGACTCTCAGAAATAACTTTGAGTAGAGCAGTACTACTAAAACACAAATTCACCAACTTTTCTCTGCTGGACCTTCATGTCGTTCTCCCTGAGTGAGTCCCTTTTGCAAGTTATTAATATATGTCACACAGAGCCTGTTTCTCATATTTATTGACCAGACTAAGGAGAGAACATCGTACCCTCTAACCCAGTGGTTGGCACGCTTGAGCCAGCTCATACCAGCTTTCGTGAGACCGTTGTTAATGTCTCTTTCTCACTCTGTCTTCACTGTAGCTTGATATCAGCCATGGCAGGATTGTCTTCACCATGGCAATGGGCAACACCAAGGATTGTCTTACTTCTTCACAGAGCTGGTGGTTAAGTTACAGCAGATAACTGCCCCACCACACCCATTATGTCCTGTGCAGTTATCGATGATATTAACTTTCTCTGCTTGAGGCACTCTGATAAAACTTCACTGATTTATCTCATTTAATCCCAATAGCTACTTCATGAGAAAGGTGCCATCATTCTATCTGTTTTACAGGTAAGGCAAATGGGCACTCAGAGAGGTAAGATCTGACACCGTGTGTCTGAGAGCAGGTCCATGCCATCGAAGTAGATTTGTAGCAGAAACCTGGCTGGGGGTATTTTTCCCCATATTAGGGATATGTCTGTCTCCAATTCATGTCCATTCTAAGACAATGCTACTGGTAACTGTGATGGATCAGACTTTGCACGTTTTTCTTTCTTGGAACAAACAGGATTTGGAAGCTTTGACGTTGGTGTTACAGATCATTTACCAAAAAAACTGCTCATAAGACAGGCCCAGTTTTCTGTTTGGATGATAGCTTCTCATGATGGTCCTCATGTGTTAATTGAATAATATTTGAACTTTAAATTCTTTCTACAAATGTTTGACTAACAATCTCCCCAAAATAGCCCTATTGGTAACCAACCAAGTAGTTGTTTCATTGCAATAGGAGTGTAATGAGAGACAACAGATCCTAAGTTAATGAGTTATCCAAGACCTTTAGTTGCAAATCCTTTAGCCAAATGACCATACCCATGGGTGTCAGAGCAACAGTAATTGTGAATTATTGCTATGTTTAAAATAAAACAATTTTGGTCTAGATTAGATTTTGTTTATAAACCTGAATAAATATTCAGATTGCCACTATCAGAAAAAAAACTCATTGACCCAATGAGCATTCAAAAAAGTCATTTTTCCTCCTTTTTACTTTTTCATTCATTAATTTAATATTCAAAGAACACCTGATTTATGCCAGCCACCGTTCCAAGTGTTGAGATTAGAGGGATGAAGAATATAGGCAAGATCTTAGCTTTCACGGTTCACATTCTAGTTAGGGAAGATAGGATAAAAAATAAATAAAACCAGAATTTCGGGGCGTGATGAGCCCTAGGGAAAGGAAGTGATAGCAGAAGTATGCAGTCAGAGGCTCTGCTGAAACAGAGCTGACAAGGTGTTTGAGCAGAGAAGCGAGCGTTCATAAGGAACCAGCCATGCAGAGGTATGCACTGAGACGCACCCAGTCGAGGGAACAGTTTGGAGACTCCAGCAACCTTGGAGTAATCAAGAAATAGAGAGTTGGTCGTGGTGGTAGAAGTGAAATAAGGGAGATAGGATTGTTTAGTGAATAAATCCAAGAGGAAAGCAGGACCCAGATGATACAGAGTCTCAGAGGTTATGAGTTGGGATTTATTCTAAGTGCACATAGGAAGCACTGTAGAATTCCAGGCAGGATACAGACTTTCCCATCTGTGCTTAGGAGTCTAAGCTGCACTCTTTCTTTCTTCAAGTGATATGGGAGTGACTTAAATTCTTTGTTGCAAAACCAGTGACACTGTTATGCAAACATGAAGTATTGAACTATATGGAAGTATTTATCTGTTTAAACATTGGGGGAAGAGACTTTTAAAATATGGTTTATATGCTCGGTGGTTCGGTAAAGGTTTTTCTCCTGCTCCTCATCCCCCAGCCAACCTTCTCCAATATATTCAGCCATGGCTGACTTTGGAGGATAATGAAAGCCACAACCCAGGAACTTCCTGATGGAGATGGAACTGTTTCACATCTTGATTGTATCCTAGTTGGGAAGTCATTTCATAGATTTGTAAGATATTGCCATTGGGGGAAAATGGGTAAAGGGTATATAGGATCTCTGGGCACTATTTCTTACAACTGTGTGTGAATCAACAATGATCTCAAAATAGAAAGTGTAATGAGAGAAAAAGCTCTATTTAAGTGTTTTATTAGGTACCAGACATCATGTTAAGTATTTTACATGAATTATCACGTTATCCTTACAAGAAAATTGTGAGTTCTAGCATTGCCCCATTTTAAAGAGAAGGCACCTGAGGCTCTTAGAAATTAAGGGATTTGCACAGTTACCCAGCTGGTAAGTGGTGAGGCCAGAATCATTCCAGATGGTCTGTCTCCAAAGCTGAGATTCCCAACCTCAGCCCTATGGGACACATGTCTGTTCTGTCCTCATTCTGATGGGTCCAATCTGGAGGTGACTGAATCCTGAATGTCAGGAGGCAGCAGAGGGTGGGGCCAGTTCTAGAGAAGGCACATCACCTGTCTCTCCTGCAGGATGGTCTGTGGCCATTGGCGTAGGCCTTCGTTGACAAGCCAAGCCTCTGACATCTGAATAGCTACGCTGAGAAAGGTAGACCTTGTCTTTCCACCTTGGGAATCACAGTCTGATGGCAGGCAGGGGCTTTGTGCCATCAGGCAACCCAAAATCAGGGTACCCTGCAAAGTCACCTGGCAGAGGTAGCAGGGCTGGGTCCACCTAGAGGCAGGGAACATTCTTCTTCACACAAAGAGGCCTTCCCCTCACCAAGCTGAGCTTTTTAAAAGTTTAATCTATAGCCCCTGAGGGAGTGCCTCTTTCTAATCCCTACAAAGACCCTTATAGGTCAGCAGTGTCCTGTATTGACTGATCCCCGGGATGCATTGGATTTTTAAGCTCCGAGATTATCCCAGCTTTTACCTCTTTTTTAAATAAATATATATATATAGTATATATGTATATATGTATATATATATTATACACACACACACACACACACACATATATATGTATATATATATATATCTTTAAGTTACTGTGCTAGGCATGCCTGGAAGTCTCCCCACCCCTAATGCATTTTTATTTTAAGATTTGACTGGCATTTTTTAGATTCTCTTGATGTGTTTGCTACATCTTTTTTTTCTTTTTTTTTTTCATTTTTATTTATTTATTTTTATTATACTTTAAGTTTTAGGGTACATGTGCATCTTTAGGCAAGAATTTATTAGGATGTTATGGTTAATATAATCATGGCCATAACTTCCTAATGAATGCAAATGGGGAAAATAAGATTTTATTAACCAAAGATGGTGACCTTAAAACCATTATATCTTCCTTGTGCTTATGGAGAACATTTTAGGAGCACGCCTATTCTTAAAGTGAATTCCGTTATCTTTCCTCATGCTAAGAATGGAAGGGGGCTTAGGCTGAGCCAAGTGACATGTTGCAAGCAGTTGTATGATGTCACCAAGTGCTGGCCGTTGGTGTCTCAGCCACAGTGGGAAGCTCAGCACATGGATTAAGGGCCAACCTGGGGCGAAGGTGATTACCTTCTTAGAAGACACTTGGTGGAGATGTTTTTGAGTGTCATGACTAGGGAGGAGTGCGCCTGACTTCTAATGTGTAGGAATGCTGCTCAGTATCCTACCGTTCACAGCACAGCCTGCCCCCCACCCCAATAAGGAATTTCCTAGCCCCAAAAATCCATACCATCAAGAATAAGCGTACAGAGTTAACATCATGGGACTCCTGAGTCAGAGCAACTTGTTTTCAAATCCTACCTGTGTCCTTGGATGGTTGACCTTAATTAACTTTCTGAACCTCTGTGTCCTCTCTTCTAAAGTGTGTCTCATCATTATACCTATTTTATAGGGTACTAAGAGAATTGAGGTATTGCGTGCCAAACCCTTAGCACAGCACCTGGCACAGAGTAAGTACTCAATAAATAGTGGAGATTGTAACTCTTACTAATCTGGTGGTGGTGTCCTCCTCAAAGTAAAATAACAAGGCAAAGGCTTCAAATCAAGCTGCATTTGAAAAGTTGCATTTTTTGGTATCAAAGTCCTCCAAGATGGATTTATTTTTCTATTTTATGATTCCGTAAAAGGCTTCCTATAAGACTTGTTTGTTGGGGGTGGGACTCCCTCTCTGGTGCTGCTAGGGCGGGGTACCTGACATTAGTCGCACCTGCAGTGGATTCGACACATTAAACCTCAGAGCATTGCGTGAGTGTGGCTCTAGAAAGCCGCCTCAACTGCCCAGGTTTCTTAGCGATCAGTCATCTTGATCAAAGTAAGAAGCAGCCAGTGTCCAAGGCAAAATCTGTGTGGTCGTGTTGAGAGAACCAGGCACATTCGCCACAAGATACCTGTGCCTTCTGCCATTAAGCAGGTCTGACAACGTGAAAGCTGGCTGAGCTGAGGGAGTTGATGAGCTGTCAACCTCAGGGGCTGCTCAGCCCTTCGGGGGTGCTTTGCAAGCCTGGTTGCCCTCCAGGTGTCATTTTGCTAGGGGTTGACAGAGCAGGCTACTGCCCTTCTGCAAATACTCTTAAGATCATGTGAGTTAATACACAGGACATGCTTAGACAGGGGCTGGCACTGTTCTCAGTGTTCTGTTAGCAATTATTACCATTATTTTCACTTAGATTTGTCATTATGTACACACAGCTGCCTGTGGACATGTGCAGGCACATCCATGTAATATATTAATATAATTAGGAAAGTGGGGGCATTCAGTACTTTCTAGGTATACACATGAACAGACACACAAATATACATAGGACGTGCAGATGTAATGGGATTTAATGTTCCCAAACTCTTGCAGTCATAACCGTCTGCCCAGAGTCAATCTTAGATAGAGAGCCAGCACCGTGAGGCCAAGAGAATGTCTTGCTCCTGGATCTGGCTGGTGTTCCTGAGAGAAGGACAAGACGCCGCAGTGTTCCTTTGACCCAAAGATGGAAGCAAGACAGATAACACTCCGAAGTGTGGTAGCAAGCCAAGCACCCTGGAGTTAGGGGCTTAAATCCAGGCATCAGGTGGTTATGAGTCCTGTGACCCTGTGCAAATTAGCCTCCCCACCTGGGGATTGGGAACCACAGCGAAGTCACGGAGCTGCTGTATGGTGCATAAGAAAGCGTATAGCTCACTGCTTAGCATCATGATCGTTCCTTAAAATGAGATTCAGGGCTCATGGTGCCAAGGTCCTCTTGGAAGCCTCATGCACAGAGTGTCTTCAGACCTAAGATTGAGGAACCTGTTTGAGAAAGTTTCAGGTGTTCTTCCTCACCACCATCACCATGAGCAAAATGGATTATTCACTGGCCATATTTCTCCTTTTTACCTCAGCCAACAAGGCACGCAGGATCAAATGTGTGGTTCTACCATAATGACTCTATGGACAGGATCCCCTGTGGCTGGCATGCTGTCACCATCTCCTCCTCCTTTTCTTTTTTCTCTGATCCTTGTTTTTATCTGCTTGTACTTCTGCCTTATTGTGCTTAGTTGTGCAAGCCACCGCAAATCCAGTATGGATTGATGTGGGGTATAAATAAATTTTTAAAAAGTTGAACCTTGAATCTGTTCAATAATTCTCCAGGATTTTGCTTAGCTTTACTGTGCTGCTTCCAATTTCAGACTCCCTAGCTTTGCCTATTGGCTGACTGTAACCATAAAGATAACTGATTCCTGTACCAAGCCTAATAAGATCAATTAAATTCCTTGTAAAAATGGTCCCTACTAGGGGAAATGCTAGATGAGATGCTAAAACTCATCTGTCTAAAAACAAGAGACAAGCTCTTTCTTGGATTTTTTCTTTTTCTCTTTCTTTCTTTCTTTCTTTCTTTCTTTCTTTCTTTCTTTCTTTCTTTCTTTCTTTCTTTCTTTTTTGCAGCTGATCAGTGCTCCTCATGCATTTTGAAGCTTCTTTGCCCAAGGTGTCTGTGACAGATGGCTCGTGAAGCAGCAGGAATGCACAAAACCTCTGCTATTATTTTTAATAAAAAAATACTGACTCTAGAATAAATTGACTATTGAAAAGGCTGAGAATTCAGTCCTTGAAACTAATTGTGCCAAGTATGGGCACATTATAACTTCTCCAGCATGGACTATGTGGCCATGATGGTAGGCTTGGCAATTAAAAAGACAAGTGGAGAGATGCCCCAAACTGCCGGGCCTCCTGCTCCATCCTCCAGGTTTGAACTACGGCTGGTTGCAAGGAGTGTATTTGTGCTTGCATTAGAAAATTAGGAACGCCTGCAGAAAATGGCTTTCCCACAGATAAAAGACTATTAAGTCTCTTAAATGCTGGAAAATGTCTTCATGAGCATATTCAGTGATTTGGCACTTACTCCACATGAGAACGTCCCTACCATGATGTCCAGTAAAGAATGGGCTACGTGTCCCGCAGACTTGATTACCTCCCTGCTCCAGCTTGGCTCTTTCTACAAGGGCTGTGCTGGCCCAAACATCAATGTCTCATTTAACTTTTGAAAATCGTCCTCTTGGCATCTAGACCTGTTGTTTTCCTGGCCTGCTAGGATAAATACGGAATT